>NC_000017.11:51935980-52560980 GCF_000001405.40 Homo sapiens
TTATTCATTTGTCCTAAGCCAGCAGAATTTGCTGCTGTGGGCAGGATATTAGGCACTTGGAATAAGTTTATACAGCTTATGTGAATTTGCTAAGTCCTATGGCAACAAGATAAATTCAATTCAAAAGCATTTACTGACAGCCTCTGATGTGCCAGGCATTAGGGTTGGCACTGAAAGTTGATGCAACAAATCTTTACTGAGGACCTACTATGTGTCAGGCACTGCCATCAGTTCTGGGAAGTCAATTATGAATGAGAGATATGGTTCCTATTCTCATGAATCTTGCAGGCTAGTGGGAAATATGGGAGATAAACAAGTTTCTATATGTCTATCTGTGTAAAGTTTTTGGTAAGCATGTTGTAGAGACAAGACGGTAATGGATCATAGCTTAAAGCATGTATGGGAGAGAAAACCTAGGTAGCATGGTCAAGGGTGGTCTCTCTGGAAGGGTCAGCTGGTAGACTCTGGAAGGACTGGGAAAGTTGCTTCTAAACAGTGGCAGGAGAAAGGATGTCCAAGGCAGAGCGAAAGTGAGCAGTCTTGGCAGAGAAGAGCTGGATGTGTTCAGGAACAGAGAGGAAGTCAGTCGACTTGAGCCTGATGGACCAGATGAGGAGAAGAGCGAAATGAGATGGGGGCTGGCTGGGTAGACCAGGAACAGATGGCTCAGTGCTCTGCAGGCCACACTAAGGAGTTTGCATTTTACTCCAAGTTAATAGAAAGCCACTGAGAGTTTAGCAGGGAAATACCATGGTCTGATTTTTTAATTAAAGGCAGGTATCTGCCTCAGATGGAACACAGCCAAGAGCAAGCTCGACTATCCTTGAAGTAGTTTGAATGGGAAAAGAATTGGTTCCCAAGCAACAGTTGGGGACATAGGTTTTTAAGTGAATTTAATCCTATTGCTTTTGGTGTGTTTAAATTCTATTTCAAAGGCAGAACTAATTGAATGTTTTAAAATTATTCTCTTCAAAATATGTGCCAATAAAATCGTGTTTTCCTAGGAACTAGTGCTTTACAAGCCATTCTTTGAAGCAAGGAATATTTTCATGAAGACACTCAGCTAAAGCAATCTTTTCTCGTTTTCAAGCAATAAACTAAGTCCCCTACTTTTTGGTCAAGGGAAAGCAAATGAAAGTTGGGAAAATGAACGCTGGCATAAAACATATCTCTAGTGAATTCAATCCTACAGATAAAGCCTTCCACTTCAATATAGCAATCTCTACTTTGGGGTTATAAAGCATATGAATACATTTTAAATAAGAACTCATATCTTTCCCTTGCTCTTTTCCTCACCAATCCTGATTTACTGTCTCTTCCTCTCTTCTCAACTGTAATAAATCTCCACTTTGAGCCATTATTAATGAGCAAGTTTAAAATACCCACTGCTGCAGGCTTTTGGTCTGTTTCTGATTTGATTTATTTCATAGATGGAATTGGCCTTAAAGTTAACCCCTTTGCTGATGATTTCTTCCTCCATTGCAGGGCCTCTGACTCATAGCACATGGAGGGTCTTTAACTAGGGCTGCCCATTGTTAAAGGTAAGTTCTCCCATTGAGAACTAGGGCTGTCACTTGGGAACCTCTAAGGAATTGCATATATCCTATTTAACCCATAATCATTAATTTGTGCATTCATCTAAAAAATTAATGGACTGTATCTGATGAACCAGGGATAGAAAGATAAATCAAAATGCTCCCACTCTTCAGGACACTCAGTATGGTGGGAAGATAGACAAGCTAACAAATAGTTATAACAAAATATGATAGATGTTATAATAAGGGTATGTGTATATTAAGGCTTAAATTAATTCAGAGCAAGAAGCAAGCTGACCTGGCCCTTTTCTCAAGTGCTAAGGTAAGCCTTACTCATAGAGAGTGCATTATTTTAATCCTATTGCTTTAGGTGTGTTTTTAGTCTTGTAACTAGTTAAAACATTGAATCATCTCCTCAAACAGAGATATACTAGTCCTAACAACTAAGATGGATTATCACCGGAATGCCAACTATTATACAGGGAAAATTTAAGCCACTGCATCTTCCATCTTCTCACTTCTCCAATATTTCTCCCATACAGCTATTATTCCATGGGGAAAAGATCATTAGTACCATGTCCTTACCACAGAACCATCAGAAGGTGGCTAAATTACTAGGTGGCTTCATTTCTCTAGCTGTAAAAATGGGGGTGACAGCTACTTCACAGAGCTGTTGGGAAGATTGTGAGAATGTATTTATAAATGGTCTAGCATAATGTTGGCTCTATAATAAGGATTTAAAACATTGGAGAAGGGGTTGAGTGAGGAGGGGGAACAGCATGAACCACAGTGTGATTCCAACACTGTAGCATTCTCAGGGCAGAAACAGTCGAGGGTGAAGGATCCAGGCAGAAGGGTACAGGGAGGCAACTTTCAGATGCCCACCCAACCCAGCCTGGTTTCAGAACAGGGCACTCTGATGGGAGTCTAGGTCAAGGGATTAATTGCTTAATTCCATACTTTCAATGAGCCATGTGCATTTATTTCTTGGATCCATAGGTCTCAATGTCTGGATAAATGAAGGCAGTGAGCAGTGATATGGGTCATCCAATAGGGTTTTTAACTCCAAAGAAAAATCATTTTAATGTAGCTTTTGGGAGTTGTCAGATTACTTATTTGTGCAGCAGCAGCTTCGTCCTTCTTCCTGTTTGTACTTGGTTCCAAGTGGTGACTGGCTGGATCCCCAAAAGCACATCACTAAAGGTAAAGAGAAAGGAGGAAGAGGGAATTCTCTTTTGCTGATCACCCCCTGTTTAACAAGCTCTGTGCTAGGAACTTGACACATCTTATCTTGCTCAATCCTCCTCATTATTATTATTTTACAGGTGAGGAAAATAATACTCAAAGAGGTTAAATGACTTTCTAAGGTCACCTGGCCAGTAGGTTAGGGAACTAGAATTTGAGATCAGTTTCTTTCTTTAAAACAAACAAAGAAAAAAACCAAAGGAAGTAATGTATGTATGGTAACAGGTCAAATGATCCACAGGTGTATAAAGCAAGAGGTAATCATCTCTTCCTCCTTCCAGTAACATCCTGAGGAAACCAGTGTGAAAGTGTATTAGGCATCATTCAACATCTTTCAGTATACTCCTACAAACATACATACAAATATATACACATGTATATATATATTTGAGAGGTTCTTTTCTAAAAAAGAAGTATTTTTATAAAAAGTAACATTATGCCATGGATGTCCCTCCATGTCCATACTAATAGAGCTTCTCTTTCTTGTGTAAAGCTACAGAACTTCTACAGTTTGAATGCACTTCACTTTTCTCAATCATTCCCTAGATGAAAGACATTACAGTTATTTCCATCTTACTTTACCATGAAAATCAATGCTGCAATAAATAGCCTCAGAGATATTCTTTTTCATACTGGTGCTTTCATTTCAGTAGAAAAGATTCCTAAAGGTAGTATTGTTCAGTCAAGGTAGGCACATGCTTTATTTTAATAGATGCTGTCAAATTAGTTTCAAAGATACTGGTAGTGACTATGATGAACATTTACTCTCCTATCGGCAATGTGTGATGCATCCATTTCCCCAAAATCTCCATAGTATTGGATGTTATTTATTATTTATTTTTAGCAATCTACAGGAAGAAATGGTATCTCACTGATTGAATTTGCATTTTCTAGCTACTAGAAATATTTCTAGTATATTCTCATATGCTCATTGATTATTTGCATTTCTCTTCTGATCGTATTCTTCACATATTTTTCTCTGGGTTATTTATGTTTTTCATTTCAACTTCAGCTGTCATGTGAATTATGGAGATATTAACCTTTTGTGACATGGTATAAATATTTTCTTATAGCCTCTTATCTAGCTTTTAAACCTTGTTTTTGATATTTTGCTATATAAGGATTTTACCATTTTGTATGGTTGGATTTGTTGATAATTTTCTTTATAAGGTTTCTGGGTTTTCTCTCTCATTTAAGATGGCCTTTCCAACTACAGGTTATATACGTGTTTTTCTTACATTTTTATAAAATATTTTTATTGTTATACTTTTTACAACTTGATTATTTAAAAATATACCAGTGATTAATATTTGTATATGCTATGAGACAGGGGTCTAATATTTTTTCCCTGATAAAAAGTGAATAATGCCAGCATTATTTATTAAACAAACCATCTTTCACCATCAAACTGAACGCCCCTTTGATCACAGATTAAGTTTCCATATGTATTGGATTTGCTTCTGGTCTTTCTAGATTGTTTCACCTATTTGTGTATTCTTGTGTAAGTGTCATACTGTTTTGAGTGTAGTAACATTTATGGTAATTTATACGACAAAACTTCCTTCCTGATCAAAAAGATGCTGCTCTTCCCCTGCTACCACTACGGGACCGTAAACACCCAAGCTCCACGGAAATCTGGAGTTAGGACTAGTGATCCTAGGAACCCTTAAGCTGTTGGACCATTCTTGGGGGCACAAGACTGTCAGAGGTTATCTGGCTCCTCCTCATGTCTTCAGGTAGTTAGGTACTTCAGTCATACTTGATAGAGGACAGTGTCTGCCCCTTTCCTCAAAAAGCCCTCAAGGGGAAATTTGCTCTTTTAATCACCTTGGAAGTAGACTTTATTATCGCCCTGATTCTCACCAGTCTTAATGGAATCTGAGACATAGAGACGTCAAACTAACTTGTTCAAGATAAACAAAAAAAAAAAAAACACCCTGGCAAGTGGTGAGGTCAAAATTCAAAACTCAGGTTGTTCTGGCTCCAGATTCCTTGTGTTCTTATAACTCCTGTGCTATACTTCCTCCCTAACCTGGTGCCCTGACTTAAGCCAAACATGTTTTCTTCTGAGCCTCAGTCTCCTCCTTTGTAAAATCAGGGTCATAAGAGGACACACTTTGCTGAATATCTTTGTCCACCAAAGTGATAGTGAAAAATCAAAACAATAAAATTAGCAATGATCATCATAGCCAATTCTTTTTATTCACCAAGTCATGGAGTATGCCATTGGTGGGAAATCAGAAAGAAGGTAGATTTACATCAAATTCTACATAATTGCAGTCCCCAAAGATGGGTACTAGTTTTCCCATTTTACAGATAGGAAACTGAGGCTCAAAGAGTTGAGTAATTTATCCAAGGTTATTCAGCCAGTGCACAGCTGAGCTGGTGATTTGAACCCAGGTCTAAAATTCCCACTCTTATTCTGCTCTCATTCATCCCTCAGACCTAGCACAGAATTAAGATGAATTAAGCTGCCATTATGGTTTCCTCCTCAATATTTTGCTTTCTGAGAATTAAGCCTCCTGAATCAGGTGACTCATTCTTGCGAGAATCCACAGGAAGGCATAAAAGACAGTCTGGTTGACGTAGGCATTAAGCTCTTGTGTGCCTGTATCAGGTTTAAGATTTAGTCTAACAGTTGTATTAAGCATTATCAGGTTACATTTGGCTAGCAATTTTTCTTGCCCCATGTAATTACAGGTGCTTCAGATAAAATCTGAAATTAGTTGATAGAAACTGGGAATTAAAACCACAAAGAGAGGAATGTCTCAATGCATGTCAATAAACCAGCCCATTAATTATTTCTACCTACTCAACTCTGAAGAAAACGACCAGGCTGATGCCTCTGGATAATCACATGACCTACTTGATGTTTATACAAAAGCTGAATCTTCTTGGCTTTCAGAAGCAAATACCAGTAATGTTGAAACCAGCAGGGACACAAGAATTAAATGCCAGAAAAAAATAATATGACCACTGAAAATAGGTGATCTTCTTCAGCCTTTGTAAATTCTGAAAGTTCACCAAAACAGTATCAGGTGATGATTTCCCACAAATTCAAACATCTGGTGAAGCACTTCTAAAATCCTGCAAAACATCTGGATATCATGGAATACATATGTATGTATGTATATGTTTAGTATGTAAACATCTCACTGTCCCTCTATCCCTTTAACACTCACTCTCTCTGTACGTACATGCAAAATTATACCCTTACACACATGGCAAAAGTAGGTGAATAATGAAGGGTACAGTAGAATTGCAAACCCTACCACATATTAATAACTGTATATGGAGATCAGTTGAACTTAGCCTTACAGCCCATTGCAGCAGTGGATACCTCAGTTTTTGCAATTTCTCATTGTCTTCACATTTGTGTAATTCTATAGAAACCTCCAGCTGTTCCAGTCTGTCTTGAGGTTTATGTGTATGTAGGGTATTTTCTTTATTATTTACACAAATAACAGGGCTTAGTTATCTTCATGAGACATCAGGAGAAATAATCTTCATGCTGCCACTGAGTCTTGGAACCCAAACACAACACAACTGGTCACCAAAGATGGAACGAAACCACATATATAATCCGTTGGTGTTTTAATGATTTTGCACTAGGATTCATTGTCCAATAAATGTGCAATGTATTTTTTATCGAGGTGCTAGATTTTGCTTCTATGATATAGTGTCTTGACCAACACATTTCACTTGTCCTCTTAACTTTCCTGTTAGACTTTTGTATAATTACACTTCCTATTAGCCAGGAAGGAAATCTTGCAGGCATTATATATATATATATATCTGTCATCTCCCAAATCTTACCATGATCAAATCTGGGTGATAGCTTTGAATGCTTTGAATATTGAACCTAGCTACTAGTAGCCTAATGCAGGTTCCCACTGCCAGGTGCCTTAGTTTTTACTACAGTATCTTACTAAAGTTCCCTTTTACAAATGACATGAGAGCTTGGCAGACAAGGAAGAACCAGGACTAAAAATTGGGCTAGGTCCATGGTCCACAACAGAATTTAGTGCACAGCAATGTAAGGATGATGTTACTCTAGACCTGTGTTCCCTTGCAGCCCTGGAGTTCTGATTTGATGCTACCACCATGTTGCCAGTTTCCATTCCAATACTTGACACAATGTAGATACTCAACAACTACTTATTGAGTGGGTGGATGGATGCATGGATGGATGCATGAGAGAGGGCAGGACCAAGTGTCTGCTTTGCATACCATTTTCTCTCCCGTCCTTGTCATACTATGATCTTACAATATAATTTGTAGAATGAGTGGAGAATTATTCTACTTCATTTCAATACCCCCAATAACACAATATGCTCATGCTTACTTTTGTGCTTTTGCTTTAATTATTCTTTCCACTTTCTACACCCCATAGTCAAATTCTATACCTCTTAGCACCCCTAATTTAAATACTAATCCCTCCATTAAGTCATCCTTTACTATTGAAATCATCACTCTGGATTTCTAGAGAAGCTGGTTAGGTGCTAGAGGATTCCTACTTAATTATGCATGGCTATATTGTTCATTGTCTTAAAAATGCATTTCCTAAATAGATGCAAGTTCTTCAAGATCAGGAACTCTGATATGGCACAAGACCTAATTACAGGGCCTGGGCCTATAAAAGGTGACTGACCAAAAGTAAATATCTCTAAAGGGTTTTTAAAGAAAATCTCTTGTATTCAAAATGACTCTAGCAGGAAAATAGATTTAGTGAATTTCTGGCACTCCTCAACACCTTGTACCCAAATGTATGCCCAGCCTTTCGGGGCTCCTGGCAGTTCCACCAACAAGCCTTTGCCTGCAGTGGCTGCACTGCCTGGAGCATCCTTCCTTACTTTCCTATGCATGGAGTGCTTGTTGCAAGCATGATCTGGGACTCAAACCAGAGACTCTGATTAAATAAGTCTATGGCGGGATCCAGAGATTTGCATTATTTAACAAGCAGCCCAGCTACTTCCCATGCAATTGTCCATAGGTCATGATAATAGGAGAAACCAGCTGATGAAATTAACATTTATTGGAAGAAAGCAGGTTTTTCTCAGCTTTACAAGGTCAGCAACATGACCTTAACAATGACAGGCCTAAAGGGAAAAACACATCGACTAAAGGGTCAATAAGAAAGTATGGAACAGAGAAACAAACATTCAAATGTTGCCTCCTGCCCTGCCCCTTGAGAGAGTTACAGAACAGTATCTCCTGGTGGGGTTAGTAAAATTTCACTGGGACCCACCATTGCTCTCAATTTTCTCCACCTTTTGTTCTAATTCTTCGTCCACCAAACAACCTTTGGATAGAGGTTACCAAGTGTTCTAATCCCAAGAAAGAAAAAGAATGTCTTAGATGGCAGACATGAATAGTTCTGTTATAGAAAGGGGATTTCCCAATTCCCACATTTTAAAATGAACGGTCATAATGGCTTATTCACCATCCTGTGCTATTTTAATGATCACCAGTCAGGCCTAAGGTCCAAATCAGTGAATATACCAGGACTATCCTGTTTCTGGAATTAAGAATATGTTTATCAGACATGGGGCCATGAAGTTTTAACCGGTATGTGGCCTCCAACAGGCACTGCCAGCAACCAGACCCTGCCCCTCAATGGCCTACCTCTGCAGGCTACCCTCACCTTATGGGAAGAGAGTCTGCAACTTATCATCACGTAAGAAACAATAAGCTGCATTTAAAAACCAAAAATGATTTGTGCACAAAGACATTAACAAGAACATAATTTATCATAATGAAACACTGAAAACAATCTAAATGTGCAACAATAATAGGGGAACGGTTTAGTAAATTAGGTATACTCACATAAAGAATATTGGTGCCATCATTAACATAAATTTTAACAATACAGCAAATTTTTATATATAGTCTCAAATATATAAAACAATGTGCACTGGAGGGACAAAAAAATAACCAAAATGTGGATAGATGTTATCTCTGGATAGTGAAATTACAGGTGAATATTAACATACATGTATATTCCAAGCTATTTACAATGAGGAGGTAGTACTTTCAGAGTTAAAACATTTGAAAAATAAGACTGCTTATTTGGGCCAGATTTTAACACTACAGAGAATTATATTCTGTTAAACTGATTAATTTTCTTATCACATCTCTTTTCATTAGCAAGGAAATGATAAAGAGACTCTACTTCTCTGCACCCACTTTCCGAATTTCTGGGTCAACTGGGATGATCCGGGTAGACCCAGGAATAACATGCAGGTGGTACACCCTCCCCTTGTAGGAAAGGAGAGAAAGGGCAGTCACACTTAGCAGTTGTCAGAAAGAAGACCTGGGAGACTTCTCTATATCAAGCAAGAATTCCTCCTTTTCATCCCTGCCCTTGGACAAGAGAAGCTAATAGGGATTTAGTTAATTGGCTGGTTTTCATCCTAATTGGCTGATGAATCCATTCCAATCTCAAGAAAAATTGCAGAGGAAGAAACAAATGAGGGCTCAGCTGCCAATTGATGTTTTAGAGACGGCATTTTATGTGTCATGAGGTCTGAGGTCCTGGAGCTCAGAGTATTAGCTTTCCGGGAGACTGGGGCTCCATCAAGGGTGGGGTAAATATCCTTGCTGGGAGACCACAGGCTTTCCTGTCTCATTGAAGAAAAACCGAAAACGATGGCACACATTCGATTTTGTCATCTAATGCTAAATTCAGATTAAATCAACACGGACTCGTTCTGGGGTAGGGACAGAAAACTCCAGGGGGCTGAGGCTCTTGCATTATGTGGGCCTTCTGAAGGTGCCAGGTAAGCCGATGTCAGCTGAGTTTGCTCCTACTTTTCCCACATCAGTCAGTTCTACCACTTAACAGGGGGATTAGTAATCTCATTTCTTGGGACTGTCATCAAAGTATCAGAATAAAACCACTTAGTAGAGCTAGCCTTCTGCAAAATGTTGAGGTGGGCTAAATTGGTCTTCCACACCTTGTCACCTGCCTTTTAAGCCTCCTTCCCCTCGACTCCCTTATCAGGTAGGCTATTTCCATTTCTCACTCCCTTTCAGTCTAGCTCTCCTGCTCCCCATGCAAGATTACACCTCTCACAGTCACACAGTCTGAACTGCTCATTGGTACTTACGATCAGATATAAACAAAAACACACTTAGGAAAGGTGGGAATGATGATAGAAATTTGTGCTAGCTAAGAAATTCAGGCCAGATGAGGGCTATGACCAAACCATCCTAAAAAGATCACAGGAAATCTTGTCATTTGGGACAACATGGATGAACCTGGGGGGCGGCTTATTAACTAAGCCAGGCCCCGAAAACAAATACTGCATTATCTCACTTACACGTGGATTCTAAAATAGTTGAACTCACAGAAGCAGAGAACAGAATGGTAGTTACCAGGGCTGGGACAAGAGGAGCAATTGGGGAGATGTTAGTCAAAGGATATAAAATTTCAGTTAAGTGGAATAAGTTCCAGAAATCTATTTTATTAACATGGTAATTACAGTTAAAAACAATGCATTGTCTACTTGGAAAGTGCTAAGAACAGATTTTAAGTGTTTTCACCACAAAAAAATAAGTGTGTGAGGTAAGACGTATGTTAATTAACTTGATTTAGTTTAACTACTTCAATCTACTGATCAGATGCTTGTAGTATCTCTGGGGATTAAGAACACTCAATGGCTCCTCATTGCCACTGGTGCACTGAACCTCCTTTAGTCTGGCTTTGACTGCCCTTTGCTGTCTGGCAGCAATCCATCCCGTGGGACCTGTTTTCTGTGGCTCCTCATCTTGGCCTCTGGCTGGATGAGAGTCTGACATTTCCAGTGTGTCCTGGTGCTTTCCTTTCTCCATCACACCATGTCCCTCACCTGGCATGCCTACTCATTCAAATCTTACTCATTTTCCAAGGCTGGACTCAAGTATTGCTTCCTTTGAGGATTTTCCTCAATGCTCCTTACATTAAGTGATACTTTCTTCTTCCTCTAAAATTCTGTTTTATCCAATGTCTCTGCCATTTGTAACATGTCTTATAACAATAGCAGAAAGCATGTTTTTGCGTCTTAATAATCCTTGTAGCTTATAGTATGATAATGAAATATACGTTGTTTGATGAATGAATGAGGAGTGAATTTTTAAGGTATCCTGGGCATAAATTCTGAGTGAATGCTACCACACCACACAGCTGGACCTTTCTCTTATTCTTGTTTACTTGCTCTGGCTCTCATATATTCGCACATTTCTGTCAGCACAATTAGGGTATCTAAATTGAAAAATAAAATATTGATAAGCAGAGAGAAAAACAGTAAAAACAAAAATATGATGAATGCTTCCATTGTCTCAGAAATGACAGACCTTTTTCTACTTGGCCTTTATAATGTAATTATTTAAGTATTTCTGTATGTAGAATCCACCTTGCTCTTTAGAGGCCCTCAGGCACTTTTTACAATGCAACATCTTGATTTTGGAATGCATCTTCATGTGCAAAAAAAAAAAAAAAAAAAAAAAGCCAAAAACCTTGTCTAGACTTTGAGTCACCTTTATTTGTGTACTGTAAAAGACCGGTAGGAGCAGCCCAAATGGCTACAGTGAATGGGAGAGCCTCATAAAATCCGACAAAGGTTCACATACCTGAGGTTTGTAAACACAGCATATGTTCTTGTCAGTGTAGATGTGACCTTGCCGGTCTCTTTGCAGACTATATTAGTGCTGTGCAAATATTTCTACTCAATTGTAAAGGCACATTATACTCAGGGAAATTATTCTCCCAGCAAACAGACAGATGTTTAGCTTCACTTTAATATGACACTATAATCTGAATTCTTAATGTGAGACAGAGGTCCTGTTGGAGCTAGGGTGAAACTACACATGCAAAGTTTTAACAATGCAGCACTTTGTAGCATAGATTAAGTCACTACCTCTTTCTGACTAAAACTTTCTGCTCTTTCTTTCAAGCCCCTCTTGTAGCACCATGTGCAGGGGCCATGGTGCACTTAGCACACCTTGACAATCCTGAGATGATGCAGGAGGTGGCTGTGAGGATATTTATCAGTCTCTCTGAGCACTATCAAACACTTCTGCTTGCAAAGCCCTATAGAATAACATGGAGCAACATATGTCCAGTTGTGAGGTTCCCCTCTTAGGAGAATATGAAACATGCCTATCCTAGAGATATCAGCAAGGCTCAAAAAATTCAAGGAAAAAGAAAAAGTAGCTGGGGATAGACCAAACCCACATATCTAGATTCATTCTTGGGGGCTTTGGCATTCAACAAACAGATCCATCTTCAACTTGCTAGTTGTTGTCAAGGTTAATTATCCTTTAGGACTTCAAGTAAAGGAGGCCAAGGAAACTGAGCTCAACTCAAGTTTAGACACAGTGAAATTTCTTTTACTGCTGGGACTCAGCAACAAGACTGCCACCCCTGTGAGGTTCTCTCCATTTTCAATCCACTTTTCTACACTCCGCCTGTATTGCTGGGGCAGGGGCTCAATAAGCCATATTTCTGCTTTGTCAGCTCATTCCTGCAGGCTCTGCCCATAGGAAATCTAGAGAGACACTGGAAGGCTGGAGCTCTTCCTGTTTGCCTCCTGTTCCGGTTGGCATTATTCCAGCGATGGGTCATTGCCCTGGCACTTGGTTCCACTCTTCAGATTTACCCTCCCATATTCCTAGAACAAGACTCATCATAACCCCTTGGACACACCAACACCAACCAGCTGCAACGCTCCCCAGAGGACTGGGTTCCAGTTCTGCAAGGGCCTCCTCCAAGCTCCAGAGTCCTCAACAGCAGGTGGAGAAAGCCCTGCTATGAGTCTCCAGTTCTGTGCTCTCCGATGCTCAGCTTCTAAATTCTTTTCCCAGTCCCTTCTCCTTATTCTGCCGTCCCTGAAGTGGTAGTTGGTTCCTTTTATTATGACTTTTTTGTGGTGCACCAGGGTCTTTTATGTGTGTGCCTTTCCAGCCCTCTAATATCCAATTAAACAATTATTTTATATGAAATTATCACAGTTGAGATAATTGCATGGTTTCTATTTTCTTCACTGGGCCCTAATTGACATAACTTATTACTTGTAACAGAGTTACACAGATGTTTGCTAAATTGCTGATATTATATATTTTTGAAGGTATATTTACATGCTAAAAATGTATGATTAATCTGCATCTATTAAAAAGAACATGATAGATCACTATTACTGTCCAGAAAGATGTCCATAATATATTGAGTGATAACAGCAGTGATTTTTTATTAGTAAGCATTTGTTTCATATATAAGAAAAATAAATAAAATTATGAAGAAGTTAAAAATAACGGATACTATGATCTCTATGAGAATACTTTGTTATTCCTATTTAAATAACTTTGAGAATATCTTTAGCATAAGTAATTGGGGCAGCAGGATTTTTCTTCTGCCCAATATTTAGTTGGGATTGCAATAACTATCAAACAATTAAGATGCAATTTATGTCTTTGTCACAATTTGAAACCCAAAACATTTATATAATATGTGTAATTCAAAGGCACACATGCTACTGCATCTAAAATTTAACTTTTTAACTAAATATAACTAAAACCAACTCACAGAAAAGTCTACAGCTGGGAAGAAGAATTAGTAAAAACTTTAATTGTGGTCTCATTTACACTTCTATTTTCAAACTCATTCATGAATTAATTTTAACTCTGTGCCTCTGCCTTCAATCAAGCCATAAGTACCTGTCAGAAAATGACAGTGTTTGAATATCTGCACATATGTTGGAAATTTCTACACTTTGATTCCTTTGTCAAAATTTCCACTTAGAGCTGTGTGGGTGAGGCTCTAAGGCACAGGCAAGGAGGTTAGTCTCTCACTGTGGCCAAGATTCCACGCCAAAGAATGTTCATTTAGCGTGTAAGCCAACGCAGAACTCCTTATTAAGACAGTTGGCCCTCAGAGTCTTATAAAGCAGGAGGGGAGTATGATGTATGGAAGCAAATGTTGAGCAGGAACTACAGAAGGTTAGCCTTAAGGGTGATGTTCCATAGAGGAACCTTGGGCTAATCTTAATCTGTGAAGATGGACATTGGACTATAGAGCTTTGTGGCCCCTGTGCAGCCTGCCATTATACAAGATCACTTAACTACAATGTCTTAAAGCAACTCAGTCTAAGGCAGTAGTTGCAAAAATTTTGGATAGTATATCCCTGTTGGGGAAAAAAATTTGCGTGCAATGCCACCATGTGAATATTTATTCATAAATTACATATGGATGCTGTTATACTAATTATTAGTACAATTAGGAACAATTAGTATTGGGTACCCTCCAAGACACTGAATATCAGCCAGCACCCTCTCATTCAGTTGTAGTCACACTGACCTTCTTACTGATCATTAGCCTTGCTAAACATGCCCTGTCTCACCATCCCTGCACTGGATGCCTCTCTGTCCACTAGCCACTTGGTTCATATTCTCACCTACTTCAGGGCTGCTCAAAGGTCAATCTCAGAAGGGCTTCTCTGACTTCCTGTGTTACCTCTGACCCTCTGTCTCCTCTTTACTCTAGAACACTTGTGCTGGGTTCCTCTGTTTACCTTGCAGACACTGCTTTCCCCTTCTCTGTCCTTTTCTGTGCCCTGGGAGGCTGATTTGCATGGATTACATTCAACTGGGCTCCCCTGAATTATGGCTTCTCTTTGGGTTTGGCCAATAGGAGGCACTCGCAGGGAACTGGAGGGTGAGAAGAGAGATGCCTGGACGTTTATTCCATCAGCAACCACCCTTGCAGGGCTATGGATGGGAAATGGCTGTTTTCCTCTCCCAAGGTCACACCTCCTATTGGGTGTCCTTCTCCTACCACCAATCACTGCTTCCTCTTCATTTGGGCCACCGCTTCTTGCCCTGGAGGAGATAGTTCCCTATTATTAGAAGGCCCTAGACGACTTCACCATTCCTTGTTAGTTTCTCTTAAACTCTGCCTAGCTTTCTATAAATAGCTTTTCGTGCACTCTCCTCAGACATTTACTTTGAGCATGCCATCTGTTTCTTCCCAAGACCCTGAATGATACAGCACTTATCACCAATAAATATAGCATATATTTATATTGATAGTCTGATTCCTCCCATTTGAATGGAAAATAGCCGAGCGCAGAGATTTTTCACCTGTTGTTGTTTTCTGCTATGTGCTTAGCTCCTAGGATAGTGCACAGCATTTAGTAGGCACCCAGGTACCTGCCAAATACATAGATGAATAATATTTTCCTCCTAGGTCCCAATGGATTGTCTTGCACATTCCATTTTGGAAATCACCAACTTAAGGAACAAATATATATTATTCTTCACCAGGTTTTACTAAGTGTTGGACTAACCTAGCTTAATTCCTACATAATACATATCCCTGATTATTTTCAAAGCACATGAAATGTAATGTAGCAGGAAACTCTCCTGAAAGTTCTCAGGTTCCTCCTCCAAGATTCTCATAATGAAAGCTCCAACAGATATTGAGCCAATCATGAGAAGGACCTTATTAGTTCACCTTTTCAAGTTGTCTTTAACAGATTTTCTTTCTCCCTCCTGATTTCCGTTTTAAGAACATTTCTTCTTTTCTTTCAATAAGGACCATAAAAACTGCCCAAGGAAGCAAAGCCTTGGCTCACTCACTTTGTCCCTACTTGCAACAGGAGAAAAATCATCAAAATCCTGTTCCCCGGCTCAGTTACTTAATTTGCATATGATGCTCCATTACTTAATTATCTTATAACTCTTAGGGCTTAGTTGCCCAAATCAGACTTAACAATCATCTTTGGTAACAACATCCCTTACAGCAAAGAGCTAACTCAAAAGAAAATGATTTTTTAAAAAAATGACAAACACATACAAATACCTTTTTGTCCTCCATGCAAAAATTTGGGTGATGGATTCTTTATGAATTGCTCTATGCCTATTAAACATGCCCATTACTTTACTATTGGAAAAACCAGATTATTTTTCACATGCCTGAGTTTCCTTTCTTTGTACTAATCAATAACTGCAGATGTACTCTAAGAGTTGCTACCATACTGAACAAAATCTGATCTTCAAGACAACCTCGTGGAACCTGCTGAGGTTGCCTTGGGAGGGAGAACCTAAGTGGTGAGAAACTGCTGAATCCTGTATCCAGGAGGAAACATTCTGTACACACAATAACTTCTATGTGCATGTGGCTACAATTTTTAATGCTGTGCTCATCTCTGGCTATATATAGTGGCATGAGTAAGAGTTTTCTCGTGTGGTTTTGAGTTTCTTGAGCTGTAAATCAAAACATTGTGATGTTCAAACAGTCTTTGGGAAGAAGAGAAAATTAACTGCCAAAATTATTAAAATGGAACTCTACTTTCTATTAGAACCAGAATAGAACAGCTTGCATGAATAGGTAAGTGCAAAGTAAGATATAATTTTCTTTCACTTGAATGGCGTTTGTATTTCCCTCTGCCAGCAGTGGTATGACTCTCCAATGTTGTATTACTTTGCTAAAGCTGCTATAACAAGTATCACACACTGGGTGGTGAAACAACAGAACTTTACTGTCTCACAGTTCTGGAGAGAGTTCTCATTTAACTTGAATAATTATATTTGCAACAACCCTTTTTCCAAGTGAGGTTATATTCTGAGGTACCGGGGGTTAGGACTGCAACTTGTACATTTGGGAAAGGGGATGTAACTGCACACTGGCTCATGCTCAGCTATTTGAGAGGCTGAGGTGGGAAGATCACTTGAGCCCAGGAGTTCAAGCGTTCAAGGCTGCAATAAGCCAGTATCATGCCACTGCATTCCAGCCTGGGTGACAGAGAGGGACCCTGTCTCAAAAAAAAAAAATTAAAACTAAAAGAAGATCAATAAATTTGGGGGAGCACAATTTAACCACAACAAATGGTAAAAATAAAAAATGTTAGGTCTTAAGAAAATACTAAGAAACACTTGGTCCAGCTCTTTTGTTTTTTAGTGATAAATAGAAAGGGAAAATGTCTTATCCAGGGTTACCTGTCAGCAATAGCAACATAGACTCAGAGCACGAGGCACAAGGCTCTGCTCTGGTGCTTTCCAAAGCACACACTGCCTTTATTTCATTCTTCCCAAAGCTGAGACTCACATGCATTTGTGGAGGGGAAGTAGCAGCAGTGACTCATCCTATATGAAAACCCATCCAGAGACTTATGTGACATATCTACAGCAACTTGCTTTGTGGAGGTCATTCAAAATAGGAGAATTAAAAAAGGACTAGGCTGGTCTTGAACTCCTGGCCTCAAGAGATACTCCTGCCTCAGTCTCCTAAAGTATTAGAATTATAGGTGTGAGTCACTGCATGCAGCCTAGATTCAAAGTCTTATACAAACTTTCCTCGTTTAAATCACTGTGTGGTTTGTCTCCTGATTGGACTCAGACTGATGCAGTCTGTTCTAGTACCAGTTTGTTTTTACATTGAAATATTTGCTCCATCAGGAGTTTATCTTGGTATAAGCTGTGAGTATGGATCTAGCTTTATTTTTCACAGATGGCTATCTGGTTGATCCAAACATTTATTGAAAAACTTTTTTCCTAACTCATTTTAAATACCATCTTTATTATATACTCAATTCCCACATGTATTTGGGTTTATTCCAGACTTTAAATTGTATTCCATTACACTCTGTCTTTTCCATCTCCACTACCACATTGTTTGAATATCTGTTTAATATCTGATAGGAATAGTCCCTGGATATTTTTGTTTTTTTTTTTTAATTTGAACTTTGTTATCAGAATGTCTAGATTTCCTGCTGGAAATTTTATTGGGAATTGCAATACGTTTGTAGATTAGGGATATTTGACATCTGAGTCTTCTCAAGAACTAGCCACTTTTTATTAGTTCAAGTCTCTTTTGGTGTTTCTCAACAGTATTAAACATTTTTTAATTCACAAAAGGAGCACTGTGTATATTTATAGTGTACAATATATTTGATATAAATATACCAATAGCATTTTAATTCATATAAATCTTGCATATTATTACTTTTATTCCTAAATATTTGATCATTTTGGTTATTGTGATGGCATCTTTTCTTCCATTATAACTTTTTAACTTGTTGCTCTTAGATATATAAAGGGTACAAATATCAAACATAAAAAGGGAAAGCAAGGTTTCAAAACTGAATTACAAAACTTCAGTGCCAGACACTGTACCTGGCAATTGCTCAGTGCTCCAAGAAAGTTAAACCAACAAATAAAACCAATTTTAATAGTGATAAGTATTACTCTGTTGTGATTAGAGCTTCCACCATAAAGTATTTTCAAGTCCATTATCATTTGTTTTCTGCAAACTCTGAGAGACAAACATTATTCTCATTTGACAGAAAGGAAAACTGAGGTTCAAAGATAAATGACTTTTTAAACTAAAGTGTTACAATTTGACAGAAAGGAAAACTGAGGTTCAAAGATAAGTGACTTTTTAAACTAAAGTGTTACAAGCCAGTTTGACAAAGCTTGTATGCTATTATAATTTCAGATTCAAATTCCAATGCTCCCTCTCCTAAATTTTTATTGTTTTGAGGAAAATTAAACTAAACATTAAAAAAGTTCATTTACTTCCATTTTTATGCCTCCCTTGAAATGCAAATTTAGCACAAGCCAACCATCTCTCTCTAAGCATTTCCAAGCACTTGAGGCATCCACTTCTTTGCACTCAGCAGATGGTCATAAAATATGAACAAATGAAGACAGTTCATCTTTAGACTCTAGGGAGTCACGGAGTCACATAAGCTTAGGATTTGAATGGGCTTAGAGGATTTCTAAATAATGCTCTCTGGTTTATAAATAAAAAAGCTAAGGCACTACGTCCTAGAGCTAGTAAAAAAAACCAGATATCCTCACTCCCAAACCAGTGTTCTGATGCTTGTAAAATCTGGCACTGGTTTAATCAGAGAGTGACCAGCTGGAATAAAGTCCTGATCAGATTGCTTTTATTCTGCTTTCTCTGAAGCCAAGAAAGGTCATCAAAGATGCACAGGAGAGACTGCAAATGAGTACAATACTGTGCAACAGTGATATTCAGAATTATTAAATTGGAAGCCCTGGTGCCCTTTGCAGGCACAAAGCAGCTCCTCTGTAAGGAAATGAAAAGAGGTTGCGTGTCGAGGGATGAGGCTTCTTTCTATAGAGACCCCATTACAGCTCCAGAGGAAAGAACATCAGTTCCTTCCAGGGAGTCTGTGTAACAGATAATGTATGCTTCTTTTCAGGCTGTCAAGATTCACAAAAGAGATAGGAAGTTTGAGGCTCTATTACTGGTGACCTTCCCACAGAATACACTGCATCTCATTTTTAAAAATAGCCCGGCTCTTGGGTGGAGTATTTGATGGCCTTCATAAAGGAACTGAAAACTTTGGGAGAAGTACTGAAAGGAATAGAGTGAAAAAGAGAAAGAAGAAAGCAAGAGGCAAAAAAGAAGAGAAAAACTGGTTTCCTACTGCTCCTTCATCTTTCTGCATCTCGAAGTGGTCACCTTTTTTTATCTCAGAGCCTCATTACCTCTGAGAGGTTTCCTGATGGCCTCAACTCATCTCTACCATCCTTCAGAATGCTAAACAGGTTGGACTTTGTCACCACCCATAGAAACCTTGGTTATTTCCACATTGTAAAGTCCGCATTCCTTAGCATAGCAAGCCAGGTGCTTTTTGGAAATTCAGCTTCCACTCCAGCTTCATTTTCTGCTCCACTTCTCCAGGTAACTCATGCTTTGGCCACCGTGGCAACTTGCCACTCCTCAAACATGCCACTGGCTGCCCACTCTCTTGGGCATGCTTTTACTTTTTTCCCCTTTCTTTCATCAATCAATATTCTCCCTAAGAATCAAGACTCAGATCAGAGGCTCCTGTTTCTGAGAAACCTTCCAGCCAAAATGAATCACTCCCCCACCTAAGCTTTTTCTCTGGTCTCAAAGCCTTCTACTCTAAGCTCTGGTTCTTTTGATTAGACCTAAAGACAAAGCCATTTGTAAACCAATAACAGATCTGATAACTTTTTGGTTCTCACTTATAAGTGGGAGTTGAACAATGAGAACACATGGACAGAGGGAGGGGAACCTCACACACCGGGGCCTATCAGGGGGTAGGGGGAAAGGGGAGGGAGAGCATTAGGACAAATACCTAATGCATGCGGGGCTTAAAACCTAGATGACGGATTGACGGATGCAGCAAACCACCATGGCACGTGTATACCTATGTAACAAACCTGCACATTCTGCACATGTGTCCCAGAACTTAAAATAACAAAAAATCTGGACTAATTTTAGATTTCCAAAAATGTTGCAGAGATAGTATAGACAGTTCCCCACCTAATAATTTTTAGAAGAAATATTTTATAGAAAAGCATAAAGAATGATATTAAAAACACATGTATACTCATTTTCCATCTTTATCAAATCTCAACATTCTGCCATTTGATTCAGATTTTTTTTTAAAGATATAAAACAATACTTGGTTCTCCATGTAAGTCTCCTTGATTCTAAGGAGACTTGATTCTAATTCTTCCTACTCAGAATTAAGCACTCTCCTGATTTGGCATTTATGGTTAATTGGCCTGCTTTTATATATTCACTACACATGTATGTATCCCAGAAGTTATATTTGATTGCCTTGTATGTTGTTGTACACATATGACCTCATTCTATATATAGATCAGCTGTACATATTTTGATTTTCACTCAACAATACATTTGTGATTTTTGCAGATGTAGTTCACTTATTGAATGTTCTATATAGTATTTTATTGTGTGGATACACAAAAATAATTGTCTTCAACAGATAGAAATTTTAGCTTCTCATTTGTTTTTTAATGTAGAGTAAGAGAAACATACAACAGTGCACATTGCAGCACTGCTTGTATTAGCAAAAACAGGAAGTGGATCTGGATTGATCCATTAACTATGAATCTTACCCATCCTTAAACATCATTTAAGCCCTTAGGGTAGAAAAGAAATTATGGGGAAATCAAAATGATACATTTGGCAGTGGTGAGAGGCTTCCTGTTCCTTTTGGTTCAGCAAAAAACTTTTTATTCTTTAGACCTACAAAAAAGCAGAGGCTTTTTTTTTGACCCACACCCAAAGCAGAGGGAAATCAGTCAGCATTTTTAAGGGAACTACACATGCTACAGGGGCCCTTTAGCGTCTGCCAAGCTCTTCCCAGTCTCAAGAATGGAGGTAGGAGATGCTGTTCATGCTATTATACAGAATGGCAGAATTAAGTCCAAATGGCACCTGGAGTCTTACCTCTTTATATCCTAGTTTTCTGTATTCAGTACTGGCCCAGATTGCTTTTATTTTCTGTTGAAATAATAAACTCTTTTACAAAAAATATGATTGTTTTTCCTCAGTTTTAAAATATGCCTATAAATATTCTACAGGAATAGAGGGTAATAGATGAGCTCAAGTATTTTGCGAGTTAATTAAAGTAGAACTTGGATTTATTTCGTAACGATTTTATACAAATTGAAAGGAAAGTAAGAAACGTTATTCCAAGGTGTTCAAGGCAGGCCTTGTACCATCTCACTTCCCACTGGTTCTACTGAAACATTTACATTTATCACTTTTTTTCCTTCTGTTTATTATGAGAGTATCTAATTTCATAGGCATGGTGGTAGAACATTGGGGTGAATAAGATGATGTCTGCTCTTAAGAAGTTACTTGCTACTCCCTGAATATATGAAAACTTTTTTTTTTTTTGTAAAGAGAGAGTGATGGTATGGTTCACTAAGGAAGGCAGGAGATTGAGTAGTTCTGGAGAGTCACATAGGAAGCATGTTCCACATAGAGGGTGGATGCAAGTGAAGGCCAAGTTGTAACCATCTATCACTGCCTCCAAGGAGCACCTGCAATAGCACATCTACTTGGAGTCCAAGTCCTGGTTTTCATAGTTTGGCCAATTCCATCACTGCCCAAACCATGAAGTAAGAAAAATAATACAACTTAGTTCAAGAGAATAAAAACAAAATGGAGTGTGCCACACACCAGCTATATTCAACTATTTTCTGCTCTCCTAGAGTGCCATGCATTTGCAAGCCTCCAAGCCTTTGCAGATACTCCTGCTTTGAATGACATTCCCTGTATTCTGTACTTATCCACTGTGTAATGCAACCTTAAAGCTAATTTTAAGCATTGTCTTTCTAGGAAACCTTTCTCACTCCCCCCGAGAGGGGTGAATCATCCCTCCCTTGTGTATATTCCCAGAGAAGGCTGTTTCTGCCTCTGTAAAATACAGCACTCAGCACAGTCTGACAAATAGTCTCGTAAATTGTGCATGCCTCTGTGTCCTTTACTCTTAGAAGGCAGGGACTCATCTAATTCATCTTTGTCGTGCCTTCAATCTGTGGCACAGTGCTAACATATAGTAAGTGTTCAATGTGAAGTTCATTAAATGACGTATGTAGCTGCAAAGAAAAAAACACGTAGCATTAGGAATTAGAGTAGTCAACAGATAGTGGTAGTAGAATTGCCTCAAATTCCATGTAAGTATGATTCTACTGAAAATAACTGAGTTTTTTTTTTTTTTTTGATAATTGGCATTAATTCCCTTGGCTCTACCAAGAGATCTTAGGTTCAATTCCCTGGGCAAGCAAGCAAATTGTGTATGTTTGAGTGGGTAAGTGAGGCTATTCCACATGAATCTCATTTAGAAATTATGTTCAAAGCAGGCCATTTGCTACTGGATTCATTACCTTTCCTAGATAGCACAGGGTGAAATGTTTGCTTTTATTAAAGTAAATAAATAGCTCATAATTGTGCCTAGGAAGGGAAACTTAAAGGCAAGAAGAAAAACACTAGACAGGGAATATAAAAGTGTATTATTTTTTCCTCAATATTGCGGTTCATTATATTTTTGAAACAGTTGTGAATGGCTTTTCCTTAAGTAATATCTGGGCTCTTTTCTCTAGATAATTTACAGGAAAAGAGAAATATACCTTAGCAAGGCAGGCTAAGGAAAATTATTTTAAAACTCAAACATATCAGGCTAAAATATTCATGATGTAAAAACAAAGCAAACAAAACAAACAGATAAGCAAAAACAAAACGAGAAGAAAACATGAGAATACCAATAGAAGAAAAATATGTAATTTGGTTTGGTTCCAGCTCTGGCTGTGATTAAGCATATACCATCCTCCATTTTCCATTGATTACAAATAAATAAATATAAGGAGTCTATCTGAAAATTCAGAAAAGTAAATAATGACAGGTGAATTGGGGAATGAAATGAAATGGAAAGTAGTATCAATATGGTATTAAGCTTAAAGGTATTTTCAGTTTTCTTCTTAATCCTCCAGCTTGGACTCTAGGACAGCCCAAATCCCAGAACTGCACATCAAGCAGAGACAGGAAATGCTTCAAGGGAAACATATGTACCTGTCTGTATTCTAGAAAAGCCCCAGTCACAAAGCCTTAGACTAGTGAAAGCAGCAGCTATGCATACACCTCAAACTCTGGAAGACATTCTTTTTTTTTTTTTTTTTGAGCAGAGAAACTGGAAAACTAGGTTCCTATTGTTCTCTCTCTCGCTCTCTCTCTCTGTGTGTGTGTGTGTGTGTGTGTGTGTGTGTGTGTGTGTGTGTGAATCGTCATTAATTTTCTCTTTCCAGTCTCTCTCTGGTTGTTTTGCCCTCAAGGGAAGCAAGTCATCATGGGAAGTGTGAAATAGCATAGGGAACCTAAAGCCCTGCCATTTATGACAGAAGACCAGAGAAATAAGCCCCTGGGGACTAGAGAGTGAAGAGAAATCATGGAGGAGAAAGTGGTAGAGAAAAAGTACACCTAATTTTGTGTATGAAGTCTCAGGCTCACCACTAATTGGCGCATGCATTGAAATTAACCAAGGCAGCGTAACAACTGCTTTGATAATTAAACTATGATATAGAACAAAGCTCAGGTTGACCCCTGGGTGGTTGGTATGTGTGTGTGGAGCAGACAAACTAGCTCTACAAAGGAATTGAAAACTAAACTAACACAGAAGCCAGAGTCTAAATAGAGCAGGTTGAGGTTAGACTTATGACAAGAACCATGGGAGACTGATTACCTGCTAAGATGAAAAAAAAAAAAAAAAGGAAAGAAAAGAAAAGAAAAATCTTCTCTAGAGGATTTTAACAGGACCAGAGTCTAATATATAATACTCAAATGACCATAAGGCAATCCCAAATTACTAAAAATAAAAAAGAGCATCTCAAAAGTCAATCAACTGACATCAATCCCCAAGGTGACCCATGATGTTGAAATTATTGGACAAAGATTTTAAAGGAGTTATTGTAACTATCCTCTATGAAAAGAAAAAAATTCTTTTAAAATGGATGGAAAGAAATGTTGTAAAAAATAGAAAATATAAACACGAAGTAAATATTTTAAAAATAAAAAATAACTAAAAAATAAACTGGATGAATGCAATAGCAGAATGGAGATGCCAGAAAAAAAAGAAGAGTCATTGAATTTGAAAAGTAGATCAACAGAAATAATCCTTTATAAATAAGAGAGAAAACACAAATAAAAAAATATGAGCAGAGCCTCAGGGACCTGTGGGACATGTCTTACATTTGTGTTACTAGAATCCCAGAGGGGGCAGGTAAGAGATTGGTGCAGAAAAAAATAGCTAAAAACTTCTCAAATCTGTGGAAAGCCATAAATTTACAGATTTGGGAGGCTGAGAAACACCCCCCACCACCAAAAAAAAAATTTCATGCAAATTCTCATACTTAAAACACTAAAATCCAAAGATAAAGAAAAAATATTGAAAACAACAAGTAAAACAAACACTTTACATATAGAAAAAAATAATTCAAATGACAACGTATTTTAGTGAAAATCATAGAAGCCAGAAAGCAGTATTATAATCTATTTGAAGTATTGACAGTGAACCATTAATTCTAAATTCTATATTAACCAAAAACATTCTTCAGAAAAAAGTGAAATAAAGACCATCTGATCATAGCAAAATTAAACTAGAAATCAAAAACAGATATTTAAAAACCTCTAAATATTGGAAAATTAAATAACTCACTTTCAAATAATCAAAATATGAGAGAGGAAGTCAAAAGAAACATTAGAACATATTCTGAACTAAGTGAAAATGAAAATACCACAAGTGATGGTCAGTTCTGTATTTTCAACTTGGCTAAGAGGTAGTCCTTGTTATTTAATCAAACATGAGTCTAGGTATTCCTGTGAGGTATTTTGTAGACATGATTACTGTATAATTATTTTGCTTTAAGCAAGAAGATTCTGAGTTGAAAGGCGTTAAGAGCAGAACTGAGGCTTCCCTGAAGCAGAAGAAGACATTCTAACTATAGATTGCAGCTTCAGCTCCAACTTATGCCCAAGAGTTCCAGTTTCTAATGGCTTGCCCTATGAATGTTGAACTTGTCTAGCCAGAACCCACGATTGCATTAGCCAATTTCCTGCCCCTACTCTCTCTCTGTATGTACACACAAACACACACACACACACACACACACACACACACACACACAGAGTTTCTTTTGTGGAAACTGACTGATACACCTCATATTAAAATTTCTGTAATGCATTTAAAGCTTTAGAGAAAAAAGTTGTACATTAAATACTGAAAAGTTACAGCACTAAATACTGAATTATAAGTGAAAAATTCAAATCAATAACCTAGGTTTCCATATTAAAATATTAGAAAACAAAAACCAAATTAAGCCAAAACCAAGCAAAGAAAAAGAGAAATGTCAAAGGCAAAAGAAAAAAAATAAATGAAATTTAAAATAGAAAACAACAGATAGAGTCAATGAAATCAAAAGGTGGTTTGTTGAAAAGGTCAATAAAATTTGATAAACTTCTAAGAAGACTGACCAAAGAGAGAAGTAGCAAATTACTATTAGACATGAAAGAAGACATAATACTACAGACCTCACAGGCATTAAAATGATATTAAGAGAAAATTATAGACAACTCTATTCCCCCACATTTGACAACTCAGATTAAATGAATCATTTTATTGAAAGATAAAAACTACCAAAACTGACAAGAAATGGGAGGTAGTGGTCACCTGGATCAGCAGTCTGAGGCACTCAACCCTTACTGTGCGTAGATTCTGGTGCAGCGATGCCCTCTCTGCTCCGTGCCCAAGCAGATCTCCGGGCATTCAAAGCACCGGCTCACCCGGATTGACAGCCTGAGCTGCCTCACCTTTCCTGCACAGAAATCATGGTGCATCCAGGCCCTCTCCACTTCATGCCCAAGCAGATCTCCAGGCAGTCAAAGCACCAAGTCACCTCGATCAGCAGACTGAGCCACCCAACTCCTCCTGTGCAGAGACTGTGGTGAAGCAGGGCCCTCTCTGCCCAATGCCCAGGCATATCTCCAGGCAGTCAGAGCACAACATATTTGCATGGATTATAAGCCTGAACTGCCCCACCCTTTCTGTGCAGAAATTGTGGTGCAGTGGGGCCCTCTACACTCTATGATGAGGCAGATAACCAGGCATCTGGAGCACACACTTTCCTGAATCAGGAGTTTAGGCTGACCTTGCCACTTGTGCAGAGAACTTCAGGCAAAAAAGGTTTCCCAGCCCCTTGCCCAGTCACACCTTTGGGGGCTTGGTGGCCCTTCACTCATTTCTTCCTTGGTGCTGATGCATGTGGCTGACACTGGGGGACCTGTACATGGGCCTGCCCGGTCTGACCTCACCCATCTGGGTCCCCAAACCCCTCAGGACTGAGGAGACAGCTCAGACAACTGTGGGCTCCATGGATGAGCCCATTGCTAGAGGTAGAAGCTAGAGCTTCTACTGGTAAACAAGAATAAAATATATACCCAGGCATGTTGGCCACAACCAGCTCTTACCCATAAGTACCATCTACTGGCTTGTAAGTCAAACCACAGAACTCAATATAAATTTACCAAGAGGAAGTGCATATGGCTATAGAAGCAAAACAAAAAACCATATTCAACATTCTCTATGGTCACACCCCACAGGGAGTGGGGGGAAAGAGAAAGGGAAAGAAAAAACCCGCTAATGATATTATAGGGAAATAAAGAAAAAAGGGAAAAATCCTACACACAGTTAAATAATTATAAAAATTAGAAGTCCTATTATCTCTGGATGAGAAAAAAATGGTGCAAAAATTCTGGCACCATGAAAAATCTGAATGTAGTGATGCCACCAAAGGATCACAGTAGTTCTCCAGCAATGGTCTCCAACCAGAATGGAAATTCAGAAATGACAAAGAATCCAAAGCATGTATTGAGAGGAAGCTCAATGATATCTAAAACAAGGTTAAAAGTCAACACAAATAAACTCCTAAATAAATCAATGAAATGAAGAAAGAGACAAACATCTTAAAAAGAAATCAATCAGAGCTTCTAGAATTGAAAAACTCAAGGAATTGCAAAATATAATTGAAAGCTTTAACAATAGACTGGACTAGAAAGAAGAAATAATTTCAAAGCTTGAAGACTAGTCTTTTGAACTAACCCAGTCAGACAAAAATTAAGAAAAAAAATTTAGAAAAATGAACAAAGTCTTTGAGAAATATGAGATTGTGTAAAGTGAACAAACCAACAAATTATTGGCATTCCTGAGAGAGAAGGAGAAAACATAAGCAACCTTGGAAACATATTTGAGGGGCTAATTCAAGAAAACGTCCCTAATCTTGCTAGAGAGGTAGACATCTAGATACAAGAAATCCAGAGAACACTTGCAGTATCCCATGCAAAATGAACATCACCAAAGCAGTTACCCACCAGACTGTCCAAGATCAACACTAAGAAAAAAATCTCAGAGGTAGCTAGAGAAAAAGATCAGATCATGTACAAAAGGAACCACCTAAGGCTAACAGTGGACTTCTCAGCACAAACCTGACAAGTCAGGAGAGGCTGGGGTCTATTTTTAGCACTTTTAAAGAAAAGAAATTCCAACCAAGAATTCACAACTTGTGAAATTAAGCTTTCTAAGTGAAGGAGAAATAAAATATTTTAAAGACAAACAAGTGCTGAAGGAATTTGTTACTATTAGAACCGGCTTACAAGAGACCCTTAAGGGAATTATAAACATGGAGACAAATTAATGACACCTGCTACCATAAAAATACACCTAAGTGCATATCTCACAGGCCCTATAAAGCAACCAAACAATAGAAACTATAAAGCAACCAGCAAACAACTTCACAATAGGATAAAAATCTTGCATATCAATATTAACCTTCAATGTAAATAGTCTAAACACCCCACTTAAAAGGCATAGAGTTGCTAGTTGGATAAAAAACAAGACTCATCCATCTGTGGTCTTCAAGAGACCCATCTCAAACATAAACACACTCATAGGTTAAAGTAAAGGGCTGGAGAAGGTTCTATAACACAAATAGAAAACAAAAAAGAGCAGTGGTCAGTATTCTTAAATTGCGTAAAACAGACTTTAAACCACCAACATTAAAAAAAGGAAAAAGAGGGGCATCAAATAATGAAAAAAGGTTCAATTCAACAAGAAGCCTTTACTATCCTAAATATATATGCATCCAACATTGGAGCACACAGATACATAAAACAACTTCTAGAACTGTAGAAAAAACTTACACAGCCACACAATAATCATCAGGGACTTCAGTACCCCAATGACAGCATTAGATGGATCATCAACGCAGAAAACTAAAAGAAATTCTGAACTTAGACATTTTGACCAGTTGGACCTAATGGACATCTATATAACACTCCACACAGAAACCACAGAATATACATTCTTCTCAACTGCACATGGAACATACAACAAGATTGACCACATTCTTGGCCATAAAGCAAGTCTCAATAATTTAAAAAAAAATTGAAATTACACCAACCATACTCTCAGACCACAATGGAATAAAAATAGAAATCCACACCAAGAAAATCCCCTGCCCCCAACAGCACAATTACATGGAAATATAACAACTTGCTTCTGAATGTCTTTTGGGTAAAAAACAAATTTAATGCCAAAGTCAAAAAAAAAATCTTTGAAATAAAAGACTCCATATACCAAAGTCTCTGTGATGCAGCAAAAACAGTGCTAAAAGGAAAGTTTAAAGCACTAAATCCCTACCTCAAAAACTTAGATCTCAAATTAGTGATCTATCATTGTACCTAGAGAAACCTGAAAAACAAGAACAAACTGACCCCAAAGCTAGCAATAGAAGAGAAATAACTAAAACAAGACCAGAACTGAAAGAAATTGAGACCCCCCCAAATCCATACAAAGGGTCAACAAAAGGTTCATTGTTTGAAAGGATAAACAATTTCAATAGACCACTACTTAGATTAAAAAATAAACAGAAGAGGTCCAGATAAGCACAATCAGAAACAACAAAAGTGACATTATAACCAATACCATGGAAATGAAAAAGATCCTCAGAGAGTATAATGAACACCTCTTTGCCTGCAAACTAGAAAACCTAGAGGAAATGGATAAATTCCTGGAAATGAACAACCTCCCATGACTGAATCAGGAAGAAATTGAAACCCTGAACAAATCAATAATGAGTTCTGAAATTGAATCAGTCACATAAAAAAGCCCCAAACCAGAGAGATTCACAGCTAAATTCTACCCGACAAAGAAAAGCTAGTATCAATTTTACTGAAACTATTTCAAGAAATCAAGGAGGAAGGACTCTTCCCTGACTCATTCTATGAAACCAGCATCAGCCTAATACTAAAACCTGGTAAAGACAATTAAAAAAAACCTGCAGGCCATAGACACAAAAATCCTTAACAAAATACTAGCAAATCGAATCCAGCAGCACATCAAAAAGTTAATTCACCATGATCAAGTAGGCTTCATTTCTGAGATGCAAGGTTGGTTCAACATACACAAATCAATACATGTAATTCACCACATAAACATAATTAAACCCAAAAATCATACAATTATCTCAATAGATGCATAAAAAGCCTTTTATAAAATTCAGCATCTCTTCATAATAAAAGCCCTCAAGAGACTAAGCATCAAAGGAACATACTCCAAAATAATTAGAGCCATCTATCACAAACCCACAGCCAACATAATACCAAACAGGCAAAAGCTGAAAGCATTTGAAAATGTTTCTTAGAACTGGGATAAAACAAGGATGCCCATTCTCACCACTCCTATTTAACATAGTACTAAAAGTCCTAGCCAGAACAATCAGGCAAGAGAAAAAAATAAAAAGCATCCAAATAGGAAGAAAGGAAGTAAAACTCTTTGTCCACACTGCTGATAATGATTCTATACCTATAAAACCCTAAAGACTCTGTCAAAAGGCTCCTGGAACTGACAAACAACTTCAGTAAAGTTTCATGTTATAAAGTCAACATACAAAAATCAGTACCATTTCTATAGACCAGTAACATTCAAGCTGAGAGCCAAATCAAGAATGTAATCTAATTTGCAATAGCCATACAAAAAACACCTAAAAATATATCTAACCAAGGAGGTGAGAGATCTCTACAACAAGAACTTCAAAACACTGCTCAATGAAATCACAGATGACACAGACGGAAGAACATTCCATACTCACAAATTGGAAGGATCAATATTTTTAAAATGGCCATGCTGCCCAGTGCAATCTACAGATTCAATTTTATTCCTATTATACTACCAATGTTATTTTTCACAGAACCAGAAAAAACAATTCTAAAATTTATATGAAACTCAAAAAGAGCCCAAGTAGCCAAAGCAATTCTATGCAAAAAGCAGCAGCCAGAGGTATCACATTACCTGACTTCAAGCTATACTACAAGCCTACAGTAACCAAAACAGCATGGTACTGGTACAAAAACAGACATATTGATCAATAGAATAGAATAGAGACCCAGATATAAGCCACACACCTATGAACATCTAATTTTCAATAAAGTCAAGAAAAATAAGCAATGGGAAAGGACTCCCTATTCAATAAATAGTCCTGGGATAGCTGGTTAGCTGTATGCAGAAGAATGAAGCTGGACCCCTACCTTTCACCATATATGAACCTTAATTCAGAATGAATTAAAGATTTAAAAGTAAGACCTCCACCTATAAGAATCCCAGAAGGAAACCTAGGAAATACCATTCTGGACAGAAATAAATTCTGCCTTGGGACAGAATTTATGAATAAGTCCTTAAAAGCAACTGCAACAAAAACAAAAATTGGCAAGCAGGACCTAATTAAATAAAAGAGCTTCTGTACAGCGAAAGAAACTATCAACAGACCACACCTACAGAATGGGAGAAAATATTCAGAAACTACACATCTGACGAAGGTCTAATATCTAGAATCTCTAAGAAACTTAAACAACTCAACAAGCCAAAACCAACCCCATTAAAAAGCAGGCAAAAGACATGAACAGCCACTTCTCAAAAGAAGACAACAAACATATGAAAAAATTCTCAGCGTCACTAATCATCAGAGAAATTCAAATCAAAACCACAGAGATACCATCTGATGTGTCAGAATGGCTACTATTAAAAAGCCAAAAAACAATAGATACTGGTGAAGCTACAGAGAAAAGAGAACATTTATACACTGTTGATAGAAATGTAAATTTGTTTAGCCACTGTGAAAGCAGTTTGGAAACTTCTTGAAGAATCTTAGAACTACAATTCAGTCAACAATTCCATTACTGGAGATATATATATATATATATGAATATAAATAATTCTACCAAAAAGACACATGCACTTGTATGTTCATTGTAGCACTATTCACAACAGCAAAGACGTGAAATCAACCTAAGTGTCCCTCAATGGTGGACTGGATAAAGAAAATGTGGTACATCTATACTATGGAATACTATGCAGCTATAAAAATGACTGATATCATGTCCTCTGCAGTAACATAGATGCACCTGGAGGCCATTATCCTGAGCAAATTAATTCAGAAACAGCAATCTAAATACTGCATAGTCTCACTTATAAGTGGGGCCTAAACATTGGGTATTTATTGACATAAAGATGGGAACAATAGAAATGGGGGACTACTACAGGGGAAAGTGAGAGAAGGGGACAAAGAGTTGAAAAACTGTCAGGTCCTACCTTGGTGACAGAATCATTTACATTCTGAACATCAGCATCACGAAGTATACCCATGTAATGAAACTGTACATGTATCCCTGAATCTAAAATAAAAGTTGAAATTATAAAAAAAAAGAAAATAAGGAGATAGAATACGAAAAATGGCCTCCCAATATTTTCCAGCTTAATGCCTGGAACTGTGGGTATGATGAGATATCATTCCTGTGTGTTACCCTATATTGAAAAGGGAGATTATTGAGGTATAAGTAATCTAATCACATGATCCATTTAAAAGCCTAGTGTTGTCTCCAGTTGAGAACAGAGAGGAAAGTCAGAGACATCCCAAGTGTGGTGAGGATACGGAGCAAGAGAAACTCTAACATTGCTGGAGGGAACATAAGATAGTACAGCAACTCTAGTAAACAGTTTGATAATTTGTTATAAAGTTAAACATACATCTTTATAACCCACCTAGGCCACAGCACAGCAGTACCCTACAGAAATGAACACTATGTTAAATCAAAACCTGTATGCAGATATTTATAGCAGCATTCTTCATTATCACCCCAAACTAGAAATACCCTAAATGTCCTTCAACTGGTGAGTGGATAAAGAAACAGTGGTTTTGTTGCTGAGAAGTATTCCATGTTATAGATGAAATACTACTCAGTAATAAAAAGGAATCAATTGCTGATACATGTAACACCATGAATGAATCTCAAATACATTGCACTGAGCAAAAACAAAACAAAAACAAAACAGATTCAAAGGTTGACTATTGTATATTTCCATTTATACGACTTTCTAAAGAAACAGACACTATAGAGACAGACAGGTAGTGGCCAAAGGTTAGGAAATGGGGATTAATATTGACCACAGAGGGGTAATACTAGGGGATCTTGAGGGGTGAGTGAACTGTTCTGTATCCTGATTCTGGTAGTGGTTATGTGACTCAGAACTATACACCACAAAAGAGTGAATTTTATTGTACATAAATAAAAAATAAAAACAGTGAACTGCTTTGATTAGCTTCTACATTGTAATCTAAGATTTTAAACTCAAATTTGTATTTATGTGGCAATGAAGGGCATGATGATACTCACCAAGTAGTTTTAGGAAAAAATGATTTACTCAGTTTAAATATTTACCTTGAAAACAAACCTATAAGGTGAACACAATCTCATTTTTAACCGCATTAAATATTAGTTTTCTTTTGTTTTTAACTTGAACTACATTGAATATCTTTTTTCTAAGCTGCCTTCGTCTAATAGACATTGCTCAGGTCTTAAAGAATCATCAAAGCATGGATTTTTTTCTCTCCACCGAGCTTTGATAAGAAAGAAAACAAAAGCCCACATATATTTGGATAAAGTGCAGCAATCTGTTCCAAATATCATGTAAAATGTCTTCAAAACCTAAATAAGCATGCTTTTTGAGCTTCATCTCCTGCCTAGTTCTCCACTCAACACTCCCACCACGATGAACTAATTAACAACAGTAATATGGTTATTACAAATTATTTACCATCTTCTCTGTGACAGACACTTTGCTAGATGCTTTACATATGCCACCACATTCCAGGTAAAATAATGGTTCCTATTTTACAGACGAGAAAACACACTCATCTAGGTTAAACACTTGCCCAAGTTCACGTATCTGGTAAGTGGACAGAGCTGTAATTTCACTGTGCGTCTGAGTCCAGATGGCTATGCCCTTTCTATTACTACTACACCACACTGATAGTTTTCTTATTTTCCCTTAATAGTTTTTCAAATGTGATGCCTTTTTTCACCTTATTTCTAGCAAACCGACTGACAGTCTTAGAGGAGAACAGTGTCCCCTCTAGAACGTCTTCCCTAATCTGCTATGTTGAATAGAAGAATAGATTGGAACCGTAAGAAACAGCCCAGTTCTTATTTCAACTCAGCTACATATTCATATTTCCACACAGATGGATATTTATTGAGTACCCCCTGTGTGCGAGGGATTGTGTTAAGCAATGGAGATTAGATCAAAAATTTTATAAAAGAAATAAACCATAAGAAACTTTTGTGGGGATCTTATGAGTAGGAAATAAGCAGAAAAGTCCACTCCAGGCAGAGGCAAACAGTACTAACAAAGAAACGGAAAAAAAATAAAATAAAAATTATGCTCTGAGAAACTACCCTTTCTGCCCCTTAAATGCTCTTTGCTTCTCTTCACAGCTGTCTGACAGTGGGAATTGGATGCTCTAACTGCAGTGAAATGACCAAGGCGTATGGAGTTACTGAGTGAGCTGTTTGTAGAGTAATATAAGCTCAAAGAATAGCTAGCTCAAGGAGTGGAAAGGGGAAAGATGGAACGCACACCTCAGGCCAATGTAGATTTTTACTCCAAATAGAATTTTCATAGCCTCTTTAATTAAAAAGATACTATGCAAGGCTGGGCAAAACTTGTCCAATTCTGAGCTACCCAAGCTAAGTCTTTACTTCATTTAAATCCTATTAAAGCACAATCTTCTCAAATATCCTTTTATGACATCTAGAAAGTCTTATTCTTCAATTTAATTTTATGAGAGTGTGGATTAAAAATATATATGAAAAACAAAAGGAATTATCCAAAAAGGCATTTCCTTCAGGAAAGAAAAAAAAAGTCCTCCACAAAGTAAAAGGAATATTTTAGTTTTATTATTTTTTTGTTCCTCTTACACATGAGGAATAAAAAGAGAATGGAAAGTCTAAAAATCGGAATTAAAAGCTACTACTGCAGCGTATTTTAAATTTTATTCTATATAGCTTTCAGAGAGGAAAAGCGATTCTGTTATTACCCTGCATAATTTTTTTATAGCAGAGCATAGATGTGTTGCTAATCCAATGCTAAAATGACTATTTGGCTTATTCAGAATTATTTGAACCATTAACTCGCATGAGATAAGCATGATATGCATTAATCCTTTTGTGATCTAATTCATCAGTCTTTCCAAGTTACTAAAGCTATTCTTCACAGATTCTTTATTCTTCTATCCTGAAAATATTGTGTTTTGTTTATTCTGCTTATCACAAATCACAGAGAAGTTTCATTTGCTTTCTTACTATTTCCTTTTAAAAATAAAGTCACATTTATATTGTCAGGTAAAATACCTACACAGAGGAACCAAGAAGAATCGGCAATAATAAGTGGTTTTGAGACTGGAAAGAGAAGCAGTAGAGAAAGTGGACAAGCAGTGATGAAAATTTACTTGACTACACAATGGATTTGCATGGGAAATATTGCCCTGACCATTCCATATTTGGGTAGGTACTATTTGGTAATTGGTGTTCATTCATTAGTGGGTATGATCTAAATATGGATTTCAAAATACACTATGAAAGAAATTCCAGATCAGACTTTTGACTTGAATGGAATATTTCCATAAGCTAAAGATCTACAGCTGTTCATTAATTTCAGACCAACATTTTTGGAAAGTCTCAAACCACTCCATATTTCCATGAGGAGTGCCTAGAAATGAACCTAGAATAAAACATGCTCATTTTTACAGGCACCTCCGAGCTTACAGTTTCTTATCTGTAAAGGGCAACATTATGCTTACTATCTTCATAGGATTAAGAGCAGAAAAATCATATGGAACTTCTACCCAGAAATTTCTTTCATAAGAAGCACAAAATACTTAGTGAGATTTTGTTTAAGTCTGTCCTTGGGCATGATAAATCAAAACTACATCTGTGTATGAGACATGGATCCTGTATTATAAAGGAAATCTTCAGAAAGTCTAGGCTTTTCTTGTTGAAGGATAAAGCTTAGTTAACATTATTTGGGGATGATCTAGCTAGAGAGCAACCACTATAGAAAATTATTACTTGCTTAATCAGGACTTGTGCTATTTCAGATAACATTAATGTAGGAGTGAAAGTTAATCTTATTTACTGATTTTTTATTAGTAGGCAAACCAGAATTTTAACAAGATATTGGAAATGTTTAAAAATATTAATGCATTTTTGAGCTTTCCATTTCTACCATTTTAAAAAGAACTTGTGTTTTATAGTGTCCTGTGTTAATAAAAAGCTATTCTTACTTATACATAAAATAAAGATGCTAGAGATCTATTTTATTAGCCTAAGCTAGTATAACGTATATTTAAAATAATTTTAAATATTTTTCTTAGAAATTATAAAAGTTAAAATTGAAAATTTAATTGATTTCTTCCCAATTTATAATAATTATTCCTGTATTCTACCAACCAACATTTATTTAGTTTCTATTGATTTATCAGAGTAGTCATTTGATCACACTAGAGTGGGATTAAAAAATAAGCACAATTTTTTTAATTTCAAATATCTTGCAGCCTCGGAGGAAGAAAAAGATATGGGCATATGTAATTATATAACAAAATAGAACCAGAAATTTTAGAAAATGTGATATGTGAGTTATATAAGGGAAGCATGCCATTTGGGGAATCAAAAAAAGAACAAGATTACAGAAGAAATGTGAGATTACTCAGTTCTTTCTTTTTTCTGGTCATGGAAAGGTTCAGACTGAACACTGAAAATTTTTTGGAGACCAGCTGAAAAACCATGCCATGGTCATAATTTGTCATTTTACTTTTTATCCTCACTAATATTCATGAGTCCTCAATCTTTATTTTTAGATTCCATATCTAAAGTTAATACTCAAGATTATCGATGGTATTCTAAACTAAGTTTTGTACAATGCACTTTTCTGAACATCTAAGTTATCTGAAAACAACAGTTGTGACCTTCATTACTGTTATAGATACAGAGATTAATAAGAACTGATATAGAGGTGGGTAAAACCATTGATATAGAGATTCGTAAGACTCCTGGTCTTAGAGGAGGTCCATCCATTAAAGGAAGTGGATTCAAGAACATATAAATCTAATATACTGTAATAGCACAATGTACTGGGTGATCAAAAAGAGGCCCTTGTTTGAAAATATCACACATTTCTGAAAACCATGTCTTAAAACAAAAAGTGAAATATCTAGCATAGTGTGCTAATCTTTTCACCTCTGAAGACAATAGAAAAGATTAAATTAGTAAGTAAAGGAGAGAAGTAATAAAGAAAAAAAAAACAGAAATCTAAAACCAAAAACTTAGTAAGCAGTACTAAAAGAATGTGTCAAAACATGAAGGCCAGCTTATCAAGAGACCATCCAAATGCTACCTATATAAAAATGAGGAAAAATGCAAGCATGGCTATTGGGAATCACAAGGACAGAATTTCACTCATATCACTTCAGGCTGATGTGGTCAAATTGATTAGGAAATGCTGGAAAATGGGTCTGCAGAGTACTAGCCAATTGATGAGGCAGCATTCTACAGGGTCTCAATCTAATTTAGTATTAAATACTAATTAGCATCACCAATTTCAGTTCCTGATATAACAGAGTAATGAATACCAGATCAAACTTCCTGCCATAAACAACTATATGACTAGAAGTTAATATTTTCAGACATGGATAAGAGAGAACACAAGGCTGTGATCTGTGAAAGAAAAACACACCAAGTGAGATCCATACTGATCCTGAATTGTTGCCAGAGGGCACATTTCGAGTCTTGACATATGGAGTGGAGCCCATGCAAGGAGGAGCATTCTCAGCTGGATGAAGGAAACACATTGGACTACAGAGATTGTGAGGGGCAGGAATCTTTCAGCAGGGAAGAGGACAGGAGGACGCTCTGCAGATAAGGAGCTCCAGAAATCTGCCTACGAGTCTCCTAGACTGTAGTGAGTATTACAGTGTACATAAGCAAGGCTAGACTTTGTGAGGTCTAGCAGAGAATAACTTCTGGGGAATTGTGAGCTGAATAGAGTTTCTGAAGCCTGCATAATATGGGGAAATACTGTAGTTCTGACATTCAGAGTGGAGAGACTTTCCTAATGCCTCAAGCATTCAGCTGAAATTTCATAAAAATTGCAAATAAAGAATAGGGATACACGAGCCTTAAAGTAGTCTTTAGACCCATTCTAACAAAGCCAAATCCAAGTCTCCACAGCATAAATCTGATTCTCCAGAAAATTAACTATCCTCTGTTAGAAAGAGACAATGCTTTTTAAAGAAAGACAATAATATTTCAGCTCTAAATATGAAGTGACCACAATGTACATCAGAAAATAAAATAACTACTAGAATGTGAAGCAGGAAAATATGACACATAATTGGGAAGTATAATGTCAACAGATGTGGATAAGACTGATGCTGTAATTAGCAGATAAAGATTATAAAAGTAGCTATCATAAATATGTTCAATTTTTCTCTTCAAAAAGATAAAGTAAGCATATACTTATTTCCTTGATGAGATTATATAATCTCATTAAAGAAAAACTACAAAAAAGAATAGAAATTCTACAACTGAAAACTACAAGATAAATTTTTAAAGAAATTATAGGCTGGGCGCGGTGGCTCACGCCTGTAATCCCAGCACTTTGGGAGGTAGAGGCAGGCAGATCACGAGGTCAGGAGATCGAGACCATCCTGGCCAACATGGTGAAACTCCGTCTCTACTAAAAATACAAAAATTAACTGGGCATGGTGGTGGGAGCCTGTAATCCCAGCTACTTGGGAGGCTGAGGGAGGAGAATCGCTTGAACCCGGGAGGTGGAGGTTGCAGTGAGCCGAGATCACGTCACTGCACTCCAGCCTGGCAACAGAGTGAGACTCCATCTCATTTAAAAAAAAAAAACAAAAACAAAAGGAATTGTATAGCCTTATCAGTAGATGGACAATGCCAAAGTAATATTAGTAAACTCGCAGACAAGAATAAAAGGAGTCATACAAACTAAAACAAAACAAAAAACTGTAACAAAAAAAAAGAAAGAAAAGAGCTTCAATGATCTGTGAGACAATGTCAAATAGTCCAAATAGTCTAATGTATAATTGAAATGCTAGAAGGAGAAGAGAGAGAAAAATTTGGCAAAAATATTATTTGAAGAATTAATGATCCAGCTGCTGAAAACTTATTTTACTATTTTACCGAAAATAAAATTTTAAAAGCTGTCAGAAAAGGTACATTACATACAAGAGAAAAATGATAAGAGTTGTTGCTGACTTATCAGAAACAAGGCAAGTAAGAAGAAAAGGGGACATGATAGGGCTGAAAAAAACTCTTGTTCAGCCCAGACTTCTATACCCAACAAAATATCTTTCAAATATAAAGGTAAAATAAAGACATTTCAGTAAAAAACTAAAATGAGGAGAATTTTAAAGGCAAGAAATGTCATAATATTTTTATGTTAAAGGACGATGGAACACATATCTAGTTGAAAGAATGAATTGCACAAGAAATGGTAAAATGTATAGGTAAATAAAACTTGTGTTTCTTGGAGAGTTAATATTTTGAAGAGAGACTGCAGTAAGTTAAACATGCACATTATAATCTCTAGATTAATAAATAGTAACCTAAAAAGGCATGGCAAAAATGTCAATAAAGGAGAGGAAATAGAATACTAAAGATTATTCAGTTCACCAAAAAGGAGGTAGAAAAGGAGAAGTTGAAGTAACAGAGCAAACAGAACAAATAGAAAGCAAAAATGAAATAACAAAGAGAAAATATAGAAAAGTAGAAAATAAAATCATAGTGTGCTTAATCTAAATTGTAAATAATTACATTAAGTGTCAACAGACTAAATGGCCCACTTAAAAGGCAAAGACTGTCAGATTATATTTAAAAAGCAAGAGTCTGGCTGGGCGAAGTGACTCACGCCTGTAATCCCAGCACTTTGGGAGACCAAGGCAGGCAAATCACCTGAGGCCAGGAGTTCAAGACCAGCCTGGCTAACATGGTGAAACCCCGTCTCTACTAAAAATACAATAACGTAGACAGGCATGGTGGCGAATGCCTGTAATTCCAGCTACTCGAGAGGCTGAGGCAGGAGAATCGTCTGAACCCGGAGGCAGAGGTTGTGATGAGGCGAGATCGCCTCACTGCACTCCAGCCTGGGCGACATTGTGAGACTGTCTCAAAAACAAATGAATGAATAAATAAATAAATACAAAAATTAGCTGGGTGTGGTGGGGTATGCCCATAGTCCCAGCTACTGAGGAGGCTAAGGCACTAAAATCGCTAGATCGTTAGAACCGAGGAGGCGGAGGTTGCAGTGAGCTGAGGTCGCGCCGCTGCACTCCAGCCTGGGTGACAGAGTTAGACTCTGTCTCGGAAAAAAAAAAAAAAAAAAAAAGCAAGAGTCAACTATATGCTGTTTATAAGGAATATTCTTTAAACACAAAGACACAGGTCAAAAGGAAAGGGATGGAGAAAACATCATGAAGATGTTAATCATGTAGAAGCCAATATAGTTATATAGATACCTTACAAATTAGACTTCACCAAGTAATGCATTATCATAGATAATGATGCATATTTTATAATGTTGAAAGTGACAACTCATCAAGAAGACATAAATCTTAAATGTGCATTCATTTCACAGAAAATCTCTCAAACTCTCAAAGTTTCTAAACTAAAGGGAGAATTAGATTTGTTCACAATCGTAGTTAAAAACAGTAACACCAGTCTTTCAGTAATTGTTGGAAGAAATGAACAAAAGTCTGTAAGATATAGCAGTTTTGAATAACATTATAAATCATCTTGACCTAATTAAAACATTACACATAAGAACTGCAGGATACATATTCTTTTCAAGATAGATCATCTACTAGTTTATTTCAGACTATCAATAATCACATAGATTGCATTCTCTGGCCAAACTGTCATACATTAAAAGTTAATCATTATTTTAAGAAAATACGCACATATTTAGAAATTAAACAACACAGTTCTAAAATACTTATGTGTCAGACAAGGAAGCCCAATGGAAATTTTTAAAAATTACTGAACATAAGGAAAATACAAACACTATGTATTAAAATTTGTAGAATGCAGTTAAAGCAGTTCGTCTGGGGGAAATTTATAGTGTTACATGTCTACATTAGAAAGGAAAATAAAAGCTATAAAAGCAATGGTCTAAGATTTCATCTTAAGAAGATAAAATAAAAAACAAATTAAATTGAAAGTAAATGAAAGGGAATGTTAAAAATGAGAGTGAAAAAAAGACAAAAAAAAGGAAATCAACAAGATCAAAATTTGAAGAAAAGATTAGTAAAATTGATTAATAAAACTCATCACGATGAAAAGGTAAAACAAGAATCAGCAGTATCAGAAGCAAAAGAAGGGACCTTTCTACAGACATTATAAAGATGATAAAGAAATATTATATAATTTTATGCTAATTAGTTTTACAATATAGATTAAACGGGCAGATTCCATGAAACAAAACTTAGCAAAACTAATAGAACAGGAAATGGAAAGTGTGACCAACCCTGTATACATTTTAGAAACTTAATTTTAATTAAATAATTCTTAGGCACAAATGGCTTCACTGGTGAATACTATCAAATATTTAAGAGCTGTACAATATCCATTTAGCATATTCTTTTTCAGAGAATAGAGATGGAAATCTTCGCATTTTATTTTATGAAAATAGCATATCTTTGATACCAAATCCAGACAAAGGGGAAAAAAACCCCTCAAAATCCTGACCAATACCTCTCATGAACCCAGACACAAAAATTCTTAACAAAATATTAGTAAACAAAACCCAATAACACATTTTTTTAAAAAAAGGTTCTATATAATGACTAAATGAATTTAGTACAGGAATTCAAGCTTGGCTAAATATACAAAATTAAATTAATGGGATTTACTCCATTAAAATATTAAAGAAAAAAAGCATATAATCATTTAGATTGGCTCAAAAAATCTATTTTTAAAAACTAAACAGTCAATCATGGAAAAATTCTTAGCAAACTAGAAATGGGGGGAAGTCTTCAAACTAATACAATGTATCTGCTAAAAACTTATAGCTAATGACATAAATGATTATAAAATATTCAACACTTTTCTTCTGAGATCTAGAAAAAGACACAGATGTATATTGACAGCATTTCATTTAATATTTTACTAGAGGTCCTAGATAGTTCAGTAAAGTAATAAAAATAAATGGCATAGAGATTGTAAAGAGGTAAAGCCATTGTTGTTTATAGACACTGTGATTGTGAACACATACAGTTCTAAGAAATCCGCAGAAGAAAAATTCCTGTGAAACTAAAGTGAATTCACTAATACTGCAGAATACAATCCAATCTAGAAAAAAATTCGGATTCTATATACCGGCAATAAACATTTGAAAAATAAAAACAAAAATGTCATTCAAAATATTCAAATCATAAAACTTTTAGGGTTAAATTTAATGGGTGGTGTGCAAGAATGCTCTGCTGACACAATTAAAATATTGCTGAGAGAAATTCAAGAAAGTCCAAATAAATGGAATGATATACCATGCTTAGGGTTTGGAAGGCTCAGTATTAATAAAAAGTCTTTTATCTTTAAATAGATCTAAAAATTCAATGTAATTCTTATCAAAGTCTCAGAAGCCTTGTATTTTTAACAGAAACAAATGGATTCTAAAGTTTATATAATAATTCAAATAATCTAAAATGGCCAGAACAATCTAAAGAACAAAGTTGGATAACTTAAAAACTTACCGTAAAGCTTCAGTAATCAAAATAGTGAGGTATTCACATTAATATAAGCAAATAGATCAATGGAACAGAATTAAGAGCCCAGAAATAGATCCATGCTTACATACTCATATCTGTGTGTGTGTCTGTATGTGTGTGTGTGTGTGTGTGTGTGTGTGTGTCTGTGTGTATGCAAAGGTACCAAAGCAATACAATGGGGAAAATAAGCTCTTTCCAACAAATGGTGCTGCTGCAACTAGATATTCATATAGGAAAAAATAAGCAAACTTTAACCTCTACTTCATATCATATCATTTTCAATGAACCAGGATAACTAAAACTATAAAAAGTATACAAAAAATGTACAAAAAGATCTTTTTGGTCTTAAGGTAGGCAATAATATCTGAGGCAGAACACAATAGGCATTAACCATTAATTGAAAAATGAATAAATTATATTTCATCAAAATGAAAAATCTTCTCCTCATTAAAAGGCCTTTGCAATGTAAAGCTATTTGTTGCTCCATGGTTGCCTGAATGCCAGCACCCACCCCCACTTGTTTTGAACTTTTACCTAGTCATTGCCCATCTCTGGGTACTCATCCCTAACATGTATATTTTCAAGCAATAAGTCTCATGATGACTTCACCGTTTTACCCCTTCTTTCCTTTCCATAGTAACTCAGTTACATTCAAATTACCCATAAGAAGGCTTCCTGCATGCCACAGCTACTTCACCCATGACCCTCAGTAAAGCCACTTGCCTAGAGGTCCTTATTCTGTTTCCTCCCTGCCTGCCACAAACGTTTGGCTTTTGGGTGACTTTGCATGGCCCTCTGAGCATGTGGTGTCTCCTTCTCTAGGACCTATGAGTATAATAAATCCTTTAATTTCTTATGCCTCTCCAGATATAATTTCCGTGACCATACTGGAGTGAACCTTAAAGACCCCACAAGGGGTATTTCCTCCCCCACTTATGACACAGCCTTAATGAGAAATAAGCCTGTAACAGATAGAAAAAAGTATTTGCAAAACATATATCTGACAAAGAACTTGTACCCAGAACAAATATCTTAGTAATACAAAATAAACATCTTAATATTTTTTAAACTTTTATTTTATATTTAGGGGTACATGTGAATATTTATTATATAGGTAAATTTGTGTCATTGGGGTTTGTTGTACAGATTATTTCATCACCCAGGTATTAAACCTAGTACCCAATAGCTATCTTTTCTGCTCCTCTCCCTTCTCTTCCCCAATCAAATAGACCCCAGTGCCTGTTGTTTTCTTCTTTGTGTTCATGACTTCTCATCATTTAGCTCCCATTTATAAGTTAGAACACATGGTATTTGGTTTTCTATTCCTGCATTTCATAAGAATGAAAACAGAAATCTCACGAACGTCTCAATAAATCATCTATGTCTAGAATACCCCTTCTCTGTCTCCTGAGTTCAATAATATATTCTACTTAAATAACTGAGAATGGACGGCAGGCCTTATTTGTTTACATGGATTCCATGAAATGCAGGAGCTACATTTTCTGTTACTGCTATTGTTTGTTAGGGATTAGTACCCAGAGATGAGTACCCAGCGCCATCCGCGATCCTGCAAAAGACACGGTCCTGTTTTTTAAGACTGCATAGTATCCCATGGTATATTTGTACCTCATTTTCTTTATCCAATCTGTCATTGATGGGCATTTAGATTGATTCCAAGTCTTTGCTTCTTTGCTATTGTGAATAGTGCTGCAATGAAAGTTCACATGCATGTGTCTTTATGTTAGAATGATCTATATTCTTCTGGGTATATACCCAGTAATGGGATTGCTGGGTTGAATTCTAGTTCTGCTTTTAGCTCTTTGAGGAATCCTCATACTGCTTTCCACAATGGTTGAACTAATTTACACCCCCACCAACAGTGTATAAGTGTTTCCTTTTCTCCACACCCTCGCCAGCATCTGTTATTTTTTGACTTTTTAATAAAAGCCATTCTGACTGGTGTGAGATGGTATTTCATTGTGGTTTTCATTTGCATTTCTCCAGTGATCAGTAATGTTGATCTTTTATTCACATGATTGTTGGCTGTATGTGTGTCTTCTTTTGAAAAGTGTCCCTTCATGTCCTTTGCCCACTTTTTAATGGGGTTGCTTTTCTTTTATACATTTAAGTTCCTTATATATATTGGGTATTAAACCTTTGTCAGACACACAGTTTGCAAATATTTTCCTCCATTCTGTAGGTTGTCTATTTACTGAGAGTTTCTTTTGCTGTGCAGAAGCTCTTAAGTTTAATTAGATCCCATTTGTCAATTTTGCTTTTGTTGCAATTGATTTTGGTGTCTTTGTCACAAAATCTCTGCCTGTTCCTATGTCTAGGATGGTATTGCCTAGGTTGTCTTCCAGGGTTTTTATAGTTTTAGATTTTCAATTGAAGTCTTTAATCTATCTTGAGTTGGTTTTTGTATATGGTATAAGGAAGGGGTCCAGCTTCAATCTTCTGCACATGGCTAGCCAGTTTTCCCAGTGCCATTTATTGAATAGGGAGTCCTTTCCCCATTGCTTGTTTTTGTCAGCTTTGTTGAAGATCAGATAGTTGTAGGTGTGCAGCATCATTTCTCGACTTTCTCTTCCGTTCCATTGACCAGTTACTTCACAAACAGTTATTTACAACTAGACAACATGCACGTGAAAAACTATTCAGCATCATTAGCCATCAGGGAAAATGCACATTAAAAACACAATTGATTATCACTACACACCCAATGGAATAGATAAAATTGAAAACACTGGTGACACCAAATGCTGGTGAGGTGAAACAACTCCAATACCCATACATTGCTGTTGCAAGTATAAAATGGTACTGCCATTTTGGAAGTTCTGATAGTTTCTTAAAAGGTTACAGATATACCTACCATAAGATTCAGCCTTTTCACTGTTAAATATTTACCCAATAAATATTAAAATCTATGTTGACATAAAGACTTGCACACAAATATTCATAGTATCTTTATTGATCATAACCCCAAACTGAAACACCCCAAATGGTCATCAAAAATCAAAAGGAAAATAGATAAACTGTGATAGAATCGTACAGTGAAATGCTGTCTGGAAGTAAAAAGCAAAGATCGATTGACACATGCAACATGCGTGAATCTCAAAAACATGATGTTGAGCAAAAATGTCAAACAGAAAAAGAATACATATTAAAGGACTATATTATATGAAATTCTAGGATAGGTAGAACTGACCTATGGTGAAAGGAATCAGAGCATTGATTCTCTCTGAGAGAGTGGTTGATTGAGAAAGGATCCAAGGAAATTCCCTGGGGTAATGAAAGTGTTATATCTTGGTGGAGGTGTATTACATAGACATTTACACTTGTCAAAATTCACTGAATTTTACAGCTATGGCATATGCATTTCACTGTAAATAAATAATATTTTCATTTCTACAAGACTACCCATGTGATTAGTAATAAAACCTGATACTTGCTTCTGCCTTTCCTAGGAGAGCCATTTAATTTCTTTTCTCCCCCATTACTGGGATGTACAACAAATGATAATCAAAATAGCAGATTTTGACAGTACTGAAATTGGTCAGAACACTGGGAAGATACTGCATAAGACAAAAGAACTCACTTAAATGATAAGAAGAAATGGGCTGAATTCAGAAAACCAGCTGAATTTATTTAATATATTTTTCCCTAACATTTTCTACAGTAAGCCCAACATGATGTAATATATGAGGGTATTAAGAAGTTAAGGCACACTTGGAAAATTGCCATTCAGACTTATAGATTAAACAAATATCAGATGTGGAACTACATTCTTAATCATGAAATTTTAACTTATACTGTCAGACTATACAAATTATTTGGAACATTTCCTCCCTCTTCAAACATTTAGAACTATAGGGGCCAGGTAAACATCAAGGAGAAATTATGCATAAATAATACAGGCACTGTGCTTTCACAGAGTGTTTTTCCTGGTATTTAACATTTGCCAGTGTGTCTACTGTGTGCAACCTTCCCCCTCAGGATTTAGCTGTGGTGGCAATAAAGGCAGTGAAGTTAGGAAGACTCTCATCACTACTATCAACAGCCACATTGTGTTCAGCTTCTTGGTTGACTTAAATTGTGCAATCAGGGTCTATCCACACATTCAGCTATATTCTGTCACTTATGATGGAGCCTTTTGTGTCTATGAGTTAAAGGTGTCCAGGGAGGGAAATGTAATGCCCTGACTCATTCCAACCTTTAAAAACAAAGCATTAAGTCAAGAATATAGTAAAGAACATCCCAGTTTCACATGTTCAAACTTTGGTTGAACTAATTTGTAACTGCAAAGACCATTCCAAACTGTGTCTAGTGGTCAAGACTCCTTTATGTCTCTTTCTCTATTTGGAATGTTTTCTCTCTCTTTTTCCCTGATGGTTAAAGCCCTACTCTGCCCTACTCTTCACTCAAGACTGGCAAATACCACAACCTTTTCCCAATAAATTACATCATCAACTTTAGGTATTTTAAATATATTTGCTCATGTCTCTTTTTTACAGGACTAGGAGCTCATTGAGGGCAGGTATTTTGTAATATTAATCTTTGTCCCTGGGGTCTGGTTCACAGTACATGTCAAATAACTGTTTGATGAGGGACCAATGACCCGTAGAAAGCAGAAATTTTGAAATACCATCACTCCTAAAATTAGATTAGGTGCCAACTTTATAAAGATAATTTCAGCTTAAGATATTCAGTTATGTTTTAGATTATTTTTTCTCGAGTTTTCCTCTACAGTAATATTGCTTTTTATCTCAAGCCTAATCTACTTTCACATCTTTGAGTCTGCTTTCAATTTTTTATAGGAAATTTTTTTTTATATTTCATTTTAAACTCTTTTGTGTTTTATATTTGGTCACCCTTAATAGAGTGTGCCATTTATCCACCATGAAACTAACTCTGTCCAGATTACTCACCATTTTATGTTCCCTGTCAGCTTTCTTCACATCAGCAAACCTGAACACTTTTCAAGCTATATTCCTATCTAGGGCATTCATAACAGAGAGTGGTTTCTGTCATCATGAATAACTTTTCTTTCTTTCCTAAAAACAAATTGGGGATTATTGTACACAATCTCTCTCACATAAGGCTTTCTGATTTGTCTGATTTATTCCAGTATGATATGCAATATCAAAAGTACATTGGAAATCTTAATAAATTATCTGTACCTAGAGTACCTCTTCTGTCTCTTGAATGCAATAATATACTCTACTTAAATAACTCTGAGAATGGATGGCAGGTCTTATTTGTTTTTGTGAATCCCAGTTTACAAAAAAATAAAAAAGGTGTTTTTTTTTCCAGATGACTGCATATGTATTTCACCTTTTATTTGTTTACTTTTTATTGATTTAAAGTCATATACAAAAGCAAAACAAAATAAGACACCATGTCTGGCTGTATATCAAGCATAAAAAACACTATAATTAGGTAAAGTTTCAGCAAACAATCAGCAACAAGATGGTTTAGTTCCTGGACAACAATAATGAAACTCAATGACTTTGTTAGTCCCTCACACTGTCATGATTGGAGATAAAATTTTTAAAATCCTATGCCAACAAATCAAGGACAGTAGTGTCACTGCTTGGGTGGCAGGGGAAGCTTGCCATATAAAAAGGTGAAAGACCTTTTCAACTATTTTGGTAAGAGCACCTCACCTTGATTTCTGTTCTTTTTGGCAAATATTTCCAACACGAAGTCTCTATGCAAGAGTTGACTTTGAATAGTATAACTATCATTACTATTGTATTTGATTATCTTCCCCAAATTATTCTTATTCTAGTGTTTTTCAAGTTTTAATGAATTCTGATTCTATTAGACTACTAATGTAATGAAAGCACTCTACCCTTTCACCAAGAAATGTGCATCTATAATTCTCTATACAATCTCACAGAATAGTATGATGGGAAAAGAGATACAAAACAAACACAAATAAGAAGAAACCATGCAAATACATGGAAATTAAATAACCTGCTCCTTTTGGGTCAAAAACGAAAGCAAGATGGAAATGAAAACATTCTTTGAACTGAACAAAAATAATGACACAACCTACCAAAACCTCTGGAATACAGCAAAGGCGGTACTAAGAGGAAAGTTCATAGCCCTAAATGCCTACATTGAAAAGGCTGAAAGAGCTCAAACTGACATTCTAAGGTCACATCTCAAAAAACTAGAGAAACAAGAACAAACCAAACCCAAACCCAACAGAAAAAAGGAATAACCAAGATCACAGCAGAACTAAATAACATAGAAACAAACAGACAAAAAATACAAAAGATAAATGAAACAAAAAGCTGGTTCTTTGAAAAAATAAATAAAATTGACAGACTATTAGCAAGATTAAGCAAGAAAAGAAGAGAGAAAATCCAAATAACCTCACTAAGAAACAAAACAGTACATATTACAACTGACACCACTGAAATACAAAAGATCATTCAAGGCTACTATGAACACCTTTATGCACATAAACTAGAAAACCTAGATGAGATGAATAAGTTCCTGGAAAAATACAACCTTTCCTGCTTAAATCAGGAAGAATTAGATACCCTGAACAGACTAATAACAAGCAGAGAGATTGAAATGGTAATTTAAAAATTACCAACAAAAAGTCCAAGACCACACGGATTCACAGCAAAATTCTAAGAATTCTAAGACATTCAAAGGAGAGTTGGTACCAATCCTTCTGACACTATTCTACAAGACAGAGAAAGAAGGAAATCTCCATAATTCATTCTATGAAGCCAGCATCACCCTAATACCCAAACCAGGAAAGGACATAACCAAAAAAGAAAACTACGGACTGATATCCTTGATGAACACATATGTTAAAATCCTTAACAAAATACTAGCTAACTGAATCCAACAACATATCAAAAAAATAATCCACCATGATCAAGTGGGTTTCATACCAGGGATGGAGGGATGGTTTAAAATATGCAAGCCAATAAATGTGATACACCACATATGTATAATTAAAAACAAAGACTACATGATCATCTTAATAGATGCAGAAAAAGCATTTGACAAAATCCAGCACTCCATTATGATTAAAACTCTCAACAAAATTGGCATGCAAGGGACATAATGTAATAAAAGTCATCCATGACAAACCCACAGCTAACATAATACAGAATGGCAAAACGTTGAAAGGATTTCCTCTGAGAACTGGAACAAGACAAGGATGCCCACTCTCACCACTCCTCTTCAACATAGCACTGGGAGTCCTAGCCAGAGCAATCAGACAAGAGAAAAAATAAAGGGCATCCAAACTGGTAAAGAGGAAGTCAAACTGTCACTGTTTGCTGATGATATGATTATATACCTAGAAAACCCTAAAGACTCCTCCAAAAAGCTCTTAGAACTGACAAATTCAGCAAATTTCCAGATACAAAATTAATATACACAAATCAGTAGCTGTCCTATACACCAATAACAACCAAGCTGAGAATCAAATCAAGAACTCAACCCCTTTTACAATAGCTATAAAAAAACAAAAATACTTAGGAATATACCTAACAAAGGAGGTGAAAGACCTCTACAAGGAAAACTACAAAACACTGCTGAAAGAAATCACAGATGACCTAAACAAATGAAAACATATCCCATACTCACGGGTGGGTAGAATATTGTGAAAATGACCATACTGCCAAAAGCAATCCACAAATTCAATGCAATTACCATCAAAGTACCACCATCATTCTTTACAGAACTAGAAAAAACAATTCCCAAATTCATAGGGAAGCAAAGAAGAGCCCACATAGCCAAAGCAACACTAAGCAAAAAAGAACAAATATGGAGGCAGGTACCACATTACCTGATTTCAGACTATACTATAAGGCAACAGTCAACAAAACAACATGGTACTGATATAAAAATAGGCACATAGACCAATGGAACAGAATAGAGAACCCAGAAATAAACCCAAATACTTAAAGCCAAATGATCTTTGGCAAAGCAAACAAAAACAAAGTAAAGAAAGAACACCCTATTCAACAAATGGTGCTGAGATATTTGGCAAGCCACATGTAAGAGAATGAAACTGGATCCTCATCTCTCACCTTATACAAAAATCAACTCAAGATGGATTAAGGACTTAAATCTAAGACCTGAAACTGTAAAAATTCCAGAAGATAACATCAGAGAAATCCTTGTAGATGTTGGCTTAGGCAGGGATTTCTTGACCAAGAACCCAAAAGCAAAGGCAAGAAAAGAAAAAAACAATGATAAATAGCTGAGACTTAATTAAACTAAAAAGCTTTTGAATGGCAAAGGGAAGAGTTAGCAGAGCAGACAACCTACAGAGTGGGAGAAAATTTTCACAGTCTATACATTTGACAAAAGAACAATATCCAGAATCTACCACGAACTTCAACAAATTAGCAAGAAAAAAACAAATAATCCCATCACAAAGTCGGCTATGGACATGAGTAGACAATTCTCAAAAGAAGATACACAAATGGCCGACAAACATGAAAAAATACTTAACATGACTAATGATCAGGGAAATGCAAATCAAAACCACAATGCAATACCACCTTACTCCTGCAAGAATGGCCATAATCAAAAAATGAAAAAAAAGTAGATATCGGCATGGATGTGCTGAACAGGGAACACTTCTACACTGCTGGTGGGAATGTAAACTACTACAACCACTATGGAAAACTGTGGAGATTCCTTAAAGAACTAAAAATAGAACTACCATTTGCTCTAGCAATTTCACTACTGGATATCTACCCAGAGGAAAAAAAGTCATTATATGAAAAAGATACTTGCACATGCATGTTTATAGCAGCACAATTAGCAACTGGAGAAATGTGGAACCAACCCAAATGCCCATCAATCAATGAGTGGATAAAGAAACTGTGATACAAATATGTATATGATGGAATACTACTTATGATGGAATACTACTTAGCCATAAAAAGGAATGAATTAATGGTATTCATAGCAACCTGGATGAGATTGGAGACTATTATTCTAAGTGAAGTAACTCAGGAATGGAAAACCAAACATCATATATTCTCACTCATCAGTGGGAGCTAAGCTATGAGGATGCAAAGGCATAAGAATGACTCAGTGGACTTTGAGGACTTGGGGAAAGGGTGGGAAGGGGGCGAGGGATAAAAGACTACAAATAGGGTGCAGTGTACACTGCTCGGGTAATGGGTGCACCAAAATCTCACAAATCACCACTAAAGAACTTACTCATGTAAGCAAACACCACCTGTTCCCCAATAACTTGTGGAAATAAAAAAATTTAAAAAAATGTAGAAAAGATTTTAAAAAAGGATGAGGAAATATTTACTTAATAATCCATTCAACAAATATTTATTCAGAATATTCTATGTGCCAGATAAAAGCAGAAAATAAAAAAAAGACAGAAAAACTGCAGATCTGACTACCAAATCTGATATTTTGTTCTATGGAAAAAAGTAACAGCAATAAATAACAACTCAAAATAGATAAACTATTCACCAAGGCGATTAAGAGAGGGGTACAGTAAAAATACATGAAAATTAAAATTCAAGGGAAAAACAAAATTTGAGGGAATTTGTCATCAGCAGACTTGCCATGCAAAAAATGTGAAAATAAGTTCATCAGAAGAAGGTAAATAATATAGGTCAGAAACTCAGGTCTATATAAGAAAGGAAGAATGTTATAGAAAGAATAAATGGTAAAATAAAATCTTCTCTGCTTCTTATTCTTCAATACTCTAATAGATAAGTTTGTTCAAAATAATAATGTATCTTGTGACTATAATTTATGGGTGGGTGAAATGAATAATAGTAATGTCATAAGGGAAATGAGGGAAGAATTGGGAATATTTTAAGAAACTTGCACTACCTGTGAAGTTGTATAGTTGTATTTGAAATTGAACTTGGATTAGTTGTAAATGTATTTTGCAAACCCCAGGGCAACCACTAAGTTAAAAAAGAAAAAGAAGAAGTCTGGTTAAGAGACAGAAATCGAGTTGGGTTTTAGACACAAACTTTGAGAAACTTATTAAATATGCAAGTATAGTTGGTGGGGAAGATGAAGAGAAATAAGGTAAGAAAATGAAATGAAGCAGTCAGTAAGATAGGAGAAAAACCAAGAGAGGATGGTTTCCAGAATGCCCATGAAGAAAGATCCTCATAAAAGGAGGTTAAAAAGTACATTTAAAAGTATATTATTAGATGTTGAGTACCTATAAAACAGAATTTAAACAGTGGTTGTTTTGGTGTGGTGGTTTTTGTGGGTGATTTAATTTTTTTTCCATTCTGTTTCTACCTTTTAAAACTGTCATGCAGTAAATATGCAACACTGTTGTAATAAGAAATAAAATAAAAATCATTTTTAAAGTATTGGGTCCTTTACTCCTACCTAAGAATAAACATTCTTTATTTTTACCTTTCTACTAGTGTCAGGTTCTAAGTACAATACTTAGAGATACACATATTATAGGGAAATCTGTTGGTAAAAATGTCCTAGGGCACACTGTTCAATAGAGATACAATAGGAGATGCATATATAATTTTAAATTTTCTAGTATGCACATTGAAAAAAATGTGAAATTAATATTTTATTAACTTAGTATATCCAATGTATTATAGTTTCAAAAATATAACCAATATAAAAATATTAATGAGCTATTTCACCTTTTTTTGGATGTCTTTGAAATCCTGTGTGTACTTCACACTTATAGCACATCTCAATTCATATTTAAGTGCTTGACAGTTACATGTGGCTAGTATCTACCATATTGGACAGTGTGTTCTAGATCCTTGTTCTTCAAAATATGGTTCACAGATCAGCTGCATTGGCTTCACCCAGAAAAAAATAAATGCAGAATCTTAATCCTTATCCTGGAGCTACTATATCAGAATCTCTGTTTCTTTTTTTTTTTTTTTTAACTTTTAAGTTCAGCGGTACAAGTACAGGTGGTTTGTTACCTAGGTAAATTTGTGTCATGGCGGTTTGTTCTACAGATTATTTCATCACCCAGGTATTAAGCCTAGTATCCATTAGTTATTTTTCCTGATTCCTTTCCCTTCTCCCATGCTCCACCCTCTGAAAGGCCCCAGTGTGTGTTGTTCCCCTGTAAGTGTCCATGTGTTCTCACCTTTTAGCTTCCACTTATAAGTGAGAACATGTGGTATTTGGTTTTCTGTTCTTGTGTTAGTTTGCCAAAGATAATGGCCTCAAAGGAATATAAATTATTCTACTATAAAGGCACATGCATGAGTATGTTCATTGCAGCACTATTCATGATAGCCAAGACATGAAATCAACCTAAATGTCCATCAGTGAGAGACTGGATAAAGAAAATGTGGTACCTATAACCATAGAATACTATGCAGCTGTAAAAAAGAATGAGATCATGTCCTTTACAGGGACATGGATGGAGTTGGAGGCCATTATCCTTAGCAAACTAACACAGGAACAGAATCTGTTTCTAACAAGCACTCAAATGATACTGTTGCAGCTCGCTTCACAGACCACACTTTGAGTAGCAAGACTAATTATATCCAGCCCAATCATTTTCTAGAAGCTCTTCAGCAGTTCCTTAACCTGTTTTCTGCTGTAATCCTCTCTTCATGTCCATCATTCCTCCAAAAAGCAATTATTATGTGCTGGTTACTGCGTGCTAATGCTTTACAAGTTCTATCATCCACATTTTACAGAAGAGAAAACAGAAGCACTAATAGATTATGTAACTTGCTCAATATCACCCAGCTAGTAATTAGTGGAGTTGGGATTTGAAACCAACTAGCCTGCTTCCAGAATCCAGTGTCTTAACCAACCATTATTTGTTTATATATCTGTCTCTTCTACTTAAGATACATCTAGCTCTTCAAAGATATATAGCTTATACATCTTTTTTCTACAACTATTTAATACAGTAAATGTTTTTGTAAAGAAGGGAGGGAGGGATGGCTTCATTTGTGTTTTCCTGCTAGGACTGCCCTTCCAGGTCCAATTGCCCCAGAATTTCCAGTACTCAAGATCCCTGTTTTATAGGTGCTAGTAGACATATTATTGTGTGGAAGCCATGGTCAGAACACCTGCCAGGTGCTATCACTGTGTCTATCATTTCACATTAATATTAAGAAAACATTTATGAAATTCTATAATATCCAAACAGAATTTTTGCTAAAATGTTTTCCTAATTAAAAAAAAATTAGTATAAATGATAACCTAACAGGTCTGAGTTTTACAAGTAGAAGTTTTGCTAATCAGTGAAATGCCCATAAAGGAAGTAGGAGAGGAGACAGTACAAAACTGAGATAATTCTAAGTCCAAACAACCACTTTCTTGATATCTAGGTGGTAAATTTTATTGTACATCAATTAGTGATCCTCTTTTCAGATTCTCTTTTCATTCTAATCAATCTAATTCCATTTACATTTGCTCAGTTAACATGACTGCTTTTTGGAAAGGGTCCAATTCTTCTTCCTTTGGAAATTTCAACTCTCTATTTCTCATTTGACTGCAATAAAGTGGCTGGGATGTTCTTGAGAGTTATGGGTAGGGAAGTTCTTTGTACCCTTAGGTGGATGCACGCTTTGGCTGTCAACACCTAGTTGCTTTTCGTAGGAGGTGCTGCCAGGTCAGAAAAACCACTTGTATCATAGATGGCCCCAGTCTTTGCCTCAAATAAAACAGATACCAGAAACAGGGAGAAGAATCTGCCCTTTTCTGAGAGGTACAAAGACGACCATGGTGTGCATATACCCTCACCACTTAAGGGCTGTGTGCCCTCGGGCAAGTTACTCAGGCTCTCTGAACGTTATGTTTTTAACTGTGTCAACGTGAACTAGATAAACACTATGAATCTCAGGTTCCATCTGTAATTTGGCATTTTGACTTATCACCTAGGGTTTCTGACAGCAATGAGAAAAATGATGGAAAATGTAGTGCAGAGTCCAGCACCTGACAAATAATAATCCATTAGCATTTTCCTTCAATATATTTCCTACTGAACTACAGGAATTTTGAGGCCTCAACTTGATATTATCCCTATTTTAAACTTTCTAATGGCCAGCTGCAAACACATCCATGTCAACTCCCTCCAAAATGTTATTTGTCCTTTAGATCTATTTCAGATGTATTTCTTGCTGAATAATCTTTGTATGCAATGACCCCTGTATTTACTTACAACTACATCATCAACATCCTAGGACAGGGTCTAGGTTAGTTTCATTTCCCTTCTTGGGCATTTACTACAATGCCAGGAATAAACAGGTGCTTAATAAATGCCTTTTGTTAAGCCAAACGTGGTGGCTCACACCTGTAATCCCAGCACTTTGGGAGGCAGAGGTGGGCGGATCACCAGAGGTCGGGAGTTTGAGACAAGCCTGCCCAACATGAAGAAACCCTGTCTCTACTAAAAACACAAAATTAGCTGGGCGTGGTGGCACATGCCTGTAATCCCAGTTACTTGGGAGGCTGAGGCAGGAGAATCACTTGAACCTGGGAGGAGGAGGTTGGAGTGAGCCGAGATCACGCCACTGCACTCCAGACTGGGCAACAAGAGCGAAACTCCATTTCAAAATAAATAAATAAATGCCTTTTGTTGATGCTAGGCATTCCTAAAGTCTTTGGAAAACTTTCCATAACCACCCCTCCTCTGCCCACTCCAGCTCTGCCCTCTCACCTATCTCTGCGGCCCTCCATCACAGACCTTATTCACTTAACTGCAAATTGGGCACTGTTCCTTTGTTTTTATTACAAAACATTTCTAACATACCAAGAAGTAAAACATCCGTGATTTACTCTACCACTCAATTTTTCATGAATGTTGACATTCGTTATATTATTTTGGTTCTGGTTTTTAAAGATCTATAAATGTTTCTGATATAGCTGTGAACCTTCCAATCCTATTCTCTTCCTCCCTCCTTGGAGGCAACCACTGTCCTGTTGTGTCCATAAGTTTCATTTTTGCTTTACTATAAAAAAAAGGAGTTACAATACCCCTCTTAAAGGGTTATGAGGCTTAAGCAAAATTTATACTGTGACTGACAAAGAGTTAAAACAATAGTAGTCTCTGTCATCCTCATCATCACCATCATTGTTATCCTCACTCTTGACCTTATTATTTTTCTCTGCATATTCATATGTCTCCTCCAGTAGGTCTTTGCTTTTCTGAGATCTGGAACTATTTATTTTCTCTATATGCCTATAGCTTAGCCCAGTTCCTGATATATAGGAAGTACACAAAACTTGTAAAGTAAATACATGCTGTAAAGGCTGGACTGATTACCTTCCATTCTCTGATTTCAGGCATAATCTTAAAGCACATTAGGCATAGTTCTTCACCAGTTCTCTAAAATAGTAACTTGACCAGAATATGCAGGCTAATATCCATTCACCCTCAAAAATCCAGAGTAATGACAATCTCTTTATTCTTTCAAGGGGCCCTGATCACCTGATTGTTAGTATCACATATTCATCTCCAATACCTGACACCAGAAAAACAAAAACAACCAGGACAAAACTAAGGTTCCCAAAGTCCAGAGGCTGAACTAAAAGATAATGGATAGATGAGCACTCAGTCTTCTGGCATCCTCAATACCCTCTCAGCCTTTTAGATTGTTATAACCCAACTTGCTGTTTCCTTTTCAATTATCAAGATTTACAGAATAAAAAAAGGTGAACTTGTCTTTAAAAATTATTCGCGATAAAATTCGATTTTGTTTACTTGATGCTAAATACTGATAGGCAAGGAAGTGGCAGGCAATCTTACTCGGTTTCCCCCATACACTAATTAAACATTTTATGCAGATATCAGCATAATTAAAGAATTAGGAAACAATAAGAAGTGCTTGGGATAATTTGTAATATCAGTGCACTGATGCATTGGGTCCAGATACCAGGATTTGATTGGCAGGACTTTATTAAGTTTTGGCAGCACTTAGGTAGTCTGGGAGCTTTTTTATGAGGCTCGTGCACATTAATCCAAGCTCCTGTTGTCGTTAATACTGATGAGTGAAGGCAGTTAATTGAATTATGTATGAAGCACTGCTGATTAAATAATATTTCACTCCCCACTACAGAATTCGCTCTGCTGGATTAACATCTACTGTTGTCTCTGACACTGAATGTTATACGGACCTCTTCTGAAGCATACACTTTGATTCTTTCCCATCTGTTCAACTGATGCAGCATCTCAGTTGCCACTGGAACCAACTATCCTTCAGCTCTGACATGAGGTCACTTTGGAGAACTGATATAGTTATTTATTAGCATCCGTGTAACCATGAACAGAAATCCTCCCCAGTGCCTCAGGTGTTCTAAGGGCATTATTATTTAAATTCACGGTGGAATGTGAAGAAAAATTCTAATTATTTATCATTGTATTCTGCTTAAGGTGATAGGAAGAGAAAATAACTCAAGGTCTTCCAAATCAGCCTTAAAAATAAGTATTATTTTGAGCTGCATATGTGATTTTGCCTAAATTTATACACCTCCTCTTCTCATGTAATCTGGAGTTGAGGAAACAGAAGTCTCTCCCAGTGGAAGATGCACTCAAGTTTCTTTTTCTCTCTCTTCTACCTCCCTCCTTCCTTTGTTCTTTTATTGATAAATTACTTTTATTGATAAATTACTCTCTTCTTTTATTGATAAATTACTAAGTGCCAGATGCTGTGATGGGTGCTGGCATGCAGAGATAAGGAACCAGTAGTTACTCTTTTAGAGTAGTTCACATCTTAAAGGCAATAAAATAGGTACATATTTAATATCATGTGGCATATAATATATGGCACGTAACAGAGATACACATGGGCAGAAGGGAGAATGACTAACTCTACTTGGAGAAATGGGAAAAACTTTGAAACTGGAGGCAACAAATGGTGAATCTTAAAGAGTGAATAGATATTGTCCAGGTTCCGACTCCATCAGAAAGAAAAAGGGCACAGAGTGTATTCAATTGCATGTAGCCCCATGGTCCATTGAGGTACAAGAGTAGGGATTAGATTGATACATAATCCAAGAGTTTTTTTCCCCCTATGACTTGGATTATTTGTTGAATTGTTTCCTTAGACTTCCAAGGATAATGATGTATTAAGACCCTACATGGTATAATGAAAGGAACATAGATCTGGCAAGAGACCAAATTTGCACGTGACCTTAGTCAAGTCACGTTTCTTTTCTAGGCTTTAATTTTTTCAACTCTAATATAAGGAGTTTTGGGCAGGACACATCCGACTGAAGGTTTGCAGAAGTCCTGAGAGACAGTATGAAATGAGATTGGTCTGTCTTTAGGAGAGGTAGGCTGGAAGGCTACCTTGGTGAATTTACTATAGTTCAGTATCTGGTTTCTAATTTTGGAAGTCCAGAAACTTCTCATCAATGCTACAGAGATCTGGACTTGAGTATCTGATCTACACAGACTAAATTTAGAATAAACTATATACATATAGACCAATTTATTGATTTATAGTAAATACTCTTGTCAGCTTGCCCTAAAATTTATTAAAAATTATAGGGAAATCTACATTTTAATCAAAAGTTACTCAAGTATGGACTTCCAGCAAAAAGAATTGAATGATTTAAATATTTTATGATATTAGACCCTAAAAACACCTACCTCATTATATCCATATCCATGGTAGAGTTTTGTCTGTCAAGGAGAATGGCTTTAATAAGATGGGCCAGAAACCCTTTTCTAAAAACAGTGTTAAAGAATCACCTCTCAGACTTTATTTTCTTCTAGACTTTTACTACTCACCAATTTTCCTTTTCTATAGGTCTTTTTTTCTTTCCTATAGTTTACTACAAAAGATGCGTGAATGGAACTGAATGTGATGGCAACCCAGAGATCAACAAATAGGCGTAGCCATATAAGAAGAAAGAGAATAAAACTGATAAAATATCAAGATTATGGTTGATACACAAAGTTATCACAGAGGAGTAAAACCATGTAATATGATTTATTGCTCACATCTCAAGTTATAAAATATTTGGTACAAACAAAACAACCAAGAGAAATAAAATAAAACCCAACACCCAGCATTTGGATTATTAGAAAAATGTCATTCTTTAATTAAAATTGTTAATTGCTTTTATGTTGTGCTTCACGTACTACAAATAAGTTAAAAAAATAGGGAATAAGATGCTTGAAACACAAATGCTGAATTTTATTTATATGGGGTAGCATTTTTTAAAAAAATATGCAAACAATGATTTAACTAAATAATTGAAATTTGGTCATTAGGAGAAGACATCATTCAACCATTGAGAAAATTTTAAAAACCTCATCAGGCCACTTTAACATTTTCCTGAAAGTTATATTAAATCCTTACATTTGGTGACATTCCCTAAATAAGGGGAATTGGGTCTAACAAAAAGAGGATGTAAACAGAGAAAAGTATAGCCAAGGTTAATTCCAAAATTTCTGTAATATCTGAGAAAGTTATGTGTTCTTTGTGCAAAGGTTCTCTGACTATCCAGGCCTAAGGATGACTCAACTGAGATGGTTGGATTTTCAGAACTGAATTCCTGTGTTATTCTTGCTTTCAAACTTTTCCAGTGGCTGACTTTTAGCAGTGGAACCTAACTGGGCCAGCTTTTGTGTCTCCTCACATATTACATTTCTTCTTCCCCAAGGAGCTGTCATTTTTCTCCTTCTTGAAATAAATTCATCTAAAGAGAATTTCTCTCAATCAACTTCCCATCATTCTCTCTGGAGTCTTCAGAACTCACTATTATACTGTCAAAAGCCTGCCATCCATGCATTCACTCAAACACAACTATTGAAAGCTTAATGATAATAGTAGTTACTACTTAACTGAACTCCTCAGATATGCCTTGTCACCTGTACTGTGGGTTCAGTAATAAATAAAGCATTTTTGTCCTTGAGGAGCTCCCAGTAAACCAAGAGAGGCAAATATGTAAGTAGTTATTCATGTCAGAGGAAGAGCACCAATGAGGAAGCAGCTCATTCAAATGGTGACCCTCCCACATTCCCTATTCATGGTGTCATCATCCATCCTGTCCTCCACACTTCACAATCATACCCCTCTCCTCTTTCACCTTTTTATATTAAATGGTGTTTTCTCCTTCAGAAATAGCTCATATCTCTTCTGTAATGAACTAGGTCCTCCACATCTCTAGCCTAGACAATTACAATCACCTCTTTGCCACTAGTATCTTCCTTCCTTAAATTATTATTATTTTTAAGCGGTGCTGGTTCAAAAATTTCCATTTGGTCTGACTTATTCACAAAAACAAGTTCAATCTCCTCGACATGGCCCATGGTTTAAATCTTCCCAGTGTGGCCCTCTTATATTTCTCCAGCCTAATTTCCTATCTCATATTTCAGGATACACAAAACTTTCCTTAATTCCCTAAACATGCCCTCTTCTTTAAATTATCTGTAGCTCACAGCATGTACTTTTCTCTACTTGGTAAGAATTTCTTCCTGACTCCATCTTCTTCATAAAAATGCTTATTCAGTTGATCAGAAATCATGCCCACTTGGCCTTTTTGACACCCACCTTGTAAAGGGCTAACAGATGGCTACACCCAACCACAGCAGGGTACCCCAAATGAGAGCAAAAACTTACCTTGTAAATAACAGCTGAGGACCCCACTCCAGCCAAACACAAAACAATCACAGGTGATAAAAACGTCACCAAGAGAACTTCTGTAATATGCACAACAATTTCCCCCAGATCTAAAGATGTTAATAAATTTCTGAAAATATCTAACTTTCTCACAGCCAACAGATGTAGGCTAGGGGTTCAGAGCTTCTAGGTGACAGATATTAGATTGTACCTTAAGCTTCATGACTTTCAATCCCTCTGTCTGGTTGGTACCTGCTCAGCCTTTAAGTTTTGGCTTATGTTCAATGTCCTCAAGAGATCTTTCTAGATGTTCAATCCAGATTGATCCCCGCTATCATCTTTCTCATAGAATCTGGTTCTTTTCCTTCATAGTACTTACGCTAATTTACCATTGTAGATCTATTATTTGTTGGCTATATTTTTCTGCACTTGTTCATAAGCTTTGTAATGAGTCATTCATCCATCCATACCTAGCGCTGTTTTGTTCATCCATGCATACCTAGCACTATCCTGGCACAGAGTAAGTCTCAATAAGTATGTGTAGAATAAATATAATTCCATTTTGCATCATGCCAGGTGACATAAAAGTGTAAAAAAGTAGTAGATGGTATGTTCTTAGTTTGGTCCATGGATAATCAATTATTGATGAAAATCTACTTCTATCAGGGTAGCTAAATGGTTTCCAAGAGTTTTGTCTGTATGAGGAACCTATGGATACCTTGAGACAAAGAAGGAAAAAAGTACTTTGAAATTTGCAATCATGCTCAGCAAAGTTCTTCTCACACTCTCCAGGGGATGGAAAACTCATCTGGAGGTAGAAGAGAGTTAAGCTGTCCAAGATTCTTTCATGAAACATGTTGATTTTTGTGTGTGTGTATGTGAGGTGAAAAGAATTTTAGATGTAACACAATGTTGAGACAAATGTTATCTGACTCAAACTGGGAGAAATCATATTTAAAATAGCATGGTCTAAAAAATTAAAAGAACAGGGCAATAGTTTCAGGGATCATCAAAGAAAACTGACACCACTGAGTAAACATCGCACCAGAGTCCCAGTGAAAGAAGCACTCAGAGTAATGGAAGAAAGTCAACATAAGCTGTTGTAACAATGTCAGCCTCCTGTGATAACCCTAAGGTCACTTTCCTAGTGGGAACCAAGAGACAGAAACATATGGGGATCATGGCTATCAAGTGGCAAACTGGAAAGCAGCATATTAACTGTAGTATCTGCCAAGGTAAAAGATAGGTCGCCCTGGACCCAGCCCAGTGCAGACAGACAGAGGAAGGATTGGGATGCTAAGTTGTTCCATTAGGTGGGGACCCAGGTCAAAGCCTATGTTCTTTACAGAACCATGTCCTTTGTTCACCCACCCTAGACTGCTACATACTGGGGATCAAGGATAAAAATGACTTCTCATGGGAGTAAATGAAGGAACAATGAAAGTAGTATAATAATTTTGTGCTTAATTACACATTCAGACTGCAGGTGCTGTAGATAGCTAGTGACAAGAGAATGGCCATCCAGAAAAGAATGGGATACAAGTATTTGCCCTCCTGCAGTTCTTCATGGAGTGTAGTCAGCCAAGAATAAATTTAACTTTACTTTCTTTTAATGCCTGTCCCTGGGAATTTCTTATCCCATAAAACACCAACCTTATAAAATTAGAGCACCATCCCTTTTTCCTCGAGTGGATTTCTCTTCTCATTTTCCTTTTATTAATTAAAAGATAATGCTCTAAACTCTGGCAGTACCCCTTTTCACTGTGGGCTCCCCTGGCCCACTTTCTGCAGTATATCAACTTATTTATATTTATTTGTCCTAATACCTATGTTTTCAATTGGTTTCTATTATGCAACACACCACAGGGAAAGAGTCTAGTATTAAAATCACACTGTGTAGTTTAATTCCACTTTAATGCTAGGACTCTGGTTTTAATCAACTTATTTTGATCACAGAATAATTCTCAGTAATAATCCAGGGGTGTCAGGCAGGCCATCAGCTGAGAGTAATCAAATGAGTCTCTCCACCTCTTCTCTCTCTCTTCCATATAGAATAGTGCATTTCTTCCACTTCACATAAACTGGAGCTAAAGCCAGGTTCCAAATTAGTCTCGTGAAATTGTAACTGACTCTCTATTACCAACTTGTAATGGGAATTAATGGAGTGAATAATCTAAAATCATGGGTGGTTCTGAATTAATGATACTTGTCTTGAGTAACACAATATATGCTTTTTCCCTCCAAAAGATGTACATTTCTTATTAATGATGTTTTCTTGATCTCTAAGTAGACATCAAGAAAAAGAAGATAGTACTTTTTAGAATGCCAAGCAAGCGTTGTTTGGGGTACTTTGTAAACACTGTCTTGTGCAATCACTCCATGAGGAAGGTATTCTTCTAGTTTATGGAGTAGGAAGTTCAGAGCAGCAGAGGATTGTGGGAAAACCTCTGGGCTAAGAGTTAGGGAAAACAGTTCTAGATCATCACACAGGTATTGAAAATGAAGGATATGTGTTGCGGCAATGTAGCTAAGTTGGAATTTTGTTTTTAAAATGTTCTTTTGCTGCAGTTCCGAGTTAGTGTGGGCCACAAGAGACATTTTGTGTGGGACTGGAAGGCAGAAGTAAGGTGTCAGCCATGTTCTTTTTATGTGGGCAAGATTGGTGTTGAGTATGAGGCACTGGTGTAGTGCACAAGCCTTGTCACTTTTCTGCCAGCCTGAGTTGTGAGTGTGGGGCAGTGACTGGGCCTGCAGCACCTTCAGTTCCTGCTGGACATCCTCTGTGTGTTCATATCTGTGAAGAAGGATGCCAGCTCTTCCTGCAGATCATTCCATCATCAAAGTTGAAAGCTGGGTATGGTGAGAGACTGATGTATGTTTCAGCTGTCCTTATAGGTTCCAGCCTGTCCATTCTGTCCTTGTTTCCCTGACTTCACATCTGTCTTTTCTTCTCTACTGCTTTACATGTGGGCTTCAGGCTCTAGCACCAAGACACAGAAGCAGTAGCTTCATATAGACTGTTTATCCAGCACCCACAATTGCGTAACATCCAATCCTTGGAATAATTCTTTACTCTTTACAGCTCCTATCAGGTCTGCTTCTCGGATCAAACTCTGACAATGAGCAATCCTAGGAAATCATTCCTCTCCTCACGTAACTGTTTCTTAATCAATAATTAGTCCCTCTGGCTCTATGGTGAAAATGAAGCATGACACAGAATTGTGCTAAGGGTTTTTTCTTTCTGTTCAGATAATTCACAAAATAGGCAATTTGCATTTTAATAATCATAAGCTAAATTAACAGGTGATGCTGTTGTGAAGGTAAGAATCACTATTGGGAATTATATCTTGGACTTCATGATGTGAGCAACATTTTAAGGAAGTCCTCAAGCCCTGGGCCACTGATGTGACGAAGCCTGTGATGAAGATGAAGGTTGAGAGCAAGACCTATGGTTTCTGAATATCCTGGTTTCATGCAGGTGTAGTGAAAGCAATAAATCCACACATGAGTTTAACACCTTGTTTCTTTCAAGTGCTTTCACAGATAGTGGCCACACTTGTCAAAATGCTTGCCTTATAAACTTGCTGTGAGAAACACATTGATAATGGATCTGGAGACCTCAAGATGAAGCTAGGCACACAGTCATGAATTAATGGTAATTACTATGCTTTACTTTTGTATGTCTCTTTGACTTTCGCTAGCTCTCTTCAGTGGATCTTCAGAGTAATCTTGAAATGCTGTTAACACCCACTTAAGAGGAAATAAGCACAGAGTATAAAAATGGCTTGCTTGAAGGTCATATGGCTGGCAAGTGGTACAACAAGGACCAATAATCAAATTCACTGAAATAATGATAGAGCTGATAAGTATGGAACATATAAGCATGTGTCAGATATTGCCTATGCATATCAGTTCATTTAATCCTCACAAATAAACCTATGAGGGTAATAATAGTATCCCTTTTTTATAGATTAGGGAACTGAGGTTCAAATATTAAGAGAGGTTAAGTTATCTCTATGTTGTATCAAGTTAAACGGTAATGAGGATTAAAATCTCGACTACAGATGATCAAGTGGCTGGGGGGTGGGGGTGGGTATAGTGTTCTAAGCCTCAGCTTATTAACAATGAAACAGTACAGTACTTATCTCAAACTGTTATTCTGAGGACTAACCAAGCTAAGATAAGTAAGCTGCTGATACCATGCCTGACATGTACTGAGCACTCTTTTTGTTGTTAATTGTCTCACTAGGGCTTAGTCTACGAAGACCTGGTGCCTTTATTGCTTAACCAGGGATTAGTTCACTATGGTCCATGGGTCAAATCCAGCCTGAGGCCTGTTTCTGTGTGGCCTATGAGGTAAGAATGTTTTTAAATTTTCAAAGGATTGTAAAAAACAAAGCAGAATATGCAACAGAGGCCTGTGTGGCTTGCAAACCCTAAAATCTTCACTATCTGGTCTTTTATAGAAAAAGTTTGCCAAACCATAGACTATCCATGCTGTTTTTTCAACCTTGTGATGCAGAACTAAAAGAGACAGAAAGCCTATATTGATTTAGTCTAAAAATGCAGAGCTCAACTTAGAGATCTTGGAAGATAGAGGAGTGAATGAAAGAAGTAGAAGAAAACTGTGTTTGGTGTTTTTCAGTGAAGTGAATAAGACTACATGAGATAGTAGATATTCTCTGCCGTTGCTGTTGCACCTTTCTGTAAGCAATTAAAGTATAAGTAACTATAGGGAAGTTTTTTTTTTAATAGGGGATATTGCTCCCTGTCATGCCACGTAATCTCTTACCATTTTTAGGAGACATTCTAGTAAAGATTATTATAAATTTTTGAAAGTGGATTTGTGTTTTCTTTAGGGTGCTGCACTGTATAGAAATAGGCCATGAGGCAGCCCAACTTTATTAGGGTTAGATATGTATCTTCTCAAAACTATCCTGCCTGAAGCAGATTTTAAGTTTCTACCATTCACATCTTTCTATGATAAAAATGGGTGTTTGGGAGACAGCATTTATCTTCATGAAAAATACACATAATAATGTTACAGCGAAGTCATTGTGCTGGAGAGCTCAGGGCAGCCTTCCATTTGGCTGACCCTGAAGGCAACAGTTACCCTGAGGTTCAAGGCTACTAGCCTCCTTTCTAGGTCAAAAATAAGGAGGGGCAAGAAGCACTTAAGACAGATAACCTGATAGCCACTCTGAGATTTATCCTGGTTTTAACAAAAATATGTTAGGAAGAGAGTAAAGAGCCCACACATATTAAAGCAAACAAGTGCTTCCAAGACTCCCATGAAACTTTAATTAATGGCACATGTATACATATGTAACAAACCTGTACATTGTGCACATGTACCCTATAACTTAAAGTATAATTTAAAAAAAAGAAAAGTTATAAATGAAAAAAAAAATAAAAAACATGAATCTCCTGGAAATGTTTCTTGGTTGGCCCACTGCAGAGGTAAGGTGTGTGAGAAAGACAAGCAGTGATCTGTATCAGGGAGAGAGGGGAGGCCAGAGGGCATGTGAGCCAAGCCTACAAATTCATACAGGGCCATAAAAAGTGCAGGTGACTCTGGGACTACATACAGGAGGTGCTACTGCAAAGAAGTGACCAGCCTGGGGTCATCGAACAGAGAATGTAGAGGAGGCAAGATGGATAATTATGGAGTCAAAGAAAAAAAGTCCAATGTCTAAACCAATGGTGAGACTTCAGGGGGTTCTTTAAATGGATGCCTGCACAAAAATAAATAATGAGCATGCACTATATCTACACTTATTTATGGATTATTTTCAATGAATAATTTTATTTTATTCTTAAAATTCATGTAGGGAGAAGGAATCAAGTTCTCCATTTCAGAAATTAGAAAAGTTTCAAAAAGGGAAAGGAAGTATATCCATTAAGCTCCTCTGATGGACATTCAGGGACTCCGTAGACATTTCCACATTCCCTCATATAAGCATCGCAAGAAGCCAGTTTGCTTATTACCATGTATTTAGGTGTTATTGTTGTCTTTTAACATATGAAAAAGTTGTGACTGAGAAGTTTAGTCGAGATCCCACACAATTAGCAAGCTCTAAAGTTGGAATTTGAGCCCTATGTCTGGCTATAACCTTGACCTCTTTCCATTATACAATCCTTCCTTCTCTATGTAGGATTATCCTACCTTCAGAAATAAGGAGACAAAGGTTTGCACAGGAATGAGGTTTGCTGTCTCCAAGTCTCTTGTTCTTTCTAGAGATCAAGCTGCTTCCACTTTTTTCCTCAGGTTATACGATGGGCCTGTCAACAGATTGATCTCCTTATTGATCCCTGAATATAGTCCCATTAACCTGTGGACCACTGTACATGTTGCTCCCCTTGCCACAGATAACCTGACCTGTTATTTACATTTTTCAAGTCAAACTTGAGCATCAGCTCCTCCTGGAAGTCTTCCCTCACCCCTTTTTCACTGTGACAACCATCATGGCTCCCCACGGATGCCCTCCAGTTTATAAAGATGCCTGTCCTGTGGGTTCCCATAATACCTTATCATCTCCCTACAAGCAAATACCACAGTACATTGTAAGAGCCAGATTGCATATGTATTTCTTTTATTTTACCATATATTCTTTGAAGGCAGGGGCTGTGCTCACTGTTTCCCCGGGCTCCAGCATGGTCCCTGACTACTGGTGGTAAGTTAGTATCTGTTAAAAGAATGAGTAGATGAAAGCTTTGTTTACCTTTTTAATAATTTTTAGGCTACAATTTTGAATAGTAGATCAAAGAAATACAAACAGGAATGTTCATTATTTTATTATTTATCCAATGATACTGGAGTAGGAGAAGCTTCAGACAGAGGGATTTGATATGGAACTTGCAACTCAGGTAGGAAACAAAAGTTCACACAAAAGGGAAATGGATACACTTAGTTGCAATGACTTTAAGGAAAAGGCAGAGAAAGAGACCTCCCACCTGTCCTGTTGACTTTTATCAGCTTTTACTTTGTTTTGATACTGAGCTAATCAAATTAGTATCTATTTCCACTTCTATGTGCAAAAAAGCTTATTTCTAAGGGATTAAAACATTTCCTAAAAATATTCAGAATAGATACTTATAGTAAAAACTAAAACAAAAAAAAAAAAACCCTTAACACAACACATAATAAGTATCTGTCTCTTATGAGGACAACCACCAAAAATAACATGCACATCCCAAAGGGCTGCTTCCTCGTTACATTAATACATCAAAATATCTACTTATGATGATTGATTTGTAGATGTTGATGCTGAAAACCCATTTATCATTTGCACTGCAATTTGCCCATCTTTACAGATCATAAAAATTCATTGAATTATGCTTCTTCTTATACTATAATTTAATATCTTGTTTTCAGCACCAGAATAAATCCCCATAAGTAATAATTTCCCTATGTTACCCTTTAGCAGTCAGTCCCAATCAATGCATTTTATATACACACATGCATATGAAAAGTTAATGAAACAAGTTTCTCACTTCATAATTTCTTAACTGGAACCCAAACCAAAAGACACAGAGAGAAGTACCTACCTATTTAGGAATCAGAACAACAAAATTACCCAGTTAATAAGAAAGTCAGCTGCATATTTCTAAAATAAGTATAACATCTTGCTCATTCCACCAAAACTGTAATTTATAACCAACACTGTGGAAAAGACACATGTATGTATTTTCTTAGAAGTTCACAGTAGAGATTTTTAGTACAGCCATTCTACGCCTTAGACACTAACAAGACAATTAATAAAATGATGTAACACTGGAGATCTGGAATAAATGTATGACTTTTGCATTATTAGTACACATGACATTATCTTACCTTATTTTCACATCATTTCTACAAAATGCTCTAAGTATTTTAATAATTAATATGTACTTTTTCAATCTTTTAGAGAAAGTGAGGCATGGAGAAGTTCAGATAATGCCTCAAAAATATGAATGAGATAGTGAAAACGCAAAATGAAAATAAGATAACAGACCAATCCCATCCTCTAATGCAAAACTCTCTATTTTTATTGTAAAATTATGAAAATCCCCAATTATTTTTAGCCTCTGAAGAAATTTGCTAATTGTTCTCAGACATCCAAAGCTAGGTCAAGAACAAGACTCTTTTTCCCCCTCAAGTCATAAACTTGTCTAAAATAAAGTAAAACAAAGACTTAAGAAATAAGACCCTCAAGTACTAAAGTGCTTTTGAACTTCAATCGTATATTAGCAAGTTATTCTGAAGTATATAACCAAGATCCTGGATCTCCAAAAATCTCAAGTTGTGAATACCTCTATAGCACATCATTTCTCCCATAAAATGTAGGAAAATACAAAATAATAATTCAGTGAACCCTTTAGGACCTTAATGATTCTACAAATACATTAATAAAATCATTTAAAAATCTATAAAAATAAATTCTGCTTCCCAAATAAACACAACACCCCATTATGCTTCCACATTACTGTTGTGACATTATTGTGAAGTTACTGGAATCTTTAAAGAAACTTTTAATCTCCATTAATTATTGATCTCTAAACAATGAATAATGGATGACTTCCAAAGCTTATTGAGATGAAGAAGGTGGGCAGTCCACCTGGGCTACTCCCTGGCCAAAGAGATTGGCCAGATCACACTGTGTGTTTCCAGTCTATGCCTCAGTGGTATTATACTCATCACACAATATGACTCTTTAGGGTACTTTGTCAATAGGAAACACCATGAGTGTTGCATACTGCCTGGAAGAGCTCCCTTTAACTGGTTTGGAGAACAGCTGTCAAAGCCATTTCATGGATTGACAATTCTTTACCAGACTTTCATGGTCCAGGGGAGCTATTGGGGTTTTGTCTGCTATGTTGATGTAATGATAAACTTTTCAAAAAGATCCTTTTACATCCTCACAAATTCTGTTTCAGAGAACTTTCTCTAAAATGTATTGATCTCTTGGCTCTATTGACTTATAATAATTAGTCATATGATAAACAACCAGCGGCTGGAGAATGGTGGGCCATAAACCAGATTTGCTTTCAACATCTGGTCATGGAAGGAGAAGAGTGACACTTGAAGAGGTAAGAAAGGTGAGGGTGAGCTGACTTAAAGGTTCAAAGCAAAAAGATGAAAAAAAGACTGCCTTTATGTATAAAAATTTCCATCACACAGAGAGCGTCCTTTGTTCTTAGGGGTGATGCCATATTGCAACTTTTATCCCATGTAATTGGTAAGGTAATGAGATGGCCAAAGAGAGATGATGCTGAAGGCACATACTATAAAATCGCTGATGAACAGAGACCACAGATTTTGGTCTCTGTCTCTGTACAAGGAAGTAGCACCTGATATTATTTCTATTGACTGCTCCAGTATTACACTAGCAGTTCCTACAGAAGGAAGTATGAACTCATGATGGGCAGATTACTCTATTCTGTCCCTTTGTTCCCAACTAGCTATACTGAAAAAAGAAAATGGGGTAGAAAATTATAAAATATTTAAATAAAATTGGGGCTAAATATGGGGCTAAAATTATAAAATATCACAATAAAAATTTCATAAAATTTGGAATATTAAAATGCTAATGCCATGTGCTTCTACTCAGATTTAGCAAATGTTAACACTTACCATTCTTTCAACAAATCTCTCTTTGTGAGAAAAAGGCAAATGTAGTGGAAGATCAATTTTCATCACTTTTAAGCATTTTTTTCCCTCTTTCCCTAGAGGTAATCAAGGTCCCAAAGCTGTTTTATATCCTTTCTGATTGTTGTTTGTATATTTTTATCACCTATCTGCATCTCCACATAACACATAGCATTTGAGTTTTAAAAAGTTTTACATAAATGTAATCATATAGTATTTATGCTGCAATTTGCTTTTTCACACAAGATTGGTTGAGATTTTTCAGTGTTGATAAGGAAAAATCTAGCTCATTCAAGTTCAATAATATATTCCTGTATAAATACATCTTCTAAAAAATGTCATTGTGATTCTTGGACCCTCTTGGAATTTTAATTAGAATATTACTAAGTTGATTAATCTGAGATTAATGTCTTCATTATATTAACTTTAGCCAGTCGTGCACATTGTGATTCTTTCTCTTTCATCCAATCTTTTAGATCCTTGAATTGCACGTTATAATTTTTTGATTGTTGTTAAAGCCATTTTACACATATTATGTACATAGTTAGAGGTTCCTTGTAGTCATTATTATCAATGGAAATTTTTTTCCTATTATATTCTCTATTTTGTTATGGCTGATATGTAAAAACACTCTCAAGTTTTTATATTGATCTGATGTGCAATAAACCTTTTAAACACCCTTCTAACAGTTTGGCTGGAAATTCATTTTCAAATATCTATATAATCATATCATATTCAAATAGTGACAATTTTTTTTCTTCTTTTCCAATCAACCTATAGTTTATATTCTTCTCTTTTCTTTCCAGTAACAAATTTAAGTGCTAGCAGTAGCCTTGAATATCTTATATCTTACTAAATACCTGTCTTTAATGGAAAAATTTCTTACATTTCATCCATAAGTAAGGTGTTTGCTAGAATGTTGGTGGATACTCTTCAATAGATTAAGAGTATTTGATCCTTAGGTCGATAAGAATTTTTATTATGAATAATGCTAAAATTTAGAAATATTTTTTCCTACTTCTATTGAAGTGATTGTGTGATTGTTTTCTTTAATCAATGTACAGAATTATACTGAGAGATTTTTATGAATTTTTATGATAGTGGCCTATGGTCATATTCCTGGAAGAAAAAGACTTAAAAAATAGTTCAATGTATTTATAATACTCTGTTGGATTTAATTTGCTGATGTTTTATTTACAATTTTGTATATATGATCACACATGAGAATAGCTTATACTTTTTTTTCCTCTTCTGTTTTTATCTCCTCTTGATGTTAAGACTATATTAGCCTCATAAAATGAATTGGGTAGCATTCTTTATTTTTCTATTCTCTGAAACAGTTTGGACTATATATGTACCATCACTTACTCATAAATCCATTTATACCTATAGTTTTCTAAGAAAGACATTTTATAATAGCTACTGGTTCGTTTTGGTTTCAAACTAAGTTTTCAAGCAACTTTAATAATTTAATTTATTAAGAAAACTATCCATCTCTTAATATTTTAAATATTTGGTGTAATAAAATGACTGATCAAAATAGTACCATAGTTTTATCTTTCCACTGTATCTACAGTTGCATTATTTTTTCATTACTCATTCAGTCTCTCTTTTTTCTTAATCAGTCTTGCTAATTTATTCTTTAATACAATCAGTTTTATTTTTCAAAGGGCCAGTTTTACTTGTATTGATCATCTCTTCTTTGTTTTCTATTTCATTATTGCTTCTTTCCAGAGGATTCCTTTGCAAACAAAGTTCTAAACCATTTGAGGAAAACTATTACAAAGAAAGTCGATAAAATCAACAATTAAGATTTGACTATACTCCAAATAGAATAAAGATCATAGAGGAAACTGAAAGTAAATTTTAAGTGAGATGGTTCAGAATACATGCCTAGATAAAAACATAAGAACTATTTTTATTGAGAAGATAACGTATTAGACAACAATCACTAGGGAATGGGGTGCGTAAAGTATTTAATGTATAATTGTCTTTTGGAGGGAACAGCATAGGAAAACTAAATAATTTACATATTGGTTAAGTATGTTAATTTAATGGAGTACTCTGCTAGAGCTTTTCTAATTTCAATTTTTTGTTTTTTTCTATTACTGCTATGTGTTTGAATCAGAAGAAGGGCAATGTCATCTTGACAACTTACATATTGTAAGTTATAGATCCTCCAGTATCTTTCTTTTACTTAGGAAACTTTGAAAGATAACCTCAGTCTCAAGTGTCATGTAGATCTTAGATACATAAAGTTCTTTGAACTTGCTCAATTAAAAAAATGGAACTGAAACATGAATGTATTGGGCTTCCTATCCAAGCTTATTTTTTGATCCTGCTTTTGAATACCTTTCCCTCTTTCCAAACAGAAGAGCTGATGCTGCTCTTGAGGGCTTGGCATTTTTCTGCCTTTCTTTGTTTAAGGTTTCACCTTTCCCTCAGTTCCTCACCTAAATACTAGACCATGAGCTTCTAGAGGATAGGAAGTGCTTCTTATCTTTTTGACTTTGGTGCCTAGTACATTGCCTGGCACAGAGTACTGAAGAGTTATTTCTCTAATAGTTACAAGTGCTTCCTTTTGCCATTTATCTTAGTCTATCTCATCTCTATAGATATGAACATAGCCCTTAAAGACACTACAAGTCTAAATCTCACTCCTTCAAGAGTCAGCCTCCCTCTATTGTAAAGCTTTTCTTTATAGTGACAACTGGAAATAATTCAATTTTGAAAGTTTTTTTTTAACGTGTCTCTTTTATGCCACTTATTGTTTTCTATACCATAAGACAGTGATTTATGGACATAGATTTTCTTTTTTACAGGACTGTAAACCCTCTAAGACCAGGATCCATCTAATTTTTGTTCTATACAAAGCAAAACAATTTATAAATATTTGATGAATAAATACTTTATAACATAAAGGAAATGATCATGTTTGAATTTTTCACTTGTTTGCCTTTTAATTAATCATTATTTTCACCAGGCCAGTAAGAAGATTGCTGAACTATGGTGCTGATGTGTCACCTGGAGAGCAGATGTCCTATGGGCATGAAATGTTGCCTTACTTCCTTTTAACAAGAATCAACCCCTCAACGTTGGCTTTGTAGCAAGGCTACATAAAATTACCAGGCTTTTAGAATACCTCTAAAGCAAAGGTCAATTATAATTTGTTGGATAATTTCTCTTCTAAATTTATAATTCTGAGATGTTTAATTTTAGAGTGATAAAAATTATGATTCAAAACTCACATTTTAAATCAGAATGAGCAAATTCAACAAAAACAAAGATAAACAGATGGGACTTAATTAAACTAAAAAGCTTCTGCACAGCAAAAGAAATAAATCAGCAGAGTTAATAGACAACCCACAGAGTGGGAGAAAATCTTCACAATCTATATATCCAACAAAGGACGAGTATCCAAAATCTAAAAAGAACTCAAATCAGCAAGAAAAAATAAAGCAATCCTATCAAAAAGTGGGCTAAGGACATGAATAGACTATTCTCAAAATCAGATATATAAATGGCCAAGAAGCATATGGAAAAATGCTCCACATCACTAAATATCAGGGAAATACAAATCAAAACCACAATGCAATACCACCCCACTCCTGCTAGAATGGCCATAATAAAAAAATTAAAAAATAATAGATGTTGGCATGGATGCTGTGAAAAGGGAACACTTTTACACCGTTGGTGGGAATGTAAACTTGTACAACCACTATGGAAAACAGTGTGGCGATTACTTAAAGAACTAAAAGTAGATCTACTGTTTAATCCATCAATCCCACTTCTCGGTATCTACCTAGAGGAAAAGAGTTATTATAGAAAAAAGATACTTGTGCACACATGTTTACAGCAGCACAATTTGCAATTGCAAAAATATGGAACTAACCCAAATGCCCATCAATCAATGAGTGGATAAAGAAAATGTGCTGTGTGTGTGTATGTGTATGTACATACACATACACCATGGAATACTACTCAGCCATAAAAAGGAATTAAATAATGGCATTCACAGCAACCTGGATGGAAGTGGAGATTATCAATCTAAGGGGAGTAACCTAGGAAAGGAAAACCAAACATAGTATGTTCTCACTCATTTGTGAGAACTAACCTATGAGGACACAAAGGCATAGAAGATACATTGGACTTTGGGGACTGGGGGAAAATGTGGGGGATGGTGAGGGATAAAAGACTGCACATTGGGTACAGTTTACACTACTTGGGTGATGGGTACACCAAAATCCCAGAAATCACCACTAAATAACTTAAAGAATGCCTGGGATTTTTTATATTTTGTTCAACATGAACTTATTAATATTATTTATATTAGAAAAATGCATGTTAGTGCTGTTTCAGTTAGACTCAGAAAAGCTGATGTAATCCAATCAAAAACTTAAATCCATTCTATCAGTAGATGTATCATTAAGGTTTAAATTCAATGAGCAGGGAATGAAGTCAAGTTTCAGCAAATTTACTGTAGAAAATGATGATAAGAAGTGTGCAAAGTGGAATGCTACAAACACACAAGCAGTTGGCGGGGGCGGGGGAGGGGGCACAGAGACGGGATCCTGTCCTGAGTCAGCTAATTACCAACCTGGGGAAGTTACTTAGCCCTTCTGAGCCTTACTTTCTATGCCTAAAAACTGGGAATTGTATTGTGGATTTGAAGAATGTTTGTTAAGAATACTGAAATGTATGTACATATGCTCCTAATACCATATTTGGAGCCTATCATTTATGTTATAATTTATGATCCTTTATCATAATCATTTATTATTATGAGGATGATGATGAAAATTTTCCATAGTCAGCAATCCTGGGCTTCATAGCCCTATGATCAGACTTGCAAATTAGAACTTGAGTTTCTGCTGCGATCAGGTAAATGAAGTTTGTCCTGAGGGTCATGATCATGACAGTATGCTCTGGTGCAAATAATTAGGGCAATTTAAAAAATTACATTCTCAATGGTTTGGGCATTAATCTTTTCTAAATAATCATAATAAAGTGGAATAGTCCATCTTAAGAAGAAGTTATAGCCAAATAATTTTGTTCAATTATATTAACCAATATATAAAACATGAGATGCTTTATTAAAGCAAATGAGAAAAAAAATCTACTTTGCCAAAAGAACATTTGGATTTTTTTCTTTACTATATACCAATGCTCTGTAACATGGGAGAGCTATTTCCTACTTTATAATGAAAATGTATGTGAAATACACATGCAAGACAAGGACGGCATGTATGATAAGTGATATGACCCAGGAAGAACTACAGGAGATCATGATACAAACAAGGGTCTATGAACTGGTGGGGAAGAGAGAGTCATAAAGAAGACAGGGACCAGAAATACATGCTAATGGAGAAATGACTTCAGCATCATAGAAGAAATAAGTAAAAACTCAGAAATGAGAATTGTTTTTCCCAGGTAACTAGTCTCAAGGGTATGGTGGTGAACACAGTTGTGTTTTAATGCAATCCACAGAAAAAATGGCAGAATAGTCTGTGAAGCCAAACAGCAGTGAAGGTGAGTGCAAATCTGGGATGAATAAGGGAGGGATTAGCCAAGGAGACCTTCCACCTGGGACCCCAATATGCCATGAACTGAGCTGGTTATGGTAGCTTGCCATTTATTAGGTTTAATATTAATACTAAGCAATTTACTACAATGTCTCATAATCTTTACAATGATTTTGTAATGATTATCTTGATATTACAGATGAAGAAACTGAGGGGAAAAAGATGTTAACTTTTGCTGATTCTTTCAAAATCTCTAATTCTTACAACAACCTTAGTTCAGCATTATTAACCTTATTTTCAGGTAAGAAACTGAAATTTGGAGACACTGAGTCACTTAACAATGGCCACACAGCTGATAGGTAGGAGAATCAAAGAATGAATATGGATCTGTGAGAAAACACAGAATCACATACATGCATCTATGAGGACTTGAGGTAACACACTGTCTCCTATTATTTGAAATGGTAGAAGCTGAGTCTAGGTCACATGGTTATGGAATATCTATTATATGCAAAGGTCAAAGTTTATAGAATTTTAGAGGTGAAAGGGCCCTTAGATATCTTTTATTGCAATATGCTTACTTTATACATAAGGAAATACTCCAAGAAATGTAAATGGTTCAAAGTTAAACTATGTTCAGTACGTTCAGTGATTATTAATATAAAGAATGGAATCATACACACAGAAGATTCTGCCCCACCTACATGGGTAATTTTGTGATGCCAAATTTAACATTTTCTAATTAATTGTCTACAATTTTTCAATATCAAATAATTCTCTTTGTAAAAGTAGAAAACTGGAGAATGATAAGTTTGAACATAAAAAAGGAAATGGAAATGTGTTAATTATAAAAAAAAAAATGTCCTATTTTAAAGTTAGGTGGCTGTTAGCATTTTTTTTCTGCTCAGGCTTGACCCTGAGAGGGCTTCCTCTGCTGTAGATAGGGAGTTAGGAAAACTATTCCTATCTAAAAATGAAAATACCAATGTAGCTTACTTGCTGGCCAAGGTGTACATATAGACATCAATGTCATGTAACAAATTTTAACTTAAATCCTGCAATGAGTATAAGAAAATCCTAAATTGATAAAGCAACCATTCTCTGGGAACCAGGAAAAGCAAAAACAAAATTGCTCTATAGAAATACTTTTACAACCATCCTCACAAGGAACTTCCACAGAAAAAGAGATATCCATTGAATAACAGATTCCTAACCAAAATTAGAAACAACAGGAGGAAATAAATCAATGTAGGAGTAGTCAGAAGCTAAAATTAAATTGATAATGTATGCTGTAAGAATCAAAAATAATATATACTCTTGAAAAAGACAACATATTTATAATAAAAATGTAACAGAAGAGATAGAAATCACAATCATAATGAAAGAACAAGACCTCCTATGGGAAAAAGAAAAATCAGATTTAAAAAGAAACCAGAATAGACTGATAAAAATGAAAATTATAAGAATAAAATTAAAATGCAGTGGGTGTATTAAACAACAGCTATGATTAGCTAAAGAGGGCATTAGGGAATTGGAAAACAGATGTGAAGAAGCCACATAGAATTCAACACACAGAAACATATAGAAAAATTTAAAAGATGAAGAGATATGGAACATAGAAAGAAATAGATTACCATCCAAGAAACAACTTGTTAGAGTATATACTTGTGGCTTGTTAGTCTTCCCTTATGTCTTCGATGATGGTATTTAATTGACTTCCTGTTTTGTTTTTGTGATGTCTGAGTTACTTACATATTCAGAAGTAGATTACAGTCATCCCACATTATCCACAGGGGACTGGTTTCAGAACCCCACTCTGATACCAAAATCTGTAGTTGCTCAAGTCCTTTATATAAAATAACGTAGTATAGTTGACCCTCCATAGCCATAGTTTCCCCATTCATGGAGCGCTTACTGTGCTACACTGATCCAATTTTGATTCTGTTAATTCGTGTAAGCATAGTACAAGTTTAACTATTTATTAAGTGAATATAAATAGAACTCTAGGAAACTAGAGGAAGCAAAGATAAATCATGACAAACAAAAATATGATAGAAAGTGGTGGAAGTATGACCAAATATACCAGTAATCAGGATGAAAATTGGAATTAAACTTCCATATTAAAAATAATATCAGGTACCATTTAAAAATAACCTTATAATGAAAAATTATAAATTCATATGAATTTATGAATGAAAAATTATAAATTCTTATGAAAGAGGAAAGCACCAAGACAAGTGTAGAAATATAAGGAATGATGACTAATCATGCCAGCTGACATCAGGACCCATACAAGTATAAGTTATAGACAACTAGACCAGTGGCAGAAGGGAAAGCCTAGAATCACATGCATTATGTGCAAAGTTGGAATACGAAGAACGTGGCATTAAAATTAATATGGACTTAAGAATAGGCTATTTAACAAATTTTGGTAATTCAACTGGCTGTGGGAAATAATTGGATCCCTACTTCATATTAATACAATTCAAGAATTTCATACAGATAAAATACCAAAATGTGAAAAGAAAAGTTATAAAATTTAGAGAGAAGTATAATATTTTTATAATCTTAGCACAGAGGAGGATTAAGGAAATAAGGTACAAAATCTATCAGCTATCATGGAAAAGTTAGTTAAGTAGATAAATGTGACATATTAACATTTTAAATCGTCTGTATAAGCAAAGTTAAATGCCTGAGACTGGGAGAAGATATTTGCTGGGCACATAAGTGATATAATATTAGTATCCAGAACTCTGTCACTTTGATAAAAAAATAGGCAAATAATATAAACTAAAAACTCACAGTAGAAGATACCCAAGCAAGTAACTAGATGCTCATTTTCACTTGTGATTCAGAGAAATGCGTATTTGAAAAACAAAGATATCTATTCACATCAGCAAAATCTTGCAATTAATTGGGCAAATATGTCAAAGAAGAAAATGGATGAATAATTGTGGTACATTTATACAATATAATCCTTAAGATCAAATAAATAAACTATACCTACATATATGAACATGAATATATTTCAAAATATAATTAAAAAAGCAGTTTGCAAAGGACACATATAGTATGTGCAATAATTATGAACACATGTATGTACCAAGAGTAAAAGGTGATGTACTAACGTCAGTGTAGTGATCCCTTCTAGTGACCAAGAAAACACAGAACACAAAAAACAAACAACAAACTGGAATGAAGAAGTATATAGACGTATAATGACACTTTTTCTAAGAACAAAACCTCTGAGACAATACTTGATTATTTTTTGTTGCTGCCATTTGTCTTTGGAACTGACATCATGCCGGGGTTGGGTCATGAAGCTGATGACTTGATGTAAGTTGCATGGATGTTGTTAGTTTCCTCTTCAATTGCCTTTTAGCTCCTTAAAAGCAAATGGAATTTGTCCCCAATAGTATATTTTCAATGACTGATACAATTTATAAAATGTGAGTTGTCAACAAGGAGCATGATGAGGAGAACACTGAAAATATGAACAAATCCTAAGAAAGTTAATAGCTAGATCTTGAATGAACTTGAGAGGAAGTTATCCAAATTGAAAACTAAGGCTTAAGGAGGAAGGCAATTGCCAGAGGCCAAGTGACTGATGAGAAGTAAGGATTTACAAGCCACAGGTCTCCAGCTATTTCTTCTAAGCCTGTGGTACATAAAGTTCTTTGTGTCAGAGACTTCCTTGAGAGTCTGAAGGAAGCTTAAAGTCTCAATTTCACCATTTCTTCAAGAAATGAGCACATATTTGCAAAATTTGCATATAATTTCTGAAGCCTAAGGTCTGAAACCTTACCTAAGAACATCCACTGTTAAGAATTTCTGTGGACAAGTCCTAGGCTACATGTTGTTGGCATAGGATCTAATTGGGAATGCTGCTTTTTATTTAAACAAATCAGATATTCTTTCAGGTCAACCACGTTGGATGTGGGGAGGATCATTTTTAGAATGGGAGCTCCTCAGAGATGGTAGTTTCCAGGTGAGTGGAAGTAGACATCAGAGTTCCAGGTGAGTAGAGGTAGACATTGGAGTCTACTTCTGCTCACCTTGGAGTAGACATTGGAGAAGGGTGGGATGGATGGAAAAGGAGAATCCTTTGGGAGAGGCATTGGAGTTTGCTGCCATAGCTTGATCTAAGAGCTTTGACAGGCTGGGGCTTTCAGACACCAGGATTCAAAGCAGCTCAGAGCATCTCCATGCAAAGCATCCAGAGTGCTTTGTAGCCATCCTTTCCCATAATACAGGCAATCTTTCTGTTCTTAATTGCACAATTTGTCCTAAGAAATTAGAAGAAACAAAGAAAAGCCTTACAACTACATGAGAGAGATTAACTTTTTAAGGAAGGACCACACCCACCATTTCATTAACTCTATATTTCCAGTGCATTGCAGATTGCTGGGAATTTCAATCACCACTCGGTAAATGTATTCATTGCATTGATTGCAAAAAGCTAATTTGATTTGCTTTGGATGTTTCTCCTCCTCCAAATCTCATGTTGAAATGTGACCTCCAATGTTGGGGTCTAGTGGGAGGTGTTTGAGTCATGGGGGTGGATCCTCATAAATGTCTTGGTACTGTCCTCAAGGTAATGAGTGAGTTCTCACTCTGAGTGCATGTGAGACCTGACTGTTTAAAAGACCCTGGGGCCAGATGTGGTGGCTCAAACTTGTAATCTCAGAACTTTGAGAGGCTGAGGTGGATAGATCACTTTAGGTCAGAGGTTCAAGACTAGCCTGGCTAACATAGTGAAACCCTGTCTCTACTAAAAATACAAAAATTATCCAAGTGTGGTGGCACATGCCTGTAATCCCAGCTACTCAGGAGGCTGAGGTGGGAGACTTGCTTGAAACCAGTAGGTGGAGGTTGCAGTGAGCCGATACTGTGCCACTGCCCTCCAGCCTAGGTGATAGAATGAGGCTCCATCTCAAAATAAATAAATTAATTAAAATAAAATAACCTGGCACTTTCTTCCTTGCTCTCTTGCTCCCTTTCTCACCATTTGACCAGCTTCTCCTTTGTCTTCCAACATGATTGGAAGATTCTTGAGGCTCTCGCTAGAAGCAGATGCTGGTGAGATGCTTTCTGTACATTCCGCAGAACTGTGAGCAAAATAAACCTCTTTTCTTTATAAATTACCCAATTTCAAATATTCCTTTATAGCCATGCAAAGCAGACTACCACAGAAAATTCATACTGTGGTATGGAGCACTGCTATAAAGATACCTGAAAATGTGGAAGCAGCTTTGGGACTTGGTAACTGACAAATGTTGGAAGAGTTTGAATGTCTCAGAGGAAGGCAGGAAGAAAGATGAAGGAAAGTTTGGAAATTCCTAGAGACTTGTTAAGTGGTTGTGACCAAAATGCTGATAGAAACATTGGCAGTGAAGGCCAGGCTAATTAAGTCTCATATGAAAATGAGGAAGTTATTGGGATCTGGAATAAAGTTTACCCATGTTGTGTGCTAGCAAATAACTTAGCTGCACTGTGTCCATGTCCTAGGGATCCGTGGAAGTTTGAACTTAAGAGGGATGACTTAGGGTATCTGGTAGAAGAAAATTTCTAAGCAGTAGTATTGAAGATGTGGCATGGCTGCTTCTAACAGCCTACAGTTAATTAGACGCACATGCAAAGGCATAACTTAAAGTTTGAATTTACAATAAAAAGGACTGCAGGGTGTAAAAATCTGGAAAATTTACAGCCTGGCCACATAGTAGAGAAGGAAAGACCATTTTCAGGAGAATAGACCAAGCAGGCTGTGGAGCAACCACTTGCTAGAGACATTCACATGACTAAATGGTAGTCATGCACTCGTAGCCAAGACAACGGGATAAAGACCTCAAAGGCATTTCACAAGTTTCTGAGGCAGGTCTCCCACCACAGGCCCAGAGGCTTGGAAAGGAAGAATGGTTTCATGAGCCAGAACTGGGGCATTGCTCCCCACTTCCTGGCTGCGGCTCAAGGCATCCCAGGTACAACTCCAGCCAGATGCTTCAGATAGCACAAGTTGTAAGCCTTTTCAGCTTCCACATAGTGCAAAGCCTTTAGGCCCTCAGAACCCAAGAGTGAAGGAGGCTTGGCAGCTTCCACCCAGATTTCAGAGGATGTATGGGAAAGCCTGGGTACTCAGACAGAAGCCTGCTTCAGAGGAAGAGCCCTCAGAAAGAGCCTTTGCTAGGGCAGTATAGAGGGGAAGTGTGGGGTTGGAGCCCCCATACAAAGTCCCCACCAGCACACTGCCTAGTGGAGCTGTAGGAAGGGTCATGCTGCCCTTCAGACCAAATAATGGTAGAGCCACTGACAGCTTATGCCCTCAGTCTGAAAAAGCCACAGGCAATAGACTCCAACCTGTGAGAGCAGCCGTGGGGGCTGTACCCTGCAAAGCCATAGGGACAGGCCAGCCCAAAGTCTTAGGAGGCCATCCCTCATACCCATGTTCCCAGGATGCAAGAAGCAGAGCCAAAGGAGATTATGGTGGAGATTTAAGATTTAATGTCTGCTCTGCTGTGTTTCAGACTTGCATGGGGCTTGTTACTCCTCTCTTTTGGCCAATTTATCCCTTTTGAAATAGAAATGTTTACTCAATGCCTGTACCACCATTATATCTAGGAAATAAATAACTTATTTTTGATTTGACAATCTCGTAGGTAGAAGAAGCTTGCCTTGAGTGTCAGATGAGACTTTAGACTTTTGAGTGATGCTGGAATGAGTTAAGATTTTGGAGGACTATTGGGAAAGGATGATTGTATTTTGGAATGTGAGATGAACATGAAATTTGGAGGACCAGGGAAGAAGTAATATGGTATGGATATTTTGCCATTTCCAAATCTCATGTTCAAATGTGACTTCCAGTATTACAGGTGGACCTAGTGGGAGGTGTTTGGGTCACGGGGGTAGATCCCTCATGAATGGCTTGGTGCTGTCCCCATGATAATGAGTGAGTTCTCACTCTATGAGTTCACATGATATCTGGTTGTTTAAAAGAGACCGACACTCCTTCCTCTATCTCTTGCTTGCTCTCTCACCATGTGACATGCTTGCTCCCACTTTCCTTCCACCATGATTGGAAGCTTCTGGGGGCCATCACCACAAGGAGATTCTAATGCCATGCTTCCTGTACACCCAGCAGAGCTATGAGACAAATAAACCTCTTTTCTTTATAAATTACAAAATTCCAGGTGTTCCTTTATAGCAGCACAAAACAGACACACATAATTCTAGGTTCTTTTTACAAACACCAAGATTCAGACATTTTAGTGGTTTAAAATTAGGGTAAAGAGTCTCATTGCCATTATTCTCTTTAATGAACAAAACGTTAGTTGTGAAATTATATATTTTAATGAAATATAGTGTAGCCATTTACATTAATTTGTACATTGTAAACATGTTAATGTTTCTCTGTATTGTCTCTTCCACCAAAAATGTTATCTTTGACTGATTCACCCTCTCCGAATACTGGGAGAGAAGGGTTATTTTGGTTTGGTTTTAATTTGTCAATCCCACAAGCAGTTTTCAGCAGATAGAAGGTATTTGGAGATTTTCTTACATGAAACAATCCAAGCATACACTTTATAATTTTTTTTACTATGTTTAAATTGATGTATACAACACATGCAGAAAAGTACACAGATGATAAGTATATAATCTGATTCATTTCTACAAAGTAAATACATCTATGTGTTTGCCACCAAAAATCTAGGTCCTACACTAAAAAATAGAACATTACCAGCATCCCAGAAGCCCCAGATCAAAGTAGGCATATGCAAGAAATATTTTGTAATTTCCAATGTAATTGCTTCTTTGATCCATGGGTTATTTAGAAATACGTTGCCTAATTTTCCAACATTTGGGAATACATTTGGGAATTTCCTAGTTACATTCCTGTTATTTACTTACAGTGTAATATCACTGTGAAGAGATATATATACATATATATATGTATATGTATATATACAATCTGCTTTGTGTTTTCTGGATTAAAAAAAGTTTGTTATATCAGTTGTTGAGAATTGTTACAGTCTCCTACTATAATTATAGATTGCTCTATTCTTCACTTAGTTTTGTCAATTTTTGCTTTACTGAAATTAAGTCTATGATTTAAGGTGAATACAAATTTAGAACTGTTATATCTTTTTAGTGGATTGACCCTTTTATCATTATAAAATATCCTGTTTACCGCTGGTAATATTTTTTGCCTTAAATCTACATTACCTCATATTAAACAATTTGGATGATATATTTTCAGATATTTTTGGCATTTCCTGAACAATGCAAGCTTCTTAGAAGCTTCAAATCCAATGATACCCTCTCCATATTTTATATCATTGTTTTGGGGGGGTGGTATTTTAATTCTGCATAAATTTTAAACTCAAAACAATATTAGTAGCATCATATTTTAATATCACTTTATAGGGTCAATATTAATTTATATGTCTACTTTTTCCTCATTACTTTCTGAATTTTCTTGCTTCAATCTAGGATCATTTTTCTTTGCCTAAAGAATTCACTTGTATTTTGTTTTCTGCAAATCCGTCATTTTTTGTCTAAAAATGTCTTTATTTTGTCTTTACACTGAAAGGATAATTTTACTTGGTATAGAATTTCAAAATTGCTGTAATTTGCTTTAATTCTTAAAAAATGTCACTCCATTTATTCTGCCTTCCATAACTTTTATTCAACTTCTATTTTAGATTCAGGGGGTACATAAGTAGGTTTGTTACATGGATATATTGCATGATGCTGATGTTTGGGGCATGATTGATTCCATCACCCAGGTAGTAAACATAGTACCCAATAAATAGTTTTTCAACCCTTGCCCCATCCTTCTTTACCCCCTCCAGTGTCCCTAGTTCTATTGTTGCCATCTTTATGCCCATGTGTACCTAATGTTTAGCTACCATGTATGTGTACATGTAGTATTTGGGTTTCTGCTTTTGTGTTAGTTTGCTTAGTATAATGGCCTCCAGCATCACTCATTGTTGCTGCAAAAGACAGGATTTTGTTCTTTTTTTATTGGTGTAGAGTTTTACATGGTTTGTATGTACCACATTTTATTTATCCAGTCTACCATTGATGGGTATCGAGGTTGATTCCATATAACAAACCTACTCATGTACCCCCTGAATCTAAAATAAAAGTTGAATAAAAGTTATGGAAGGCAGAATAAATGGAATGGCATTTTTTAAGAATTAAAGCGAATCACAGAAATTTTGAAATTCTACACCAATCATGGGCATTGAGGTTGATTCCATGTCTTTGCCATTTTGAATACCACTCCAATGAACATCTGAGTATAGGTTTCTTTTTGGGAAAAATGATTTATTTTCCTTTGGAGATATACCCAGCAATGGGATTGCTTGGTTGAATAGTAGTTCCATCTTTAGTCCTTTGAGAAATCTTCAAACTGCTTTCCACAGTAGTTGAACTAATTTATATTCCCACCAACAGTGTATAAGCATTCTCTTATCTCTGCAGCCTTGCCAATATCTGTTATTTTTCTTTTTTTAATAGCCATTCTGACTTGAGATGATATCTCATTGTAACTTTGATTTGCATTTCTCTGATAATTAGTAATGTTGTATGTCTTCTTTTCAGAACTGAACAAAATAAAGATCTATACAGGAAAACCAAAGTTTATTTTTTGTAAGGATAAAAAAGATCAATAGACTACTAGCTAGATTAACAAAGGAAAAAAGGGAGAAGATTCAAATAAGCACTATCAGAAACAACAAAGATGACATTACAACCAATCCCACAGAAACACAAAAGTTACTCAGAGATTATTATGAACACCTCTATGCACACAAACAGAAAATCTAGAGAAAATGGATAAATTCCCAGGAATGCACAACCTTCAAATATTCAATCAGGAAGAAATAGAAACCCTGAACAGAACAATAACATGTGCCAGAATTGAATCAGTCATTTTAAAAGACTACCAACCAAAAAAGGCCCAGGACCAGGTGGATTCACAGCCAAATTCTACCAGACATATGAAGAAGAGCTGGTACCAATCCTTACTGAAACTATTCTAGAAAATAAAGGAGGAGGACTGCTTCTCAGCCCTTTGGCTAAGATCAAGTGAAAATCAAGGAGGAGAGACTCCTCCCTAATTCATTTGATGAAATCAGCATCAGCTCAACATTAAAGCCCAGCAAAGACATGATAAAAAAAGAAAACTACAAACTACTATCCCTGAAGAACACAGATATGAAAATCCTCAACAAATACTAGCAAGCTGAAATCCAGCATCACATCAAAGTGTTAATTCACCACAATCAAGCAGGTGTTATTCCTGGGATGCAAGGTTGGTTCAACATCCATAAATCAGTAAATGTGATTCACGACATGAACAGAATTAAAAACATAAATCATATGATCATCTTGATAGACACAGAAAGATTTCAGTAAAATCCAACATCCCTTCATGATAAAAACCCTCAACAAAGTAGGCATTGAAGGAATGTATCTCAAAATTATTGGCACCATCTGTGACAAACCCACAGCCAACACCATAATGAGTGGGTGAAAGCTAGAACAATTCCCCTATTCTCCTTAATAACTAGAACAAGACAAGGATGCCATTCTAACCACTCCTATTCTACTGAGTACTAGAACTCCTAGCCAGACAAATCAGGCAAGAGAAAGAAATAAAATGCATCCAAATAGGAAAAAAAGTCAAATTATCTTTCTTTGCTGATGACATGATTTTATATCTAGACAACCCTAAAGACTCCATTTAAAGGCTCCTAAAACTGATAAACAACTTCAATAAAGTTTCAAGATACAAAATAAAAGTACAAAAATCAGTACTATTTCTATACACTGATAATATTCAACCTGAGAGCCAAATTAAGAACAAAATCCTATTTACAATAGCAACAACAACAAAAAAATACCTAGGAATACATCTAGCCAAGGGGGTGAAAATTTTCTGCAAGGAGAACTACCAAACACTGCTGAAAGAAATCAAAGATGACACAAACAAATGGAGAAACATTCCATGCTCATATATTGGAAGAATCAATATCATTAAAATGAATATACTGCCCAAAGCAATCTACAGATTTGATGTTATTCCTTGCAAACTGCCAATGTCTTTTTTCACAGAATTGGAAATATCAATCCTAAAATTCATATGGAACTTGAAAAGAGCCCAAATGGCTAAACGATCCTAAGCAAAAATAAAAGTCAGACTTCATCACATTACCCAACTTCAAACTATATAACAAGGCTACAGTAACCAAAACAGCAATGGTACCAGTATAAAAACAGGCTCATACACCAATGGAACAAAATAGAGAGCCCAGAAATAAACCCATATCCCTACAACCAATCAACCAACCAACTGATCTTTGACAAAGTCAACAAAAATAAGCAATGAGGAAAGGACTTTCTATTCAATAAATGGTGCTGGGATAACTGGCTGTGCATATGCAGAATGAAACTAAACCTCTATCTTTCACTGTAAACAAAAATAAACTCAAGATGGATTAAAGATTTAAATGTAAGACCTAAAACTATAAAAATCCTAGAAGAAAACCTAAGAAATACCCTAATGGACATGGCCTTAGCAAAGAATTTTGACTAAGTCCTCAAGAACAATTGCAACAAAAAAACCTCCAACATTTACAAATGGGATGTGATTCAACTAATGAGTTTCTGCACAGCAAAAGAAACTGTCAACAAAGTAAACAGACAGCTTACAGAATGGCAAAAAAAAAAACTTGCAAAGTATGCATGCAACAAAGGCCTACTATCCAGAATGTAGACAGAACTTAAACAATCCAACAAGCAAAAAAAATGACCCCATTAAAAAGTGGGCAACAGACATAATTTGTGTTGAATGAAGTCTGCATTTTATGTCTTTTTCTTTAAAGGTTAAATGTCTCTTTTTTCTTCTGTCTATATTTAAAATTTTTACTTTTATCTTTTAACAGTTTTACTATGTTTTACCTATGTGTAGTTTTATTTTATTTTATTCTTGTTGGGGTTTGTCAAGTTTATTGTTTCTGTGGGTTAGTGTTTATCAGTTTTAGAAAATTCTCAACCATTATCTCAGCGAACATGACTCCTACCTTATTCTGCACTTCCCTTCTATCTGGGCTCTTGGCTGCTTAGGGCTTCATAACCTCAGTTACTCTAAAATCCCTTCTGGGATATTTTTAAATCATTTTATGCACATTATCTGGTTCTCTGCAAAAGGATCAATCTGATCTAAGCTAATCCTCCATAGCCAGAAGGAGAACATCCCCGTTTGAGGTGATACTTCTTATACTGTCATAATCCTAGCCATAGACTGAACACATAATATACTTATTTTTACTTAGACATAGTCACATATGTGAAATGTGAGCCAAATTTAAGTTATGTAAAAAGATAATAATGTTGAGCCTATTAAGTAACATTAAGATCTGCAGTCCTAGTCACCAGTTGCCCTAAGTGAGAGTACTAGGGCAATGTGACCTCACTATAAACCCGTGCATGCTTGAGGGGCTGCCAAATCACAAGCTGGAGTCAGTGGGGGGTGGGAGGGGGTAAAGCTACTGCCAGAAATCCCAAGCCAAAGGGAAGCAGAGGAAGGGAGCCAGGTGAAGGAAGTAGCAGCGTGGCATATTGTGTATTGGAAGATATCCAGAAGCACTTTGGGGCCCTCACAGGCTACTTCCTCATCCACAGATGATACCCAGGCCTCCCTCTAAAAGCAGATAACTTTTTGTGTCTAAGCTTCAGATTTCTTAAAATGATAATCATGAATAATTATATTACAGGCTGGTAATGACTGTAAATAATAAATATGCAAAGTGCTTAGAATAGTGTCTTATTCAGGGTAATTGCTTAATAAGTCAGCTATGATAATGGTGATAGTGATAATAATTATTGTGTTTAAGATATTGATGATTGTGATGATGGTCATAAAGTAAAAATGATTATCATTACCATGAAGAAAGAGGATATCATATATATAGTATATGTATATATACACTCCCCCAAAAAGTCAGCTATGACATGACAGAATGCTAGACTTCCCCTTTTACCTTGACCTTAATATACAGTAAGTATGTATGCTTGAACCATCCCAAAACCTTCCCTCCCAACCCCTGGTCCATGGAAAAAAATGTCTTAAATATACATACATACTGTATATTAAGGTCAAGGTAAAAAGGGAAGTCTGATATTTACTGCTTTTAAATATGTTTTCTACTGTAAAGTGGTCATGCTTCTGAGCCTCTATCTGATTGAACTGGCTGAGTTCTATATCAGGGCACCAGTGCCCTAAACAGGGTCTCTGTGACATAGGACATGCCTCCACCTGGGTTCTACTCCACTTTCCCTCATACAAGTAATGTCAAGGAGAGAATAAAGCTAACTTATTGTCATAGAGCTTGAAGAAGGACTTCACACTAGTTTTTATAGCTCAGAGTTTCAGGATGATTAATAAGCAAGGACTCCAAGGAGAAACAGCACATACTTCAGAAGAGACACATTCCTCATTGTGGCTCTTGCTGGAAAATATTGATAATAGAAAGCAATTTTCCCAAGGTTCATTCACATAGGACTAGATGGATTTTTTGCTTCAAGTTCACTGCATTTTTAGAAGGGAATAATTAAAAAAAAATCTAAGTGCCACTTAAACCAAATGGGTAAAGCACCTAGATAGAAAATGATAAAATCAGGACACTGCCATTTCTATTCATGAATGCCTTTTCTGTCTTCATTTAACTTAAGATATTTTTGATTGTAGAGAAGTAAAACATGCATAAAATACCAGCCTTTTCAGCAAGTGATAGGCAACTTTGTTGATACAAATGGATTTGATGATTACTTTTCAAGCTGTAGATAAAGACAGAATTGATGGTGACAGGGAAGAGATGGAACCCATATGGGAAAGGCTGAGGAAATAAACTTGTCCAGGATGTATTTCTATGCTTTTTTATGTACAAAGAAATATACAAACATAGAAATATATATATACACATAGTATATATGTATAATGTGTATATTACATATAAATATATATATCTGTGTGTACACATACATGTACACACAGAAGGAAAATATCTTTTAAATTGAGAGAAGAATAACAGTTTTCCCCTAATCTGGCTGAGGTTAAGATTCTAGCAAATATGGGCTCCCATTCATAAGTAAACTTGTCCCAGTGAAGACAGAGGAAATTGTCTAAGAAAGCCAAAGGGTCTTCCACTGAGGTGGAACAGAGTGACATGGGTTAGGGGCCCCATGCAGCTGAGGATTCTTCATCAAAGTGAGTTGTGCAATAAATGTGCACTAGAGTAAAATTACGTAAGCCTCAAAGTCTCCTCTGAACCACCACTGTCTTTCCAGACTTGAGGAATCTCACTTTCCTCTCTCATACAACTCCCATGGTTCTCTACTCAATAGCATCTACTATGTCCCTTTTTTTCTAGTTTAATCCTCCCAGAGACCTAGAGTTTTCAAAGACAGAGGCAGATGATGGGAGAAAACGTCCTAGAGCAGCGGTTCCCAACTGTATTGGTCTGTTCTCATGCTGCTAACAAAGACATACCCAGGACTGGGTAATTTATAAAGGAAAGAGGTTTCATTGAGTCATAGTTTAGCATGGCTGGGGAGGCCTCAGAAAACTAACAATCATGGCAGAAGGGGAAGCAAACAGATCCTTCTTCATGTGGTAGCAACAAGGAGAAGTGCCAAACAAGAGGGGGAAAAGCCCTTTATAAAACCCTGAGATTTCAAGAGAGCTCACTATTATGAGAACAGCAGCATGGGGGTAACGACCCCTATGATTCAATTACCTCTCATGGGCTCCTTCCCACAACATATGGGGATTATGGGAACTACAATTCAATAGGAGATTTGGGCGGGGACACAGCCAAACCATATCATCAACATTTCTGGCACGAGGAACCAGTTTTGTGGAAGACAATATTTCTGTGGACCTGGGGTGGGGGTTGGGGCAAAGGTTTCAGGATGATTCAAGTGCATCACATTTATTGTGTGCTTGATTTCTATTATTACATTGTAATATTTAAATAATTATACAACCTCACCATAATGTAGAATCAATGGGAGTCCTGAGTTTGTTTTCCTGGAACTAGATGGTCCCATCTAGGGGCGATGGGAGATAGTGACAGGTCATCAGGCATTAGATTATCATAAGGAGCATGCAACCTAGATCCCTCACATGTGCAGTTCACAATAGGGTTTGACCTCCTGTGAGAATCTAATGCAGCTACTGATCAAGAAGAGCCAGAGCTCAGGTGGTAATGTGAGTCATGGGGAGTGGCTGTAAATGCAGATGAAGCTTCCCTCACTCACCTGTTGCTGCTCACTTCCTGCTGTGCGGCCCAGTTCCTAACAGGCCTCTGACTGGTATGGGGGTAGAGGGTGGGGGTGTTGGAGACCCCTCTCCTAGAGGAAAGGAAATGCAACAGACTGGCTTTCTTCTTGGAATCCCCTCATCAGTTCTCAGTTTTCTCATCTATAATAAGAGGAGTTTGAACTATAATTATCTGAAGTCTGCCCCAGCTGGTTACTCTGGGAGTCTAGGATCTAAAATTGGGGAAAGACGACATGCACATAGAAATTACATTTTAAAAATCTATATAGTGTAGGAAAGAAGGAAGCCCTGAGGCTGAAGCAGTGACTATGCAACTCTCCTTACAGAAGCCATGTTCAGGAGACCTCATTCCCTTTTGCAGACCCTCATTCACTTTTTTCCCCTCACCCCTACTCAGAATCAGAGCTAATTTTTCTTAGGAAAGAAACTCTTTCCAGAAGTGAGGCAGATACAATGCTTTGCATTTTTCAGATGAGAAAGCTGTGAGTCACAGTTGAGTAATTTGTCCACAGTGACACAGTGTATCTAATAAGTGGTAGAGAGAAACAAGTAGGAGACAGAGACAGTCATTTGACAGAATCTCCCTTCCCTTGAACCCTTGTGTCAAGAGCTTCTGGGATCCTACTTTCAACACTGGTAGGCTGGACTGCTTTTGGCTGAGGTGAGTTCTCTCTAAAGCCATCTTGCTGACCATCACTTTATATTGGCTGACCTCTCAGTTTCCTCTCTGTAAATACAAGCAGCAATATCTGAGTCCATGCCTCCCAGGGATAGTAAGATAAATGAGATAATAAAGGTGAGAACCAAATGAGCTCCTCTTAATGATGGTGTTAAAAACCCCATGAGGTACTGTGATGTTATTAACAAAATGCAGAGGCTGCAGAGTTACATTTGGCCAAATTCTTACACCTCTCAATTTTTTAGCAAGGAGACATAGATATGAAATCAGTATTCCCAATAGTGAAACTGACTACAAGTGTGTTCTCATTTTTAAACAAACCTATTCTATGCAAATCCAATTAATAGAAAAAGTATACCAATCAAGGATCTATACATATAGCTATCTTTCACAAAACTATTCTAGTTTTCCTTATTAAAAAACTTCAAAACACTTCATGCTTTGTGGCATTTCAGTGAAATTGGAATTGTAAAATAATGATTTACTGAAAACCTTTTAAAGGTACTGATCTGGCATGAAGTGAGGTACGACTGAAGTTTCTAGACAACCATTTGAGATTTTGGCTGTGGAGCCCTCCCAAAAGAAGATTCTACCAGCCAGTTGCATCACTTGCAAATATTGGAGGCCGTTGCTCTGGAAAAGCAACTAAAAATAATACCTGGGTGTGGACAAAATAAGAAGGGAGCCATACTCAGCTATGAGCCAGTGTATTGCAAAGGGCCAGTGCTGGTCAAAAGCAGTGGGGCCATCATCTTGATTTAGACATACTGTCCACTTCTCTAATGCAAACCCACAAAATTGTTGACTCTTAGAGTGCCCACAAAGCTTCTGCTGTGACGATAGGACTTTTAGGGCCATGAAGAAGCTAACACTAACTTTTACATTTCAATTTTTACCTTTTCCCACATAGCTTACGCTAAAACTCTTCCCAACTTGTGGCCTGGAGAATGTATTTTTCTGGCATTACATTCCCTTTCCAACATTATTCCTGTCCCTCAACCTGTTCAGTAATCTTATCTAAAACTACTGGATAATTCCTTTGAGGGTGCTATCATAGCCCAAATATGTCAAGGTCTGTTTTTCACTAGTAAACAGTGAACATCTTCAGTTTTAAATGATAAGTTAATTCTACAACTTAATTGAGCCCATTTATGTTTATTCATTGCTGAAGTTCCTCTTAGATCTTGCCTTCTCTCACATCTTCTCTATAACCCAAGAAGGAACCCACCTAGATCTCCTGGACCCCCTCTTGCCTGATTTAGGTAGATCATCATAGGAGATGAAAAATTATCATCTCAAATTTAAGTTTTCAAGAGATGGTATCAAAACACGCTTTTGTCAACAAGCCCAATCATATTCCCACAACTTTTGAGTGCTCTTCCTGATTCTAGAGCAAACACACTGATTTAGATAGAGCACCATGTTTCTGAACCTTGAATAATCCTGTTCAGATTGAAGCAGGGGTGTATTAATAGAGCGCAGGTCTTGGAGTTAAACCACACCCGCCCTCACCCCCAACCCCACCACCCCACAACAGGCTTAGGAAGGTTGCTCAACCTCTCAAGGCGAAGGCGTTTGCTGTTTCTCATCTGTAAAACACCAAAGATTGCCATCCCCATCACTGTTGTGGAAGATCAGCGAGACATAAAGTGCCTGTCAGGATGTTTGGCCAATAGTGGTACCTGATTCAGTCATTCAGTGACTTTCACAGTCACCTTGAGCTTGACTCTCTCAAGAAAAGAAAAGAAATTAAGAAGCATGTGAGCCATTGAACCTTGACCACAAATATTCTAAGAAACTTATAACTCCTTAGCCATATGTTTCATTTCAAATCCAAGTATGAAAAAAGCTATGTAACTGAACTAAAAAGTGGATCTACTCTATAATTTATTGTATTATAATACATATGTATACATCTCACACACTGTGTATTTATACTTTAAGAGAGAAAGACTTTTATAAGACTTTTTACGTCAAGTGAGGGCATCTGTTCATTTCTGTAGAGCACATACTGCTTTGCTGCAGAGTGCAGAGAGAATGACTTTGCTCTTCATACCCTAAAATTGAGTCCACCAGGGATGAAACATAGGCGTGTAGTAGCAAAGGCTTCTGTCCAGCTGAGCAGTAAATCCTGGCTGCCCCTGATGATCACAGGGACTGGCTCCTGGTAATAATTTTGATGTCATTATCCTCTCCTAGAAATGCATGAATGGTTCTGGCCTTTAAAAACAGATTTAAGAGGATGCATTTATCTTGACCTTATCAGCCTTTTAAAGATCATGCCGTAGGGCCTGTTGACCTTTCTCTCTTAACGATGAGTTGCAAAACAGTGGGATAACATCAATGGATGAAAGGGAGAAAGAGTGTGTAACCAGAAGCAGCACCCATGGAGAGGAGGAGGTGGGACAGGGATGTTCAGGCTGACAAAGGAAACTTGCTTTAGTCCTGTGGGAATTGAAGAATCCCACATAAATGGAAGCACAGGAGGCACAAATGGGATTCCATTTCCATCTCTGCTCTAAATATGCAGTCCTTGGGTACTGTGATGGTTAATTTTAGGTTTCAACTTCACTGGAATAAGCAATACCTAGAAACTTGGTAAAGCATTATTTTTAGGTGTCTGTGAGGGGTTTTTCCAAGGAGATTAGCATGTGGGTCTGAGTAAAATAGGTGGGGAAGATCTGCCTTTGATATGAGGAGGCACCATTCATTCTTCCAAGTCCAGAAAAGGCAAATGTGTCAATCTATCTGCTGAAACTGGGATACACTCTTCCTCTCTTGTTCTTGGACAAAAACTTCAGGCTCCCAGCCTTTGGGCTCCAGAATTTATAGCAGCAACCCCTTTCCCCACCTGAGGCTCTCAGGTCTTTGGTCATGGAATGGGGATTGTCATAAGCTTCCTTAGATCTAAGGCCTTCAGTCTTGGACTGAGCCACACTACTGGCATCCCAGGGTATCCAGCTTGAGGATATCATGGGACTTCTCAGCCTTGATAATTACATGAGCCAATGCTTTTAATAAATCTCTTCTCATTTATCCATACATATTTTATTGATTCTGCCTCTCTGGAGAACCCTAATAGAGGTATACATCAAGGCATAAGTCAAGAAAAATAAGATATTTGGCTTATTAAGTGGTTGGCAATGACTTCAACTCTTTTTTTTTTTTTTGAGATGGAGTCTCACTCTCGTGCAGGCTGGAGTGCAGTGGCATGATCTCAGCTCACTGCTACCTCCGCCTCCTGGGTTCAAGCAATTCTCATGCCTCAGCCTCCCAAGTAGCTGAGACTACAGGCATGCACCACCATGCCTGGCGAATTTTTGTATTTTTAGTAGAGATGGGGTTTTGCATTGTTAGCCAGGCTGGTCTTAAACTCCTGACCTCAAGTGATCCACCCACCTCGGCCTCCCAAAGTGCTGGGATTACAGGTGTGAGCCACTGTGCCTGGCTGTGACTCCAACTCTCCAACGGGTAAAGCACAAACACATTTACTTAACTGCACCCAATCTTGTGAATTTTGACACTTTTAAATTATAGGTAGTGTTCACCAATTCACCACTGTATAATAGGAATAACATGGGATTCTGTGACTGTTCATGTAAAGGATTCATATAAAGCTCTATCATTTTCTAGTAGAGTTTCCCAAAATATTTTTTAAAAATATCAAGGGTTTCTAACATCTCAAGGATTAAAGACAATAATAAGTAAAGAGTTCTTCACACAGTTCTTTGGTGATGCCATGTGTTTAATTAATGCTAATATCTTCTCCCATTCCGCCAAATTTCCCTTTGCAATAAGTTGCTCAATCGATAAATCAAATGATGAAAAAAAGATACAGTTGATAAAAATTAGAAATTGAGAATGTCTGGCTTCCCTGAAAGTTTTGAGATCTAGTTACCGTGACCACATATTTAGGGCAATACAGAATTTTAACAGAGGGACCAAAATTTGAAATTGAAAGCACTCTGAAAAAATACAAGAGCTGCCATGAGCACAGTAAAGATCTCTAATACACACAAATAAAAATCGAGTAAGTTAAAAGCACCGGCTTTTCTGCCCTCTCAACCCAAGGAGGTCATATCAATGCACAAACTAAAATGCACAATTCTATGCTTACCCACTATCACTACAGCCCAGTGAATGCTTTAAATCCCAGACATGGTTAAAAATATAGCTGGTTATGTGATTTTCTATTAAACCTAATATAGTGGGATGAACCATAATACCTTACAGGAGCAGATGAACTAGTATTTCCAAGGCAACCAAAGGATATCAATATCACTTTATTATTATTATTATTATTTTCATTCTGCAAGGAATCTTCCTTGAAGAGCAATTCCTTTTATGCATTGGTCTGCTTGATAGCTTTCTGAATAACTGTAATCCATAAGGCTTTGTACCTCTTTTTGCATGCTGGAAACACTCTGACTTAATCTAATTATCTCATGAAACTTCACTCTTAAATAAAGCTTGAAGTAAAATTAGAAAGCAGCCTCTTTCTTTTCCTTTAGTTACTGTCTTCATGGTACCTTCCTCTTGGCCGGTTGCTCATAAGAAAATGGGCTATGCCTCTGCAGAGAAAGCATTCTTTACACTTCTCTCTGGCAAGGAGAAGTTGGGTTTGGGCCAAGTCGGGCCCCATGAAAAGAGAATAAAATATGACTGGAAACCTTCCTTCTGCATGACAAAGGAGTGGCTGGCTAGAAGCAAACATTTATTGAGCAAATATTGGAAGTCAGGCACGTTGAAAATATCACTGGTCTAAGAGATCTCAGATTTGCCAGGGAGAAAAATGGGCCAACATGGGATGTCAATATACTCCAATAAAGCCTATAAGGGTCAGCATTGATTCATTATCCAAACAGTGTGACATTTGAGAATGAAAGGGGAGCATCAAAAATTCTGCAAGGACAACTGACATAAACATTATCCTAATTAGGATCTAAATGTCTTGAAACACAAAGGAGAACCCTAATTGAAGTATACGTCAAGGCATGAGTCAAGAGAACTAAGATTTTTGGCTTACTAAGTGGTTGGCAATGACTCCAACTACAACATGGATTTGGAGGAAGGTGGGCCACCAGAGGTTTCAGAGAAATTTTTGCGTTGGGTCATGAAGGAAAAATAGATGTTGTTAAGTGGAGAATCAGAAGAATGTTTCATACAAAATGAAAGAGCAAGGACAAAGATATAGAGTAGTAAAATTGGATACTGTGGCTCATACCAATTTGAACCCAGAGAAAACAATTAGAAGATTTCATTTTTCCCCTTCATATTGAAAAAATACAAAAGACTGACAATGCCAAGTACTCATAAAGGCATAGGTTAATACTCCATGTATAGGTAGAACTAATTTGGAGAATATCACCGAAGTGTCTAATAAAATTGAAGATGCATATGCCCTATAATCCGGAAGTCAAATTCCTGATATAAACCCACATGTGTATCCAAGAATAAAAAAGAACATTCATTGCATATTGTTTATCATAGCGAAAAATTAGAAATAAGTTTTCATGAAGTGCAGAATGGAAAAATAAATTGTAGTAAATCCATTTAATAGGGTACTATTCAGCAGTTAAATGAACTAAAACCCAATGGATCTATCAAAATAAATAAGTCTCAACAAACATATTAAGTGGAAAAAGAAAACAAGCTACAGAAAGATATGTTCTATAAGATACCATAACAATAAAGATTAACAGCATGGAAATAGTACTACAAACTGTTTAATGTATACATTAAAAGGCTTGCATGGCTACTGTACATAATGCTGCAATGAACATGCAAGTGAAAATATCTCTTTTGATCAATTATATACAATAGGGTTTGCACTCCTAAGAGATTATTCAGCTTTTAAAAAGAAGAAAATCCTGCCATTTGCCACAACATGAATGATCCTAGAAGACATTATGCTAAGTGAAACAAGCCAGATACAAAAATACAAATATTGCGTGATATCACTTATATGTGAAATCTAAACTAGTCAAACTCATAGAAGCAGAGTGAAATGGTGGTTGACAAAAATTCAGGAAGGGGTAAGTGAGGAGGTATTAGTCAAGGGTACAAAGCACTTTATCCGCACTTGGAATATACAAGTCCTAGAAATCTACAGTACAGGATAGTGCCTATAGTTAACAGTATTGTATTGTATACTTAAATATTTGCTAAGATGGTAGATCTTATGTAAAATTTTCTTATCACACACAAAATAGTAGAAATAATAAAGAGAGCAGAAAGAAACTTCTGGAGGTGATAGGTTTATGGCATAGATTGTGGTGATGGTTTCATGAGTGTGTATTTATCTCTAAACTCATGAAGTTGTATATATTAAATATGTACAGCCTATGTCAATTATATCTCAAAGTTTTTTAAAGCTTGTGTGAGAATGCAAATATAGAGTCTTGGACAGTGGTTTGATCTAGGTAGAAAAGTAAAGAAGAGAATCAATTAAGATGTACATAGTTGCCTTTAACTGTGATTGTATCTTTATTTCTTAAAAGAGAAGAGGGAAATGTGACACAAATTGGCAGGTTTTTAGATCTGATAGAGCTGGGGGATGGTTACATAGGAGTCCCCTCTATTTTATGGGGAGATTAGTAGGGATCTGAAGCCAAGCTGTCTGAGTCCAATCCAGTCCAGCTCAACCACTTCACCAGTGCGTGACACCTTGGGAGAATGATTTTACCTCTCCAAGTGTCAACTCCTTTCCTATAAGATATGGCTAATAACAGTGCTACAATGACTAAATGAGTTAGTGTTTGAAAGCTCTTAGAGACTACAGGAATAAATAAGTGATGGTGAAATAAAAATAAACAATGTATTGCACAGCTCAAGTAGGTAGAGGACAGGAGAGCTGGGATGGGTGATGATAACCTTACTTCAATCTCATTTTTCATGACAAGGAAACTAAGGTTAGGGGAGTAGAATTAACTTTGATTACAAGGTAGAAGCAATCAGAGATATCACACTGGGCTCACAACAAAAGAACTGTATAACTGGAAGGCTCCTTGGTGATCCTACTGATAGGGACAGGAGGCAGAGAAATTCTAGCCAGAAAAGGGTGAGTCTCTGGTGAAGCCCCACCTTCAAGCTGAAAAGCCTGAAACAACAGCCCAAAGTGAGAAATTCTATCGCTGTTTTTCCACTTGAATGTTTCCTTTTCATAAACCACCCATGGCCCCACCATGCCTCATCCTGTGCCTATAAAGACCCCAGAGTCAGCCAGCAGAGAGGAGGAGCAGCTGGATGTCAGAGAGCAGCAGCTTGACTTCAGAGGGATGGCTTGATGGAGTAACTTCAGAGAATAATCTGGCCAGAGATGGCTAGACTTCAAGGGAAGATTACCTACCCTCTCATCCGTCCCCTTTTCAGCTCCCCTTCCCAGTGAGACCCACTTTCATTGGCAATAAAATCTCCTGCATTTACCATTCTTCAATTTGTGTGACCTCACTTTTCCTGGATGCTGTACAAGAGCCCAAGAGCCATGAGTGTAGATACAAAAAGCTGTCACACTGGCCCTTTGCCCTTGCTGGCAGAGGGCAGCTGCCTCACACAAAAAAACAAAAGACTCACTGAGCTGTTAACATTTAAGCCATCCACAGATGGCAGTGCTAAAAGAGCACTGTAACACATCATCTGGGGCTTCAGGGGTCACAGGCACCCCTACCTGGATGCTGCCGTGGGGCCCACATGGAGTTCACTCCTGCTGGTGCCGATGTGTCTAGTCAGTTCCAACACTCATGCACTCCAGTTCCTGCCTCGTTCGCTCATGCACTCTCTCCCATGAGGAGTTGAGGGCGGTGGGCTATGTAAATGAGGCATTCCTGTTGTGAGTCCCATGAAGGGGTCAGGGAAGTATCCTGCTTCACTAGCATTTAGTACAGAAGTTGACAAAACTTTTCCATAGAAAAACAGGCCTTGGGTAGGATTTGGCTCATGGACTCTCAGGCTGTAGTTGGCCAACACCTTGTCTAGGGGTTCTCAAATATTCTATGCATCAGAATCACCTGGAGAGCTAGTTAAACACAGATTGGTGGGCCCCACCCCCAGATTTTCTGATTCGGTAGGGGTGGGGCCTGAGAATTTGCATTTCCCACGAGTTCCCAGAGGATGTTGATGCTGCTGGGCCAGGGGCCACATGTGGGGGTGTCCACCGTTATAATGTAACTTTCTCATTTTATACTTGAATAGAATGAGGCCAAACTGGATCAATGAATAGAATTGATCCAATTTTGTTAAGTGAGATCAGACAGCAAGTAAAAGAATTTAGGCTTCATTCGAAATCTTGTTTATTTTAAAATAACATATAAAGTTACAACTGTATCCTGGGTGCTGTGCTAGGCTCTGGGTATATAAAGATAAATGTGACATGGTCCTTGCCTTCCAGAAGCTTGCAGTATAGTAGAAGAAATGAGATAATAGATGATACAGTATGTAAGACTCCTGGGAGCATAGGAAACATTGGGACCCCAGAGAATTACCTGGTTTCTTGAAGGAGGGGCCACCTGGAGTATCTTGAAGAATAAATAGTCATCCAACAGGAAAAATAGGCAGGTGAGGGGAGGAAATTCCAGGTAAAGGGAACAGATTGTGTAAGGCATAAGAGAAGCAACATGGCATCATGCTTCACAGTAGGAATTCTGGCTCTGCTACTTACTAGCCTGGGTCAGTTATTTAACCTGAAAACCTCAGTGTCTTCTTCCAAACATAGGGATAATAAAAGAACTGACCACCTAGGGTTGATGTGTGAATTACATAAGATAATGAATGTATAGTGTTTTGGCCTAGTGCCTGAAACACAATTAGTCCTTAATAAATATGGGCAATTGTTATTTGTGTTATTATTATAGCCAGTGATGTATCAGAGCATGATACATTCACAGTCATTAATGAACTAAAGTATGAGGTGCAGGTGGAGCTACTGAGGCGGGCAAGGCCAGAAAATGAAGGACTCTAGTCCCTGCCTGACTCAGGGAGGGCAGTGAGCAGAGAGTGGCAGAAGAGTGGCATTCTAAGGTCTCCATTATAATTGAAGGAGGAGAGAATGATTAAGACAAGTGATGTGGTAACCAAGAATTGGGAAAAGATTTTGAAGAAAAGATGATGAGGTCAATTTTGGAAATCAGTGGGATATCGAAATGGAAATGTCTGGAACTCAAAAGAAAGATCTTGGCTACCCAAATTCGAAATCCCTGGGTTGGCAGTTGAATAGATGGAAGTGAAATATCACCCTGCAATATTATGTAGGGAGAAGAGAGTTCACACCAATGCTTAAAAAGTCAGCATTGAGAAGTAGAAAAGAAGTAGAAAAGAAGAATCATGAGACAGCATCCAAGTAGCTAAGAGAGAATAATTTTAAGGAGGAGTTGCAGTCAACAATATAGAATACTCCAGAGATCAAGCAAGATAAAGATCAGTGAGTAACACCTGGATTTAGAACCAGGAGAGGCAACTTAGACCTCTGCTTTATACTAGGTGGAATGCATTGTGTACATTTCATAAAGAAATATATATTTGCATATAAGGTAAAAGGGGATAAGCAGAAATTAAGTCAAAGAGCAATTTTTCTCCCCATAATGAACAAAATACCCTCCTCCTAAAAACCTCAAGAATAAAGATTTGAAAGCTTTACTCTCACCCTCTCCCCAAGGACATTCCAAGCCCTCTGTGATCCCCAGATGACACTAGACCAGCCTCAACTCCTCTGACATTTTTATGAAGATTGTCTTAACTATGCAGAGTCTGTATTTTCCCAATACACACCGTGACTTTTCTAGCCTCTGTGCCTTTGGTCATCCTGCTCCCTCAGTGAAGAATTCCCTTAACTTTTCCTAAAATAAGGAAATAATTCTCTCATACCTTAAAGCTTGATTCTTGTTCCATACCAGACCCTCATTATCTTGCCCACCTACTACTATCCTCTGGCCCAAAACTCTTTATAGCATTTTTTTTTTCACAACCTACACTCCTTTTATTTACCTCCTCAATTCCTCAAGGTGAAAAACTACTCCCTCTCTGTTGGTGTGTATTCTATCCAATTGTTTCGTTGTATCCAAGTGCCTGGTATACAGAAGGCAGTCAATAAACAGTATTGAAAGGATGGAGGAAACAGGTATCATGCTTAAAATGCATTTCTAAATAATTCAGGACAAGCAAAAGAAAATTAATTAAGAAGTTATGCACATAAACTGAACAACTGAGTGGGATACAGAGAACTGAAGTTTACAGAGAGGATGTGGGAGAGGGGACGGCTTACGAAGAAGAGGAAAGTAACCAGGTATCTACTAGGCACACTTGTCAAAAGTAATTTTATCGTCACATAAACTTTAAAATACTGTTATCGTTCCCATTTCAAGAATGAGTGCACAGAAGCTTGGAGAGGCTACCAATTTTTGCCCAAATAGAGCAGCTTATGTCAGTACAAAATTGAATATGATTCTTACAATACTTCAGGATTCTGATACCATGTTGCTTTTTGGAATTAGAATACAGAAGACTAAACTGAATTAAACACTAAAGCAAGATGTAAATAGAGACTTGGCATCCATTAACTGATCTAGTAAATGGCATCTGTACTGCTGAGGCAATAACAGATACGTGTATAAAAAATGGATTTATAAAGGAGAGAAATCAGATCTGTCTCATCTACTTGCCTCATACAATTGTGATGAGAAGCAAGTAAGACAATGTATTTTGCAGGCATTTTGCAAAACTGGAACAACTCTCTGTATCTAAGAGACAATAAGTTATAGGACTCCTGACTTCCTCCCTGCTCTACACTCTTTAAACATTTCTCTTGCCAATTTTTTGCTTATCCTTTCCTTTTTGCCTTAATCATCAAAACATGATTGCAATTAAGACTTGGTGTTTCTCTGGGTCCTGTTTCGAATTATTTTAATAACATGGTATATTTCAAGAAGTATTTCAAATAGTGTCATAGAAATTTTGACTAGGGGTCAGAAGGCCTGTTATTTCTCTTGGCCTCACTTTCTTTACCTGTAAAGTGAGAGAACGGAATTAAATGATTTCTAAAATTTTTCCCAACTCATGCATTTTATAATTATTTACTCTTCTGAAATTCCTGTGATAAGGGAAGTGTAGATTAATTCTCCCCCATCTTGACAATTTGGTTCTTAGGAATCTGAGAATATCTTTATTTTCTTGTTCTTGATATGATTCCAAGAAAGCAAATACGTATTAGACAAATTTCTCTCTGAGTATTATTATTGTAGCACTGAAATCCAGGATGAGTAACTTTTTCCTCTAAATATTAGATTAAGTTCCTATTCTCACTGTTGACAGGGATTAAAAAAATACTTCCATTCCACACAGCACCTTTTGTCAGCTAGAAGCTGATAGAAAATTTCAGGGGAGAAGTGATCATCTTAAACAGCAGGCCCTGGCTTTAATTCAGGGAATGAAAGTTACATTGATTTTTTTTAAAGTGATCTGAAACCAGCAGGAATCTCTATCCAAAGCCCAGACAGATGGCTGAACCAATGGGCTCCCTGTGATCATCTCTGCTACCCATATATCATTTGGGTAGAAAATAAATGGGTTTTAAATTACCTTTAGTTCCAGATAGACCTAGAAATTAAATCTCTACACATTTGAAAAAAGCTAATACCACCTTAAGCTGCATTAATAGAAATCAATTTCTTTGTCATGGGAAGTAATTGACTCATTCACCCTATATTTAAGTTAGAATATTCATTTCTTTTAATCATATGCTAAGTGTAAAAGTAACACATTAGAGTTTGTCCAAAGAATAATGGGTAGTACATTAAGAGGGTCTGAAAGTCATGTTCTCTATAAGACAACAGAGGATTGTAATTCAGATAAAAGACGATTTAAGAGAGACCTCATAATGGTCGTCAATTATTAATATATAATACAGTACATTCTATGTTATTCAGGAGGACATAGCAGATAAACAGGAGGAAGAGATATTTGATTAAATGGTACAGAGAAGATTCCAAAGGATCAAGCAATCCTGAGTTAGAACAGGTCTTCTCAGAAGGTGACACTGACTAGACACACAATGTGTGAAGGAGTGGGCAAATGGCTATCAGTTGGAGATGATATAGCTGGGAAGTAACAAATATTCTTTATAAAATTAAGATCCCCTTTTTCCTTTCTTTTTTTTCTTTTTTTTTTTTTTGGAGTCATTCTCAAGTCACTTTCAAAATCAATAACAGAAAAACCACCATCTCCCCTGGAGGAAAGACATGGGCTCTCATCTTCATCTGTAAACATGGAACCCTGATATCAGGTTCCATAAATATCTGCTCTATTTATGAGTGCTCATGTTTGTTTTCCACTAGTGGTATCATTTTTATTACAGGTATTAGGACCCTCATATCCTTTTCTATGATAGCAATTTGCTCTCTGTTTTTCCTTGAAAGCCTTCTCTGCATTCTAGAGATGTTGAATGTAGGTCTTCAAATAGAGAATCATTAAAGAAACTTTCATTTCAGACCACCATGGAATGACAGGGATGAGATTACCCTCATGCCTTAAACAATTAGATAATTAGTATAGATACATAAAAAGTGGTTTTCAGACATTGGACAGCAGGCTATGCAGGACAATGATCCCTGAAAGAAGAGAAACAAACAAGATGACCCTTATAAATGGCCCAGAGCATCATCTGAAAAAAATGTTTCCAGATCAAAGCACAGAGAGGGAGAACCCAAACCGAATCCAGTAGCCTCACTGAGTGGAGGGGACAGAGTTCAGAGTTCGGAGAGACCAAGGCAGCTAGAAATCATGGTGCAAGTTACTGAAGAGGAAGGAACTATTCCAAGATGGACTGCCAGAAATGTGCAGATGGGTCTTTTGAGTCTTTGGCTGAGGGTGAATGTTAGCATGCTGGAGAGAAGAATACCCAAAGCCAGGGGAGAAAACTGAAAAGAGGTAATCACAACAATTTCTGAAGGTCACAAAGGGCTGGGAAGAGTTTGTATTCCCAACAGGTAAAGGGGCAATACACAGGTAAATAATACACACAACATCAGGTAGAACCCATGAAAGGGCATGGTCTTGGTAGAGGAGCTAAATTAGCCTTAGAATGATTTCTGGAACTACCCTAATGAAGCAAAGCTTCCAAGCCTACAAGAGATTCCAAGTAGCTTAACTGCATACTAGAAGAAAATCCAACACTAGAAAAGGAATATGACAAAATCCAGCAACCCAAAAAGTAAAATTCACAATATCTACCATCAATTCAAAATGGCAAGACATACAAAGAAGCAAGAAAAGATAACCTGTGCCCAGGAGAAAAACCAATCAATGGCAACAAAAGCAGAAACAACACAAATGATACAATTAGAAGACAGAAACATTGAGATTGCTATTATCATGATTTTCCATATGTTCAGGAAGTAGACAAAAGCATGAGCATGATTAGAAGATAAATGGAAGCTTTTTACTCCCCAGCTTTATTAAGGTATAATTGACAAATAAAAATTGTATATATTTAAGGCACACAACATGATGATTTGATACAGGTGTACATTGTGAAATGATTACCACCAAATTGATAAACACATCTATTATCTCACATAATTACATTTTGTGTGAATGTGTGGTGATAACACAAGATCTACTCCTTTCGTGAATTAAAGTATACAATATGATATTAAGTATAGTCACCATGCTGTACATTAGATACTCAGTACTTATTCATCTTGTAATGAAAGTCTGTACTCTTTGACGAACATCTCCCATTTTCACTGTGCTCTGCTCTTTTCCCTTCTCCAGGCTCTGACAATCACCATTTTACCCTCTGCTTCTATGAGTTCTAATTTTTTATTTCACATATAAGTGAGATCATATAGTACTTGTCTTTCTATGTCTGGCTTGTTTCATCTTATATAATGTCCTCCAGGTTCATTCATGTCGTGGCAAGTGACAGGATTTTCTTCTTTTTTACAACTAAATAATATTCCTCTGTGTGTGTCTGTGAGAAAATCACATGTTCTTTATCCATTCATCCATCAATGGACACTTAGATTGTTTCCATCTCTTGGCTATAATGGATAGTGCTCCAATGAACATGACACTGCTGGCATCTTAGAGATACTGATGTCATTTCCTTTGGGTATATACCCAGAAGTGAGACAGCAGGATCATACAGTAGTTCAATTTTAAAGTTTTTTGAGGAATATCCATACTGTTTCCATACTGGCTGTACCAATTTACATTTCCATCAACGGTGTATAAGGGTTCACTTTTCTTCTCATCCTCACCAACGTTTGTTATCTCTTGTCTTTTTCATAATAGCCATCCTAACAGGTATGAAGTGATGCCTTGTGGTTTTAATTTGCATTTCTCTTATGATTAATGATGTTAAATGCCTTTTCATGTACCTGCTGGTCAATTGTATGCCTTTTTTAAAAAAAACATTTATCTAGATCATTTGCACAATTTTAAATTAGGGGTTTTTTTGTTTGGGTTGGTTGCTATTGAATTGTATAAGTTTCTTATATATTTTAGATATTAACCATTTATCAGATGTATAATTTGCAAATATTTTCTCCCATTCTATAGTTTGCCTTTTCATCTTGATTTTTTTCTTTGTTGTTCAGAAGATTTTAGTTTTATGTAGTCCAACTTGTTTATTTTTGTTTGTGTTGCCTGTGCTTTTGATGTCATATTAAAAAAATCTTTGGCAAGACCAATATCAAGGAGCTTTCCCCCTATGTTTACTTCTAGGAGTATTAGTTTCAAATGTCACATTTAAATCTGAATTCATTTCAACTTTTTTTATGTGTATGATGTAAAACAACGGTCTAATTCCATTATTTTGCATGTGAATACCTATTTTTCCCAACATCATTTATTTAAGAAACTATCCTTTCCCTGTTGTGTATTCTTGACACCCTTATCAAAGATGCGTTGAGTGATGTGCATAGGTTTATTTCTGGTCTCTTAGTCTGTTCTATTGGTCTGTTTGTCTGTTTTTATTCTAGTACTATACTCCTTTGATTACCAGAGCTTTGTAATATAGCTTGAAATCAGGAAGTGTGATGCTTCCAGTTTTGTTATTGTAATGCAATTTTGCATTGGATATTCAGAGCTGTTTGTGGTTGTATGTGAAATCTAGGATTGTCTTTCTGCTTCTGTGAAAAAATCCACTGGAATTGTGTTGAATCTGTAGATAACTTTTCGTAGCATGAGCATTTTAACAACGTTAATCCTTCCAATTCATTAACACAGAATATCATTCTATTTATTTGTGTCTTCTTCCATCAGCATCTCACAGTTTGCACTATAGATCTTTTATCTCCTTAGTTAAATTTATTCCTAAGTATTTTATTCTTTTTGGTGCTAGTGTAAATTTGATTGTTTTCTTAATCTCTTTTTTGCATATTTTGTTGCTAATGTACAGAAACAAAATTTTTTGCACATTGATTTTATATACTGCAACTTTACTAAATTTATTAGTTCTAACAGTTTCTTGGTGGAGTTTTAGCATTTCTATAAATAAGATTATGTCATCTGCAGAGAGAGACCATTTAGCTTCTTCCTTTCCAATTTGAATCTTTTATTTCTTTTTCCTAATTGCTCTGGCTAGAACTTCCAGTACTATATTGAATAAAAGTTGTGACAGTGGGCATTCCTCTCTTATTTCTGATCTTAGAGAAAGAGCTTTCAGCTTTTCACTGTTGTGTATAATGTTAGCAGTGGGCTTGTCATACATGGCCTTTATTATGTTGAGGTACATTTCTTCTATACCTAATTTGTTGAGAATTTTTATTATGAAAGGATGTTGATTTTGTCAAATGCTTTTTCCCCATCTATTGAGATAATCATATATTTTTCATAATCCATTCTGTTATGTGGTACATCATGTTTACTGACTTCTGTATGTTAAACCATCCTTACTTTCCAGTGATAAATCCTACTTGATCAGGGTGTATGATTCTATTAATGTGCTGTTGAATTCAATTTGCTAGTATTTTGCTGAGGATTTTTGCATCTATGTTCAGCAGGGATGTTGGCCTGTAATGTTCTGTTCTCTTAGTGTTCTTATTTGGCTTTGATATGAAAATCATGCTGCCATTGTAAAATTAGTTTGGGAGAATTCTGTCCTCTTCAACTTTATCAAAGTGTTTGACAAGGACTGGTATTAATTCGTCTTTAAATGTTTGGTAGAATTCACCCATGATCCATCTGCTCCTGGGTTTGTCTTTGATAAGAGGTTTTTGATTACTGGTTTCATCTCTTTTCTCACTATTGGTCTGTTCAGATTTTCTGTTTCTTCATGGTTAGTCTTGAGAGGTTGTATGTTTCTGGGAATTTATTTTTTATTTTTATTTAAGACAGGGTCTCCCTCTGTTGCCCATGCTGGGGTACAGTTGCATGATCATTGCTCACTGCAGCTTCAACCTCCTGGGCTCAAGCAATCCTCCCACCTCAGCTTCTCAAATAGCTGGGACTATGGGTGCATGCCACCACACCTGACTAATTTTTGCATTTTTTGTAGAAATGGGGTTTTGTCATGTTGCCCAGGCTGGTCTCGGACTCCTGAGCTCAAGCCCTCCACCCACCTCGGCCTCCCAAAGTGCTGCAATTACAGGTGTGAGCCACAGCACCCAGCCTGGGAATTTCTTTAGAGAAATGGAAGCTTTCCAAAATATACAAAGGGAACTTCTAGACATAAAAAATTTAAATATCTGAAATGAAAAAATATACTTCATGAGATTAGTAGCAGATTAAATACTGCAGAAGAAAAGATCTTGAACTAGAAGAAACAGCAACAGAAACTATTAAAGTGCAAAGAGAAATAAAGAAGAAAATTGAACAGAACCTCAACAACTTGTGAAACACTATCAAGCAATCTAAGATATGTATAACTAGAATCCCAGAAGGAATTGAGATTGGAAAGTGGGTGATGGTAACAACTGTGAAGAAATCATGGCCAAATCTTTCCAAATTTTATGAAGACCTATAAATCCAAGAAGCTCAATGAACCATAAAAAATTGAACATAAATAAAACCACAATAAGATGCATCATAACAAAATAAATGAAAACCAGAACAAAGAAAAAATCTTAGAAGTGGGCAAACTAAAAAATATATTACATACAGAGATACAAAGGTAAGAATGCTAGTAAACTTACTTAAAACTACGCAAAACAAAACTAACTGATGCAATATCAAATACAGAAAACCAACCATCAACCTACTTAGATTTTATTATCTAGTAAAAACACATTTTATAAATAAAGGTTAAATAAAGCCCATTTCAGAAAAAAATATATAAAAACATTCATTGCCGAGAGCTCTGCAATATTTCAAAGAACTATTTAAGGAGGTACTAAAATCGTATAGAAAATGATAGCTTTATAGATGGAAATTTGGATCTACACAAGGGAATAAACATAAAAGTTAAATATTTGGATAAATATGAAAGATTTTTCTCATTTTTAATTTCTTCAAAAGATAAATTATGATTTAAAGTGAAAATAACAATTGTAATACAGTATATAACATGAGTAGGAATAAAATATATGACATTAATACCACAGAGCCAAGAGGAGGGCAATGGAACTATACTGTTGTAAGGTTTCCATATGCTAATAAGAGTGCTTCAAAATAAATAAAGAAAAATTGCTAGAACTGAAAGAAGAAATATGCAAATCCACAAGGATAATTGGAGATTTCAACACACCTCATTAAATAATTGACATAACTATGAAAAAATCAGTTAATGTACGGAAGACTTGAAAAACACTTTCAACCAATGGAACCTAAACGACATGTATTTTAAAACTCCACCAAATAACAGCACTATATGCATTCATTTCAAGTGCACGTGGCATGTTTTGCAATTTGATCATACTGTGAGACATAAAACAAGTCTTAAAAAGTTAAGACGTATGACAATCACAACAGAAATGAACTAGATATGAGTAATAGGAATATACCTAGGAAAATTTTAAGATATTTGGCACTCAACTAGTGTATTTTAAATAACTCATGGGTCAAAAATTACAGAGAAATAAGAAAATAGTTTGAACTGAATAAAAATTAAATCACACATACTAAGATTTGTGGGATGTTGCTAATGTAGTACCTACAGGGAAATTTCCAGCACTAAATTCTTATATTAAAAAATAATGCATGCAAGGTTTTTAGCTTTCAGCTTAAAAAACTAGAAAGAGCAGAGAAAACTGAACCTAAAATAAAGAAAAAGACATAATAAAGAAATCAATTAAATGGAAAACAAAGAAAAAAGAAAATCCATGACACCAACCAAGAACTGTTCTTTTGAGAAATTGACAAAATTGGTAAGCTTCTAGTAAAAAAAAAAAGAATTTAATAGGAAAATAATATATAAAAGGTATAAATTATCAACAGTACAAAGGGAAGGAAGGAATTTATCACTAAGATTCTACAGACACCGAAAGTATACTAAAAGGATATAATGAGTAATGTTATGCTAATAAATTTTACAACTTATATGAAAATGACAAATTCCTTGAAAATACTTTCTACCAAAGCTTACTGTAGAAGAAATAATCTGGATAGTCATATAACAATTCAAGATATTGAAGTAGTTATAAATCTTTATAAAAATTGTGTAGGCCTAGATGGTTTCATTGATGCCTTTCTACCAAACATTTAATCTTCTAGAAAATAGAAGATGATGGAACACTTTACAGCTCCTTTCAGAAACCAGACACAGAATCACCTTGACACTAAAACCAGACAAAAACATTATATAGAAAAAAAACTTTTAGACCAATATACCTCTTTAACATAAGTTCAAAAATCTTTAACAAAGTATTAGCAAATGGAATACAACAATATATTAAAGAATAATATATCATAGTCAAGTGCAGTTCATCCCAGAAATAAAAGGTTGGTCCAACATTCAAAAACAAATCATTAATTCACCATTTTAACACACTAAAAATAAAAGACCACACAGCCATTTCCATAGATGCAGCAATTCCTCTCCTAGGTATTTAATCAAGAGAAATGAAAACATATGTTCATACACGGACTTTGCAGATGAATGTTCATAAGTTTTATTTCAGATAAACAAAATCTAGAAGCAACTCAAACTGTTCATCAATATGTGATTGTGATGTATGTATAGAATAAATCACTATTCAGCAATATAAAGGAATGAACTGCTAATACAGTCAACAATATAACATGGATGAACTTTAAAAGCACCATGCTAAGGGAAAGAAATGCTACAAAAGATTATATGCATATGGTTCTCTTAATATGAACCTCTGGGAAATGTAAAATTGTATTGGTTTCCAAGGGTGAAGGGGTCAGAGGAGTTCCTCTACTACAATGAGGCACAAGGGAACATTTTGGGATCATAAAAATATTACATATCCTGCTTTTACAGCACTGTATACACTTGTGAAAACTCACAAAATTGTAAATTTGAAATTAAAGAATTTTACTATAAGTAAATAATATCTCAACAGAATAGATATTTAAAAGACTATAAGGTTTTCACAAGTCTTAAATTTTAGACTATAAACTCTCAACATCTCCCTTTTTCCTAAGTCTTTTAAAATGAAAGTTCAATTTTAAGAAAAGTTTCACACAAAAGTAATTCATGCAAATTATTTTTAAAAATAGAAAATGTAGAAATGTACAAAAAGACAATAACTATCATCCAGAGATAAATACTTATTTTTTGCAGCTTTCCTTCCAGAGTTTTTCTTCTATAGTTATGAGAGAATATAAAAAATTTAATAATACTGTATATGTGATTCAATATCTTGCTTTTATCACTAAAACTACAAAATTAAAACCTAATATATGGAATTTATTTCCCTGATTAGAAAACTCAGAATATCTAGTTCATAAGTATTGCAAAATAACTCTTTCCAACTTAAAAAATTCCAGTTAGAAAATATGTTTTATGGTGAAACAATATTATATTAGTAAAATAAAAGCCTGAAAAAGTTTCATTTGGTCTTATTTAGATGAAAACAAATGAATTTTCAAGACTTGCTTCTCATCTATACACCAATGGCTCCATCCAATCTCCCACACCCACAAAAATTAAAAAAAAAAAAAACATTTGTTTTTGGTTTTATTTTGCTGAAGCATCTGAAAGGCAGTTTGCTGAGAGCCAAACTGGGGGAAAAAATGTCTTGTTTAGAGTTCACCCTATCTGCAAAAGTCTTAACTTTGGAGTCAGTCACTTAACATTCTTGGTTTTAGTATATATTTCAGGAAAAGATGTAATAAATCACTCCAAGATACAAATGCATCTGGGAAGCAGAATCATTCCACTGGAAAGCAAGACAAAGGGGGCAGTGCTCTGCAGGTACTAATCAGATAGAAAGAAGCAGCTGAGAGCGATTTCTTGCATCTGTTTATCAAGTACATAAATACTTTAAGCACCTACTGTTAGCCAGGCACCGTGCAGGCAGTATAGCGGGTGGAAAGATACAAATTACTTGCCCTCTAGGACTTGACAGTCTGTACACACAAATTCCTATAATGTGATGTCTATCGTAAAGAGTACAAAGAAAGTTTAAGAATTCAGAATTGAATTTGATCATTTTCAGCTGAAACATCAAGGAGCCATGAAAGGGGGTAATCTAAAGCTGGCTTGTGTGGAATGAGTCAGATTTCAACAGGCAGGTATAGGAGCCCTCAGGGTGGGGTAGAGTAGGAAAATAATCTGAATATGCTGAGAGGCATGACAAAGCTGCTGAGCTGAGAATGCTGAGGACATACCCAGGGAAGAGTTAATTAGTCCAGGTTGACAGCAGTAGCTACATGCTGGGGAATTGTGACTGATGAGCTTAGAAGTTGAGGCCAAATTGCAGATGGCTTTGGCTACCAGGAGAGATGTGTAGACATTACCCTACAAGAAATGGGAGGTCATTGAAGGTTTTCGATCAAGGGTATAATAGGATGCTGTTGTGCTTTGATTAGTCTTGTTGCAATGACTAAAAAATGATTGAAGAAAATAAAAACAAGGTAGGGGTTTATCACAATATTCTGAAAGCCTGAAACCACAATGGTAGCAGAAGGCATAAAATAAAATGACATATATAAGAATTATTTTGTAGTTAAAAGCTATGAGTTTGAGCAATATTGACTTTAAGTGGTGGGCGTTAGGAAGAATCAAGATCCAGAAGGCTAAACAGGAGCAGAAGTACTTTCATTGCCATCTCACATATTCACTTATGATTGCGAGAGTCTCACTGAATCCAGGTGTGACCACAGGATGCTCAGAATAGTACCATGGCAGAGTACTCAGAATGTGAATTCTGCAGCTGGACTGCCTGGGTTTGAGTCCTGATTCTGCTACTTACTAGCTATGCGGCCTTGAGTAAGTTACTAAACCAGCACATGCCTCCTCTCATAAAATATGGCCAACAATCATAATAATTCCTTTATGTGAAAGTTAGGAGAAATAAACAAGTTAACATTTGCAAAGTGCTTGGAGTCATGCCTGGCACAAAGTAAGTGTTTTACAAGTGTTTGTTAAAACAAACAAAACCTCACTATGTTCACATAGTCCTATATTAATGTGAGTTGCCATTGTGGGTGAAACTTTTGGCATCTCTGCCCATCTCCTAAAGCGTTGTCTTTTCTTTGTTCTTAATCTTTTGTTTGAAAGCTATATTTTCTCTTTAGCCAATTTCATTCACTCAGTGGCTATAAATATCATTTGTATGTTGGCAGGAGACAAATGTGTATGTCCCCTCAGACTTCTCCTGCCAACAAGATGCCTTCTTTTGAAAGTTTCACAAGTGCATCAAAATTAGCATGACTAAAACAGAATACATTTATGTGCTGCATATAGATGTTTCAGTCAGTGGTGGACTGTATATACAACCATAATCCTATAAGATTATACTGGAATACCATATGTTTTACTGGCCCTTTTCTATGTTTAGATATATTTGGATACACAAATACTCGCCATTATGCCACAGTTGCCTACAGTATTCAGGACAGCGATATATTGTGTAGGTTTGTAGCTTAGCAGCAATAGGCTATACCACATAGCCTAGGTGTACAGTAGGCAATGTCACATAGGTTTGTGTAAGTGCACTCTATGGTGTGTTCACATGACAATGAAATAGTCTAGCACATTTCTCAGAACATATCCCCACTGATAAGTGACACATGACTATTTGAATCTCCCCACCCCAAACCTGAATCACCTATAGTTTACCAATTCAGACAATGGCACCATCATTCATGGAGGTGTTGTAAATCCAAACTTAAGATTCATCCTTCGTTGCTTTTTTTTCCCCCATTCAATACATCAGTATGTTCTGTAGACATTGTCTCCAAAACATTTCCAGAGTCAGTCAATTTATCGCTCTCTTTACTCCTGACTCTCCAAGTCTAGTCACTGTTATTTCTCAAAAGCACTTCTGTAATCGACATCTAAGCAGTTTCTCTAATTCCATGCTTGCCCTTTTCTAGTTGATTCTCCCCACAACGGCTAAACAGATTGGTAAACAATGTATATCATGCATGCCACTACTCTGGTTAACACTCTATAATCACTCACTACTGAATAAAGAATTAAACCTCAATATTCTCAAATGGCCTACAAGGCCTCTTCTTCCCAGCTTCTCATTCTCTTTTCATGTCCTTCAATCCCTTCCTTGGCTTTCTCTATCATCTTCCAACATGCCAAGCTCTTTCTCACTTCAAGGACTTCCAAGGTTTGTGCTCCACCTTGTTGCAACTTTCTAAACTTGCTGGTCCACTGAACAAATTCTACTTAACCTTCAGGGCTCCCTTCAAATGACATCTTCCCAGCAAGGCCCCCCAACTCTTATTTCCTTCATAGAATGTGCATACTTTGAAAATACGTATTTATTGTAGACTTGTTTGGTTGATATTTGCCTCATCTCCTAAATTATAAGCTGAGAGGACAAGACCATATTTGTTTTGTTCACTGCTATACACCCAGACCCTGTTTAGTGCCTGGGTTGAAATGTATGTTTTGACAAGAAAGAAAAGAAAAAAAAGGGAAGGAAGGAAGGAAGGAAGGAACGAAGGAAGGAAGGAAGGGAAGGAAAGGAAGGAGGGAGGGAGGGGAAAAATGAAGAATGGAGGAAATGAAGAGTGGGAAGGGAGGAAGGAAGGAAGAAGAAAAGAAAAGAAAAGAAAGGAAGAAATGAGGGAGGGATGAAGAGAGAGAAGAAAAGAAACAAAGGAACAAAGGCACGTAAACCCTGGAAGACAACCTAGGCAATACCATTCAGGACAGACATGGGCAAAGATTTCATGATGAAGACAGGAAAAGCAATTGTAGCAAAAACCAAAATTGACAAATGGGATCTAATTAAACTAAAGAACTTCTGCACAGCAAAAGAAACTATCAACAGAGAAACCAGACAACCTACAGAATGGGAGAAAAATTTTGCAAACTACACATCCTACAAAGGTCTAATATCCAGCATTTATAGATAACTTAAATTCACAAGAAAAAAAAAAAACTCCATGAAGAAGCGGGCAAAGGACATGAACATTTTCGACAGAAGACATATATGCAGCCAACAAGTCTACAAAAAATAGCTCAACATCATTGATCACTAAAGAAATGCAAATCAAAACCACAATGATACCATCTCACACCAATCAGAATGGCTGTTATTAAAAAGTCAAAATATAACATATGCTGACAAGGTTGTGGAGTGCCTATACATGGTTGATGGGAGTGTAAATTAGTTCTACCATTGTGGAAGACAGTGTGGCAATTCCACAAAGATCTAAAGAGAGAAATACCATTCAACTCAGCAGCCCCATTACTGAGTATATACCCAAAAGGACATAAATCATTCTATTATAAAGACACATGCATACATATGTTCACTGTAGAACTAGTCACAATAGCAAAGACACGGAATCAACCTAAATGCCCATCAATGATAGACTGGATGAAGAAAATGTGGTACATATACACCATGGAATACTAGGCGGCCATAAAAAAGAACAAGATCACGTCCTTTGCAAGGACATAAATGGAGCTAGTAGCCATTATCCTTAGCAAACTAACACAGGATCAGAAAATCACATACTTCATATTCTCACTTATAAGTGGGAGCTAAATGATGAAAACACAGGGACACATAGAGGGTAACAATACATACTGGGGCCTTTCAGAGGGTGGAGGGTGGGGGAAGGGAGGAGGGATCAGGAAAAATAAGTAATGGGTACTAGGCTTAATACCCGGGTGATTAAATAATCTGAACAACAACCCCCCATGACATAAGTTTACCTAGGTAACAAACAAACCTGCACTTGTACCCCTGAACTTAAAAGGCTTTTTTTTTTAAAAAAAAAAAAAAAAAGACAGGCATTCACCAACCCTGATGAGTAGCCATTGACTTTTGCCTCTCAGACCTGGCAAGGCATTGAAACAATGGAGTTAAGAAGGATAAACCAGTTTGGTATGAAAAGAGGACTCACTTAGTTTTGGCTTATTATCATTCAGGGCACACATATTTACTGTCTCCTCCATGCATGCTTCCCACATGTTATTACAGAAAAGATATTAGAAAAGAAATGAATACATAACAACTTCAATAAATATGAACAAGTGGTACTTGTAAGACCAGGAATTTTGAGGAGTTTTCAGAAGATATCAAGTGAATAGGATCAGATTTAATAAAATAATAAATAAATAACTAGGACTGAGAATAAGCTCCTTGTAGTATAATAGCTTTTCTTCCTAAATTCTCACTGGCTCCTTAGATAAAGGTTAAACCTGCTGACAAAAGTACTCGGAGCAGAAGCAGCTTACATAGGGCAATAACTAGAGTACAACCTATGAAAGCCTTGGCTGCTTTTCCTTCTCCTCCTTTGCATATTAATGCTAAGTTTGGATATGGCATTTGCTCCCATATTGAAACCGTGTAAAGGGCCTTCCAGTAAAGCAATACAGTGTGTATGAGTATGTGTGTGTGTGAGAGAGAGAGTGTGTGTGAGTGTGAGTGATGTGTGTGTGTGTGGTGGCTTCCTACTATGTGCCTGGGGCCAGAGAGAAGCAGACCAAACCAAGGTAACTTCAGAACCACACAGCTGACACAGAAATGAAAAAATAAGGACAATTCTTTAGAGGACTAAAATGCAACCATACATATCACTTCCTAATGTTTTCCTTACTTTAGAAATAGATTTCACCAACTTGTCTCTTTATCCTCTGCTCCTATATCTTGAAGGAAGATGGTGAAATCAGCATTGTCTCCATTTCTAACCCTCTCATTAAAAGTAGGGGGCTATCATAGGCACAGGTGTAACTGCAGAGGAAATCATACCAGCTTCCAATACCAACTGAGCTCTTTGTTTAAAACAGGAACAAATAGATAAACATAACCAGACATCTGAGGGAAATCAATAGCATGAGAGAGAAGAACCAAGATTAACAAAGAAAGGTAACATAAAAAACAAAAGAAAACTTTTAAAAAGTTCAATCAGTATACTTGCAAGAATTTAGCAAACTAATATGTCTATAAAATAAGAAAATACTCAAACGGATAAATAGAAAAAATGAAAAGTTTTTGGAAATTAAGATATAATTGTCAAAATTTAAGAAGGTAACAGAAGTCCTGTACAAAAGAATGGACATTGCTGAAAGCCAAAGAAGAAATATGGAAGATAAGAAAGGAAATCTAAAAATTAACATAAAAAGGCAGAGATAGAAATTGAGTGCACAGAAAGGATACATGTTGCGGGAAGTCAGGGACCCCGAATGGAGGGACCAGCTGAAGCCATGGCAGAAGAACATAAATTGTGAAGATTTCATGGACATTTATTAGTTCCCCAAATTAATACTTTTATAATTTCTCATGCCCATCTTTACTGCAATCTCTGAACATAAATTGTGAAGATTTCATGGACACTTATCACTTCCCCAATCAATACCCTTGTGATTTCCTATGCCTGTCTTTAATCTCTTAATCCCGTCAGCTTCATAAACTGAGGAGGATGTATGTCACCTCAGGACCCTGTGATGATTGCATTAACTGCACAAATTGTTTGTAGAGCATGTGTGTTTGAACAATATGAAATCTGGGCACCTCGAAAAAAGAACAGGATAACAGCAATGTTCAGGGAACAAGGGAGATAACCTTAAACTCTGGCTGCCTGTGAGCCAGGCGGAACAGAGTCATATTTCTCTTCTTTCAAAAGCAAATAGGAGAAATATCGCTGAATTCTTTTTCTCAGCAAGGAACATCCCTGAGAAAGAGAATGTGTCCCTAAGGGGAGGCCTCTGAAATGGCCACTTTGGGGACAGCTGTCTTTTACGGTCGTACATAAGGGATGAAATAAGCCCCAGTCTCCTGTAGCACTCCCAGGCTTATTAGGATGAGGAAATTCCCGCCTAATAAATTTTGGTAAGACTGGTTGTCTGCTTTCAAACTCTGTCTCCTGATAAGATGTTATCAATGACAATGCGTGCCCGAAACTTCATTAGCAATTTTAATTTCGCCCTGGTCCTGTGGTCCTGTGATCTCACCCTGCCTCCATTTACCTTGTGATATTTTGTTACCTTGTAAAACATGTGATCTCTGTGACCCATACCCTAATTGTACACTCCCTCCCCTTTTGAAAATCACTAACAAAAACTTGCTGGTTTTGCGGCTTGGGGGGCATCACGGAACCTGCCGACATGTGATGTCTCCCCCAGACACCCAGCTTTAAAATTTCTCTCTTTTGTACTCTTTCCCTTATTTCTCAGACTGGCCAACACTTAGGGAAAATAGAAAAGAACTTACGTGAAATATCGGGGGTGAATTTCCCCCGATAGATATGGAAATTATAAATGGAAAGAAAAAAAGGCATTAAAGACCCATGTGTTGCAAAAACTATCCAGAATGAGAGAGTAGGGGTAACAGATGGGAGAAGATAATCAAAGAAATAATAGAAGAAAATTTTTCTAGGAAGTGACTTGAATATTCATTTAGTCGATAAGATTTACTGAGCTCTTACTTTTTGCCAGGCATTGTTCTTAGCATTTACAGATCAGGAAACAAAACAGGAAAAGAAATCTCTGCCTCCCACAAATAATTAACAAACATATACACTTAGATATATCCCAGTGACATTTTTGAACTTCAGGAATAAAGATGATATCCTAAAAAAGCCAGTAAGGCCTGGTCTGGTAGGGAACATTTATCTACAAAAGCATTAGACTTATCTGAGACTCTTTGCAAGCTGGCAATAGAGTAACACCTAGGACTATCTTAAGGAAAGAAGGTAATTTTGACACTAGAATTTTATTACCAGATGAACTGTCAGTAAAGTGTGAGGGTGAAGACAAACCTTTTATTGGACACCTGAGGACTCAGAAAACTCATCACTCATATATCCTTCTGGTGAAAAAAAAAAAAAAAACAAAGCAAAACTTAAATATGGAGTTTCCAAAACTATAAAGTGAATTTAAATATATACCACAATATGTGAGAAAGAATAGAAATAATCTAGGCAGTAAAACAAATTTAGTGTGATATCTGAAAACAAGGTTAGAAAGCCATCAGTTGATATTAGAACAGCATGTTGGAGGCTCCAAGAATGTATTCAAGAAAAAGTAGTTGTCATAACACCAAATTCCTGATTAAAAATCAAGACTGTAAATGTATTGTGAAACTGATATATTATTGTGTGATATATTATAAAAAGTCCTATAATAATATATTACTGATACCGTTTCAGACAGATGAGATGAAGGGTTATTTTCTCCCAATTAGCCATAAAAAGGTAATATTTTCCTAGTAAAAATAAATGCAAGAATGGCAGTGTCTGAATATAAAACTCTTTTAAATGAGGCATAATTCTGGGCAACTGATATAGTGTTAGAAAGATCCTTCAGGGGAAACCCATCATATCTCTAAGAATAAGGCAGATAGCCTCAAATAAAGCATAAAAGTATTTATAATTGATATTAGCTACACCCTGTGAATTTCAGGTGATCACATGGGGAGGTAAAGCTGACCAAATTCTTGGAATATGAGGTTGTAACTGGGAAGTGACTGGAACTAGGGTGGGAGATTTTGTAGTAGTTCACATAAAGCAGGTGACCACTGATGGAAGCTGTGAGAAGAGGAGATGGCAGATGAAGAGGCTCTGGAAGTCTACCTTTTAGGAGGTGACATGAGGAAGAGCAGGCACAGCGGGCTGCAAAGGAACCCTCAAATCTATAAATATGCACTCTTCCAGAAAGGAAGAGGAGGTGTCCAAAATGAGACTCACTGGTGATTGGTGATTGGAAAGGCGACAAGGGCATTTGGCAGGAAGTGATGACCCAATTCTGTTCAGTGAGGGAAGAAGGCAGCTTGCAGGGCAATTTGGAATTGGAATGCAAAAATCATAAGTCACCATGGCGTCTATTCATAAGAAGTCATGAAGCGGGTTGGTGGGGAGAAAGAAGCCCCCTAACCTCAGCCATGATCATCAAAACGGGTCCTTCAACTGAGGCTGGGCTGGGAAAGAGGAGCTGGCTTGCTAGTGTTGTGAAATTTTCAAAGTAAGAGCATCCCATGCTGGATACTTGCTGCATAAAAGCCTTTGCTATATAGTTTATCTTTTTTAAGACTGTTATAGAAACTACATTTTATAAGTGTCCACAGGCATATCCCTGTCATGCTTTTGCAGTTATAAGAAGTAGAATTCCTGGTTGGGAGTTATAGTCTTCCTGTCTTTGATTTTCTTCTGCTTGACAAAAAGGAATAACCTGAGGTTAAAGCATCCTGCTGTGTATTCTGTAAACAATCCCATTATCATACAACCACCCAGTGAGCACTACTTACCCTTACAAAGTATCAACAGATAACTAAACTGCTCTTCAGTAAAGCTATATCTGATTTCAAGTACAAATAAAAGCTCTAAATAGTCACACAGAATGATATAGTTGATGTAATTCAAGCTCTGTTCTTTGTGTTTACAATCATAGTGCTATTGTTTATTTTATATGAACTGCTGAAATTCAGGAATATGTGGTACAACAGCGATTAGAGACACGACTTGGCCTACAGTAGCTCCACCAATCTGGAACCCTTTGAAATGTTCTCTTGGAACAAAACTCATGTAGCTGAATGCCTCTGTGTTGGAGGCTAACTGAATAATTAGAGTTTCCCCCATCAAATTCTATGTAAAATACAGTGCATAGTAGAGAATCAGTAACAAAAACATGCAATTGACCCTTGAACAACATGGGGTGTGAGCTACGTAGGTCGACTTATACACAGATTATTTTCAATAAGTTACACTGAGGGTGCCTGCCCATCCTGCTTCCCCATCTATCTACCTCTTCTGCCTCTGCCACCACTGAAACAGCATAACCAACCCTTCCTCTTTTCCCTCCTCCTCAGCCTACTCAACATGAAGACAAGGATGAAGATCTTTATTATGATCCACTTCCACATAATGAACAGTAAATCTATTTTCTTTTCCTTATGACTTTCTTAATAACATTTTATTTTCTCTAGCTTTGTTTATTGTAAGAATACAGTATTTAATAAATATATAAAATACGTGTTGATGAACTATTTGTTATCAGTAAGGCTTCCGGTCAACCATAGGCTCTTAGTAGTTGAGTTTTGGGGGAGTCAAAGTTATACATGGATTTTTGGCGGCATGGGGGTCAGCATCCCTAATCACCACATTGCTCAAGGGTAAATTGTATTGTTAAAACTCAACAGTAACTACAGCAATTGTTTAGAGCTTAGACCCACAAAAGGTTTTTCGAAGTGGAGTATTTTATCACTGGCATTTTTACAATTTCCAGCACCTGGGGATAATAAAAAGCAGGTCATTTGGTGGGTTTCATTATTATTATTAAATTCTCTCCAGACAATGCACGCTGTTACTGCCTGCACCCAGCATGGAACACTCCCTATGTTCCTTCCTTTGTGCACTTCTGACTGTGTAGATCCTGAAGTTCCAAAGTGTTTCTCAAGAGGTTGATTAGCTAGAACCACTTGTGTTGATTGGCCAGAAATTTCCTGGTGTGACTAGGAAAGCCATGAACCTCTGAGAAGGATTGGTACAAAAGCCTATCCAACAGGAGTACTTCATATTGGATGGCTGCAACGTGACCCAAACCCTCTCAGTGCTGAAATATATATGCAGGTTTATATACACTTACATGAGGTAGTGTCTTTAAGTACAATACGCTGTAGTTGGCACATACTGAAAAGCCTTACACGTGCCTCCCTGGATCAGATGGAACTCAGAAGGATCAGGAACTCAGTAATGGTACAATTGATCAGGTTGCTTTTATACAACTTTAAATAGCCTAAAGCAAAATTATAATAATAAAAATCGTAATATCTTTGTATACTTTCATAGTCTATGATGCAGGACTAACTCTAATACAAAATTTTATTTTTACAAAAATGTTTGAGACACATTTCTCATTGTCTTATTGTCTGTATTTTACAAATGAGTAAACTGAGGCTCTGAGACATTAGGTGATTTTCAAACATTATTGTCCATCAAATGGTTGGAACACAATGGAGTGGGATCCAAAGCATGACCTTCTAAGTCCAGTGGGCTTTCTGCCGTGCAGCTCTGAAGTGTGGTAATAATAGGGACTCTCATAAATGAAATGATAAATAGGACTGCTTACTGGTTACATGAAGTTTTCAATCTGTTATTAAGTAGCAGTTCAGATTTCACTATGTTTAATCCACCAGCAATGATCTTTTCCATCTTGCATACCTGGCAGATGCCTATTCATCTTTTAAGCCCTATGTCAAGAGAAGCCTTCATCTGCAAAGCCTTTTCTGACCCCAAAGGTAGGGTTAGTTGTTTTCTTTTTTCTGCAGCCAATCCACATGTGTGGATCCCACCACTCATGTCTCACATGCCTTATTAGGCTAAACTGTAACTCTTAATTTGCATGTCTGTCTCTAAACTCAACTGCGAGCTCTTAAGATCAGGAGCTGTCATTTATTCTGATTTGTATACCTAGTGTCTAGCAGAGTGTCTGGCACATCAGGCTCTGAGTAAATTTTACACACTATGCATCCCCATTTTTGGGGAAAAGAAATAACAAAGTATTTCTAATTGAGGGTGAGTCAGTGTAACATCACCCTCTCATACTGAGAGAATATATCCATTAAATTCTGCTTGCTTCCTCTTAGAGATGAAAAATCAGAAATCTAGAGAGAGAGACTTGCATCACTGCCTCCACTTACAAACACTGATATTGAGAACATAATAAAATTATCCTGTGGATGAAATCAATATTCTATTCCTTAATGCTGCTAACTATAACTTCCAAACCAATCTTAGCAAGCTCACAAAAAAATATCAGAGCTGGAATGGTTCTTTGGAAACCATGCAGCTCAATACCCTGATTCTATAGGTGAGGAAAACAAGCTCCTGATATGCTAAGTGACTTGCCTAAGATCTCATGTTTGGTCAGTGGAAGACACAAGCCACTGAGCATTTTCCAGAACCCGTTGCTGCATCTATTATCCAAAGGAGGAAGACAATTGATAACAAAAAGTCCGGGGGCACAAAATACTGGTGTGCTCACCCACACACACACTCCCTGCCCAAGAAAATTCAATGGCTGAATTAGAAGATCTATCAAATGTAAATGACAAGTTAACAGGTGCAGCCCACCAACATGGCACATGTATACATATGTATCAAAACTGCACATTGTGCACATGTACCCTAGAACTTAAAGTATAATAAAAAAAAAAGTGCTAAAGAAAAAAAAAAAAGAAAACTCAATGGCTGAAATATGACCTTACACAGTTAATGACTGACTACCTCCAATGGAGAGAGTTATTCAATATGCCACAGGGCTCATTAAAATGCAAGTTTTATTCTTAAGATAACTTGAAACAAAATTCTACTCTCAAACACAAAGGTTTACATACAATTTTGTAGCAAAACAATTGATGTCATAAAGTAAGACATCAGGAGGGGCTTTGGAGTACAGTCCAATTCGAGAAATACTACCTGTTAATGCAAGTGATCTGGTTCTAGGTCCAACTCCATCATTCATTTGTTCTACAACTAAAGATCAATCTCTAGCCTTGTTGAATCTTCCACATTTACTGATTGGTGATAGAAATACGTGTCTTTTTATAAGTTGTCACAAATGAGACAAACACATGTTGATATCACGTACCCTCTGATAGGATGTAATGCAAATGGAACTCTATCTCCAGGGAACCTTTCCCCAAAACTCACAATCCCAGATTAACCAAGAAAAGCATCAAACACACAGAAATTCAGGAATTTTATACAAAGTAGCTCACCAGTATTTCTCAAAACTGTCAGTCATGAAAAATCAAAAGATTCAGAAACTTTCACAGCCCAGAGGAGACGAAAGAGACATGAAGGCTAAATGTAATATGGTATCCTAAATTGGATTATGCAACAGAAACAGGACCTTAGTGGAAAAACTCGGATATTAAAAAAAAATCTGGAGTTTAGTTTACCAGTAATGTATCCAGGTTGGTTTCTTAGTTTTGACAAATGTATTGCTAATGTAAGGCATTAAATTAGGGACCTTGGATAAAGAGTATATGGAAACTCCCTGTATAACTTTTCTGTAAATCTAAAGTCATCCCAAAATAAAAAAATTATTTTGAAAGATGACACCTGGAAAGGCTTTCTAAAATGTAATAAATGATATCCAAATGCTAGATCATGTCTAGAGAGAAGATAGATTTGTGTTGAGTTTTCAGTGGATTAATCTGGCATATAGCCTTTTATTTTTGCCTGTAGTTCATTTTTTTCTAGAAGATAAGCAGAACAGTACTATTGTCTATCCAAGAAGTATCACCTGTTAATCAAATTTATACATATTTGTAGTGGAAAGAGCATTGGATTAGAAATGTGCTTATTTATAAACCTGCTTCTACGTTGACCTGCATTGGAAATTTAGATAGTAACTTTATCTAATTTGCTTTGTTTTCTCATCTGGAAAAAGGGGAGTATGAGTGCAAATTTTGTAAGGGATGAATGAAGTAACATGAGTAAACCAGTACTGACAACTATAAAATCATATGTTCATGTGATGGGTTAATTGTGCTTCCATTAGCTTTGGAGATAATGTAAGTATGAAAAAAAGAATAATGGTCTTCCCAAAATGTCCATATTCTAATCCACCAAACCTGTGAATGTGTTACCTTATATGGCAAAATATATTTTGCAGATATGATTATGTCAAGGATCTTACGATGGGGAGATCATCCTAGATTATCCAGATGGGCCAAATGCAATCACAAACATTCTGAAAAGTGGGAGGCAGAAGGGTCAGAGTTAGAGAAAGATATGTGATAACAGAAGCACAGGCTGGAGCCATGCAAGGAAGGGACCCTGCACTGAGTAATGCAGGTGGCTTCTAGAAGGTGGAGAAGGCAAGGGATTGATTTCTCCTCAGAGCCTCCATAATGCAGGCTGCCCTAGTGACACCTTGATTTTAGTGTGTCCAACTTTTAAAATGGTAAGATAATAAATCTGTTGTTTCTAGCTACTAACTTTAGGGTAATTTGTTATAAGACTGATATGGTTAGCCTTTGTATCCCCACCCAAATCTCATCTTAAATTGTAATTACCAGGTGTTGAGAGACCTAGTGGGAGGTGATTGGATCATGGGGGCAGTTTCCCCACATGTTGTTCTCATGATAGTGAGTTCTCATGAAATCTCATGGTTTTGTAAGTGTTCACTGGTTCCTCTCTTGCTGGCTTCTTCTCTCTCCTTCCTCCATGTGAAGAAGGTGTTTGCTTCCCATTCACCTTCCGCCATGATTGTGAGTTTCTTGAGGCCTCCCCAGGCATGTGGAACTGTGAGTCAATTAAACCTCCTCTGTTTATAAATTACCCAGTCTTGGGTAGTATCCTTATAGCAGTGTGAAAAAGGACTAGCACATGGAGCTATAGGAAACTAATACAATTACTTTAACTATCACTTAATTGGGATGTATTGAAGGATAAACTTACTGGCTTATCAAAGGGAGACTGAATGTGGGTCTCTTGGAAGGGGTGGTCACATACTGAATTTCTGAGGGAGAAAACCTCATAAATTCACTATATGCCGCAAAGCAAAGCTTTCAAGAAGTGGTGTGGCCACTTTTTTTTTTTTTTTTTTTTGAGATGGAGTCATGCTTTGTTGCTCAGGCTGGAGTGCAGTGGCACAATCTTGGCTCACAGCAACCTTCGCCTCCCAGGTTCAAGTGATTCTTATGCCCCAGCCTCCCAAGTAGCTGGGATTACAGGCACCCACCACCATCCCTGGCTAAGGTGTGGCTACTTTTAACAGCTTACAGTAAGATATGGCAGCAAAGGAATTACCTAAAGGTGGAATTTGTAATTAAAAGGAAAGCAGAATATAAAAACATGAAAAATTTACAGTCTAGCAATGTGACAGGAAAGGAAAGAATGTTTTCAGGAGAAAAATCCAGTGGTGCTGAGGGGTAACCACTTGTTAAAGAGATTAAAATGGATAAAAGGGAGTCAGGTGCAAAGAGTCAAAAAAATTGGAAAAAGGTTTTTCAGAAATCTTTGTAGCCCCCTCCCATCATAGGCCCACAGGCCTGGGAAAACAAAATGGTTTCAGGGAACAGGCCCGAGTTACCCCGAAGCCACTTTGATATGCTTTCTCAACATTCAAGCTGCTCCAGCTCCAGGTGAGGCACAAATAACCCCACATACTATTTCAGCTGGTGCTCCAGAGGGTGCAAGCCATAAATCTCAGCAGCATCCACTTGGTGCTAAGTCTGTAGGCTCCTAGAATGCAAGAGCAGTGGAAGCTGCCAAGCCTGTAGATTTCAGAGGATGTATTGGAAAGCCTGGGTGCCCAGGCAGAAGCCTTCTGCAGGGAAGGAGCTCCTACAGGGAGCCTCTACTAGGGCAGTGCCCAGGGGAGCTGTGGGAACAGGAGCACCACACTTCAGACACCAGAATTATATAGCCACTGGCAATGAGCCACACTAGCATGGAAATGCTGCAGGTATTAGATTCCAAACTGTAAAAGCAGCAATGTGGGCTGCACCCAGAAAAACTGTGGGGGCAGGGCTTTCCAAGGACTTGGGAGCCCACTTCTCATATCAGTATGCCCAGGATGCAGGACATGGGTCAAAGAAGATTATTTTGGAGCTTTAAGATTTAATGTCTGCCCTGCTGGGTTTTAGACTTCCATGAAGACTGCTTACCCCTTTCTTTTGGCCAATTTTTGTCTTTGTGAACGAGAATGTTTACCTAATGCCTATACAAACATTGCATATTATAAGTAGATGAATTGCTTTTGATTTCACAGGCTCATAGGTGGAAGGAACTTGCCTTGAGTCTCAGATGAGATTTTGGATTTGGGACTTTTGAGTAGATGCTAGAACAAGTTAAGACTTTCGGGACCATTGGGATAGAATGATTGTATTTTGCAATGTGAGAAGGATGTGAGGCATGGAGAGTCAAGCGTGGAATGCTACAGTTTGAATATCTGACCCTTCAAACCTCATGTTGAAATTTGATTCGCAATGTTGCAGGTGGGGTCTAATGAGAGGTGTTTGGGTCATAGAGGCAGATCCCTTATGAATGGCTTGGTACCACCTTTATAGTAATGAGCAAGTTATTGCTCTATTGGTTCCTGTAAGAGCTTGTTAAAAAGAACCTGGCAATTTCTCTGTATCTCTTGCTTCCTCTCTCACCATGTGATCTTTGTACATGCTGCCTCCCCTTCCACTTGCACTATGAGTAGAAACAGCCTGAGGCCCTCACCAGATGCAGATGCTGGTGCCATGCTTCTTGTACACCAGCCTGTAGAATCATGAGCCAAATGAATCTCTTTATCTCAAAATTCTTTATGAATTATCCAGCCTCAGGTATTCATTTACGGAAACACAAATGGAATAAGACAGCCCCCAACATTCCTACCTCATAGTGTACACACCCTCTAGTATGAGTGAGATTTCTGAGTATAATGGAATTTCACTTCCTTGAGTAGACTGCCATTTCTGGCAAAGATGAACAGATTTTGCAGATGTGAATAACGTTCTTAATCCGTTGACTTTCAGTTAATAAAAAGGCATGTTATACTGAATAGGCTTGACCTTTAAAAGAGAGTCTAGGCCTTCTCAGGATAGGGAGATTTAAAGTAAGTAAGGCACTTTCCTGCCAACCTTGAAGATGCAAACTGTGTTGTGAACTGCTTATTCAGCAGTGGCAGGCCATAGGAGACAAGGGTCTCAGCCCTACAACTGCATGGAATTGAATTCTGCCAAGGACCCACATGAGCTTGACTTCAGATGAGAATGCAGCCAGAATGACACCTTTTTCAGCCTTATGGGACTCAGTAGAGGATCCATTTAAGCCATGTCCAGACTTCTGACCCAAGGAAACTGTGAAATAACAAATGTGTGTCATTTTAAACTACTAAATAAATGGTAATTCTTAAGTAGCAACCAAAAAATCAAGGCAGGTACCACTTACTCCATGAATTAAGGAATGAAGAGCATGCACAGCCCCAGGCTGGCCATCCTGGATCAGCAAGTAACCCTCACCAACCAGCCAGATTTCTTTCCTGGGAGTACTGTGAAGAAAGAAGAGCTTACACTCCTTACCTGTTAATCATGAGACTTTTTTTTTTTTTAAAGTGGACATTTTGATAAACAATTAGACATCAGTGGTAACTTGTAGGTGGTTGGGTATAATTACCTTCCTTGTCCAATAATCTTTAGATTTTAAAACTACCCAAAAAGAAAAGGATGGAAAATAGCAAGCTGGGAGGGTTATTGACCTGGGTAAACCATTTGTACCCAATTTTAAAGAATGCAACAGATGATGCTGTCCTGAGCCAAAGTAGCCTGCTAGGTCCAATGCTGATCAGAAATGGCAGCAATGAGTTCCTCTATTAATCATTCAGAGGAATTCTGTATTATGATTTTAAGCTGCTGAATAAGTGGTGATCTAATTCCTCAGAAATTCCTGCTTCCCAGATCTCAGAGGAAGAGTAAAGTGCTTAAAACTATCTATTGTCCTTTATTTCCAGGATCTCCATCCAAATACTTTATGTGGCCCACAAGGCCCTCTATGAGCTGGCCCCTGACCACCCCAATCTCCAACCATTTTGCACTTGTCACTTTGCACTCTGGCCACAGTGACCTTTGTTCCATTTCTCATACATGTCATGCCCACGCTTGAGGCTCATGCTTCTGCCTTAAACAGCTGGTCTAAGATGACTCTGCACTAGCAACGTCCTTCCTTAGCTTAGCTTCTCCTAGATTACACAAGGAGGCTCTCCTTGATCTCCAGACTATTTCTACTAGGCTTTTTAAAACCTTGAGTACTTTCCATTTATAGCATGTACTACAGATTGTACTGATGTGTTTGTTACTATTATTATTTTATAACTCAATTTAAGGGTTGAGGAACAGCCTTTCACTCTGTCTCCCGAGTCAAGCCTTTGTCTTTTTCTTTAAGGAATATTGCTGTCTATTCTGACCCAAGTTTGTTTGGCAAACATTGAGCCCCTGGTGCATGGAAGGCCTGAGGTATATCCTCGAGGAATAGGTGGTGGGAAGAGATAAGGTCCCTAACTCTAGAAGCTGAACCATCCCTAGGCCCCTCACTGCTCCTATCTTAGCTCATATGGCCCTCTTCTCTGACTTTGAATTCTGTAAGAGTTTCAATCTCTCCTTTGATTCTTTAGGGTAAAATCCAAACTTCTAGTTCCTTTCAGGTAAAATCCAAACTCCCAGTTGGTATGGCCCTCCATAATCAGGCCCCTGCTGCTCTCCAAGGCCTTAATTCCCAGAGCTCTTCTTGCACTAGTGAACATTCTCTTCCAAGCTTCCAGGCTTTTGCCCATTGATATGGTTTGGCTGTGCCCCCAGCCAAATCTCATCTTGAATTGTAGTTCACATAATCCCCATATGTTGTAGGAGGGACCTGGTGGGACATAATTGAATCATGTGGACAGTTACTCCCATGCAGTTCTCTTGACAGTGAGTGAGTTTTCATCGCATCCAGTTGTTCCTTCACTCAGCTCTTCTCCTTCCTGCTGCCCTGTGAAGGTGACTTGCTTCCTCTTCCAACACGATTGTAAGTTTCATGAGGCCTCCCCAGCCATGCTGAACTATGAGTCAATTAAACTTGATATCTTTATAAATTAACCAGTCTCAGGCAGTTCTTTATAGCAGTATGAAAACGGACTAATAGAGTAAATTGGTATCACAGAGAATGGGGTGCTGCTCTAAAGATACCCAAAATGTGAAAGTGACTTTGGAACTGGGTAACAGGCAGAGGTTGGAATGGTTTGGAGGGCTTAGAAGAAGACAGAAAGATGTGGGAACTTCCTAGAGACTTGTTGAATGGCTTTGATCAAAATACTGATAGTGATATGGACAATGAAATACAGCAGGCTAAGGTGGTCTCAGATGGTGATACGGTTTGGCTGGGTCCCCACCCAAATCTCACCTTGAATTGTAATAATCTCCACATGTCAACGGCAGGGCCAGGTGGAGATAATTGAATCATGGGTGCAGTTTCCACCATACTGTTCTTGTAGTGAATGAGTCTCATGAGATCTGATGGTTTTATAGACGGGAGTTCCTCTGCACAAGCTCTTTTGCCTGCTGCCATGTAAGACATGACTTTGCTTCTCCTTCACCTTCAGCCATGATTATGAGACCTTCTCAGTCATGTGGAACTGTGAGTCAATTAAACCTCTTTCCTTTATAAATTACCCAGTCTTGGGTATGTCCTTATTAGCAGCATGAGAACAGATTAACACAGATGAAGATAAAAAAACTTGTTGGAAACGGGTATAAAGGTGACTCTTGCTATGCTTTAGCAAGGAGACTGGTGGCATTTTGCTCCACCCCAGAGATCTGTGGAGCTTTGAACTTAAGAGAAATGATGTAGGGTATCTGGCAGAAGAAATTTCTAAGCAGAAAACCATTCAAGATGTGACTTGGGTGCTCTTAAAAGTATTCAATTTTATACATTCATAAAGAGATGGTTTGATATTGGAACTTATGTTTAAAAGGGAAGCAGAGCATAAAAGTTTGGAAAGTTTGCAGCCTGATGATGTGATAGAAAAGAAAAACCCATTTTCTGAGGAGAAATTCAAGCTGGCTGCAGAGATTTGCATAAGGAGCCAAATTTTAATAGCCAAGACAATGGGGAAAATGTCTCCAGGGCATGTCAAAGGTCTTTACAGCAGCCCTCCCATCACATGCCCAGAGGCCTGGAAGAGAAAGTAGTTTCCTGGGCTGGGCCCAAGGCCTAGCTGCTTTGTGCAGTCTCTGGGCTTGGTGCCCTGCATTCCAGCTGTGGCCAAAAAGGGCCAACATATAGCTCATGCTGTTGCTTCAAAGGGTGCAAGCCCCAGGCCTTGGTGGCTTACATGTGGTGTTGGGCCTGTGGGTGCACAGAAGCCAAGAACTGAAGTTTAGGAACCTCTGCCCAGATTTTGGATGACGTAGGGAAACACCTGAATGTCCAGGCAGAAGTTTGCTGCAGTGGGGAGCCCTCATGGAGAAACTCTGCTAGGGCAGTGTGGAAGGGAAATGCGGGGTGCGAACTCCTACAGAGTCCCCACTGGGGCACTGCCTAGTGGAGCTGTGAGAAAAGGACCAAGATCCTCCTGACCCCAGAATGGTAGATCCACCAATAGCTTGCAACATGCACCTGGCAAAGCTGTGGACACTCAATGCCAGCCTGTGAAAGCAGCTGGGAGGTGGACTGTACCTTGCAAAGCCACAGGGGCAGAGCTACCCACCTCTTGCATCAGCATGACCTGGATGTGATACACAGAGTCAAAGGAGATCATTATGGACCTTTAAGATTTCACTGCCTTGCTGGATTTTGGACTTGCATGGGGCTTGTAGCCCATTTGTTTTGGCCAGTTTCTCCCATTTGGAATGGCTCTATTTACCCAATGCCTGTACCTGCATTGTATCCAGGAAGTAACTAAGTTGCTTTTGATTTTACAGGCTCATAGGCAGAAGGGGCTGGCCTTGTCTTAGATGAGACTTTGGACTGTGGACTTTTGAGTTAATGCTGAAATGAGTTAAGACTTTGCAGGACAGTTGGGTAGGCAGGATTGGTTTTGAAATGTCAGAGACATGAGGATTGGGAGGGACCCAAAGTGGTACGGTAGGTTTAGGCTTTGTGTCCCCACCTAAATCTCATTTTGAATTATAATCCCCATAATATCCACATTTCAAAGGAGAGACCAGGTGAAGTAATTGGATCTTGGGGTGGTTTCTCCCATGCTGTTCTCATGATAGTAAGTTCTTACAAGGTCTGATGGTTTTGTAAGGGGCTCTTCCCCCTTCACTCAGCACTTTTCCTTCCTGCAGCCTTGTAAAGAAGGTATCTTGCTTTCCCTTTGCCTTCTGCCATAATTGTAAGTTTCCTGAGGCCTCCCGGCCATACTTAACTGTGAGTCAATTAAACCTCTTTCCTTTATAAGTTACCCGGTCTCAGGCAGTTCTTTAAAGCAGTATGAAAATGGACTAATACAATCCCTCTTTGCCTGTGCTGTCAAGTATTCCTCACATTACCACCCTTCTCCACTTTGAGTACTCCTGAACCTTGTCAAGACCCAGTTCTAACTTCCTTTCTTCCTTTAGCCTTGTAGTGAGATGCCTGGCCCTGGAAGACTGCTTTAGGCTGCAAGTGACAGAAAGTCTGACTCAAAGTGGCTCAAGCAGTAAGAAGTTTGTTACGTCACTTAACACAATAAGTGGTGAGGCAGTTCCATGGTGAATTCAACCCTTAAGTGAGCCATAGAAGATATGGGTTTTTCTCAACTCTCCATTTTGCCATCTTAGTGTGTCTTTTGTACCCAAGTTTATTCAGAAGGCTTCTCCTTACATGGCATGAATAGAACTGTTTATCACATATGCATGACTATATTAATGTATTACTCTGGGTTCTCCTGAGAAAGAGAATCAACAGAATGGGGTGACAGTGAGAGATTTATTTAAGAAATTGGCTCACATGATGGCTGGCAAGGATGATGTCTACAGCGTAAGCCGATAGGCAGGAGGCCTAGGGAAATGTTGATATTGCTGCTCCTGGCCTAAGGCTTCTGGAGGCAGAACTCCCTTTTTCTTTGGGGACATTGGTCTTTTTCTCTTAAGGCCTTCAACTCATTGGATAAGGCCCACACATATTATACAGATAATCTGCTTTACTCAAAGTTTACTGATGCAAATGTTAATCTGGTCTTAAAAAGTACCTGCCCAACAACATCCAGGCATGTTTGGTCTAATATCTGGGTACGTACCTAGCCAAATGGACACATCAAATTAGCCATCACAATGTCTAAACCAATTACTGAGAAGAAAGAGACCAGAATCACCATTGTTGGTATAAATCTCAGCCAAGAGTAACCCTCTGGGGCTGGTAAGGGGCTCCTTCCCTGAGTATATGATGGTATGGAGGGCGAATGTGCAAGCATAGTCAGGGCTCTGCCTGCAAGACAGACTCTAGTTGTGGGTAAGGTCAGAGGAAGGCATAGGTTTGAGCAGGTAAACAACATCTGTTAAACACTTAGGCAGGCAGAATCCCAATACTGTGTTGCCTCCTTTACATGTATAAACCCTGTTGGAGCCCTTGTTACCCTGAGTCATGGATTTATGGCTTATCTTCCTCTTTAGACTGTAGGCTCACCTTTGAGTAAGAATCATGTGTGAGTTACCTGTTTATTAACCGCCCAAACTTGGTGCTCAGCACAAGGTAGGTACTCCATAAATGCTATTGAACTGACCAAAGTGGGGCATTTGCGTGCTGAATTAACCTTGTACTCACCATTGTTATAGAGCTCATATATTTTTATCCACCACAGCTTTGTTGAAGTCACAGATTCACAACTGTTATGCCAACTGACTATTATTTCTAGACACTTCAGTGAGGAACTTATGGGACGATAAAACTAGTTCAGTCATATCAAGTTCTCTCCTATTTCACACATCCATAACCTGAAAAAAATCTCAGTAACAAATTGAAGAACACTCTTAACTTTATAGTCAAGTAATAAGAGGTAAGGGGTCCATTGTTTGCCACAAGTACCCACTCAGATAAAGTAGGTCATCTGGAGTCAGATGTTAGAGCCCCAGGTTCAGTTGCTTAATCCACAAATTCTCATGACTCTTATCCTTTTCAACAGAGTTGGAGTTCCCAAAAGTTTAGAAAGTGGAATCATCAGATACCAATCTTCTCTACCAGAAAGACAAAAGGCTTTAGACCTGTTAAATTCAGAGGATGAGGAAGTCATCTTTTAGTTGTCCACTGTGTAGAAACCCTTGACCTTATAAATTCAAGCATCCCCCATGTTTCAGGCATCTTGAGAAACCCTTACACACATTATTACACTATCCAGTTTGTAATTGTCTCCCTCAAGCAGATACCAACAACAATTGACATATACTGACTCAACATGCACCAGACATGAACATACACACATTACCTCCATTATGCAATTTAATCCTCAGCAAACCTCACAAGGCTGATTTAGTCCTTATCTCCATTTTACAGATGAAGAACCCAGGGAGCTGAGCTGGGTAGGTAACTTGCTGACAGTCCTACCAACAAGAAACCACAGAACCCAGACTCAAGTCCCATCAACTCTGACTTCAGAGGCCATGATCACACTTGCACACGTTACTGCTTCCCATGTAGTAAGGTTTACATATATTATCTCAATTAAATTTGAGAGTGAGGAAAAGTTATTTTATATCAACATGTAAGGGGACAATAAAAATTATTTCCTGTGGTTGTCTTAGAAGCAACAACCAACTCAAAATAGGGCCTTGAACACTTTAAAGAAAGAATGTGACAACAGAGAAAAAAACATCGAAAAATGTGAGGCAGACACACAACATTTTGCAGTGACCACCCAGTTCTACCCATGGGCATGTCAATCACTACAGAGGATGTTCTCTTTACAGGTTGTACTAACTTAGCAAGACTTCTTATTACCTGGAGAGAATACCCTTTATTTCTCTAATTCCATACTCAAAAGGTACAAGAATATAATTATAAATGTAACTTCTGAGATATCTTGAATATAACAGATTTCCTAGGAAAAAAGTATGTAAACATTCTATTTCTTTAAAAGGGACATCCTCAATTGTAAGTATTGAATGCCATTTGTCAATATTGTTTCACATGAACATAGCTTGTGCCAATGAAATTGTTATATCATTAGAAACCTGGTCATTTCTAGATGAATTAATCAAGTTCGGTTTCTATGTTCACTGGGCCATAGAATAGATGTGCCATAGTAAATTTATGAAGTTAATAATATTCATTTCTGAGGCTATTTGGCAGCCAGTTGGCTTTTTCCTGGGTCACCCACTCTCCCTTACCATGCCTGCTTTCCTCCAACTGCAAAGCCTCACGAGTACTTATAATTGCCCCATCATACAAATGAGAAAAAATGATGCTCAGAGGGGTTTTGTGACTTGCTTAGCTCTGCACAGCTGGTGTAATAGACTCTACAGAAGGACAGGAAAAGAAGACATAGAAGCCAAGAATGAATGAGGTGACCTGGGACTCTGCTCTTTCTATTTGCCACCAACTACAGAGACCTCAACTGACATCTCCAGCCCTCTGCTTTCAGTGCCGGAGTAGAGATTGCACACTGGCTCCTGCTGAGAGCTTTATTTCTTATTCTCACATCTGAGCAGTTAAAAATACTTTGAAATATGTCACCTGCCTTCCCTTCTATCCTTGCCTTTTGCTTGCTTTTTCTCTTGCCTCGCTTTACTAAAGCAGCAAAAGCAAGAGGACCATTAAAAGCAAGAGGACCATAATGAGGGTAAGAGTAGTGGGAGGAGACACAGGGACCCTCCACCTTGCTTCTGAACGAAAGTCATAATATAATCCTTGCTTTAATCTGTATTCAGTTCTCTGTCCTCTGCCCGCATGCTGACAAGATCCACTTTACCTGGTATTTTTAGCTGATACTTGGCGCGATGTGCTAAGTGCTGGCCATGGATGCTGCTAAAGTGACAGCATGTGTTCCAGCAGCTCCATTGCCATGGTCAGTCTTTTCATAGTTCCTGTTTCATTAATGTTAAGAAATGGCTCTTCCTTACTTAACCAAATGTCAGCAGACACAGCTTCGGCCCTTAATCATCCATCCCCCTGCCCCTGAGGGCATCCTATAGATTGAAGGACATTGAGACTGCAGGCTCAGATGGAAAAAAAAGTAATCTAATTGCCTGTTACTTAACAAACTTTGTCTTGATGGAGTATTCATTGCACACATAAATTAGACTGCCTCACCTTTTGCAATGTAAAATCCTGGAAATAATGCTAGCCTTCATTCTAATTGTTTTTAATAAATAAATTAAAGAATTAATGTGTACTTACCTGGAACAAAGCTTCCCTGGACCACCTCCTTGTATGCCCACCAGCCTTCATGGATTTTTGGTGAATTCTGTTGAGCTAAAGGAAAAGCAAAGAAGAGAGATTAAGATGATAGCAGAGAAGCACTGTGTCCCGGCTGTCCGAGTAAGAAGGGTGAATATCCATAAAATAACCCTTTTCTACCCCAAAGTCATACTACAACAGAACCTTCCTTCTCCCTTCCCTTTTTTTTTTCAAATAGATCATTGATCGGTAAATATAAAAACATTTTTATTGAAAGTTCTCTGATATTTTAATTGATGTTAAAGAGATAGTAATTATGTATTTAAGTCCCCTGCTACCTGTCCTCATCATCTTCCCCATACACACACACACACACACACACACACACACACACACACAACACACACACAGTGCTCCTGCTGAAACTGAGGAGACAGTAGGCAGATCCCATCCATGTATGTCCATGGAACCCTTGTTTTGGGAGAGATTGAAGTTTGCTGAGGGAGCCAGTCTGGAAGGCTGAAAGGTATACCCAGCCAGCTTTCCTTAGGTCCCAGGAAAATGAAAACAAGAATATAAATAACTGTGGTGGAGGTTTTTGACATCACAGGCAAAAAGGGCAGAGGGCTCAAGATATTGGAAAATATCGTGGAGATCTGTAAGCTCATGCTGACATGACCTCAGGGAAACCCTTGAATTCATGACAGTTGACAAGTGAATTGGGGCAATGCCATTACACATGCACACAAACCCCAAAGTATACATGATACATAAATTTATGCTTATCCCTTTATTAAACTACATTCATATTTCAATTCCCAGACACATTGGAAGAAAATAAGTGAATCAATCATATTTGTAATTTGGCTACTATTAATGTTAAATCTTAACTTTTTTCTTTTCTTCTTTAAATCTGGTGGGGGTTTTTTTCCAGCCTTCCTCTTCAAAGTTCTAGGGAAAAGACTCATCATTCTGAGTTAGAAAGAATGGGTATAAGACAATGGGTTTGAATGCAAGGCTTTGTATAGAGAGAAGATTTACTAGATTTCTCTAGTTTCCAGATAAGCTTGGACTGTTTAGCTTCAAGTCTCTTCTTATAGTATAGTGAAGATACTTTTTCTTCCTATGATATTAAGAGCCCTGAGGCTTGTATCTTTGTGGTTGAAGGAGATTTTCTGACATAGGATGAGTGAAACTGAAGCCCACTCCTTCTGGAACTGACAGTGGGCTTAGGGGACTTTAAAAACAAATAAAAGAGAGACAAAGAGCTTATTTAAGACTCTGGAAAAAATAACACCTTTAAATTTGCCCAGCACAAATCTCAGGCATGGACACACAAAAGTATCCTGGATTTCCTGGTATTCTTATTGCCCCTGTGGTGTGGATAGAGTTCAGACATTTCCATAGCCCTTGAGGAAGATCCCGAGGTCAGCTGAGTTGGAAGCCAATGCATCTGCTCTGGGACAGCAGGCAAAGGAGGAAGTCACCTCAAAGCAGAAGCCAGAAAGGTTCTGTCCAACCAGGGAGTCAGGCGGAAGATTCAACTGAGACTCTGGGAATTTGCAGCACCAGGGAAAGACAAGGAGATTTGAAGTCAGCCAGGAGGTCTTTAGACCCGACCAAGCCAAGAAACCAAATCAAGGTTTGGATATGGCTGCAAAATTCCCCAAGTGGGTAGACAACATTTCTCTAGAGTTCAGAAAGGGTTCTGATTCTTCCTCTGGGTCTTGGTATTGCCTGACTCACCCTCCTTCTCCCCCAATTCGTTAGACAGTCATCATAGGAGCCAGAGGAGAATCCCAAAGGCTTAGAAACCTGTGAGATCAGATATCTAATGGCCCTCTTATGAAACAACTACTTTGTAATGCTCACCTTGAGTATAATTAAATAAAATTCACGGACAGTACAACCTACTAAAAAACAACAACAAGAAAACCAAACCCCAAACCTGATAATTCTCTAAACTTCAGCCTAGCTCTGCTAGACATGTAAAATGTCTCAAGCCTGGGAAAAATGCATGTTTCTAAGATCTTAAAAGCATTGAACTATAAACATCACCTAACAGTTTTGCATCAGAGATAAGCCAGGACTGGTTTTCCTTACAACAGGCAAAAACTTCAGAGTTTTATAAAAACTCACACCAAGTTTTATCCAGTCAGGATTACTGACTGTCATCAAACAATTTAAACCATAAATCCAGCCTTCTCTCTTTATTCTACGAGACAGTCATTGGGGAAGCTGCATTATCTTGCATGTGTTTCATTACCCCAAATAAATATACACTTAGCACTCAAATTTTGTTACATTAAGCTTTTTACCTAATTATTTTACAAAAAAATTTTTACAGTGTTTACACATCACTTTAAAAATTTAATGTAGTGCTTTAACTATAAATAAAAGAAATGTAATTTATAATAATATATATTTCAATGTGAAAATGCTTGAGTATGATACACTAGAACAGAGATTGGAAAACTTGTGCCTGCTAGCCAAATATGGCCCATTGCCTGTTTCTGTACTGCACAAGAGCTAAAAATGAATTTACATTTTTAAATGGTTGAAAAAAAAGGGTTGAAAAAAATGTTTTGACATGTTAAAATTATATTACATTCAAATTTCAGTGTCCATAATGTTTTATTGCCAAATAGCCAAACATATTTATTTACATAGTCTCTAGAGTTGCTTTCTCACTACAATGGCAGAGTGGAATAGTTATGACAGAGACCATTTGGCCCACAAAGCCTAAAATGTTTCCTCCATGGCTCTTTACTGAAAAAATTTGTTGAGTGCTAATTTACATACATAATTTCAAAAGGAAAAACAATCAATATAATCAATATAGTGCTTTAACTATAATACAAGGGGGAAATACAAGGAACATAATGTAAAACAAAATATTATATATTTCAATATGTAAATACCTGGGCATGGTGCACTAGAAGAAGATAAAATGAAGAAGTTGGATGCTTAATTAACACAGACACAAATAACAACTTCATATTATATTAGAGATTCCAGAATCCACAAGTGGCATTTCTCTCAATGGTATGTGGTTTTCCAAAATAGTGAACTCTTGGGAAAGATTAGAACACAATTAAGTACCACCTTCTCTTGATTTACATGATCTTTGCATTGCTAAAGAACCAGGTATAATAAAACTTTGTAAGACATGCTTTGTGTGTATATGCAAAATGGAGTTTGATTGGAGGGTCAAATAAATAAAACAGTTTTTCCAATCACTTGAATGTCTGTTGGGACATGGGATAATTTATCGTTGTTTCTAACTATCTAATATGTTGCAGAGCATAGCATCTCTGTCCCCCTTTAGTTGTTGCTAATTGCCACTCTTTCATTATAACAATCTTAAGTGCCCTCACCCATTTCCAAAATATTCCCCCAGAAACGGTGACATCCCTATTGACAGTCACTGACCTAAAGGTGCTATTTATAGTACTTACATGTGCTAAAAGAGGATAAAATGAAACATTATGTTGAACACTAGAGGATAGCGCTTTGTCTAAGTAGACAAAAGATACATCTTTCCCCATCTATCTGAATTGTAGTGTCATATGGAATACATTTGCCACCCCATTACCCCATTATATGTTCAAATATTTTTTCTACTCTTTCCTGCCATTTGACCATATCATTAAGAAACTTTCATTTCTACAAGGGATAAAGCAGTAAGGAAAAAAGAGAAAGCATACATGCATGTTGTCAAGACGGCAAAAAAGGGAAAGCTAACTCTAATAAAACCTGAGTAAGATGACTAGGTTCTCAGATTTTTAGATGCATTCCTAGTCCCTCTTTTTATCTCTCTTCTTACATGTGCATATCTTCCACACTCCCCTCTAAGGACAACCTATCAGTCGAACTGAAATATCAATTTAAGAAACATCTATCTAGAAGGAAGAAGAAAGAAGCCCCTGGGTAAGTAAGAGTATTGGCACTGACAAGATTATCACCAAAAGCTTCTGTTCCATCCAGAAAGTTGCAAAACACTTTGCTCTTTCTTCATCTCCAATCATTGCTTCTTTGGCTATCACATCCATTCAGAAGCAGAACTATGTAAGATTTTAGCAGGTAATAAGACAATCAGACCATCTGAATAAAGCCTATTGTAATAGTAGAACTGCAGAGCTCCTGTTAGCTGTCTTTGATGTGCATTGTGAAGAACCAAATTCACCCTCCAAAAATCAATCAGCTGGAAGAGCCCATTTGATGTCTATCAATTACAAAATTTAATGGCTGCAGACTAGAAGAAAATAAAGATGATTTATGTAATGTTTTCAAATTCCCTTGGATGCTCAGGCTGGCCTCATACTGTTTGGTAATTTAGAAAGACAGGATGGCACATTTAAAAAGGTACCTCACTTAAAGTTCTGCCACAGTACTACAAGAAGTTTATTATAGATGGATCTCCTAGAGAAATACAGGATTCTTATTTTAACGCCTCCCACCAGATCCTTGGTAGTCATCTTGTTGTTGTTTACATGTGATTTGAAGTGAGTGAAGAGCTGATTGAGAATTCCTCAGAGCAAACAGGTGAACAGAGAGCCGCCTGAGCTTTTACAGCATTCTATGCTCCTCTTTGCCTAGGTATGGATCAGAATTTTTTAATGTGCAACCAGCCCCTGGGAAAAATCCAGGTGTCTAATTAAAAAAATTGTGTTGACAATAAAAATTGTCATCACTGCCAGAGGAAAAGATATACATAGCAAGGAAAAATCTATTTCAGTTTTATTCTTGGTTTATTTTTCACTGTGGCAGTTTGAGAACTGATGATTTTCCAAAGGAAACTCTGAATCTCAGAATTTTGAGAGACAATGTTCATTGCTCCAATGGCTTCTTATACAAGTGAGCAGAATTATCTTACATAATTCTACTTCTGAATGAATGGGATAGCTGAAGAAGTCATCGTTGGGGATGAAGAAAGAGCAAAGTGTTTTGCAACTTTCTGGATGGAACAGAGGCTTTTGGTGATCCCTTCTTGCACAGAGAAGGGAACCTCACTTGTAAGAGGTTGGGGTCTTAAAACAGAGGTCAGCAAATTTTTTCCATAAAGGGCGACATAATACATGTTTTAGGCTTTGAAGCCCATACTATTTCTGTGCCAACTGCTCCACTTTGCCATTGTAGCACAAAAACAGCTGTATACAATATGCAGGGGTGTAGCTGTGTGCCAGTACAATTTTATTTATGAAAACAAAGAGCTGGATTTGATCTGTAGGCCATAGTTTGCTCAGTTCTGTCTTGGATCTAAAAGATTTTTGTTATCCAGTTCTGTTTCTTACTTAAATGTTCAGAAGTGAGCTACTTTACAAAAAAAAAAAAAAAATCAGAATGTTGAAATATATGGGTTTCTAATTACATGTGCCTGATATCTGATCAGTATGTACTGCAGAAGGTATCTATCATACTAAATCTTTTCCAGATCTGAAATTGGTCACCAGCATCTACATAAAATTGAATATTTCCCTCTCTCCACCCGATTTCCATTGGGCTAAACCACCAAAGCTGGTGGAGCTTTATATAAACAAGGCCTACAACCCATGCTGGGTTTTTCAAACCAGTCAATAAAGACCTGAACAATATCTTGATCCCCTTTTGTTCTTCCCACAAGTCCATAAACTCTCTCAAGCAAGTATGGGCCTGCCAACCAACTTAAAAAATTATGTTCATATACCCACTGACCACAAATACAGGCATCACACCAACAAGTCTTTGGATCCAGACTAAAACTTCCCAAAGATGATGTGATCTGGCCTGTGAGTAGATCCCTATCATTAACAGAGCTTACTGCTCCAAGTCAACTAATTTAACTAACTTAGGTTCAGAGAAAACATAACTGCGAAATACCTCCATTTGGAAATTACAGTGGTCTCTTGACCTGGTGGGAAACAAGACTTAAAAGCAACATCTGAGATAGCACAGTTGAGGTAGGGAAGGAAATGGTGCAATAGGGAACAGAAGAGCCCTCACAAAGGGATCCAGTTGGGGAAGGGATGTTGCTTAATAAAACTCCACCATCAGTCAAAACATACCAAACCATAAGCACATACATTGCAAAAATAAGCTTCCAAGCCCTGGGTCAGTACAATTATACCTGTGCCAAGTGGTCTACAACTAGCAAAGATGAAGCCAGATATAGAGGAGAGGCAGAGTACATACACTGCTATGGTTACTTCATTTTAATGTAATGGTAGAAGCCCTGAATGGTTGTTTCCCTCAGAAATTGCATTTCTCCACTGGAGGAGGTAATTCAAGGAGGAAGGTACCAAGTCTACTGACCAGGAAACAACATAAGTTGGAAGGTAAAAAAGTACTTCTAACATTGGATGCATATCCATGACATCACTTCTTTCCTTGCATGGCCAATTTTGTGTTCTAAGTGGGAAGCAGGAACATTGAGAAGTGCATGGATCGTCAGAAGAAACATAAATGACTGCCCCATTGAGCTGCATGGCACTCACTAGACTAACGGGGATAATGCCCTTCCTCAGGTGCTTGACTTTTACAACACCCGGAAGGTATTTTTCTTCTGTGCACTCTCTGTATTATGTGTGGTCCTACATTCTAACATTTAGATAGTGCCCCACACTATCTGTTTCCATATCATTCATTTCCACCTAACCGTAACCTTCCTGAGGTCAGAGAATATATCTTATTTTAAAATTCCATTATTTGGCCGGGTGTGGTGGCTTACTCCTGTAATCCCAGCACTCTGGGAGGCCGGGGCACGCGGATCACGAGGTCAGGAGATCGAGACCATCCTGGCTCACACGGGGAAACCCCGTCTCTACTAAAAATATAAAAAATTAGCCGGGCGCTGTGGCGGGCACCTGTAGTCCCAGCTACTCGGGAGGCCAAGACAGGAGAATGGCGTGAACCGGGGAGGCGGAGCTTGCAGTGAGCCGAGATTGCACCACTGCACTCCAGCCTGGGCGACAGAGCGAAACTCCGTCTCAAAAAACAAAAACACAAACAAAAATTAGCAGGGTGTGGTAGTACATTCCTGTAATCCCAGCTACTTGGGAGGCTGAGGCAGGAGAATCGCTTCAACCCGGGAGACGGAGGTTGTAGTGAGCAGAGATCACACCACTGCACCCCAGCCTGGGGGACAGAGCGAGACTCCGTCAAAAAAAAAAAAAAAATTCCATTATTTATGCAAAAGCTTAGTACATAATAAGTGCCAGAAAAATATTGGGTGAATGCCTGATAAACGTGGTAGTGAAGTTGTATATTATACCAACTTGCAGTCCAGCTCACACAATCCTTGGGAGGTTTTAGTCTCTATCCAAAGACTTGTGGGTGTGACGCCTATATTTGTGGTCAGTGGGAATGTGGACAAAAGTGGTTTCAAGTTGGTTGACAAGCCCACACGTGCTTGACAGATGGAAGAGTACCAGGAGCTGACACCCTGCCTAGGGAAATCAAAGCCTTAGCAAACCCACTTTTATTTAGCACAATGTGTTTCATTTAAAAGCAAAGGGGAAGATGTGTCATACCTGGAACTATTTACATCTCTGTCTTTCTTTGCTTTTCCTGAATTCGCAAGACAGGATGAAACTCATTTCTATCTCTCCATCCTATGTGAAAACCCCACTTGCCATACAAACTAGACAGGACACTCAGAACATTGAGAATTGAACTGGTTAATGGGTGACAAAGTGACTATTTCCAAAGAGAGAAGATGGGTATGACCTAGAATCACCTTGCGTGTTGGACCAGACCTAAGCAAGCTGACAAAATTATATTTGTGTTGGGAGATAAGAAAAAAATATTGATGGCGGGTAGCCCGTATTACTTTCATCTAAAATGCTTAGCATGATACTATTTTTAAGAAGTTCAAGGCCAGGCGCAGTGGCTCACGCCACTAATCCCAGCACTTTGGGAGGCCAAGGTGGGCGCATCACGAGGTCAGGGGATAGAGACCATCCTGGTTAACACGGCAAAACCCCGTCTCTACCAAAAATACAAAAAATTAGCTGGGCTTGGTGGCCGGCGCCTGTAGTCCCAGCTACTCGGGAGGCTGAGGCAGGAGAATGGCATGAACCAGGGAGGCGGAGCTTGCAGTGAGCCGAGATTGCACCACTGCACTCCAGCCTGGGTGACAGAGCGAGACTCCATCTCAAAAATAAATAAATAAATAAATAAATAAATAAATAAATAAATAAATAAATATTAAAATAAATAGAGAGAAGCTCAAAGGTAACTAGACTTGAAAATCATCAGGAGGAAAGTCCCTATTATGGCTAATTCTCAGCCTAGTATTCTAGAATTTCTGCAATTTGGGTTTACCACACATTTAATATCATTTCTCATAAAATTTACAAGAGTCATTCTTCCTGCTGTCCCCAGGTATACCACGTTTATTACTCTCTCCACACCTTCACTCTGCCCTTTTTCCCCCCGAAATTCCTTCTTTGTCTACTTTTTCTTGACCTGGTCTTACTCAATTCTCAAAGCCTCTCCAATTTACACTCCTTTCAAGAAAGGTGTACTGATCATTCCAACTCTACTGTAATCCCTAACTTCCCTGAATTTCAGAACTTTAGTGTCTATTCCTCATTTGCCATTCCTGTTAATTCAAGAAACATCTAGTGAGTACCTATGATTGTCAGTAAGTATTCTAAGCATTGAGGGTACAAAGTTCCTGTTTTCCATGAAGTTATTAGGTGGGCGCAAAAGTAATTGTGGGTTTTGCTGTTAAGTAATGGCAAAACCATTAACAGCAAAACCCACAATCACTTTTGTGTAAACCTAATACATTCTCCGGGAGGGAGACAGAGAAAAGGAAAGAACTGAATTCAAATATATAAGAAAAATTGGAGAAAAGTACTCTGTGATATAGAGGGTGAGGTAGTAAAGTGACTAGAAGAACATATGAGATTGTATGACAGTGATGGTCTCTGAAATTATGACACTTAATCAGAGATTTAAATAAAAATAATTGGCTTCATGAAGATCAGCAGTGGTAGTATTTCAGGTGGATTCAAAGACTGAAAGTTGGCAGAAATAAGTTTGGCTTCTTTAAGAAAACTAAAAGTGGCCAATAGGTGTGATAATAGTAGATACAGGGGAGAGGCAGGCTAAAAATGAGGCCGGACAATGTAAGTAGCGGCCCAAGAGAAAGGTGGTGGTGGCTTCAACTAGGGCAGTGCTGGTGAAAATAGAACATCATAAGATTTAGATGAAGCGGCCGGGCGCGGTGGCTCACGCCTGTAGTCCCAGCACTTTGGGAGGCCGAGGCGGGCGGATCACGAGGTCAGGAGATCGAGACCATCCCGGCTAAAACGGTGAAACCCCGTCTCTACTAAAAATACAAAAAATTAGCCGGGCGTAGTGGTGGGCGCCTGTAGTCCCAGCTACTTGGGAGGCTGAGGCAGGAGAATGGCGTTAACCTGGGAGGCGGAGCTTGCAGTGAGCCGAGATCCCGCCACTGCACTCCAGCCTGGGCGACAGAGCGAGACTCCGTCTCAAAAAAAAAAAAAAAAAAAAAGATTTAGATGAAGCATGGATAAGACTTGGTAATGAACTGGATGAGAGAAGTTGAAGACTTCTCTCAAGGAAAACTCCCACCCTTTTTAGTCTGAGTGACTAGATGTTGACAGTTACTGAGATGACCAGGGAGACTAAGGGAGTAATTTGGGAGCATCTTCAGTCTCCTCATGGCTGCAACACTTTCTTTGTATATTTTTAACATATATTTTGCTATTACTTCTCTCTCCCTGACTAAATTAAAGCTGTCTCAAGGGTAAAAATGTTGTGCTTTGTCTTCCATAATGCAACACATATCGTAGGTACACTGGCACAGTGTTTGACAAATATTTGCTTAATAAATCTAGGAAAGGGAGAATGACATGTGAACCTCCATTTATAAATGTTATTTACAAGTTTTATAGAAATATTCACTCTGATGACTACCCTCTATGATTTCCTTGGAATAAGTTTAATGATAAAAGGTCCTTAGAATTCAAAGAAGAGTGTAACTCAATAATAGTGGAACACAAAAGAAAAGGGACAAAAAGATTACCTCTAATCTCTGTAATTTTAAGAGGGTAACTATAATTTTGCTTCTTTCACCAAACATTACGTCTTGTTTTTTCATTCTTATTTTTAATGTACAGATACTAGTTATTTTAGTAGCTATGCCATAATTTACCAATTATTCCTTCCCTATTGGTTATCTAGTTGTTTGAATACTGCACTTAACCTTCTCAGGTACAAAGCTTCCCTCACTCATCCTCTTTTAGACCTTTCTTTAGCACAGTGAGCCAAAATCACAGTCAAGGGACAGAAGTATATATGTTGAGTTACTTTGTAAAAAATGTTATAACAATCTGCATTGCCACAAAAGTATAAATTATTATTTCTCAAAGGAAAATTCTGGTGGTACTTTCAGGATAACTACATAATAAAATAATGCTAACCATTTAAATATAATTTTGACTTCTGACAAATAGGCAACTTAAGAAGCATCATTAGTCTAATGAATGAATCTGTTCTGTCATCAGCTCATGAGATGGACATTTCATAGAAATCTATTCCATATTTTTACTATTATTTATCTGTTTGGAATCAGGTATAGATTTATTCTCTGTAAATATTGTAGCTCCTTTTTGTAGTAGAGTGTATTTATGTTTTTAAACAGATGGATGAAACTTCAGATCCCAAGAGTACAAGTCCATGCCTAGGTTCATGCAGCCTCCCATAAATCATAGCAATAAGGAAAATGTGTATGTGCTATATTCAGAATGCTAGGAGCATACTAATAACTCCATTTTTAAACTACAATTGGAAATAAACTACTGGTAATTCCTAAAATCAATGGGTCAGTCAATTGTGGGGTTAATCTCATGTCACATAAAACTTTCTATTACAGCTGAAATCTCTGAATGAGACTAAAATCTCCTTGTATCTCTCTTAAGCTTGAATTCAGCAAGGCTAAATGCAACGAAAAGAAAGAAATCCAGCAGAATTGTTGGTTTGGGAGGCAGTGTGAAATGATGGAAAATACATGGCACCCTGGGGTTAAATCACAAATTTGCTACTAATTGTGTCACTTTGGGCGAATTATTTCATCTCTTTTTAAAAAATGTTTATTTGTATAAATTTAAAAAGTACAAATGCAGTTTTTTAAATACAGATATATTGCTTAGTGGTGAAGTCTAGGCTTTTAGTGTAACCCTCACCTTAATGGGTATATTATACTCCTTAAGGAATTTCCCATCCCTCATCCCCCTCACTCTCCCACCCTTCCAAGTCTCCAATGTCTATTATTCCACTATGTCCATGTGTATACATTTATAGCTTATAGCTCTCACTTATAAGTATTTGTGATATTTGACTTTCTGTTTCTGAGTTATTTCACTTAAGCTAATGGTCTTCAGTTCCATCCATGTTGCTGCAAAAGATGTGATTTCATTCTTTTTTATGGCTGAGTAGTATTCCACGGTATGGATATACCCCATTTTCTTTACGCACTTACCCATTGATAGAGACTTATGTTGATTCCATATCTTTGCTATTGTGAACAGTACTGCTATAAACATATGAATTCAGTTATCTTTCTGATGTAATTATTTCTTTTTTAGAGTAGATACCCAATACTGTGACTGCAGATTGAATGGTAGTCTATTTTTAGTTACCAAGAAAACTCCTCTAAATTGTGAGCCAACTTGTGGAAGAAAAAAGATAGCCCTCCCTGACTGAAAAAAGACTTAAAGAGCCTCTGAGGACATTCGTGCCATTTGTGAGTCAAAGTACAGTCACTGAAGAAACTTGGGGAACAGAATATAAGACTTGCAGCAGGAAAAAAACTGATTCAGGGAACTCATGCAGGAAACATGTGGTCTTCGCTGGGACAAAGCCCAGAGAAAGCCCAATGCCCGGTAGAAAAGTAGGCAAAATGACCTATTAAGTCAATTTGCCATGGTGGGACATAAAGCCACATGCAAACCATAGGAAAAGGCCAGGGCAGATTTATTTTTTATGTATATCATAGCTCAACATAGTTTTGTCCTTCATTCTGATTCTGATCCACACAGCATTTGCTGAGCATGCACTATATGACAGGTGCTGTCACATACTTATAAGTGGTAGAGCCAGTGAATTATGACCATATCTGGGCTTTCCACAAGCCAAACTGGAGTTTCATTATATAAATAACCAAGACCAAACTAAAATTTGGAACTTGAATTGTCTGGAGAGTTGTATCTGAGGAGATTTGAGGACCATCCCTATCTCAGCTACTACTTCAATGAGGATGATTCTCAAATTTATATTCCCCACCTGGATTTTTTATTCCAGTTCCATGCAAGCTTTTCAGCAGCCTACTAATTAGAATACTGCTATTTTCCAGGACCTCATGATCACAACTGTCTTCTGCCCCTGTGGCAAAAATAGTGCTACTAAATCTCCCAATATTTATTTCCCCTTCTTCCTTAACAAGGAAAACTCTGGTTTTAGTAAGACATCACAGAATACAGACTATATTAGCCATATCTCCTTTGTAGGTAGGTGTGGACATGTGAATAAGTTCTGGTTAATGAGATGTTAGAAAATGTATAAGAGTTCCAGGAAGTGCTAAAAGAAAATGCTATGCCTCTCCTCACCTCTTCCAGCAAGCCGGGATGTGGACATCATAGCTAGACTTCAAATAGCCATCCTGAACCATCATGCAAATGCCTTATTTTCAGCATCAAGATAGAAAGAGCTGGGATCCCTGCATGGCCTACATTTATAAGATATAAATAAATCTCCATCTTATTTAGACTTATCCATCACTCATAGCTGAAACTAATCCTAGCTGATACACACTTGCCTTCAATACCCATGGAGTGAAGACATTGACTCTACTTCTGCTATAGCTCTAATCCATTCTTTCCTTCACATTTCTACTGCCTAGACACAGATCCTAGACAAAGGCCCTCAGTGATTACTTAAATGGCCAATTATAGTGGCCTAATAACTGGACTCCTATGTCCATCCATGCTCCCTGCTGTGGTCTTCACACCTCCTGCATGATTATGTTTCCTGTTTACAGCAGCACTGTGTCCATGTCGTCTTTCACTTTTGAGGGGTAGTGAAAGACATGCACAGAGTCTTCCTATGAAGCTCATTTACCAGCTATTTACACAGCCAGGTCCAAACTCATTGACCATCTTTCAAGTCTCTCTGCAAAGCCCTTCAATGACTCCCTATTGGTTACACGATAATGTGCAAGTGTTCCAATGAAACTTTCAACAAACTGTATGGTGTGGTTAACTTATCTGTTTTCCAAAACTCATCCTATCTCCTTTGGGCATCTTTTCTCTGTGCTCTCATGGCATTTATTATATACATTTACTTATAACATATATATTTTTCTTAAATAACCTCTTCATGAGATTGTCCTCCTGTCAGAATAGGTGCCCTGTAAATGTATTTGGACTGAAGTAAATTTAGACATTTGTTTCTCACTGACCAACCCTAGTCAGACTGAACTATCTGCTCTTGGTGATGTTTGCCATGTGTTCACACTATTTACTTTTACTGGAATATCATATTCTTTACTGTATATCCAAAGTAAACCAATATTTCAAGTGTTTGCTCAAACACTACCTTCTAAAAACCTTCCGTGGTTTCTCCAGATAAAAGAAAGCTCTATTATAATCTCTGAAGTTTCTTACCATATTGTATACAATTTATTTCATTTCAGTCCAATTCGATATGATTCAATTCAATCAAATCCAGAAAATATTAATATTTAGAACATACTCATTATGTTTGCATACTCATTCTAGGTCTTTATTTTGGAGTGGTTTACAGTGCAATGAGAAATAAGGGGATGTCTTTAATATATTCTAGGCTAAAGTGTATGCAATATACAAATTAAGATAATGATAGTGTTGACAATGCTAGTTTACCTGCGAGAACAGGCAAACTCTAAAATCTCAATGGCATAGTACAAGTTTATTTCTCATACATATAAATTTCCAAACTGGTTTTCCTGATTGGCATATAGCTCTCCAAGTCAGGGCCCAGGTTTCTTCTGTCCTGTGGCTCTGCTATCTGCAATACAAGACTTCAAAGGCCGCTATGCTGTGTAGGTCAAGCCAGAATGGAAAAAAGCGTGGAGGATTTTTCAAAAGTTGTTTTCCTGGCTTAAACCTAGAAATAATATTCACTACTTCTGCCCACATTTCATTGACTAGAACTTGGCCTCTTTAATACAACTAAATGTAAAAGGAGGCTAGGGAAATGTAGTCCAGCTGTGGACTACACAGTGGTGTTGGATTGGATAGAACTGAGGGAAGTCTTGTAGAATCCCTCACACACAATGACACTGAAGAGAATTTGAAAGTTTTCCACTCCCTTAAAATGGACCAAGAAGAGGAGTAAATATTTTTTGGAGAACATGCAGCCAGAGTGGTTATAACTTCTAATTTGTCTAGAATATTCTATTTGCATTTGTTGTCCCAATATTGTTATAAAATGGGGTCTCAAAGATGTCCCAGTTTAGATGATAAATTATGTGATCATCTCTACACTTAGCAGTCTTTTCCACATGCAGCTTTAGCCATTTTGAAGACTCTGTTGTAGGGCATTTAGGTTTCTACCAGATTATCCACATATTGACCCATATTTTGTCTTGTGTGTTTGTTGCCTAAATGAAATCAAGAATGTGCACCTTCTCTCAATCCTCCTACAACCTATCTCTTTCCCCTGCTTTCTTACTCACCATTTGCCAGCCAATAAGTCAATACAAACAACTCAATTGGCTACAGAAGACACAATTACTAGAAACCTGATGACCCAGATACCTTTTCTTGTAATTAATTAATTAATTAATTTTTGAGACAAAGTCTTGCTTTGTTGCCCAGGCTGGAGGGCAGTGGCCTGATGTCGTCTCACTGCAACCTCCGCCTCCTGGATTCAAGTGATTCTCTTGCCTCAGCCTCCTGAGTAGCTGGGATTATAGGCGTGTGCCACCACACCCGGCTAATTTTTCATATTTTTAGTAGAGACAGAGTTTTGCCATGTTGGCCAGACTGGTCTCAAACTCCTCACCTGAGGTGATCCTCCTGCCTTGGCCTCCCAAAGTGCTGGGGTTACAGATGTGAGCCACCGCACCTGGCCCCTTTCCTTGTATTTAAATGCTAGACAAAAAGAGGCAAATGTCAAGAAAGTAAGATTAGAGAAATTAAAGGTTCAGTGGTAGAAGGTATGGAGAATGGTTCCTTCTTCCCTGAATAACTTTTCTTCAACAGCAAATATTCAACATGACTCCCTATGCTGTCTTCAATTCTGTTCTATACAGTGAGAATAGCTGCCGGAATGAGTTGTATTACAACATATTGAATATAATAAGTTGTAATTATCTTATACAGAAATTATTTAATTACATTTAATTTTCTCCTAAATATGAAACAGCATGTTCAGAAAAATGAAAATACAACATAGAATTATACATGTGAAAGGGAGATTTAAGACAGTGTTTTATGCCCCCCTTATTTATCAGATGGGGAAACAGAGTCCTAGAGGAATAAAAACTTTCAGAAGAGTTAACGGTAGAAGCCAACACTATGAGGTCTCTGGTGACCAAATTGCTGCTCTATCAACTACATACAAAAGGATTTTAAAAGGAGCTGAAGGCCATTATCCTTAGTCATAGGACCAGAACACCAAATACCACATGTTTTCACAAGTGGGAGCTAAATGATGAGAGCACATGGACACATAGCAGGGAACAACATGCACTGGGGCCTATTGGAGGATGGAGGGTGGGGAAAAGGGAGAGGATCAGGAAAAACAACAAATGGGTTCTAGGCTTACCACCTGGGTGATGAAATAATCTGTAAAACAAGCCCTCTTGACACAAGTTTACCTATGTAACAAACCTGCACATGTACCCTTGAACTTAAAAAAAGTTTAAAAAAAAAGTCATAAAAGGAAGAATTAGTTGTCAGCTAAACAGAACATCTGAATTCAGTTATTTAGGATAATTAGTTCAGTAGTCAGCAAACTCCAAAGTTTTTAAATATCACATGCAGTCATTCTACCTAAGAAATGTGTAACAATGAGATTCTGTCTTGTTGGCTTATAGAAAAGTGACTCTAGAGGAGTATGTGCACCCTGTATAGGAAAATTGAGTGGAAGAACAGTTTGGCAAGCTCCTGGGTCACAAGTTACAGTAAGCACCTTTTGTTCTTCCATTATTCACCTCCAGCACTCTACCACATAACCTCAAGATCTACTCACTTTGTACATCAAAGACAGATTATTACAAATGAAAAGAATGAACCAATAGGAACTGCTTTCCTTGAGATCCCCCTCTAAAAGTTAATCTTTCAAGGAACAAAGGAAAATGCACTTCAAAATAGGCATTTTCCCCCTCAAACAATAGGTTTTCTCAAATTTCTGAGAATGCCAAGAACACTGTGTTTTTGTTATAAATGTTACATGCCAGCATATGATTACAAAAGCAAGAAATGAAAAGAAAAAAACCCTTACACTTTTTAAAATCACAGGTGAGGCAGATGCCATTTGTAAGAGCTACAACATCCTTAACTTTCAGAAAAGAAAAAATTACCAAGCACAAAAGTGAAAAATACACTATAGATTATATACAAATCTGTCAATAAAATGCTTTCATCATGGTGGCCAGGTTTCACAGATTATGCTTTGTTTAGAAAGTAAGCAATTCCATCATTAGGCTAATGCTCCACAGTGCTACAATTCTACTTCCTTTGGAACAGGCAGGATCATGTAATCACGAATTTCAAAAGATGGGCAAAACCAGACACAGAAAACGTTCCACATGCTGCTGATGCAAATGTTGTACTCTAATTTTCAAGGTCAAAAAGATAGGATAGGAAGATTACAGAAGTGTGCAAGAAATACACCAATATTGACCTTAACTGAGTTTTTGTGTCACTATGTGTACACTTACTATGGTGTTCAATGAAAAGATGCTGGTCTTGGTGAGTGTACAATGTGTGAAAGTGTCACCACAGGGACCAAGGGTGGGCTGGCATTAGGTCTTGGACTTGAGTTGGATTCCAAGGTTTTCTTAGCAGCCAAAAGTTAGCCAAGAGAAGAAATAAAAATAGCTAACATTTAAATAGCTTTTATAGGAAGGCACTGTTCTAAGCATTTTATATATGTATTGACTCATTAAATTCACATCAACTCTCTTTTGTGTTACAGTATTCCTGCCTTCTCTGCAGGGGATTATGTTCCAAGAACCTCAGTGGATGCCTGAAGTCTCAGATAGCTGGTGACTATTTATACTGTTTTTTTTTTCCCTCTATACGTAGACACTTATGATAAAGTTTAATTTACAAATTAGGCATTGTAAGACATTAACAACAATAGCTAGTAAACAATAGAACAGTGATAATATGAAATGTATATATATTTTATATGACATTTATAATATACATATTTTAAAACTCTCAAAACTATAAATTTTATGCATGCATGCATATGTGGTAAAGTTATAAAACCATGGATACATATTAACTTGGAGAAATTGGTTCTCTATCTTGAGAAGAAGGGAGAGATGGGGAATACAATTTGGAAAGGATACACAGATTACTAAAATTTTATTTATTTGAAAATATCAGAAACAAATATGGCAAAATGTTAATATTTGCTATTTTAGAATGATGAGTTATTAGTATTTCACGTATTCTCAGTAGTTTTTCCAGTATGCTTAAAAGAAGCCATGATTTTAAAATAGGCAAGGAAAAATAGGTATAGTTGTAAACAAACAAGTTATTAAGTAACTGTAAACGTGTTTTTAAAAATTAGCTAGAAAAAAGCAACCTCAGAAGGGAAGAGTAAGATAGATAAATCAGTAAGATAGAGATCAGTGAGAATCTTCATAGTTCAAAAGTGATAGGCCAAGTAGGCGTCAATTCTTAAATAGATGTAGTTTTAATGAAATCCTAATTCAGTAACATTAAGGGATTCTTCAGTAACTTAAAACTGTTTCCAAAATTACATGGAAGAACAAACAAGATTTTTTAAAAAGACTTACTTGCAGAGATATCAAAACTTTATAAAGTTATAATAACTAATATGATGAGGTATTGATAAGTAATTGACAGATCAATTAAACAGCATTGATGATGCTGAAATATTCCCTAGCATATTTTTGTATAAGATATAACGGTGTAAATATCAAAATCTACAGCAAAGAAGTGGACTATTTAACAATTACTAAGAAAATTGGCTAATTGTAACAAAAATTATTATATTTGTCATAATATACATCCTGGATAGATTTAAAAGTTAAATGTAAAATGAAAATTTTAAAATAGGTAAATAGAATATAACTATTTTTTTCTGTAAATACAGCATCTTTAAGTTAATGTAGGTTCCTCTTTGTCCTAAACCTAAGGGTTTTTTATGCATTCTAGGTAGACCAGCAGTCTAACTCTCACAGAACATTCAGAGAAATTAAAATAAATTCTGCCCACACCCCTACATGAGATGAACTGGAACGTGGTGTAAAACTGGGTTACAGATCTATGTAGATTATCTGATGATCTGGGCTTCTTTAAAGGAAAGATAAGTGGATACCCCAGGGAAGTTACCATGAACCAAGGAAGACAAAGATTTATGTAAATAGCTGCTGACTACACACTCTTTTTAGTAAACTTACAAATAACAGGATTTTGAACAATACAGCATTAGCTAAATATATTATGGAACACTCACACTAAGAAATATTAAATAATGTTTTTTGAAGATTATGTAAAGACAGAAAAATCCTCACCAAAAAATACTATCTGAAAAAAATCAGCATATAAAAAAGTATATAAAATATGATCCTAATTTTGAGAAGGAAAAAATATCTGGAAGGAAATACAACCAAATGTTAAGTGAGGTTATTTTCAAGTGTTATGATGATGAAGTGAAGTTAATTTTCTAACCACTATTTTCCAACTTTTTGTAATGTGTATTTTTTATGATTAGGATAAAAATGGTATAAAAATTTTTAAAAAGGCAAAACCTCCCACTGTGTGCTGAGCTTCCCCGAACCAGTGAACTAGATTTCACTGAGGACCCTAACAACTTCTCAGTGGTAAAAATAATGAGTTTTCCCAACATTAAGATTTAATTTTCAGTGGTATAGATGGGAGCAAGAAAGCCCAAAGGACATTGACCGTTTCTGAGCCTAATTTCTCACTCCCGCACATTGGCCACTGTGCTGCTGGCTAAACAATTTCCCCCCATTCTCAGTTACTCGTTTTGCTCATGCATAAAAGATACATGTTAAATCAGAGAAACCACCCTAAGGGTGATTGATGAGGAGGACAGCCTGGAGAGTTACTTCAAGCTCTAAGCTCAGGGAACTTGGTAACACTTTGGACTCAATTTTGATTTGCAGTTGTACAAGACAATGAACATTGCTGTTGGAGGGGGACCTTGCTGTATACACTAGAATTCAATTTAGCAGGAAATGGCAAACACTTTAGGGAACCCAAAGACCATCTCCATGATACAGGGTTTCCTAAGAGGACTTCCTAAGAGGGCTGCACAATGAAACGAATGTGCCCTGGAAAGACCTGCTTTCTGCATAGCCAGTGAGGTTTTATAAGCCATGGGTAAAATGGGATAAATGTTACCTTTGAAAAGTATATGCCGCCTATGCTCTTCACATAGGGCTTCTAAATCACTACACAAACTTCTACATACCGATATATCTTTCTGTGGGAGGGATGAGTTAAAACAACCTGTCTTTCTCTTTCTCTTTCTCCGCCTGTCTGTCTCTGTATTTGTCCCTGTCTCCTTCTGACTCTCTCCTTTGTCTGTTTCTCCCTCTTCGTGTGCATTTCTATGAGTGTCTGTTTGTATTTTTCTCAGTGTCTATCTCTGTCTCATTCTCTGTATAACATTCCTTCTTTCTTGTCCACAGAATTTTTTCTTAAAAGGGAAGGGGACTAATATAGCATTTACTTTTTCTGGCACTATGTTACTTTATATACACTATTTAATTCAAGCCATTCAGCAATCCTAAGAGGAGGAAAAACGTTTTTAAGAAAAAACCAAAAACTTTTCTTATAAATCAGGAAACTGAAGCTTACAGAAGAATTTTGTCCAAAGGCCACCTATTCACAGAAAATGGAAGATGGCTGTTCGGTAATGAGTCCCCGTGGACCCCGGAGTAACACCCTTCTTAGTATGTGGACATGCTTGCAGAGTGCACCTTCTCCGTGATACAAGGCTATTCTTCCTAATCCATGGGCTGGGAAATCCATGGCCTAAGATGCAAACTGACCTAACCCACAGGTATAAAGGCAGCAGAGCAACCAGCCCTCCATCCTTCCCACCTCCATTCCTTTCCTGCCAGCTCTCTTTTTCACTTCCTGCAACCTGATTTTCATTCCTGAGACAAAATAAATGTATCCTTCACAGAGTTTTCTGATGTTGAGGACCCAATGTCCTTCACTCAGTCCTTACTGTACTTGCTCTCTGAGGATTGAATACCATGGAGCTCATCTTCTTAAACTGCTTTTTCCTTAGCTTCTGTAAGATAATATGGCATTTGATTTCTATCTATTCTCTGTAAAAAATAAAAGGTAAAATAATTTGTCTATGTAAGTCCTCACTTAATGTTGTTGATAGGTTCTTAGAAACTGGAACTTTAAGCAAAACAACGTATAGTAGGTCCTTCAATAATATCATTTCCTTCAATGTAATGTTTTATCATGTTGACGAGAAAAAAAATTGGTTTTGTTTATATGTTGTTTCACTTAAAGTCAGTTTCCAAGAATCTACTGGTAATATTAGTGAGGACATACTGTTCATATATGTATATATGTGTAGATACATATGTACACATACATATATCAGGGAAGTAAAGAGGACATAGTTGGGGAAACCAAGCAACATAGAGATGGGCACATACTAGCTGCTTAATATATTAATTTATTGAATTAATGAATTAACCAACTCATAGAATTATCTCCCAATCTTCATCTAAGCAAATCTTTCACTCCAGCCAACTAGAAAAGTGCCCCCTATAAATGCAATGTGTTTTCTTGCTCACATTCATAGACCTCATCTGAGGTTTTTCCCTCTTTGTACAAATGCTATTTACATCCTGACCGAAACCATCACCAACCCATGGAAAATCTCCTTTGTTGCTGTGAATTGAAACAACTCTTCCTCTCTAAATGTTTATGACAATGTTCACCTATTTAGCAATTTATCCTTTGCTTCCCTGTGGGGTTTTTAATCATCACTTAACTTTTGTGTTGTTATTTCACTCCTCTCTTGTTGTCATTGTCTCTTCAACTAAGAGAACCATACTTTTGTGTCTTCATTGTGCCCCTCTAAGAGAAGATGCTAGTATAAATAAATGTTTAATTTATTAATATTTTGAATGCAAGAGACCAGTGCTCCTAAGTATTGCTAGCTTTTATGCAGTAGAATGGAAAAGAGGGCAATAACTAAATTTTCTGAGAGTCTCCTCTGTACTAGATGTTTTGCAAGTATATCTTGTTTCATTCTCACCAGAAATTTATTAGGTAGTTTTTACCTTATTTATACATAAAGACACTGAAGTTCAAAGTTACTTGATCAGGGTCATTCATCTGGTAAGTTGGAAAGCTGGGGCCTGAAAGCAAGATTCAGCTCTAAAGATTACATCCTTAAGATGAGTTCATGTCCTTTGCAGGGACATGGATGAAGCTGGAAACCATCATTCTCAGCAAACTATCACAAGATCAGAAAACCAAACACCGCATGTTCTCACTCATAAGTGGGAGCTGAACAATGAGAACACATGGACACAGGGAGCGGAACATCACACACTGGAGCCTGCGGGGTGTGGGGGCTGGGGGAGGAATAACATTAGGAGAAATACCTAATGTAGGTGACGAGTTGATGGGTGAAAACCACCATGGCACATGTATACCTATGTAAGAAAACTGCACATTCTGCACATGTAACCCATAACTTAAAGTATAATTTAAAAAAAACCTAAATAAATGTATAAAGCAAAAAAAAAAAAGATTATGTCCTTAAAATTGTGTCACACTAAACAATAAAGTTTCTAGAAGAATACATAGGAATGTATCGTCAGGAAACTGGAGTAAGCAAAGGCTTCGTTAGCAGGACACTAGGGGAAACAATTAATTGGACTTCTTTAAAATTAAAAACTTCTGTTCACCTAAAGATATCACAAAAGAGTGAAAATGTAATTCATGAGTTGGGAGAAGATATATACATCCAGGCAAAATTATTGAATTTAGAATATACTGTATCCAAAATATACTCATACGGTATCCAGAAATACTTTAAAACTTAATAGGGAAAAGACGAAGTCTTTTGTTCATTTATGGGCAAGAGACTTGATAGATCCTTGATAAAGGAGAATATCCAAATGGGCAGTAAGCATATATAAACTTGCTCAACACTACTCAAATTTAAACCCCAATGAAATGCCACTACCACCACCAGAATGGCTAAAATTAATACAATGGATAATAGCAAGTATTGGCAGGAATGTGGTGCAACTGGAATTCTCATATACTGCTGGTGGTAATATAAATTAGTATAGCCACTTTGAAAATGTGTTTGGCCTTATCTTCTACAGTTGATAAAAACTACAAATTTCATCTACTCTATGACAATAATTTCACTCCTAGGTATAGATGCAAAAAATATTAGTGCGCATGTCTACTAAAACACATGTACAAGAATGTTTACATCAGCTTTATTTATCATAGCCAAAGACTGAACAACCCATATGTCTACTGACACCAGAACAGAGAAACACATTTTTGTACATTCATACAATGGCCTACAAATTACACATTAAAAGAATCAACAATTCCTACCTTGAACAACATAGGTGAGTCTCAGGTTGTAGAGTGAAAGAAGCCAGACACAAAGAGTACATTCTGCATGATGTTATTTATATGAAGTTTTAAAACAGGCAAAACAAGTTCATAGTTATAAAGGTCAGAATATTTTTTTCCTCTATTGGGTGAGGGCGAAGGGTGTTGGTAATTGACTGGGAAGGGATGGGGGTGAACCTATGGAGTGATGAAAATGTTCCATATTTTGATTGGTGTGATAGTTATGTAGTATATACATGTGTAAAATTAATTCATCTGTACAATTAAGATTTGTGCATTTTATATGTTAATCTCAATTTAAAAAGCAAGTAATCAACCAAACAGCACTCTGTCATGGCAAATGGAAATATATTTGTAACTATACCAGTTTCCTGAATAAGAATTTATATGATCTATCCATTTTATATTAATAATTAAGGTCCAAGGAAAACATTTGTCTCTCCTGACACTCTGGTAAGATTCCCTTTATCAGATAATAAAACCATATATCCTGTCCTGTCTCACCTGTGTCAGGAAGCACACACGAATTCAATACTAAATTAATCATTTTAGCCTGGGTTTTGGTATATTTACTTTCATTCTCTCTTTCTGCTCCTCACTCCCCAAACTCCAGCCTCACTTCCCTTCTGATGAAAATGTTTTACGTATGCCGTTCAGTACCTCAAAACCATGTTGGATGTAGGTAAGGATATAACATGACGTGCTAAATGAACAAGGTGCTTAGCGCAGAAATTGAAAGGTGGTATAAAAGGAGAGTAATATTTGGTGTCAGAAAACTTTAGCTTGAGTCTAGATGTCCTTTTATTACCTGTGAAATCTTGGTTTCAATTTGTTGAACCTTTGCCCCCTCACCTCTAAAAACCAGGCTAGTCCTATTTACTTCCCAGGTATTGTGAATATCTCTTGGGATAATGCATGTGGGGAAAGCACCATGAGCTAGAAAGCATGGGTACTAAGGTTCACCTGGCTGCCAATATAGGGGTACATAGGCTGACATAAAGAAAGCAGCAGGCCTGAGTGTCCACTACAGCTTGATTATCTCATTGCTCTCCATCTGTTGCTTTTTCTCTGACCCACATTTCCTTTCTGGAACTTAGTGGGTGTTCTCACTAATGAACACACACCTTCTACTGTCAGGAAGAAGGAGTCTCAACAAGAAGCCTGTGAGAGTGTCTTAAAAGGCTTGGCTGGATAATGACCAAGGAACTTGAACCACTGGTCTATCTTGTTTTCCCCATCTTTAGAGAAAAAGTTCCTGGACACTCTGGTACATCCGATTACAGAAGAAAGAGATAAGAATTGGCTCTGAGGACAGAGCGAACAATCTTTTATCCCCCATCCTATCAACGGCTATGACAATTGGTATCCTTCAGTTTTTAAGAATTACTACATATCAGATTCCAAGAAGCTCAGGCAATAACATAATAGACACCAATGTCTCAAATATCCTTCTGGAAGAGCCATTGATATTTTGCTAAATGTACTAAGATTTATTTCTTGAAAAAAATAATTACAGATAGGGTTGAAGTTCTACTCTGTATGCTTTCTCTTTCTCTCCCCTCCCTTGAGGCATCTCATTTCTGAGGTTGGTCAAAGCCATTTGCAAATATGCTTTTGGTTTTCTATCCAAAGTCTTCACATAATATGCTATGAGGTATCATTAAAGTTATAGAAAATGCATCTAGCCCTATCTATCCTTTGTAACTTGCTTTTTTCATTTATCATAATGCAGATACAATTCATTCATTTTAACTGCAATGATACAATTCATTCATTTTAACTGCAATGTATAAATGATCATGGATTTGTCCATTTGCTTACAAATAAATAGCTGGATCCACCCCACTTCTGCCATTTTTAGCTATTTTAAATTATGCTGCAATGAATATCCTTGTGTAGATCTCATTGTTTATGAACTAGGATATCCCATTTTTAAAAAATCTAGAATGGATGCTGAGAAGCAGGATTGCTTAATTGTAGAGTATGCCTATCTTGGAACAAATTAGATCTCTCTAAAGTGGTTATAACAATTTAAAACACATCTTTTGGCCACAGTTGGTATAATCACATTTTTAAATGTGTGTCAATAGATGGGTTTGTAATGGTATGCTACTGCAATTTTAATTTCCCCTGAATCCCAGTGAGGCTGAACAAATTTTTCATACATTTATGGCTGTTGGAATTTACCTATAAACAGTCTTGTTTATATATTTTGTACATCAAATGGTTTATTAGACTGTTTGAATAATTCTGGTTCCAGAACATTTTACTTCTCCCAGAAAAGCTCAACCAATTTCTCTTGCACTTCTAATTTTCAGAAGTTTTTTAAAATTGAACCCAAATCTGTATTGTTGATATTTCTATCCAGTACACTGGTTTTGCACTCTGGGTTGACACGGAATAAGTCTGACCTTTCTTTCATATCACTGCCTTACATATCCATTTGTTCATTGACTTATTCATTCATTCATTCACATACTTACTCATTTATTCATTTCAGCAAACACAAATTAAGCACTCACCAAAGTCAGGAATAAAACCTGGGTCAAGTCATCAAGGAGACACAGTTTGATAGAGGAGACAGACATCAAATTAACTAATGATACAACATGGTAAGCCCAGTAATAGTGGTATGCACAAGAAACAAAGGTAGGACAGAATGAGGATGACTTTAACAGATATTCACCCTCTCACCACACCATTTATTAAAATAGACATTTCTATAAAACTTGCCTGCAATAAGTATCCACTGTCATAGTCCTCTTGTGTATCTTTCCCCCGTCACCTGGCCACTCTTCCAGCGGAGGCCCCCCAATATTTCTATATCAACTAAGGGGGTGGCAGGGTGTGGGAGATACACCAGGACCTTATGCCTGTGCTGCAGCTGGCCTGTTTTGATGGGTTGGTGCCCAGAACTGCTGTTACATATTTGACTGTCATATTTGGAAGGAGCTACTTTCACTTGTGTCCTGGTTACAGGTATTCTCACTGTCCCAATCACTCTCTGTCACATCTATCTTTATCCTTCATACATGATAGTGCTCAGAACAATACATAGGTTCATGGAAAAATAGTCTAAGCACAGTGTTTATCAAACCTCAGTGTGTGCATGAAACATCTACATTTTTTGAAAAAATTGTGGATATGACTCAGAAGGCCTGGGCTGGGGCCTGAGATTCTGTATTTCTAACAACTTGCCTGGTGATGCCAATGCTGCTAGTCTGAGGACCATATTTTGAGTAGCAAGGGTATTTGCAGCTTAAAATGTAGTTGAACCAACACCAACATAATTCTGACCCAACAATAACGACCCAGCCCAGTGTCAAATCAGTTATCTGACAACAGTGTCACACTACAGACATGTACTGACCTAAGTCCTGTACTGACCTAAGTCCTCTAAGTCTTTTTAGGAAGAGCAAAAAAGTCAATACTACTTCATCTTCTATTTATGGAGATATGTTTTTGTATACACGTATCTCTTTGCAGCTACACTAGTTTGGAGGCTAGTGACGTCGGGAGGGGCCTGTGATACCTACCTGTTCCTCTACCGGGCCAGTCCATAGAGAAGGTATACCTAGCATGCATCCAACAATGCACCTGAGCTTCTTTAGCTGTACAAGGGCCCATTGCTATATTAAAGAAATCCTCCAGGGAGCTAAGGCTCTAAGACACATCTTTACAATGTTTCATTCATTCCTTCAACAAATAGTGCGTGAGCATTCGTACCTGGTGGTCATTGCTTTAGGTACTGAGACAAAGTGCTTCCTCTCATGGAATTTATATTCTGCTGGGGTCAGATGTGCTCCAAAAATACATGAATAAATAAACAAGAAGAATTTCATATGGTGGTGTTATGCTGAAAATAATAGCAAGAGGTGAGGGTGGCAGGGTGGCTCCTATGGACTGGGCAGTCAGAATGATGTCATTTAAGCTCAGACCTGCATTATTAGCAGGAAGACGCCATGTATAGATAATAAGAAAAAAAAGGGTCACAGGCAGGAAAATAGATGGTACTAGAATTTGAAGCAGGAAAGAGCTTAATATGCTCACAGACTGGGAAGGTCAGTAAACTGCCTGGAGCATAATGAATGGGGGTTGGGATAGAACACACTGACATTGAAAAGGTAGAAAGGGGTTAGATCCTGCTGACCTACATAAGTCAGGGTCAGGAGTATAGATTTTATTCTAAGTGTGATATGTAGCCTTAGTGATCATTGAGGTTTTTGGATTTTAGAGGTAGACTCTGTAAGGCTCCAGATAGAATTACTGGGTAGCTACTTTTTCTGTTTGTTTTTGGCATCAGCAGTCAGTTGGCTGTTGGGGTCACTTACTTGGTTGGGGAAAGTTGTTGTATGGGTGATGTTTGAGGAGAGAACACAAGAGTTTCATTGGATCATGGTAAGTTTCAGATGGCTGCCAGTCATCCACATGTTGGTGGCAAGCTGACTGTTGGAAATAAGAGTCCTGAAGACTCAATGTGCTGTCGGGCAAGAGCAAAAGACCTGGCATATTCAGCAGATGGTTCTTAAGGCATATCCATAGGGAATGTCATACTAACAGATTGATCAGAGGAGGAAAGACCAGCAAAGGAATTTGAGAAGTGGCCAGTTAAGTCAGAGGAAGACTGAAGATATGGAGTCTTGTGAACTCAAAGAAGTGTTTCAAGGAGGCAGGGCCTGACTATATGTGATGCTACTGTAAGGTCATGGTAGACAAGAACAAGGGAAAACCCTCTAGATTTGGCAATACATAGATCAGTGGTGACCTTGATGATAGTGGCCCTAGTGGAGTGGTGGGGAGGAAAGTCTGATCAGATAGGTTAAGAATGTCAGAAAGGACGTAAAAATAATGATTGTAGATAATAAGCTCAAGATTTTATGTGAACGGAGTGAAGAGAGTGGTAGTTGGAAGGAAATAAGAGATCAATTTTTTAATAGGAGAACCAAGAGCGTATTTGTATAATAATGGAAATGGACTAGTTGAAAGGGATAATGTGATGATTCAGGAATAAAGGAAGATATAATTGCAGAAGCAAAGACCTTGAGAAGGTGAAAAGGACCGGGATCCAGACCAAAGCATTAGGATTGATTTCTGATAGGCACAGAGATATCATCTTCATAGAAACAGTACTGAAAGAGACAGGATAGAGATACAGATAGTTTATTTGGGCAGTGAAAAGGTATAGGAGTTTCTGTCTGCCTCAATTTTCTTCTATATTTGAGAAAAAAACATAACCCATTCTCAAGGGCAACAGGACTCTCAAAAAAAACAGACAAGCCAACACCTAGTGGGACCCCACAAACTACAAGTGAAAACAAAAACAAAAGCAAAACTCTACATGAAAGTGGGCAAGAAAGAGGTAAGCAACTTCTGAACAGAGAAATGGGGAGAGGAAATGTGATATCCTCAACAGCATAAAAATGTCTTAAAATTACGGAACTACGTCTTATCCTGTCTCAGTTCTCCCACACCATTTCTGACACTTAAAATGGTGCCATTGACAGCCTTCTCCCCATATCTGGTCTCTCATGCTGGTATGCTGAAACTCTCACTCCTCCTCCAAGGAACATCTCAAATATATCACCCCCATCAAGCCTTTCCTGATATCCATCAGTATCACCCACCATCGATCTTGCCCTACTTTGATTTCTCACAGTTTTATTACATGCTTAGTAAGGTCTTTCTTGTACTGTATTATAGCTTTGGTAGGCTTTTTGGAGGAAATAATGATATCTTCATTGTCTATGATGCCTTCTAAATATTTTTCGCTACTCTGACTTACAGTCCAGATATTAGCTAATCCTTTGCCCAGATAAGGCTTACTCTTTTTTGGTTCTAAGTCAATGTAGTTGCAAAATTCAGACCTTCACATATTCCCCCAAGAATTCTAGTCTCGACAACCCTGAGAATAATGTAAGCTGATGCCACCATTCCCTGCTGGCAGGATTTTTTTGGGTACATGTTGATGGCCTCCAGTAATGAGATGCAAGTGAGAGCTAAGTCCCCTTCTCCCAACCCAGCCACTAGGTGAGATGCTGCAATGAAAACATGTATCTGACTAATTTCTGCAACACATACATCCTTTTATTCATGAGCATGTACACAATTTTTTTTCTCATATGAGATGGCGAAGCACCATCTCTGTTAAGACACTTTCAAAAGGACCCTTGTATGAAAAGATTACTTGAGGCAAATGTGACATCATGTCAGCAGCAGAATTCAGCCAGTATTCCAGTTAAAATCAGCCAAACAAATTCTCTGTTAAGTGGCAGGTCATAAGAATTATTAAATGGATCCCTAAGCGAGGGCCACCACTAGAAAGGAGCATACAGCTTTTGGACTTGCTAGATCCTCATACCTTATTTATTCAAGGGCAGCTGTTCCTGTGTGATGCTTTTGACCAATCCACATGTCTTGAAGACCATCCATTTCACCAATAAAAAATTATAATATTTCTTATGTTAACCAACAAAGTCTCTAGGTAGAGATTTAGGTAAGGAGAGTTGATCACTTGTCTTGGCTGCCATTGAACGGTTGACTACTAATAAGTTTCTCTTCAGTGCTACCCTCTGGGGTGTGTATTCTTCTCAAGGGCACTTCAAATGTTAGCTATTCCTAGGGTATAGATAAAATCAACTTAAACATATATAGCATAGGGTTTAAATAGAAATATTCAAAGGTAAATAATGAACACCTAAATTAATAAATTTCTCCCTCCCTTTTTTCTTTCCTTCCATTTTTTTTCTCTTTCTCTTCTGTTCACTTTTTCCTTGGTCTTCCATACTGAAGAGTGATTGAGTCATTGTAAAGGATATTTTGGAGTGCATATTGTTTCCACTAAAATTTAAAATCCACAGACATTGTTGCTCTCCAAAGTCCCTCCTTAGCCACCCTGACACCAGCAGCTCTGCTTTCCTGAATCCTGTCCCCTCCACTTGTGGAATTTCAAATTACTTTCCCATGTATTCTAACTCCCTATAACACTCTCTCAGCTTTTAACTTGCCAACCTAAACACCAAGATTCTCAGGAAAACAGAGACTCCTCCAGAGAATTCTGGCCGGCCTCCTTAGAAGGCTGTTTGTGGAACATCTTTGTTTACTCAAACATGTCCTTGAGGTCTCTACCTTTTCTCATCTCCTTAGTAAACAACTTTGCTGAGCGATTATTTCAAGCAAATGCAATGTTGTTAAAATAAACTAAAATGGAGACCAGGCATGAAAAATTCTAGAGAAGACAGAGATAGGCCTTGAAAGTGACCTTAAACTTGTTTGAATCGCAACCACAAGTGGAACTTAACTTGAGCTATTTCTTATAAATGCCAACATTAAGAAACATGGAACTTTAACTGAACCAATCAAAAGCTGCCATCTAACACAGAGTTATGTAACTAGAAGCTTTCCAGTAGGACAGACAAAACGAGGCAACTACATAACCCAAACCAATCAGATATCTTCCTTGCCTTGCTTCTGTGTTCACTATAAAAGCCTCCCTCTTGGGCTTCTTCAGTGGAACCCTGAACCACTTGCTGCCTGATTCATGAGTCACTGTTTGCCCGAATAAACTCTATACAATTTTATTGTGCCTCAGTTTATCTTTTAACAGTATTCTTCTCAAGAATGTAAATAAAATTTTCCTCAACCTCATTACTAAGAATGATGTTTCATTCTTAGTGTTTAAACCTTACAAAAGGTCCAAAATTCATGTCATCCCACATATATTCTTATGTACCCTTCACCCTCTACGGAAGTCACTTACTGTTGACATGCATATACATCCTCAAGGGCTTTCATGTATTAGATTTTTTTTTTCCTGCTATGTGCACGCACTTCTCACTTCTTTTTGTTGTCCTTGGGTTTACACTTTTAGAATTGTCTCAGCCTAAGGTAATCATGAGAATAACCTGGAGATTTTGAAACTACAAAGAACGTCACTAGATCTTTTGAATCAGAGTCTGAGGGTTATACCCAGCACCTGTGTTTTGTAAAACCATCTTCCCTGGTAATTTTTGTACACAGCCCTAAGTAAGACTTCTCCACTATTTAGCGCAGGAGGATAGCGTTATTGTTTTCTTTCTTTGGGAACCACCTGTGGTTAGATAATTAAGGCTTTTCAGTGACCACAAGCTCTGGCACTTGCTCCAGGATCAACTCCCTGCCAGTCACTCTCCCAGTCGTCCACAGCACAATCCACAGTGACTTCTAAGGCCAGAGAGGCAAGTTTGCACTTGTTCACACATCATTTTTATACCATTGCTTGTCACCTGAATCTCATTCTTGCTCCCCCACAGGGAGCTGGTCAATCTTGCTGAAGAGTGAGTCTGGGTAAGCTCCCTCCTAATCAGAGCAACTCAGTAGTCTGTGCCTGTGCCCGAGACTGCTGACCCTTAAATTAGGGAAACTCAACATTTGCTAGCTTCCCTACTGGATTAGGTGGCCATGACTGTTTGATGCTGCAGCTAGGATGAACTAGGGTGATTTTGGCATTGACGTTTGTCTTTAGTCACAAAGCTGGGAACTACTGTTGGTGATTCATATACACAAAATGAAGGGTGCAGTTCATCGCATTTCTTCTTCCAAGGCTCTCATTTGTTTCAAGTTCATAGCCCAAGTTTCTCCTTACCGCAAGAGGCAGTCCCCCCAGCACTTGGGTGGTTAGGTGGATGACATGACTTCACACTGGCATGGGCGCTGCCTCACACCTTAGATGTTTCCACATGGGCAGACTGATATAGTGAAGCAAGCTCGGGCTTTGGAGCCAGACTGATCTAGGTTCAAACCCCAGCTCTGCAGAACCTAAAGTTCTGTGGCCTTGGGCCAATGACCATACTTTACTGAGATTCCATTTGCGATCCATAAAATGAGGATAATTAAAAAATTAATAATACCTGCCTCACAAGTCTAATGGACTTAAGATAATATAAGGACATCTGTTAGGCAATCAGCACCTGCTCCTTCCTCCTTTGGCTCCCATACAAAGGAGGGTGGGGTCCCTCATCACACCTCCTGCCTTTTTTTTTTTTTTCTTCTCTGAGACAGTGTCTGGTTCTGGCTCTGTCACCTAGGCTGAAGTGCAGTGGCACAATCTCTGCTCACTGCAACCTTGGCCTCCCGGGTTCAAGCCAACCCTCCTACCTCAGCCTCCCGAGTAGCTAGCTGGGACTACAGGTATGCGTCACCATGCCCAGCTAATTCTTGCATTTATTTGTGGAGACTGGCTTTCGTCATGTTGCCCAGGCTGGTCTTGAATTCCTGAGCTCAAGCAACCCGCCTGCCTCAGCTTCCCAAAATGCTGGCATTATAGGTTTGAGCCACTGTGCCTGGCCCTCCTGCCTTGTTCTTAGCTGTCTTTCTCAAACGAGGGCACAAACAACAATAACTACTGGGAGAACTTTGTCAAAGCATCCATTCTCCCACCCCTAGATCCAACCCTCTTTGAAATCTCCAACCTTACCTCCTTCTCCTCCTCTCTTGGTGCCTTCCTGGAATGTTTCCCAGGTGCTGGACTCCACGGCACAACAAGTGAAGCACTGAGGGTACTGACTTAAAGAGGCATTCACCCTCTCCCAAGTCCTAAGCACTGACTCCTTGAATTGTGGGCCCTGGGTGCCTCTCGCTAGTCTTGGCCCTGCTAGGGCTTTCCGTCGATTCATCATTTGCTGCACGGATGACAACCATTTCTTTTCTCCCAGTAGGTTAGATAAAGCTTAGATTAATTAACAGTAGAGCTTAGGCAACTTTTCTTGCTGGAGTACTTACAAAAAAATAAGGGGTTCCTGAGAGCCACCCAGACTGATGAAAGATCAGCCTAGCTGCACTTTAGACTCACCTGAAGTCTAGACGCTCAGCTTCCAGGGATTCTGGTTCCATTAGGCTGGGGTAGGGCAACATGGGTAATTTTAAAAAGCTTCTCAGGTGATTTGTAAGATGATTAGGGTCCAATCACTGGCCCGGGCTCAGGGAATCTGTATTCAAGCTCCCAGATGATTCCTACATGCATTAAAGCTTCAAAACCCACTGGCTTCCTATTAAACTCTCCAGCTCTGAAATCAGACCCAGGTTCAAATCCTCATGTTTTTTTGTTTTTTTTTTTTGAAATGGAGTCTTGGCTCTGTCGCCCAGGCTGGAGTGCAGTGGCACAATCTCGGCTCAGTGCAAGCTCCGCCTCCCGGGTTCACACAATTGTCCTGCCTCAGCTTCCCGAATAGCTGGGACTACAGGCGCCTGCCACCACACCCGGCTAATTTTTTGTATTTTTTAGTAGAGAGGGGGTTTCACCGTGTTAGCCAGGATGGTCTCAATCTCCTGACCTCGTGATCTGCCCGCCCTGGCCTCCCAAAGTGCGTGAGCCACCACACCTGGCCTCAAATCCTTATTCTTGCACTCACTACCATATTACTTTGAGCAAGGTTCTTACCCGCTTCTTCACCTACAAAATGACAATAATAACAGTACCTTCCACAGAAGTGTTCATGGGGATTAAGTAAGATGGAAATAAGTTAGCATACTGTATGACATACAGCAAGTCCCACTAAGTGATACCTTATTAACATGCTAAAGCATTTATTGAGCCCTTCCTTATTGTGGATTAGCATTTTATGTGTGTGTGTATATGAGACATAGTGACTCATCTCCAGGCCTGTGACTTTGGGCTACTTAACACCTTTGTGCATCAGGAGATTATAAACAGCATAAAAGAAGTAAGTCATGAGGATTCAATGAAATATTGCATGAAAAGTGTTTAGTAGAGCCCTAGTACATAGTAAATGCTCAGTAAATGCCAGCTGTTATAATTGCACATAATAGTCAATTTTCAATAAAAGTTGATAATTCTGGAGTATTCTTAATACATTTCCTGTCCAAGAAAATACCCAGCTTGGCTCCTAAGTAAAGCCAAAGATCTTTCTTGTGCTTATTTCTTAGATTTTGCTATAGGGGCTGGCCCGCATCACGGGTTTAAGGAAAGTTTTCTAAATGCACAAACGAATGGATTACTAGGGAATTTCCACTTGCCTTCACCCTCCACACTGATTTTGCCTGTGACTCAAGATCGTGAAAGTCTTCCTGACCACGGGGCCATTCATTCCGTTTCCAAATGCTGCAACCCGCCCATGGCTCTAATCAAGAGCAGAACTGATTTATGCTGGAAGTGGAGTGAGCCAGGGAGGTGGAATCCTCCACCGCTGATTTGTTTATTGCTGAGTCCTTGAAAATTGAATAGGGAGGAAAAGGGAGGTGTGAGAAATGAGTTAAGAGCTACTCCCCATCACATTTGATAAGAGGTTCTTTCACTCTGGAAGAGTATAGCTTTTCGTTGTTGTTAATATGAAAATGCTATAAGTGCTACAAAAACACATGTCAAGTTCCATGCCTGTCTTCCACCTGATGGCCACCAAGAGCCCTGACAATGATGGAATAGCAAGCTGCCTGGATTTCTAGGGCTTAATTAAGGAACTGTAACAGGCTATGCTACAACTCTGTAATACTCCTTGGTAAATGACTACAGTAGATAAAGAAAAATTGGTTTCCTCCATTTAGCAGATATTGATTACAGGGTTTGTTTTAAAACATTTAGACTAACTTGGTTCTTTGTTTTATTTATTCACTTCCATGCATTAATTGAAAGCCCACGGCTCAGATTGTATTAACTTGATCGCCCTCTACTGGCCACATGCTGGAGTACATGCCTGTTTTTGACCTATCCTACAAAAACTACAGCTATTTTTAGAAAGTATTGGCCTTTTCAAGTCAAACATACTTTTTCAAGGTCAATTATGAGTACGGTGGGGAGACTCCTGTATATAAAACCCCAAATTGTCTACTCTGTTTTTGAATATTCTGCTTCCTGAAAGATCTTTCGATTCCATATATTTGATAATTTAAGAAGAACCATGACCAGGAGCCAGAAGATCTGAGTTCACATGGGCCTACCCTCTCATCTATGAAAGGAGAAGGTTGAGGTAGGACAGGCACAAGGCCCCTTTTTAATCTCTCAAGCTGGGGCGGTAGGGACTGCACCCCATGTTAGAAGCCAGGTGCCCTGCGATCGAGTCCTAATTTGAGATTTAGTTCTGATTCCCTTTTACTCTTGCTATAAAGTGAATAAGGAGGGTATGAAATCTCCAGGGTTCCTTTGAATTCCAATATGTTAGGACTCAATTCATACTAACCTCGAGCACATATAAGTGACAGGGAGGAATTTTCGGAAAGATAATTCCTCTTAAAACCCCTTTAAAAGGTTATTTTTTCTTTTTTCCTATGACAATTTTCTAGAAAACATAGGATTTATTCCTCACAAAGCTCCCCATACTTGTAGCTGAAACTATTGTCTCCACATGAACAGTTTGAATAAACTGTAACATTTTTATTATCTAGAACATAGGAGAGAAAAAAATCCAACACCAGATTCTAGATGGAGATTTATTGCAGATTCTTATAATTTGGGGGGGAAAATAAAATGATGAGGCCCTTCAAGTCCAAGGGAGAAAAGCTGGCTCTGAGTCCCTAAGCAGAAACATTTTTTAAAAGCTGCTCTACTTCCCTCCACAAAGCAGATCTGCAATGTGATCGGCAACCTTTTGCTTCCATCATTTTGGTGGATTACCCAGTCCCTAGACACAGTTCAAAGAAGACATTTGCTCAGGTAGGGTGAGCACAGTGTAATCCTCCATCCTTGCAACAAACATTAAGAGCATTTAAGAAAGTCAGAGCAAGGCAATGCTGGAAGAACTTCTTTTCTACTATGAGAAAAAGCAGAAAATGCCACATACAACAATGTAAAATTGATTGACTTAGCAATAATCTGGCCTAGGGAAAATTTACCAAGTTTCAAGAAAGGAATTTGTTTTTAAAAATAAAACGTCCTTGCATTTAATTAGCCACGCACTTATTCTATTATAAGAATAAGCCAGGCACTATTCTATCAGGCACTTTGAAATGAATAATTGTATTTGCTTTTTAAAAATCAATATTAGGTGTATATATATATTTTTAATATATTTTTATATATATATTTTTTATATATATATATATATATATATATATATATAATATGTATATGATGGAATACTACCCAGCCATAAAAGGAATGAATTAACAGCACTTGCAATAACCTGGATGAGACTGGAGACTATTACTCTAAGTGAAGTAACTCAGGAATCAAAAACCAAACATTGTATGTCCTCACTGATATGTGGGAAATAAGCTGTGAGGATGCAAAGACATAAGAATGATGCCATGGGCCAGGCGCAGTGGCTCACGCCTGTAATCCCAGCACTTCGGAAGGCCAAGGCAGGCGAATCACGAGGTCAGGAGTTCGAGACCAGCCTGACCAACATGCTGAAACCCCGTCTCTACTAAAAATACAAAAAAAATTAGCTGGGCGTGGTGGTGTGTGCCTGTAATCCCAGTTACTTAGGATGCTGAGGCAGGAGAATCGCTTGAACCTGGGAGGTGGAGGTTGCAGTGAGCAAAGATTGAGCCATTGCACTCCAGCCTGGGTGACAGGGGGAGACTCCGTCTCAAAAAAAAAAAAAAAAAAAAAAAAAAAAAGAATGATGCAATGAGATTTGAGGACTTCGGGGGAAGAGTGGGAGGGCGCAAGGGATAAAAGATAACAAATATGGTGCAGTGTATACTGCTCAGTGATGGGTTCACCAAAATCTCACAAATCACCACTAAAGAACTTACCCATGTAATCAAACACCAACTGTACCCCAACAAGTTATGGAGAAATAAAATAAAATACTGAAGTACAAACTTTTTTTAAAAAAAAGTGAAAAACACAGGATCTGTATATTAAATTACAAATTGCTGATGAAAGAAATCAAAGAGACCTCAATAAATGGAGACATCCCTACTAGGTTCATGGATTGGAGGACTCAACATAATAAAGCCATCAATTCTCCCCAAATTAATCTGTAAGTTTATTACAACAGCAACAAAACCAATACTAGGAAGGGAGTCATAGGGGCATTACACTCATGTTGTAGATGATAATTAAGAAGATTATGTATCTTCCCTACAAAGACCAAATCCCACAGATAATAGTACTATTTTCTGATATTTAAAATTTTGCTCTAAGAGATTTTCGGAGAAAACATTCAAGTCCTTCTAAGGATGCTAGGGCTGTATGGATGCATACATGTGTATCTTCTTTTCCGAAGGGACAAAAAACAAAATAAACCACATATTTCCAGGGGAAAACCAAAGCAATAGAGTAGAGAGAAGAAATGTTTGAGTTTGATTCTGCACTAACTTTTCCAAAGCAAGAGTTCTATTCAGTGTGAGTACCTTCCAGAACAAGGCACTGTGTGGGAAACATCGTAGAAGGCTGTAATCTTTCCCCAGATCATTTCCTGGTTGGGGAATAAACTATTGCAGATTAATGCAGATTACATTGTGTTCTCTCTGAGGACTGTAGACAAAATAGTGGCTATTAGTTTCTAGGGACTGGAAATTAATAGAGAGGGAGTTTAATGCAAGTCACATTCAATCCCATGAGCAAGTCTTTAAAATCTATCAGGTCTAGTTCAAAAATAGGTCTCACATTCCATTATTCTCTCCATCTCCACTATTACTATCTTAGATCAGTGGTCCAAAAGATAGGAACAGGAGCATTGACAGTGTGTTTCATGACTTTCAGGCAGTCAATTTCAGAGAAGGCAATAGCAAAGAAGAATCATGTTCCTTTCTGACTTAAAGAATTTGAGACCCTGTTCCTATTATCTCTGGAATCTAGAGGCATCACATCCCATGCATCCTCTGGCATCATGATCACAGAAGTTTTATCTGCAACAGGTGTATGAGGAGCTTATATAACTGTGCATGCTCATACCCTCCTAATCTCATCCGCATGACTATTCTGCAAACACAAAGCATAAAATACCCCAGACTAGACACCGGCATGAGTCCAGCTGAAAAAATTGACAGATCAGCATGGTCTCTGTATAAGCATGTGATAAAATCTCTACAGTCATGTTTTCCAACTGAATGCTAGCTCTCCCTCCCCTGGATCCCCATAACCTTTCTTCCATTCTCTGATAATAGCTTTTCATTTGCTTTCTCTGCCTGTTAAACTGTAAGTTCCTGTGGGTAGGGAGCAGGTATGATCACGTGCCTTACTTAACTCAGACAGCAGGATAAAATGAGTCCTCTGGAGTCTCACAGACCTATCCTGGAAGGCCAACTTTACTAACTGTAGGGCTTTGGGCCCTTAACCTCTCTGAGCCTCAATTCCAATAGGAAAACAGTTATTGTAAGTATCCAATGACATTTATGCAAATGGCTTAGCCAATGCTTGCCCCTAGCAATTGATGTGATAAATAATACCACTGTATCCTAGGTTGGGCTCTCTAGAGTTAATATTTGAGATGGAGATTTGGGTGTCTGCGATTTACCTGAAGGAGAGGTCTCAGAAAGAAAGGAGTTAGGGAAGTAAGACAGAGTCGGGGGAGGAGCTAAGCTGAACTCTAGCTTCAGCCTGATCCCACAGGGAGGTCTGAAGCATAAATTGCACCAAAAGGTTGGTTCCCTCTTGGGATGGGTCCAGCCATTTCTATCCTCCCCCCATTCAAACCCTCCATATCCATTGGTTACTGGCTATAGGCTGCCTTCCTTTGTGGGCACAGAAGGACGTATCCTCCATGGCCAAGCAGCTCCCATGGCCAAGGACAGTTCCACGAAGAATAGGGCAGTTGTGAGCTGACAGTAACCTATACTCACAGCAACCATGTAAGGGAGATCTGGGAAAGGCACCAGAAACACCCACTACACTATTATTATATTTGTATCATTCTATGTCCAAATATGAGCTTTTGACATGACAGGGACTCAATAAATAGTTGAACTAAATTGAAGAATCTAAATTGCATAGACTGTGCAAAGCCAGCATGAATAGCTTTTGTCTCATCCGCATATTCAAAATCTTTGGAGACAGCTGTCACATTCCTCCCCTTCACTGGCCCTCAGAATTGCCAAGACTACACAAGGTTGTAGCACACCCCTAAATTCCCAGGCACACTGATTATGTATGACGCTCACTTAACTGTAAATTTTCTTGCTTCTCTTGTTTCAGAGATTTTCTGGTGCTAATTACACCTACGCTTACATCCAAATATTTCATTGTGATGCAGATTATACTTGTAAGTGCATGAATTATTCTTTGAAGGCAAAAGGAATTAATAATGTTTCACCATTCACTGTGACATGTTTCCAAGCATGTAAGTGACAGGTGCACTTTTAAATAATGTACTTTTTCTTCTCCTTGACAAGCAAGAACCCAGATTTAAAGAGATAGAAGATGTGAAGGATTGTCTTGTGGATCTACTGATGTCATGCTTGGGTTTCCATCTCCATCAGCAAATGAACGAATAAGTAATGTATACAGGTCCCAGTACCTGCTCAGATTAGATTGTATCAGCAGCCTTACACTCTGAAATACCATTAGGACAAATCCCCAGGCACTCAGGGATAGAAAGAGAGAGCTGGGTTGGTCATCAGTAGGAATGGAGGAAAGCTTTTTGTAAATCACAAGGTGATTTATAAAGGTCAATTATTAGTATTAATTATTCTACTATCAACTTTATGTTCAGTGCTCCTGGCTCTACCTACATCTCCTTCTGAATTAATCAGCCCCTTCCAGAGATTTCACATCTGTTCAGGTGACTAGGGACAAATAAAAAGGAGCCTAAACAGGTTGAGGAACCTGCTCTTTTCTTGTACTTTTATCTAATACTCTCTCTACTGGTAGAGACTAAATTGAATTCAGAAAACAAATCTAGCAGGTGGTTCTAGAGCCTTAATTGTGAGTGGCCAATAGATAACATATAAAAGGAAATGGGGATTTTATACATCATCATCACCCTCATGAAGTCAAGGAAATGAATGCCTAAAGACTAGTTGTTGAATTTCAGAAGATTCATGTGTGTAAAACAAGTGGACCTACTGCCCCAATTCACCAGATTTCATTTTAGTTCTATTAGGATCATGAGGTATTTGAGAAAAGAAGAAAAAGAAAAAAAAAAAACTCACAATTTGGTATGGGCAATACAAAAAGTTCTCTCTCACATGTATTAATACATCCACTTTAATGGCAAAAACAGACTTTAATTTTGGAAAGGAATATAGCTGAGCTCTAGATTAGAAGCCCATAAACTATGGACCAAATCTCTCTTCTGCCTGTCTCTGTTAGTAAAGTTTCATTACAACACAGCCATGCCCATTCATTTACATATTGCCTATGCTTCTTTTAGGATAACAACAGTGGAGCTGAATAGGTGGGAAAAAGACCACGCTGGCCACAATGCCAAAAAATAGTTATATTTGGCCCTTTATAGAAAATGTTTGCTGACTCTTGCTCTACAGCCAAACTCCTTGATATTAAATACTGGTTCTATCACTTATTAGCTGTGGTACTTTCAGAAAGTTTCTCAATGTAATCATCGTGAAGAAATGAACACTATCTACCACTTAGGGTTGATAGGAAGATTGAGTAAGTTTAAATATCCAAAGTGCCTAGACCAGCATCTAGCATATATTCAGGATTCAATAACTATTAGCCATTATTATTATAAACAGCAAGAACAAATATCCTTCTCCCCATACGCATTGTTGGCTCTCATGCCAAAAGAACCACCCAGAGGCCCTTCTGCCCTTTCTCATGGATAAGTTTGGAATGTCTCTCCAATGTTCTGAATGCACATAGATACTTTCTAGGTATTCTAGTTATTCTATAGCAGCTGCGCAGAAGGGAAGCCATTTCTTTTCTTTTCCTCTCTTTATTCTTGGAAGATGGCTTCAGTTAAAAAGCTCAAGCAGAGATTTCAAACCTCCTTCTTCTGTCTAAAATATTTAATGGCCAGCCTAACAACCCTGGCAAAACAACTGGTTTGTTTTCACAACTCACAGTGTTTTTTCATCTTTAGAATCAATTAGAGGTTCTAAAGATATTGTAGGATCAAAGATTGGCTTAGAATATAAACCTTGAATTCCTAAGAGAGCTTACAAGTTTGTCCAGATTAGATGCTCAAGATGAACAGAGGGCCCAGCCTCTGTAAGGTAGGAATGTAAAGTGGGGATAAAATTAGTAGAATTTTGAAAAACCCACCTTTTTGAGAAATACAGATGAATAAATAGATTACACTTCTTTCTCTCTCTCTTTCACTTCCTTTCCACCTTTTCCTTACGGCCAGGTTAATAATAAAAAGGTCAGTGTTCTGAGTTCTAAAAAAAAATGTATACTGATACCCATATGCATAAGGCATTGCCCTGGGCACCATGGAGAAATTCAATGTGGTAAAATTCCCATCCTAGGGAGTTAATAATCTGCTTGAGAAAGCAAGACAAGCCCATGAAAAGTTAAATAGCAATTAATGAGTTCAATGACAGTACAAGACAACAGTGGAAAAGATACTGCTATGCAATAAGTAATTAGTTGCTAAATTCAGATAGTTAATATTATAGAAATTTCAGGGGAAAATAAAATCCACATGATGTAAATTTGTTAACCAAAACACAAGAAAATGGCCATCCTACTTCCTCTTACTGAAGGAAGATAAAAACACTAAAGTTAAATATGTATTTACATTTCAAGTGAGTAATTTGAGGTGTTTTCATTTAAAATAAACATTAATTAACTAGCTTCCCAGGCTAACAATGTGTGTTAATCAGTCGCTGAACCTTGTTTTCTAACAACTTCAGCTGTAATGTGTAGGTTAGACCAAAAGATTCAGATGGAAATCAGAACACCAGGAATGGTGAAGTCTTAGAAGAAGGCATGCTCCTGTAGCAAAAACAGGAGGATGGGATGGGGTCCTGAACAGCATCAAAAGGCCCACAAGTTGACAGAACATAGCTGAATATCAGAGTAGCCTCCCCAGAGTCAGTACGAATGAACAGGCATGGCTGAATTCTAAAACATTCTAGAAAGATTAAGCTAAAACATCTACAAGTGAGTCTCCTGAATGAAGCTTCTTTATCATATTCACCAATTCACTGCATCCACCCTTATTTCCTAGATGTTTGGGGAAGAGGCTTATATCCAGATATGCCACCAAATTCAAATTTAACTACACCCTCAGATTTCTGCTCCTTTTGGACCACTAGAGTTCTTATTTTGGAGCTTGATGATCTGCTTGTATAAACTCCGTAAGCATAGCAGTAAAGAATGTGACTCCCAAACTAAACTACCTAGGTTCCAATCCCAATCCCACTGCTGTGATCTGGAGCAAATTGCTTATCCATCCACTGAGCCTCAGTTTGCCCAGTTGTAAATGGGAAGGATACTAGTATTAAACTCATACAGTTGTCATTAGGGCCAAATGTGCTAATACATGTGAAGCTTTTTGAACTATACATAGTAAATTCCTTATAAATATAAGCTGGCATACCCTGTCACTGCTAAGTAAGAGGGCAGAATTAGTAATTCTTTTAATTACTTAACATGCCAGCTATAGAGGCAACCTGCCTCCTTCTCTGGGACCAACACTGGTCCTACAAATGGAGCTATAACAAGTTGGAGTTTATCAATTTGGTAGTCTTCTTTCTGGCCTTGTGTGTATCTTACCCCACTCCTTCCACTAATACGACCTAATTATAATATTATAATTAATTCAAAAATTGTCCTTCTTCCTATCAGGTCCTGGCTCCAGACTACCTGTGTTTCTCTGGAAAGAGCTATTAGTGTTGACCAATGTCAGTGATTCTAAAAACTAAGTCATTGCATCCCAGCCATTCTCCATCCACTGGGGCCCCCTAATGCTATGCTCTGCCACTGATATATGCAGGAGGCAGATAAGGAAGGGTCCCCAGAGAATTTCTGACCTGCCCCACAAGTGTTTACACCAGATGTTTTTGTGCAGATAAGGGAACCTGCACAGGGTCTTTCCTGGGCATGCCCACATGCACTGAAGGAATGGAGTGGAGCCACCAGGAATTCACACCTTATGCAGGGGAGGAGCCTGGCCTCTTCAGCTCCTGTGTGGTGGCCTGGTATTCAATCTGCGAGGTGGGAGCCTATTGGCAGGGCCCCTTCTTTCTTTGCTGAGAGATTTATTTTCGCCTAATACAACCACTTTCCTCACCCTTCAATGTGTCTGTGTGCCTAATTTTTCCTGGTCTTGAGACAAGACCTAGATTTTAGCCAAGCTAAGGAGCAAAAAATCCTGCATCATTTTGGTGGCCCATATGGGGACCTGAGGAAGGGTGAGTAAAATACGGACCTGAATGTTTCTTTCCCTTTTGTTTTGGAGCCTTCTTGTTCTCAGATTTCTTCTAAAGGTAGAAAAAACTGAGACTTGCCTTGTCACTCTTGGGGGTCAGGAATGTTGGCCTCAGTCCAGCCCAGTTTTTTCTATGGCAATTTCCTTCTTTTTATTAGGACTGTAATGGCAGCTATCTTTTCTTTTACATATTGGGGGGTGTTCCACCCCCACCCCAATGGCCACAGGTGCATGCACAGGACAGATGGGTGAGCAGCAGCTCCCCGCCCCCCTCCCCTCTCGGTTGGGGCTGGGGCACATGGCCCAAGGGCCCTGCGTGGCTGGCTGGCCAGCATTCCCTGCCATGCACCGGGAGTCTTCCCCTCTCCTGGCCAAGGGGTCCACCTCAGTCCAACAGCAATTAAAAGTTTCTCTCAGCTGGGCACAGTGGCTCACGCCTGTAATTCCAGCACTTTGGGAGGCCGAGGCAGGCAGATCACAAGGTCAAGAGATCGAGACCATCCTGGCCAACATGATGAAACTCTGTCTCTACTAAAAATACAAAAATTATCTGGGTGTGGTGGTGCATGCCTGTAGTCTCAGCTGCTTGGGAGGCTGAGTCAGGAGAATCACTTGAACCTGGGAGGCGGAGATTGCAGTGAGCTGAGATTGGGCCACTGCACTCCAGCCTGGCAACTCAGCGAGACTCTGTCTCAAAAAAAAAAAAAAAGTTTCTCTCCCTGTTGGAGAAACCCATTTACATAAGAATAAGAGGTTATTCCCCCAGGCATCTTTCCAGTCCTGCACTTAAACTATTATTATTTTCTTCTTTTTTCACCCTATCAGGAGTTAACTTTTGTGTGAGAGATTTTTCCTTTTAGAAGGTGTTTTTACTAGGCCAGGACCCCAATTCACAAGATGCTCTTTTCTCTCCCTTGTTGGAGGGGAACTTGGTTCCACAGCTTTGCCTTAACATTCAGCTTATAAGGAGTCCATGAAACCCCATGAGACACATTTTTGCCCCAAACTCCATTCCAAGCTTTGGAACTTGAAGGCTACTGACAGCAGGCGGGACATGGAGTTCATGGGTAAGAGCAGATAATCCCTCCCTCAGGCCCCCCTATTAACATGGGTGAAAGCCACATTGACACTCATGGGCAGCACCCTGTCATGGCCACTGGGATTCGGGAATAAAAAGATGGAAGAAGGAAAAAGGATGCTTTTTCCTTCTCTCACTCATATAGCCTGGGTATTCACTAAAAAGAGAAAGGGACCAGGGGTGCCTGTTACCCCTTCTAGATGAGTAGCCATTCATCTTTAGTCTAGTTGGCTTGGAGTTGAGCTCAGGGGAAAGGAACCCAGAAGCCTGACATGCTGGCAAAAGGGTAAAAGTTTTTACCAGTTGGGCTTTTGGCTTCCCTCTCCCTGTGCACACCAGTAAGAGGAATGATAAGAATCACTGTTTATATTATCTGTGAAGTTCTGATTAATGAAAAAGGATATATGAGGTTGGTCTTAAGCTGTAGCCAATCTGGTATGCTTTGCGTGTCTTAATTGAGGTTTGTTGGTCCCACTGGTGAGGTTACTTTTGATAAAGTTCAAAAGCTAGATACATCAGCTGCTTGGCATGGCTAAAGTGAACTAATAAGGGATTTAAAAGGATTTTCTTAAAGAGAGCTCAGCTTAATTAGAAGTGTATATCCAAGTTATAGGTATATTTAAAAGGCCTTTATGTTTTTCTCTTCTTGAATCTTATTTTGCTGAAAAAAGGGTTTTCCTCAGTTGACTGAATTATTTTTCTCCATTTTGCCTTGCCACTCTTAATGCATGCATTAGAGCCCCTAAGATAATTTCTGATGGCCTGGGACTCCTTGGGAAAGACAGAAAAGACACCACGGATTCCATTTTGGGAGAAACCTCTGTTTTCCTCATGGAAGCCCAGGAATTAGAAGCGGATAAATCCCTCTCAAAATCTGTTTTTGTCTTCCAGCTATACCTGTTTATTGGGCCCTGGAAACAGCATGCTCTTAAAGGGCTCCATCCTGAGGCAAATAATCCAATTGGGATTGTTGAGATTGGGATTTTTTTTCTTTTTTCTCCACCCTGAGAATTGAGATTGACAAATGAAAAATTTTATAGCTACTGGATCTTCTTCTGTCTGTGTAGTTATATATGTGTTGTGTGTGATGTCTATAAAAAAGAGCTCTAATTAATTGGCTTAAAGAAAAATAAGCACTTAGATCAAACTTAGTCAAACTTTATTGATGCCTAGCACATAATTAAAACAACTTACCAGATTTTACATTACAGTTAAAAATTCCTAAGAGTTACCACTATAACATGTAATTGAGACCACTGAAAATGGATTTACATACAAGGTGTGTAAGAACAGTAAAATGTGTTTTTAGTAAAAGATTATAAGAGGGCATGGAAATGTAAATTTTTGCCTAGGGCTAAAGAATTTTTTAAAATTAGATAAGATAAAGCTAAAGGTTTAAACACATTGTGGAAGGTTTCTAAGAATTAATCTTGTAAAAGAAATTCTGTGTTTGCACATTGACAAAATTCAAAGGGGTATTATATGGTTTTAATTCAAAAGGGTATTATATGGTTTTTCTGCAAATGGAACATTGAAGTAAAAGCACAACAAGGTTTTCTTAAGGCACTAATCTGCTCTTTAGCAAAATTTGTAGAGGGTTATAAAAGGATTATAAGGATCTCACCTGGTGGTTAAACTGGTTAAGATAAGATAGAATTGTCTGTAAAGTTTCATTAGAAAATTGGGATAGACGTTAATAGTAAGGGTAAAATTACTATTAATGTAAGGGTAAAATTTGGCTTTCTCTCCCTTGTACAAGATTTTCACGTACTAGTAAAGGATAATGAGCGATTTTCATTTGCCTTGTGGATAGACTGCCAAGGAAAAGAAAGAGCAGACAAGAGAAAAATTTTTTGGAAAACAAAGTCTTCCCTGTTAATGAGTAAAGATTTTCTGCCTTGTTTTAAAATTCCTAAGTCATCGTTTTGGCAAAATAAATAACTTATGGTAATCTGAAATTCTATTTTATAGCATCAAGTGTTTTAAATTTTTAACATATTTAACAGGCTTCCCTGAATCAAATTTCAGCTTCAGGTTGTCTTTTCTGACCTCAGCTTTTGGATGCTACAGATGGCCCCTGGAGCACCCAAAAGAGAGGTAAACAGGATTATTTGACATGTTGAGGTACATGGGATTGCCAAAATGATGTTTAATCTTCTTCAGGTTATAATTTAGGGAATAATATTAATATATATTCCAAAATTGTATGGGATTTCTAAAATTCTAATGTTTGGGTATATGCTATCAATCATGATTAAGGTTGATATTATGTTAAGTTATTGTAAACCACAGAGATAACCAAATTTCTTTGTCAATCGTGTTTTTGACTGTAACTACCCTAGAATTTTTTTTATTCACAGGCAATTGTTGTCTTGTTTTGATCCTGTTCAAAAGATGGTTTATAATCAGCTATAGAACTTTGACAGGTACTCTCAAATGCAGATTTCTTGTAATTTTGGAGATTGTGACATTGGAATAATGAATTCATGAAGAGCTGAAATGTTCATGAATATCAAATAGAACAAGAGTTAATGGAATGGACTGAACTAATAGAAAACTGAAGTAGCCTTTTTAAATGTTTGCTTAGAACACTGCTGATCCTTGTTTTGTTTTTCAGAGTCAAGGAACCTTATGTTCAGCTATTTATGGCCTTTAATAATTGAATAAAGTACAATTCTGTGACAAAATTTGGAGCATATTTGTTTCTCTTTGCCTGGTTTCTCCAGAATTTGGAAACTAGTCATGAGTATTCATGACTTATGGCAGTATTCATGACTTATGGCAAAGTAGTTATTTGTGTCAGTGCAATAAGAATCCATTTTCTTTTGCAACAGAATGCAAGTGGAGAAACTGGTTGTTTTACCAAAGCTTTGACTGGAAGGGTATGCATCCCGTTAAGGAATCAAGCTTGACTTGCAGAGCTGATAAAAGTCCCTTGGGAAAACTGGCCTCACACCTTGTATTCACAGTCCCTGTACAGGGTTCCTGACCCATGGTAAGTAAAGAATGTTGCTTTCTAACAAGTCCAGGAATCACATGTTCTTGGACCTCAAGAAGAGAGGAGTTTATGCAACTCAGGTATTTGAGGGTACAAACTCATGGCTGGGCTCAGCTTTAAAAAAAAGAAGAAAAAGTCTTATCTCAGATTCCTTGTGGAACAGAGTTCCATCAAAGCCAATCTGAAAGGCCTATGTAAAAATAATTATTTGTGCTGTACTTTATGCAAATAATCAGGCCAAGTATAAGACTAAAGTCTATTTTTCAAACAACTCAGTCCCATCATGATTTCTTTTTGACAAGAATGAGGACTGGAGAGAGATAAATTATGTTCCAAAACTTAGACATTTGTCATTAAATTCTAGACTCATTAGCTGTTTTAATTTTTTTTCCCCCACATTATAAGTTAACTCTGATTATTCCTGTGAACCAACCAGTGATCTCCAACTGCAGCTCAGAAGAAACAAAAGAGATGAGTAATGTAAAAATCTGGATCAAATAGTCTAGTTCTGGGCAATTACCTTGCAAATCCTGGCAGGTGATAGGAGTAAATAGGGTGCCCATCACCCAGAGGTATCCTTTTTGAGAAAATAAGACCAAGGGAGCTAACCAAAGTCAAGCCCCATGCACCCAAATCTTAGCAAGCATAACTATAGCCACCAGTTATCTGTGTGTGCCAGCAGCCTTGGGATTTTTGAGCTGCCCTTACCCATCCCTTTTTGTTTCATTTTGATACATGTTTTCCAATAACCCAGTTTGTCTCTTCTGGCCTTCAGGCCATCAAACTCCAAATACTCCAAATAGTCCTGCCACCGGAGCCTTTGATGATCACCCCTTTTACCAGGGACCCTTATATAGGCCTATGAGGGAGATCTGATTGCTGATTCCCCAAAACAGCACCCCTGTCAGCAGGAAGCAGTTAATATTGGTCTTCATCCTTAACCTTATCCTTATCCTTATCCTTATCCTTATCCTTATCCTTATCCTTATCCTTATCCTTATCCTTATCTTTAACCTAAGGGCATTTAGATGTACTTCTAACCTAAGGGCATTTAGATGTACTTCTTTAGTAGGGGGAATGATAGATGCAGGAGGCAGATAAGGAAGTGTCCCTGGAGAATCTCTGACCTGCCCCACAAGTGTTTATGCCAGATGTCTTTGTGCAGCTGGGGGAACCTGCACAGGGTCTTGCCTGGGCATGCCCACAAGGGACTGGTGGCCCATGTGCACTGGGTCAATGGGGTGGAGCCACCAGGAATTCACGCCTCATGCAGGGGGAGAAGGCTAGCCTCTTCAGCTCATGTGTGGTAGCCTGGTATTCGATCTGTGAGGTGGGATCCTGTTGGCAGGACCCACTCTTTCTTTGCTGAGAGCATTCTTTTCACCTGATAAATCTACCTTTCTCACCCTTCAATGTGTCTGCATATCTAAGTTTTCCTTGTTGTGAGACAAGGACCTGGATTTTAGCTGAACTAAGGAGGAAAGAATCCTGTATCATTACCTTCTGAGAACTTGTTTATGGTAGGACTGCTCAAATGATGACTACATATTAACCTGGATACCTTCCACTGTTCTGTTGAAATCTTCACCCATCACTTCCCTGCCTCCAAGAATCTGACTGGTTTCCATGTCTTTGCCATATGTGGTTTGGTGTCTAATCTACTTAAATGCTGTCAGAGTTTTCCATATAGCAGATAGCCTCAAAAGGCTGAATCACCTCCTCTCTTGCAGACGTTATGGCAAATACGCTAAGAAATCCTTCCAAGCACTCTCAAAGGATTCACCTTCTCTGCCTCATCTCTGGTTAGTTGGTTTGACAAAATGAGAAGACGAGGGTGACATTCAGAACTCCTTGATTCTGCTATTATTGGCAAAACTGTCTCATTAGCATTAAAATAGGGAGAAGACCTAGGTTGGAAGGGATATTGCTTAAAAAAGAAAAAAAAAGACTTCTGCTTAGCATGCAAACTAAAGCCTAATACTTAGTATGTGCTGCAGAACAGAGTTGCTGAATAGTTCTGCCATAAATCATTCTACAATGCTTAGGTATGTGAAGCTGTAAACCCATTCCATAATTTTCATTAGAAAGAGACCTTCATTTCAAAAAAAAAGAATTGCAGCCCCTCAGTAGAGATCCTCTGGAAATCACATAAAATGGAAAAAAATGAGGGAATCTCTATCTATCTCTAAACACACACACACACAGATACACACACACACACACACACACACCAGGGCAAAATATTAACTTCCAATCACTGCTAGAAGGCACTAGGTCAATCACAGCTCAGAACACAGTGAAAATTGTGTTACAAAAGCAAGCCCGTCTCCCAGACAATCCTGCCCCTGCTGCACACCTGTGCTGCCTTCTCATCCAATGGCCTCCAGAAACCTGTAGGCAAGAAGCTGATCATTAGGAGCCTTGACCTACTCACTCGTCCCCAACCTCTGGTGCATCTCTCAGAATGTAGCAATTATTATCCTAGCACCAACAGCAGCAAACTAACATCTCACCCACAAATATACTTCTTACTGCCTTTCATCGTGTAGCAAATATCCTTTTATGCACACCTCAATCAGAATTACCCAAACAGCCATTAACACAGCTTGGAGAGGGAGAAGAGTAAGAAAAAGTTCTAAAACCAGACAAATCAACTGCAAAGTCAAATTTGTATTAAGAACCCACAGATGCTGGGGGCTAGTTGATGGAAGTTAGGCAGGTAAGGCAAAATTTAAGGTGCATTAAAAAGCTCAGTGACTGAGATAGATAAATTATATTCTAATGCAATACATTTTTTAAAATAGAAGTTAATACAGATAAATTCATTGTGAACCAAATATCAAAATTTTAAATAATAAAATTCAGCAGTACCATAATGAGCCATTTTAAAGCCTAAGACAAAAGAGAAAATCAGTGATGCTGATCGTGTTTTCATTAAATATTTGGATATTTCATTCATCATGGATTTTTTTTGCATGAAGTTTGATTTTTTAAAAATGTTTTATTAAAATATTACATATCTTGATTTAGGAGTTTCCTGGTGGCACCCTCTTAAATTTGCACCCAAGGCAAGCTCCTTGCTTATCCCATGCTTATCCCTGCCCTGCTCCAAATTACTGATAATTCTTGTATCACTAGAAAGAACAAGTATTGTCTTCTGATATAGCCTTCCATAATATTGCTACCCATCTTATCTTAAAAAATCAGAGGCCCCGGAATTAGTACAAGTGGAATGGAGGGCAGATCCTACTTAAGCATTCTTAAACAGCTTAAATACGCCTCTTGGGTTCAACTGCTATGGCTTTTATTCAAGAGAAACTGTAATTGGAAAGTCACAAATTTAACATTAACTTTTCCATTTCTGCTGTATGTTGGGTTTAGTTTCACAAACAAGGTCCTTTTAGATCAGTAATTCCCAGGCTTTATACCATCAAAGACTCTTTTTCTCCCCACCTGTAACCAGGGCTTGTGTTTTGAAATACTTTTTTTTTGCCAAACATTTATGAATGAATTTATGCATAAATTCTGTCCACCATTTAATAGGCCAAGATATCTGAATTTGCCAATCATATATTCTGATCAGTGGGAGATCACCTATGATTGCCAGAGGGAACCAGCACAATTGTGATCAAAGGCGGAGATACTTGACCTGCAACTCAGCCTGCCAAGCTTCATCAAGGATGCCACAATTTCATTAGATATTTTGAAATACTGAGTTCTCAAAAATAATTATAATGAAATATTAACTTAAAAGAGTGACATGAAAGAAATGGTAGGTATACCATGTTTTCACCTAGCTTTATAAAACTGTAATGTAAAAAAGTTTGGTATAGTAGTAACAGGATTACATATATATGTGTGTGTGTGTGTGTGTGTGTGTATGTGTGTATATATATGGGGTGTGTGTGTGTGTGTGTGTGTGTGACGTTTTCATTTAAAAGTTGAAAAATAATCCAGATCTCCATTACCAGCTTTCTAGTTCTTTGGGGACCTAAGGACCTCCTATGTAGGAACCATTGTTTTGTTGAAACAAATCAGCTATGGCAAACAACTGAAAGAGATCTGGTAGAGCAATGAGTTTCTGAGCAAGTATGAATGAATACAAGGCTTATAAATGTATGGAAGGAAAGCAGACCAAGGGACCCAAAGCCATTGATCGAAGCCTGACATAATTCATTAAGAAAATAACATTTCCAGAAGTTTTTCAAGATTATCTACTAGAATGTAAGCTCTCTGAGTTGCAGGAACCACCTGTGTGGCCTAATATCCTGCAGCGTTCTCCCTGGACAGACTCAATGCATATTTATTGAATAAATAAATGAATGAGGAGTTCCTTCTTTTATCACCATTGTTTTAACATCCGAATAAACTTTAAAAGGCATCAGGATTAGAAAACCATATTAAGATAGATATGGGCATCCAATAGGAGCAGACCCTTGGGACCCTGTTTAAAAAAAGCATCTTGTCAAGAACAATCATTAAGAGACATTATAAAGCACCTCATTCATTCACACCTGTTGGCTAACAAATCAATGACATGTTCCACAGATGCTTCCTCTTGGATTTGTCCCACTTGAACTCTCCAATATCTTGTTCAAGATAGTATACAACCTTAACCACACTCATTTATTCTTCATTTTCACTATGGTGCTCCATCCTGTATTTCCTGCCTCTCCAACACACTAGTTTACCCTCTCTAGTCCTGCATTTATCCTCTCTCCTTCATCCCATTTCCCACCTACAGAATTTGGTCCAGCATGGGTAATTTCTTGCACACTTTTTGAGTGATTCCTCATAACAATTCTATGAAGAAGGCAATGCAAAACTTATTATTGGTCCCATTCTATGGATGGAGAAATTGAAGGTTAGAGATTTAAGAGTGATGACCTCAGATTTCAGTAAGTGATAGATCTGGGATTCAGAACCAGGTCTCCTTTCCCCAGGATTCTGTTACATTACCAAGGACCTCAACATGGTATACAGCATGCAGTTGCTCAAAGCCTGACAAAATGAATGATATAAGTCATGTAAGAAGGTTCAGATGATACTAGAGAGCTCTATCTTCCTGTGCCTATGGAATAAAAATATAATTCTTTAGCATGATATATAAGATATTCATAATTTGGCTTGTCTGACTTTCCTGCTTTTTTCTCCATGACTGCTCATTATTCCCACAGTACCCAAACCATGCTAACCTGGCAGGATCCCTTGTCCTCCACCTTCATGCCTCTAAGCCTTTGCCTATGCTGTTTCATCCTCAATGCCTCTCCCACCTTGTTCACCTAGCAAGTTCCAACTCATCCTTCTAGAACCTGTTAAGTATGACTTAGGAATCTTTCTCACTGAATGAGGCTTGCTCTCCTCTGTGCCCACAACACTGTTACTTCAGCAGCTTCCACAGCTCTCAGGATAAGGTCCATATCTTTCTACATGGCAGTCAAGGCCCTTCATGATCTAGATCTTGCTTACATCTTCAGTGTTTTCTTCTCCTATACCTACCATGCCCTCTGATGCTATTATCTCTCCATAATGAAATACTTATGGTTTTCACATACACATCACTGTCTGTCTCTCCTCACAGCTTTTGCACACACAGCTCCCTCTGCCTCCCTCATCACTTTTGCTAGGAAAATTTCAACTTGGTGTTTGTGAGGTCTTAGCTGACGTGTCACATTCTTCTGGAAGCCCGCTGAGTCAGCGTTGGTGTCAGTCTTCCTTGCTGCCTGAGTGCTTCCGCCATCGTGGTACCTCCTTGCTAGTGTCTCATTGATAAGTACTTAGTGACTGACTTTTCCAGTGCTACTGTAGTGTGAAGGATCCCCCATCAGGTTACTTAAGGGTGTATATCCACTGCCTGCATCTTGACAGCCGGCTGGTTGGTGAGCTGAGGTCACGGTGACCAGCCAAAGAGCAGGTGTCCCTGAGAACCCAAACATCCCAGAGTATCTAAGAACCTATCAAGGAAAACAGTCCCATCATGCATGCACAGTAGGCCTAAGAGCCAGAGAATTAGCTTAAAAGCAGCTTAGAGGTGGGAAGTGGGGCGGATCTCTAGAGGTGCCTTCCTGCCTGCCATCCAGGAGTACCCTATATGTAAATCTTAACTCATCTGCTTGCCAAGCTGCACTTGTCCAAATCATTCTTCGGTCTCTTGATACCTTCCTAGTTTGGGGATGAAGGTGTTTTTCCCATAACAGTTATCCTTATAGTTTTTTTTCTTCTTTAATATATTTCCTGCCTTTCCCAGAAGAGTCTGTGATCAGTTTCTCCTTTATTTTCCTTATTGTAGATTCATTTCCATCTTTTCAGGTTCCATTCTTCACAGAGTGCTTCCATTGTTTGGGGGTGACTGATGTTTGGGGGTGACTGATTGAGGGTGACTGATGCTATTGTTTGAGGGTGACTGATGTGGTGGAAAGAATGCTGGATGGGGTGCTAGCTCAGGCTCAAGTCCTATCCATTCACTCATTCATTCATTCTTTCAACAGCTATTTACAGAATACTTTCTACCTAAGTGCTAGGTACTATTCTAGGTGATGAAGGGAATAAGCAAAGCCCCTGCCCTCAAAAGGTTTTCCAGTAAGGGAGTTAGACCAGATTAAAAAAAGATAATCACATATACAATGTAATATATACTAGTGGTAAGTGTTATGTGAAAAAACATTGCTATGATATTGCTCATCCTATCCTGGACAAACCTGTTAAAGCTCTCTGAAACTAAATGTTATAAAATAACATTCTAAAATGGTGCTAATAATATCTGCTCTAAATAACTAGCAAGGGTGGCTATGAGGCTCACATATGAAAGAATAGAAATGCATTTTTGAAAACAGATGAAGTATATGCCTTTATTGTTATTATTTTAATTTTGATGTAATGCAGTGTCTATTTGCCCTTTCCAAGAGCCAACACATGAATTTTAAAAAAATATCCATCAGTCATTTAGATGTTTGAAAATGAGCAAATGTCTGGCTGACAGCCTCGGTCTTCATCTGAATGTTTGGTTAACCTATCTGCATGGTTGGAAAAGTCATGCGTTTACTGCTGTGCCCTTGAAAGCATCAATCTCTAGGATTATTATTTTTTTCTTACACTATTGAGATAATGGTAATTTTCCTGTCTAAATATAAATTTTAAATGGGCATTTTCATGCCCACTTTGAAAAACAAGCTAAGCAGGACTGTCCATCTCACATAAATGTTATTTATATTTCTATGTAGCTCGTTTTTATTTGGGGCATATGTGAATTCCAACAATGTGTAGGAGAATATTAAATCATTACCCATGAAACTTAGGAATCAAATTTAATTTTGCAACTGTTTGCAAAATTTCAAAAAATTGCAGCATACTTTATGTAGCTTTATAAAGGATTAATACATAAAAATAAACTAAGCAATGCCTTTTCTATATTACATTTTGCTAAAGAATGTTTTGATGTCAACTTTTTTGAAAGCTGACTAGAAGTGAGGAGAGAATGTAGCAAATAGAGGAGAGCACTGGCCTCTTTACTTATATATTTGTATATTTATTTGCAATTATACAATAAGATGTGAACACATGCTCACAATAATTCAGACAGTAATTAAAAGGCTCAAGTTCCTTTTACCTATTCTGTTCCCTCATCATAACCTTACCCCAACCATGAAGTGATTACTGTTATCAATTTGGTATGTATCCTTCTAGAATTTTTAGTATGTAATCACAAACATATATATGGATTTTACATAAATAGCACGCTATACATATTGTCCAGCAAGTTTGTTTTTGACATATGTCTTGGAGACTTTACCATGTGGGGACATCGAGTTCTAGCATATTCTTTTTCACTGTGGCATAGTATTGTATTACATGGATCCACTACAGTTTACCTACCCCATTTCTGGTGGGTGGGCTTTTGGGCTGTTTCTGATGTACTATGCTGTATATGGTTCCCAGCACACATGCATGCATATTTCTCCAGGGTATACACTGAGAGGTATAATTGTGGCTTCAGAAGTATTCACTTCCTTTCCTCCATTTAAATTTAAATAGACACTGCAGACTTGCCCTCCAATAATGAAGTAACAATGTACACTTCCACCAACAGAATCCACTCCAGTTAAGCATCTCTGTGGTATTCTAGGGAGGTAGTCAGTTGGGCAGAAGAGGCTGGTGTCCTCTAGCTCTCTGAGGGTTATGAACATACATTCAGTAGGTAAATCCCAAGAGGTGAAAGGATCTCAGCTGGCAATGGTTCTCCCCTTTTCATTTCACTAGAGTGAACTCCTTTTTAATGCTTCTTTGTCCTTTCTTATTTCGGTTTTTAGCTGAAATAAGATGTGACATGCTCACAATAATTCAGACAGTACTTAAAAGGCTAGATCTTTGATAACAGATATCCTGTGAACCTGTGTTTCACCTGACCATTAAAATCGTTCTTTGGAATTAATAACAACTACCGTTGATTAACTGACACACACTTTGGATGTACTATCTCAATACATCCTCAAAATACATCCTCAGAATAACTCTGTAAGATAGGTATTGCTTTGATCTACATTTTTCAAATGAGTACACAAAGAGGTATGTAAATCTACCCAGGGACATAAGGGCTATTAAGACATAGAGCAGAAATCTGAATCTGGGCTGGGTGGTTTCCAACCCCAGTTCTGGGGCTATGAGCCACTGGGCTCTACTGCAAGCAATCATTCCCTTCTCTGCTCTCCTAAGCCTGTTTATCTCTGCCTCCCTTGCATCAGGCATTGCTTTCTACCTTTTATTAGTTATTTGTCAATAGGATTTATCTTATCTTTTAGCCTGTTAGCTTCTCAACTGAAAAATGCATGGATGAGTCACCTCTGTCTCCAAGACCATTTCAAAAAATACAGTACCTCAAACACAGTAGGAACTTGATAAATATATCTTGAAAGAAAGATGTACTTACCACTCAGCTTCACAAAACTTCTCCCTTACAATCCAAGATCACTGACTGTCCCCCTGCTGAATCTGACAATGGCCTTCATGGGTCGTCCACTGTGGCATCTTTTCAGGAGGTAATTCTCATATCAGAACTTCTAGATACGAATGGCTTCTAATCCTATCTCTACCACTGAGAACCATTTTCTTTATGGCCCATTCTCACACGACACCACTGATGCAGGATCTGATGTCTTCATGTGAGTTAATTTATCTGATACGTTAATTAGAATTAATTTGCCTTAATTGATCAATTGGAGACATTCATATCTTGCAGCCCTTCACTTCTAAACCCTGTTTTCTAACTTTCCCTCCCAGACCTCTTCTTCTAGCATTTAACCCCAGATTTTAGTCTTTTGGGCATGCCTTTATTCTGCTTTCCAGCTCAGCTGCTGAGGGAAATCCTGATTTGACTGCCTGGCTTCCATGGCAGCTAAACATCTGGATACTATCTTTTGAATCACCTTCCAATTCATGCTCTAATTCCCATGGGTGAATCACACCCTACCCATGACTAAGGCAAATCCTCACTATTTCAGTTAGACCCAGCATCTTGAGTTCCTGTTTATTCGAATGGTAACTGAAATAACATATAACAAACACTGTAACAAGGACTATCAGTGTTCTATTGAAAGAAGTGGCCCTCGTGTAAAGAAGACTAAGCCACCACTTTCTCCTCTACCTCTCTGTAGCCTACTCATCCTGAAAGCCATAGTCCATGTTGCCTTCCTCAACTGTCCCCAACAGTTATTAGGATACTTATTAACTTCTGATATTCATCAACCAAACTAGCATTTAATTATATATGGTCTTATATTGTTTTATGTGATCTATCATCTCCCTTATTAAGCAAAAAGCTTCTTGTAGCAGGGAACAAACATATTGCCATACTCTCCTTTATCATCATTGTCCTCTTCACCATTGCAAATATTTTCTTTAACTTATTGAGTGCAGAATGCTTTACATGAATTAATTCATTTAATCTTCACAAGAACACTATGAGGTAGATGCCATTGCTATCCTCGTTATGGATATGAGAAAACTGAGCACAGAGAGGATAAGTAACTTGCTTAAGATCACATGGATATACTATGTGGTGAATCAGGTATTTGAATCTTGGCAGCCTGGTTCTAGAATCTAAGAGCTTAACCAGTGAGACTTTCTTTCATGTGATCCTTTTATAGTACCAAAAACAGCTGAGAACGTACATAGTACTAAATAGTAATAAATAAGTACAAAGTAAGTACTCATTAGATGCCTAATTTACAGTTTGATGCCCATGGGCTTTTCAGTGTCCTTGAGTCCTCTCTATCATCATCTCAAGACTCAACTGCATATAGTTCAACTACTTAACATAGGCCTGGACACAGGGAAGGGGTCAGACTGGAACAAGATTTGTTGACAATTCTGCACAGAAAAGGAAACAGTCAACAGAATAAAGACAACACCAGTAGAATGGAAGAAAATATATGCAAACCAGATATTTGATAAGGGGTTAATATCCAAAATATACAAGAAACTCAATAGTAATAAAACAACTCACTTTAAAAATAGCCAAAGGACCTGAATAGACGTTTTTCAAAAGAAAGCATATAAAGAGCTAACAGGTATAAGAAAAAATGCTCAACATCACTAATCATTAGTGAAATGAAATAAAAATTTAAACCACAATGAGATATCACCTTATTCATGTTAGAATGTCTCTTAATAAAAAGATGAAAGATAACAAGTGTTGGTGAGGATATGGAGAAAAGGGATCCCTTGTGCACTGTTGGTGAGAATGCAAATTAATACAGCCATTAAGAAAAAAAGTATGGTGGTTCCTCAAAAAATTTAAAATAGTACTAACATATGACCCAGCAATCCCACTTCTAGGTGTATATCCAGAGTATATGGGATCAGAGGTTGAAGAGATATCTACATTCTCATGTTTACTGCAGCACTGTTCACAGTAGCTAAAACATGGAATCCATCTAAATGTCCATCAATTGATGAATGAATAAAGAAATGTGGTATACACACAAATAGAATACTATCCAGCCTTAAAATAGAAGGAAACTCTGTCATTTGCAACACCATGTATAAACCTAGAGAACACTACATTAATTGAAATAAGTCAGAAAAAGACAAATATCGCATTATCTCACTTATATGTGGAACGTAATAAAGTTGAACTCATAGAAGCAGAGAATAGAATGGTGGTTACTAGCGACTAGATGGTGCAGGGTTGGGGAGATGGCGGTCAAAGGATATACATGTCTTTTTTTCTTCTTTCTTTCTTTTTTTTTGAGATGGGGTCTTGCCCTGTTGCCCAGGCTGGAGTTCAGTGGCACTATCATAGTTCACTAAAGCCTCAGACTCTTGGGCTCAAGTGATCCTTCCACCTCAGCCTCCTGAGTAGCTGTGACAACAGGCACACACCACCAAAGGATATAAATTTCAGTTAGACAGCAGGAATCAGTTCAAGAGATCTATTGTACACCATGGTGACTATAGTGAATAACTATGTATTGTATACTCGAAAATTGCTAAAGGAGTAGATTCTAAGTGTTTTTTAAAAATAAGAATGTGAGGTAATACATATGTATAATTAGCTTGATTTATCTATCCCACAATGTATACATAAATCAAAACACAATATTACATATGATAAATATATACTATATTTATTTTTATTTTATTTTTTTTTAGACTATAAACATAAATATTATTGTTTGGCATTACCCCAAAGTTCCCCTTTAAAAAAACAAATAAATGGAAATAATATATATTTGAGTGTTCTGTCTCTACTTTCTTTGAACCAAGGAGGCCTCATACTTTATGAGTTTGTTCCACCCTCTTCTAATATATCTGTCAACAGAGCATGGCAACAGTGTTACAAAATTTAATGTTTTAAAATTTTGAACAAATTAAAAACATGAAATTTATATTTCTCTTACATTTTACTATTCTCTAATGAGGGAAAATGATTTAAATTTTGGACTAAATGCAACCAGCATATAAAATAATTCTCTTCTGAGTGATAGTGAAACAATTACTGAATTACAACTATATGCAGAAAGTATTTTTGCCTAACATGTTTTCCATGTGACTAACATTATAGCTCATTGCAAGTGGTTTATTTGTTTTATAATTAATAAAGAAGTCCAGGTGGAGTTTAACACAAAAACAGAAGATAGAGAGCATTTAATTTTGTAGAGAGCTTTCAGTACTAAAATAGGTAGTCAGAATTTTCTGACTTTAATGGAGTCAGAAACTGGGTAACTTTCATTCTTTTAACTTAAATCAGTTTCTGGATTTAGTTTATCAAAATAGACTATATTGTATGTGTATTGGTGAACTAGAAATAGATCAGCTCTCAAGAAAATGTGGCACATATACACCATGAAATACTATGCAGCCATAAAAAATGATGAGTTCATGTCCTTTGTAGGGATATGGATGAAATTGGAAATCATCATTCTCAGTAAACTATAGCTAGGACAAAAAACCAAACACTGCATGTTCTCACTCATAGATGGGAATTGAAAAATGAGAACACATGGACACAGGAAGGGGAACATCACATTCTGGGGACTGTTGTGGGGTGGGGGAAAGGGGGAGGGATAGCATTAGGAGATATACCTAATGCTAAATGATGAGTTAATGGGTACAGCACACCAGCATAGCACATGTATACATAGCACATGTATACATGTATACATAGGGCACATTATGTACATGTACCCTAAAACTTAAAGTATAATAATAATAAAAAAAGAAATACTATTTTTATTTTTAAATTAAAAAAATTAAAACAGCTTGTCCCCAAGAGCTGTGGAAGCAATGGAGAGGCAGACTCAGAGGAAGACGCTGCAAGAGAGATGGTTTGACTGGAGAGGCACTGAGCATGACAACAACAGGATATGGTCCAGATGTGGCAGACAGTAAAGCACATGGGGGGCTAAGAAAATGGACTTTGAAAGAGGACTGCCTAAACTGGAATCCCAGTGCCACAGAGTGCTACTCATGGAACTGTTGTGAGCTATGTGAGTCAATTCTTCTAAAGTACTAAGCACAGTAAAGGAGAAAGGTGTGCTGTACCTGTTAACTGCTATATTATTCTGAATAATTAGAATGAAGACCAATATCTGACTTCTGGGTTTCTGACTTATATGTGGGGCACAGCAACAGGGAATGAAGGCACAGTGAACATGCAGAATTCAGCATCTTTCCTCAGGCTCTGGCCATCTGAGCACACTTGGTTTTAGTGAAGTTAGCTTATAGGCAGTTCTAGAAACAAATTTAGGGAGGATTTGGGGCCCTAAGCCTAGAGATTCCAAGGTCCTTGTATAGGTTAACACAATAGAAATGCATGTACCAGGTACAGAAGAGAGGGCCCTCATCAGGACTGGGGTACAAACTGGGGACTTGGTCCAGACACAGGTGACATCTCGTGGCTCAACCGAGGCACAGGACCACAGTGAGACAACAGCAAGGGTACCTTGGAGCAGAGCCTAATATATGGGGTGGAATTACAGGGCTTAAATCAGTGCTACCTCTTCTCAGGAGTAGCGCAGAGGACCATGGGCAGGCTGAGTATGCAGATAAGGATTATATGACTCCAAAGGTAAGGAAAAGCTGGGAGTTGGGCTGGACCTAATCCATGTTGCATGGAGCTGCTTCACTGCCCTGTCTGGGCCTCACCTTCTTGGTGAGCAAGCAATCTGGTACCATGCCCTTTGGTGAAATCAGGCATGGAACAGGTGACTGACCTTGGGGAACGAAAGCCAAGCTGCCATTCATCACAGCCCATGGTGCAAACCTCTAAGGTAAGCCTTGGAGCCTCCAGCGCCCCAGCGGTGGGGCATCCGTCCTCTGGGCAGGGAGCTTCAATTCACACAGCAGGAGAGCCATAACATAGCAGGAGACACACAGAAGGCCTTTAAATGTCTATTTTTTAAAGTGGTTAGCAAAGCAGGAGAGAAACTGTCAGAGATCCGCAATGCAGAGTTTAATCTGGAAAGTCAGTGAAGAGGTGGAAGGAAACAGAAAACAGGAGACTGGAAGAAGAGGCTTCAGGATTTGGGGAGAGCAAAGCAAAAAGTGTTAACAAGAAAAAAAAAACAGTTGCATATCAGAAACTGCTCAATTCTCATGTCAACATTTACAGAACACTGTTTTCCATTTTTCCGACTGCTCTATGCATTTGACAAATTTTTACTTGTTCTTAATTCTAGCTCAAAGTTCACCTCCTTTAGACAAAGCCATACCCTCTTCTGGCCTCTGTTTTAATAGATACAATGTTTGTAATAGCATATTTCAAAATATTGTGTAATGAATTGTGACTCTGGATATTATAGCCACTCATCATTTTCTTGAGGATATTTATCCTTATATCCCCAGGACTTAGTAAAGTTCCTGGCACATATTAGCTAATGGTCAATTAATGGTCACTTAATGAATAGAAGATTAATGAATGAAGAAGGAACCAAGGAGGGAAGATGCTTTATGACTGTACAGGGTGCATGCGAGGGGAGGCAGGAAGTGAGATCTATAAAGGTGTCTTAGCATATCATGCTGGTGATGTGAGCCAAGCTAAGCATTGCAGCTTTCATCCACTGGCAAGGTAGCATAATAAAAGGCTGTAAAGCAGAATGTTTCAAAGAGCTGTTCCCCCAGTGCCATCTTCACTCTATACGTTATTAATCTCATTTCTTCCCTACTTCGAACTAATGTGCTCACATTCAAAGATTTGGCATATATAGACCCATTCAAAACAAAATGTTTCAAGTTCTCCAGAAAATAATCCTAAACCTCAACTTCTTCAAGAAATAATCCTAAAATAACCTCCCATCAGCTTCTTTGTTACTCAGTATTTTATTCTTAACTTATTGTAACCTTGTACCTATTTATTTGTCCCTTGGGAGATGATGGTTTTCTTTAAGAGTTATGAGTGTACTTTCTAGTGCCAAACTTGGGTTCAAAGCCTAGCTCATCCACCCACAAGCTTTCTGTCTTTAACTAAATTATTTAATATCACTGAGTCTCAGTCTGTTCACCTCTATAGGCATGATAAATAATGCCTACCCACATGATTTCGGTAAGAATTGAAGGCTATTGTAAAGTTTAAACATGAACTAAACAATCAATACCAGCAGCTAGTAATAGTGGTTCTGCCAATATTAGTTAAAAATAATAATAATAGTAAGTTTGTTCTTATGCCCTGGCATACTCTCTGGGAGAAAGAATCATCTTCTCTTTCTTAGGTTATTATTTCTTTTTCTCTCCCCTCCTACAACTGCACATCTGCCTCTTCCCTTCACAGTATTTTGCAATTCTCTGTGTGACTCAAAGCAGAGCTCAGGTTATGCATGACAGCTGCCTCTTCCACTGTGCCCTGGCACCATGGATGTCACTGCCATCCTCCACCCCATGCATGAGCCAGAACCCTGGGCTCCTTCTGACTCACCATTCTCCCTCACCCCCACCATACACAGTTCATCAGGCTCTGTGAATCCACATCCTGAACGGCTCCTGATGCTGGCCATTGCTCTCCATGTGTGCCATCACCTTCAACAGGTTACCTGCATCTCCAACCCAGACTGCCACCAGAGCCTCCTGACTGCCCTCCTGAGGTCGCCTGTGAGAAATAAAAATGGAATCCTAAGCCCCCCAACTGAATGGACCCTCTATTGGCCAAGGGGACCCCAGATTAACCTTAAAAATTGAGTTCTCAGCCATGACAGGATGAGAGGTCAGACATGCCTCAGTATATCCCTCCCTCGCTAACCATGTTAGGCTTTCCTCCCTAAGGGATAAACAGAAACTAGCTCTTTGGAAAGACTCCACTTTTGATACCAACAAACCACCTGATGCTGCCCCTCCTTTTTTTGCCTGAGAAAAGACCACTGACCATGCAGTGGTTCTGGCCAGTCTATGGAGAATGTGCAGTAAAGGCTTTTGTGTCCTCTGCTTCACCTTTTGACATCAGAGAGCTCAAAACTCCACCCTTGGATCATGCTAATGCTACCATTTTTTTTGTACATGGGACCCACAAATGGGCATGAAGTTCAATTGCACAGGACCACGTTTCTCCTTTCATGAATATTCATGACTCCTCCTATAGCTTATTAAATATGTATATTTGGCCACCTTGCTCAGCGCACGTTCCTATTCCCTTTACCTCTCCCTTGAAGTGTCTGTTTCTAGCTTCTGGCAAGAGGCTATGCTTCCTAGCCTGTGGGAATGGGCACCCTGCAGGCTGCAACACTTTATGAGAAATAAAGCTGTTTTCCCAAATTTATGAATCTTGTCATTCTTCAGTTGATACTTGTCTCCCTCTCTGCTTCTCATTACTGCTCAATTCTCCACTCTGTAGCTGGAGGGGTCTTCTTAAAGCATAACTACGATCATGTGAAACCCCCACCCTAAGGCCCTCTCCTGGCTTCCCCATTGCTCTTAGCATACACATCCAAGTTGTTAAACATGGCTGTTTAATAATCATGCTTATTATCTGTGCTGGAGCCACACTGACTTTATATCAGGTCCCCTCTTTGCATAGGCTGCTATTGTTTCCTCCAATAAGCTCTCCAAATAAATAAGCCTTGCATAATACTGCTTAAAACCAAAGTTAAGTCCTGAACTCTGAACTAGGAAGGTCTCTTTTTAGTTCAGGATACTGTATGTCACTGATATAAAGCACTGTGTGGAGACAAGTCTCAGAGAAAAAGACGAGGCTGGCAGAATATAAGAGAAAGTGACGGATGGAGGAACTGGATGCCTAAAAGCACTTCATTTCACTTTTCTAAATGTGCCCTGTCAAAATGAAGGGAGCAGACCCAGTAAGGCTGAAGTTAGTGGTTGCACAATAAAGTAGAATATTTATCTTCGCTCTGGAGCTGCAGACCATTAGCATTAGAAAACACCACCAAGTCTGTCTCCTAACATGCCTGGGGCCCTCGGAATGGGGAGGATCCTGATTTAATGAGCAAGTTACACCATCTGTCAACAGGACGGCTGAGAGGTAATTCAGCCAACAGCAGCTCCCAGAATTTAAGGAGCAAAACACTTGTGTGCTATTTGTGTAAGACATGGCCCCTAGCTTCACGGTCAAGGAATCCTACGCACCCTAACTACTCAAGCTGGGAGTGAGGGGTGGTATCTGTGTGTCTTGCTCACAGTCCAGCCAGCTTCAGCTTTTTTGTGTGGGTGCTTGATGAGCTTTGCAGAAGGGAGACATCCAGCTAGAAATAGGGTCCTGGAGAGTTCCCTCTGCCCCCCTTTCTGAGCCTAATAATTTCTGGCAAGAGGCTACAACACGTATTAACATAAACAATATCACTGGCCAAAGTATTCACACTGTTATGGATGGAAGGAAGGAGGTGACAGAAGAGAGTATATTTCATGTATATTCCTTGTGAGACACGATTTTGAAATGGAAATAATCTAAGAGAATAAATTTTGCACCTAGATTAGTGAAAGCAACATGGAGTTGCTTTGGAAAATACCTCAGTTGTAAAATAATGTGATCTTTTACTAAATGAACTGGTAATTAATATCAAAATGAGGAATTTTTTCCCTGTAAAAATTAGTCAACTTGGAAATCTATATAAATTCTTCTTCTGTATTTCTATAGCTCATTTTATAATACTTATTAAATTTTGAAGTTTACGGATGTGGGGATTTTTTTTTTTTCACACACACTTGTGAGTCCCTAGGCCAGAGCTTGGCACACAGGGAGGTAGGGTGGCAAAAGTGTATGGACCCAAAAGTCAAATAACAGGAAATTCAAATCCCAGCTCTCTTACCTAGCAGTATGAATTTGGTCATATTTCCTAAGCCTCAGCTTCCTCATCTGCAGAATGGGGAGAACAACTATCCATTTCTCCAGGGTTGATGTGACAATTAAATGAAATAAATAATATAAAATATTACTATTATCTGTAACACACAGGAATCACTCAATAAATATTGACTACTGTTAGATATTCAAGTGAAAATATTCATTTCAGCATAATGCTTTTATGCATAAATTGTTGTGAAATCATCTTGACATCCTAACTCCCATTGTTCAAAACAAACAATATAAATTTGGGTAGGATTTGATATGAAGAGACAACTGAAAATCAGTTAAATATAAGCCTGGTATCTATGAACTTCTTGACTGTCAGCTTTGAGTCTTACTCTCTTATTCTCCTTTGAAGCTATAATATCTTTCACAGTGCTTGGCACTCAGCTCCAGAAGCTATAATATCTTTCACAGTGCTTGGCACTCAGCTCCAGTAAATATTTATTTAATAAATGGAACATTTGTTGAATAAATCACGGGGTGAATAAAGTGGGTGAACAATCTGAACAATCACAAGCAATTTTACTTAGCTTGTTTACCCAACCTAGCTTTAGGAATCTATTAGAATGCTATCAAAAAGTAGAGAGCACTGGATGCGGGAAATATTAATAATTTTTCTAGCTTTCCTTCACCACAGCTGTGGTGGACATTTGTCATGCTCCCTGGACTGTCATCACATTCTGAATACCTATCCTATGTGCATCAGTTTCCCATTGCTGCTGTAACAAATTACTACACATTTAGTAGCTTAAAACAACACAAATGTATTATCTTACAGTTCTGGAGCTCAGAAATCTGAAATGAATCTTAAGGGGCTAAAATCAAGGTGTCAGCAGGCATGTGTTCTTTCTTGAGGCTCCAGGGAAGAATTAATTTCCTTGTCTTTTCCAGCTACTGGGGATCTTTTGCATTTCTGGTAACTCCCTTCCTTCCTCTTCAAAGCACATCAATCCAACCTCAGCTTCTGTTCTCACATCTTCTTTTTCTGACTCTGATCATTCTGCCCCTCTTTTATAATGACTTTTGTGATTACATTTGGCCCACCCAGATAATCTAGGATAATCTCCCAATCTCAAGATCTTTAATCATGAATGCTAAATCCCTTTTACCATGTAAAATAAACATATTCATAGGTTCCTGGCATTAGAATTAGGACACAAACATCTTTGGGAGGCTATTCTTCAGCCAACTCACTATATTTGGAGTATTTCCTGCCTTTTGTATCCAGTCCCACCCAGGTAGAAACCTGTACTTTACTTTGGACAGGATGCAGGCATGTGACTGAACTTAGTCATTCAGATGCCTGAGATTATGGTTCTAAAGTGAACAGCATGAGCAAGCAGGTTTGATATCAAATCCATCTTCTGGTGAGGTTGGTAGCAGCAGTGTCCAGCTTTCTGGATACCAATGGTGTATAGAGCTCAGTCCACACCAGTGATGAGATCTGGCTGTTTCTACACAGCAGTGGCAGGAGTCTTTTTTTAGAGCAATGCCATAATATACCCTTGTAAGTACAATTTCCAATTACTATTTTTTGGCCTACCCTCAGACTCTGTGAGCACCTCAAGTGCTTTAATAAAAAATTTTTTCTGCTTATAGTAGTCCTGAAGGTTTCATTATTTATAACTAAGGAACCCAGTGGACACAGCCTCCTGTGCTAGGTTGTAAGAAGCGCTTGCAGGGAGGCTGACGGAGTGCTCCTAGAAAATTGGAACAGCAGACAATCATTTGGGGCACCATTTAGGTGCCAAGTACTTAGTAAAAAAGGCCCTGAAGAAATGGAATGCAATCATTCAAACTAGGAGTTGGTAAATTGCGCTGTTCTTTATAATACCCGGTGTAGGGGGAGGAGAGAAAGAGAATATCCTATGGAGGTCTGTTCTGAGACTTTGATCTTCATCTCTTCTCAATATGACAGACCAATTCAGATAGAATTCTGTTTGTGAAGGAACAGCAAGAGAGATTTTGATTACTGATTCTGGTCAGCATGGATGCACCCCTCAGTGATTTTCAAAGCACTTTATGGCCTTTAGTTGTTTACATTAAATTAAATAGTCTTGGATATCCATTAGTTTAGAAAGCAAAATTATATCTGGCTTAAAACTGCTTTTTGCCTACTGCCTCATTCGCCTCTGCATTATCTAGAACTTGCTCACATATGGCTCTTACTTTATCCATCTGTAAGACAAGGTGATTTTTTTTTTTTTTTCGAAATAATGCATTTCCATCCCTCTCTGTTCGGTGTCTTTTGCTTGCAGTTTGGAGAGCTTGGTTCAAATCCTAACTCTAGCAGTTAGTAGCTGGGTGACTTGAACTAGTTACTTAACCTCTCTGAGCTTCCTTTTTCTACAAAATGTTGATAATATACTCCCAAACAGACTTGTAGTGAAGATTGAATAAGTATGTGATATGGTGGCTGAGCTCAGACTCTGGATTCAGACAGGTCCACATTCAAATCTTAGCTTACATCTTAACAGCTGTGTGCTCCTCAGTGTTACCTGGGTGCCTGTCTCCTCTCAATAGAATCAGAGATGGATAAGAAGTCCCTCATAGGGTTAGAGATAAAATGAGATAATAAATGGACAGCACTTTGCACAGTGCCTGTTAGGTTCTAATATTATGAACAGTTAAGTGGCTGTTTGGAGTGGGTGTTTGGAGTGAATTAAGGAATTATCAAACGAAAGAATAAAATCAACTTCATGTTTTCAAACACCCCCACCACCACCTTCTCTCAACACGGTCTCTAGTGATCTGAAATCCTTTCTAAATAATTGTTTAAAAGTTGTTACCACTAACAGAGATCAGATCTGTGGTTGCCTGCACAAGGATTGGAGAGGGACTGACTACAAAGAAACATACAGAAATTTGGGGAGTGATAAAAATGTTCCACATCTTAGTTGCGGTGGTGGTTATAGGACTGTCTTTTTTACCCCAAACTCATCAAACCATATAATTAAAATGAGTGCATTTTATGTTTAATGTACTTCAATAAAAGTTTATATTAATTAATGTATTATGCTTCTAGAGCAAGGGTTAGCAAACATTTTTCTGGGAAGGGACAGATAGAAAGTAATTTGAGCTTTGCCGGCCTTAGGCTCTGTTGCAGCTACTCAACTTTGCCCCTACGGTGTAAATGTAGCCATCGAAAATAGATACTAGACAGTACATAAATGAATGAGTGTGGTTGTTTTCAATCAAACACAATTCATGAACCAAAATTTGTTTTCATATAATTTTCATGTGTCATGAAATATATTATTTCCTCTTTTGATTTTTTTCCCCAACTATCTGAAAATGTAACAACCATTCTTAGCCCCTGGGCCTTACAAAGACAAGGCAGTAGGCTGGATTTGGTCAGTGGGCCACTGTTTGTCAGCCCCTGCTCTAGAGTTCCAAAGAGGCTTTGTTACGCAGCGTTATGAAATCTGCTTTAGGGACTTAGTGCAAATACCATGTCTAAGAGGACTGGGAGTCCAGCTCCTGTGAGCCCTGTAGGGTCTTTGCCAGAACCCACTCTCTCTGTGGCCAGCCTAAGCCGCTGCTTCTTGACTTCAATTTTGCCATCTGTGCAGAGAGGACAACAATCATCTCTCAGAGCCTGGTAAAGCTCATTCAGCTTGTTATTTGAGAGAAAATGCTCTACCAAGTGCAGAAGCTGATCATGGCCTGGGTTATGAGTCTGGCCTGTCTCAATCATCAGGGGGAAAGTTTGATTTCTCAGGTTGTCATTCCTAAAATTGCTTGTTCTCCAGGTGATGTTCTTATTTCTGAATATGGTCTGACCTTCATTCCCCAAAGAGAAGGGTTATGTTTTCAAAGAGCTGGCAGAAGAAGAGTACTCAGAAAGCTTGCTCCTTCCCTGCCGAACTGCCATCCCAGCACAAACCATGCCTTAGGGGAGGGTGACTTTCCCCCATAATGTTTACCTGGATGGGACCAGAGCTACTCTAAGCTCCTCTGAGAGCAAAGGGAGCTTTATAAATGCAAACCAGCACAAACTGAGGTTTCTTGTTTTTGGTTTCTGACAGTAGAAGGTGCTTGAAGCATTACTTTGGGGTAGTAAAATGGCCAAGGTATCCACAAAAGTCAAGACAGTTCTGAGGTTCTTGAAGCTTCCGAGCTTTTAAAAATTGACTATTACATGTAAAATTCAATCAATCCCTTACTGAAGAAAAAATCATTATTCAGGTACCCAGTTTATCCTCCTACCTGTTGGAAGCATTTGATTCAACTGTTTCTCAGAAATGTTTTTTTGTAAAGAGGCAGAGAATACATGTTTTAGGCTTTGCAGGCAGTATGGTCTCTGTTGCAACTACTCAATGCTGCTGCTGTGATGTAAAAGAAGCCCTAGACAATACATCAATGAATGAGCATGACTGTGTCCCAGTACAACTTTGTTTTCTAAGTTGTAAACAAACAGGTTGTGGGCTGGATTTAGTCCACAGGCTGTTGTTTGCTGAGCTCTGGTCTGAGTTGTGTTATATCTAGAAGGGACTTGGTGGTTTAGGGAAGAGAAAAAAACCTAAATCAGCAGAGACTACTGGTGAGAATGTGGAAAAACCTATCATTACGGATTGGAGAGTAAAACCCAACCAATGAGCATGTTGCATTAGGAGTAGGATGGGGATACCCTAGATGAATCCTGGCCATGGTGAATTTTCCTGATGAAAGTAGAAAGGCAGCCAGTGGATGGGCAGCACCGGGGACAAGAAGAGCCGATGGGGCATTATGGGGAGATACTGCTGCTGGCTGGACTGCTCATAACAGTGTTCACAAAGAAGCCTCTGGTTGAACATGTGAGAACCTATGAGTAAGCCATGTAGGATTCAGGTGGGTCAAAATAAGGTAAAAACCACAGCATGAGCAAAAGCACAGGTAAGTGTCTGCAAGGTGCCTTCACAGAATCCTGAGTTGGAAATTGGAGCAAAGTTGGAAAGGTCAGTCTATGGCACATCATGGAAGACTTTAAAACATCACTTTCAACAGTGTGAACTCTTCATTTTTAAGAGTCAGTGACAGGTACTGAAGGTTTCTGAGCTTGTAGTACCATATCCCCTACAAAGCAGCTAACTCAAATAGTCTTCCTCCTTTACAAAGAGACTATGGTTGGCTGCATCTCACATGTTATGAATTTGATGCTAATACCAGATCACATTTATTAAGCCATTATTATGTGCCTGATAATACTGTACTAAATGCTTTACTTTCATATGTCATTTAATAATGCTTATAAAAAATCACTGATGGGGTTATTTTTTTTGAAAATACTTGGAAAATGGTTTAATGATGTTTTACAACAGAAATGAACTGTACAGTTATGGTAAGTTTAATATATATATAAAATTACAGCAGACAAATGCATCTACACAAAATCTACCATTTCATTCTGATTCACTGTCACCTACACAATCTTTCCCAAGCCTACAACCCCTGCAGGCAGCCCTAGGAGGGGGAATCATCTAAAGGGCACATTGAGAGAGACAGCACCGCTCATATTCCTCACAACCTCCTCAGGCCTCAGGAGCTGATGGGGTTATTTTTATCTCCATTTTACAGATTAGAAAACTGAGATCCATAAGAAGTTAACTTACCCAAAGCCAACCAGCTTGTAAGAGGCAGAGTGTGGGTTTAAATGCAGCTCTTAATCATTCTCAACTCAAGCTATATGGCATCTCAGTGGATTTAAACATATTTCTGCATTTTAATAGTTAAATAAAATACTTTTAACATCATTTCTAAATTGTTTCTCCAGTGTTCCCTCTCCTCAAAGATCTCCAATACTATAATTACATTTGTCATCCTTTTATCTTCCTATGAATTATTTTTTAAGATCACCAGATTAATAATAAAATATTTGTAAATTTAAATTTTGTTCAAATTTAATACAATCCCAGTGCACTGCTTTAGTATTAAATCTTGATTTCCATCAATGACATATCTATCCATCTATGTATATAATTATTTTCACATTATTTGGGCTATATTTTAGGAGGATGTTGCTTTAATGAACACAAACCATATATTTATCTGACATGAATTTTTGGCCACACACAATAATGTGATATAATTTTAAATAAGTAAAAAATGCTTATATAAGTAAAAGCTTAGAAAGAAACAAACCAGAATATTAATAATAGTTGTATTATGGTTATGTGATTATAAGTGATCTGTTTTTTCTCTTTTTTCCCAATTATTTTAAATTGGATTATGTTAGTGTTAAATTTTTAAAATATAATCATGTGAAAAATGTTCTTTTTAAAAAAAGAGAGGTTATAAAATAATCCAGTGGGAACTAATCAGCAACTAATGAAATAATGCCCAAATGCAAAAAGTGATGATGTTCCATGAAGGTTCCATGTACTTAAAGCTACTGGATCTCATTAAATCACTGGGACCTAAAATCAGGCTGGCTGGGGTGGGTCTACACTCAGCTTCTCTAAGTACAATCAATTTAAGAGAAACAGGAGTAGGGGTTTAGTGGATTAGTCACAGCAGGCCATTAATCTCTGCATTCTCAGTTGTAATCCAGCCTCTACCAACGAGCTTGGAGGAAAAAAATCCCACAAAAAAACCAAACACTGGGAAAAGCTCTAAAGCAGGCTCCCTAGAGACAGACATACTCAGGTCACAGTTTGCTTGTCTTTACTTAACATCAATACAGTATTTATCATCTGTCCTATTTCTTGTTGGTTTCCCTTTTATGCCTTTTGCTGAAATGCTCAGATCAGATATATTTGAAAAGGAACCATACTGCAATCTCAGGAATAGCTCAGCATTTAATTATCATTTAAAGAAATCCTTCTCTCAAGTGAATATGAAACAAATCAAAGCTATGTTTTCATGTTGAGAATAGGTTGAAAAAAACATGGGTAAGGTTACCACAAACACAAATTAGTGCTTGGGGAAGCAGGTAAGTCTGAACAATGAAAAGGGAATAGAGTAGCCAAATTTCAGTAAAAATGAGTGACAGTTTCAAAAATTGCAGGGTAAATAGTGTATCTTTTATCATAAATGGATTAGGCCATAATAATACCTCACTTCTTTATTGCTCTGGCAAATGATCTAGAATTTACTAATGTATTAAGTGGGAAAAAATAATAAGCAAATTCCTGAGCCAGGGTTCTATTTATGCCACTACTGTCAAGGCCGAATATTTATTGGATTATATGAGACCATATGCCTACATTAGAGGTTTTGATAAATTTAAAGTGCAGTTGTAAACTAAAAATATGGGGCATTAATTTCTTAATTTTTAAAAAATTATTAAAGGAACATATGGGCAAGACCCAGTAAACTGTCTCTGAAGATGATGCTATGAAAAGACATGATTATCTCCCTTCTTATTACCTTTAAAATATTCCCCAAACATTCTAGTTTCCCCTAGTGAATCAGATTCAACCAACCTTAACTGATTATGTGCTATGTGCAGACATTGTGCTGAACACTTTCACATGCATTGGCTCATTTAATCCCCATGTTTTACATGATATTGCCAAATTCCTTCCTAATTTTGCTCAACGTGTCTTTTATTCTTTTAGCTTCAGCCATATCGAAAGCAAAAGCCACCATTTATCAAGTGCATTCTATATGCCAAACACCAGGCTCCATTTTTTTTATTTCAAGCCCGCTTAACTCCAAAAATAGGTGTTATTGCCTCCAATTTACAAATGAGGATACTGACACTTAGTTAGAGATATTAAATAACTTCCTAAAGTCACACAATAAGAAACATCAGAGTTGAGGTTAAATAGTAAGATAAGGTATAACGTATAATGTTTTCGATGAATGCTCTTCAATACATCTGTAGCAGTCAATGACGACCCCTAGACTCTTTCCCAGCGTTGCACTAGAGGGTGACAAGGTAATCATTCCACAAATGTTATTTGGGTTATTTTTCTCATAATGCCTTATCATATGATTGCCCATATAGAAAGTCATTTTCCACTTTTTGTTCACTCACAGTCGTGAAAGATCTTCCTATATTTTCATCTTGTTGCCTCAACATTTCAAAAACTGGGGAAGTTTAGCATGAACAGCAAATTTGGACAACTTTCTGTAAAAGTCTCTTAATATACTAAAGTTCCTAAGTTGGAAAGGGATCTAGAAACTACTTAGTCCAATATGCTTAAACTGTTTAAAAGGAGAAAACTGGCCCCAGAATAGTAAAATTAATTCCTCCATGCCACAGAAGTAGTAGTGGCAAAACTAACACTAAACACAACATGTCCTAACTTCCATCCTAGTAATCTCTTGAGCAAATCACCTAATTCTATCTTCCCTATAATGTATAAAAATGTGCTCCAAGAACAATACTTAAGAAGGCTTAAAATTCTAGACCTAGAAAAGGTATTTGTTTATCTTAACCACAGTTTCCTGTCTCTGATCTAACTTGTTATGCAAAATAACATCTTGAATCCCATAGCTATTTAGGTTTGTTTAATAGATTTTGAGGTAAACCATTGCTGAAAGGATGTTTGAAAGATTAGTCACTATTCTACATACTTGCTTACTCTCTCAAGGAATTCAAGCACATTACTAGAGCCTCATAAACAGGTTATACATTACTTTCAGATATAATACAGTAAAATGGTAAGGAACTTCATACTGTTTGACCCAATAATCACAATATTGAGATTATTTTTAAAAAAAATTCGATAAATATCTACTTGGATAAAAACAAATGCCAAAAAATGTCATAAACTAGAAACAACATATATGCTTAAAAACAAGGGAAAGTTAAATATAAATAATGCTATTTTACATGAATAAACTACTATGGAAATATAAGAAAAAAATAATGCATATTGAAGTAGCAGATACTAGCTAATTGTTCGCAAACCATTTTCCCTTTGCTCCTGGCTACAAGGCTAGCCTACAACTCTCTAACTGCTTTAAAATAAGATGTTAACAGGTGCAACACACCAACATGGCACATGTATACATATGTAACAAACCTGCATGTTGTGCACATGTACCCTAGAACTTAAAGTATGATAATAAAAAAAAAATAAGATGTGGCTGGCTGGGCACTTTGGTTCACGCCTGTAATCCCACCACTTTGGGAGGCCAAGGCAGGAGGATCACTTGAGGTTGGGAGTTTTAGACCAGCCTGACCAATGTGGTGAAACACCATGGTAAAAAAATAAAAATAGGCCGGGCGCGGTGGCTCACGCCTGTAATCCCAGCACTTTGGGAGGCTGAGGCGGGCGGATCATGAGGTCAGGAGATAGAGACCATCCTGGCTAACACAGTGAAACCCCGCCTCTACTAAAAATACAAAAAATCAGCCGGCCGTGGTGGCGGGCGCCTGTAGTCCCAGCTACTCGGGAGGCTGAGGCAGGAGAATGGCGTGAACCCAGGAGGCGGAGCTTGCAGTGAGCCGAGATCCCACCGACAGAGCGAGACTCCGTCTCAAAATAAATAAATAAATAAATAAATAAATATAAAAAAATAAAAATAAAAATAAGATGTGGCAATGTGACTGACCAGAAAGGATGCCCACAGCTTTTCTTCTTGGCCCACAAAAACCCCTCCCATGGTCTTCCTCTACACTTTTTTTCCCCATCTGGTGATGTTGATGCCCAGGAAAACTTTGGAAACCATAGGAGGTAGCACAGCCCCCATCAACCTTGTGACTCCCAAGTCACCACTAAATACAGAATTTTTTTTCTTTTATCTCTTTCCTCTCACCAAGCACCTACATGCCCACACACATACATTGACATCTATTGGACAATTAATGCAAAGAAGTAAGCCTCCATTGTGTTATGTCACTGAGATTGTGGGGTGTATGTGTCAGGGTCCAGGATATGCTGAACTGACACAACTAGGAAGCAACATGGAGAAATATTTAAGATATAAAGTTTCTTTTTACAGTACAAATTGGAAAAGTTACAGTTTCAAAATTTAGTAAACAAAAATTTGGTCTATGGGGAATAATTTTTTTCCTAATTTTTTTCATAATATTTTATCATATTTGGCATAAAATACACTCTGATTCCAGGCTTCACTCATGTCTGTGACACTAAAACACTTTGCATATACAGTCCCTGTCTTGCAAGGAGCACTGATCAAGAAAGAACATCTGAGTTGGATACGTAATTGGCCTAAACAACCAAGGCATAAACACAACTCTCATTCATGAAGTTGTTCAACTTGTCTTTGGATGTGGCACATTATATGCCTTTACCTGGCTTAGTCAAGCTCTAATTTAAGCAGTTCTAAAAGCAGATTTAAAAAAAAAAAAAAAGCCTGCACTAACTTATACACTTAAAATTGCATGTGGCTCTCATTCAACCAATAAAACTCAGTGCTAAAACAAACTAAAAGGCCACAAGGAACTTCACCACAGTAGAAAAACAGGAATGAAACTTGTTACAGAAATAAAACATAATGACTTCACTACTTTATATTCCACTCTACAGGGGTTTGAGTCACTGTAACTTAAGAGCCAGTATCATTATGGTGCATTACAAGACTTAGACATCAAGTGACATATTTCTATCACACCCAGGTCATACAATAGAAACTTGATACTCACCGATGTCTCACTTTAAAATCCCCAAACATCCACTGAGAAATTAACAATAGGGCCCCTTTTTTTTCTATAACCCCTTTTTATTTTTTTCTGTAATTAAGATTACAAGCAAACAACAACAAATTATCCAATTGACCATCTCCTCACAGTTGTAAAGATTAACCAGGTGATTACAGGGTGAATTCACAGCCAAGGACAGCAAATCCACTCTGTTCTTTCAATTCCTAGGCTGCCAGCTCTTCTCTGGTAAGAACTAGTCAGCTACACCACAATTCTGTTACAAAAGGCCAGAGGGGAAGTAATGTTTTCTGACACAAGACTGAAAACACCATAGAGACCACAGTAATTTCCTGTATTGCTCTGCATCAAGACTAAAAAGTGGGGTAGGCTATTCTCCCTAAAGCACTCTAGTTCAACACACTAACAAGGGAACAGTGAGCTTTCTAAAGTGTTGTTTTCTCCCAAGTAGGAACTTGGTAAGAAATAGCGTACATGTTCCAAACAATCTCCTCAAGTAGGAACAGAGATGACATGGAGAAAAGAATGACAATGTATCCACTGATCTTTAATTGTCCTAGTTCAAGCCTTTGGTATGGTGTCATAAATACAAAAGGGCCGAAATACATTTTAAACAACTATAAGTGCCCCAAATAAGGATGATTTGTCAAATGGAAATATGAGTCAGAGCAGGACTAGAAAACTATCAAACATATTGCTCATTGGGAAGGTTCCCATTCTCTGTGACTCTGCACACTCAAAAACCTACATGCAGTAGAAGCAAGACAACAGCTGGTAGAGGTGTCTTCTTCATCTCCCCTCCCTCATGGCCTCAGATCTTGTCCCTCAGTCTGCCCTGAATGCAGAAAAGCCACTCTCCATCGCTCCTTATTATTCATTTATGTATTAATTCAGTCATTCATTATTGAGCATTTTCTAAATGCCAGGCACTGGGTTGGGTAATGGGAAAAAAAACACTCACACATTTGTGTGTCACTACACACATTTTATAGGGCAAAGACCATTGCTGTTTTTTTTACTACATTTTATCTTATGCCTGGCCCAGTGCCCACCTCATAGGAGGCATTTGTTAGCATTTGTGCAATAAATTAACAAATACATTTAACACTGGGAAAAAAATCTTCCATATATATTACTTTATTGTTTATTTCAAGAATCCTCTGAGGTATTTATTATTATTCTAACCTTGTGTTGGAGGACAGGCCTATGCTCCCTCAATAATTGCAGCTATCAGAATTGTTTTCCTTGAGGCTAAAAGGTAGCTGTGTGTGTAGTGAGAGAGAGGGGAGCGGAAAGAGAATATGTTGACTCACATCCTTCAGTAAATCTGTTTATTCCAACTCTGGCATTGCTGCCAAATGTGTTGCAAAGCCAGCAAGACTTGGCTCTGGAAAACTCACCTGAAAGTCACAGGCCTCATTTCCTACTGCCAGCCCCTTCAGCCACCAGGCATGAAGTATTGGACAAAGTTAAAGATTAATTCTTCATTTACTGTGACAAAATTACCACTTCTCCCAGATCAGTAGGCAAAGGCATTTGTATGCTGTGTCCTTCATAACCTTTGATAATCTCTCCACTGCCATCCTGATGGCCCAGTAATGCAAATGTAATCAAACCCCACACTGGCTATCCCGTTACCAGCCCAATCTTGCTAATAAACAGCAATTGTGGCTTTGTTATAAAAGTGATCCTAGATCATTTGTCACCACCCAAACCTTCCCACCCCAACCCCTGACTGCTGGAAATCCTTTAAAGGTCTGTTTAAGGTTACATGAAATAAAAACTGCAAAAAAGTTACAGAAAACCTTCACTAATCAATGAGTAAGATGATAATAGATATACCGTAAAATCCATGGTCAACAGGGTCCTGGCTTTTTTTTCCTAGGGTGTAAATATGTGACAATAAACTAAGTAACAAGATGATATAAACTCTGTAATCTATATCTGGGTTATTCCAAAGCTTCTGGGAAGCCATCTGGAACCAGGGACAACAGTGGAAAATGATCAGTGGTCTGGGCCAAGTAGAGCATAGCTGAACAAGAGCCAAAGCTTTAATACTGACTGGTCTCTTCCTAATGAAGGATGCAAACTGCATACTTCCTTGGGCCTTTAAAAGATGCCTTTCATGCACAGAGGGAAAATGGGTGATTTTTACTGACATTATTATATGCAAGGGATTACTGTTATTGAAATTATATACCTTAAATACTCTTCCATCTCAACCTCATCCATCACACTACACTCTTTAGTTGTGACTATGTTCACTTTTTGACCGTCTCCTGAATTAATCATGTCCTATGTCTCATCTAATCTCCCTTCCTTTGCAAATGCTGTTTCATATGATCATCCATCTCTCATCACAACCCTCTTGGTTAAGTAGCCAAAATCTTCCACGACAACTCTTTAACATCCTTGGAGACTCACCCTAAGCATCCTCTATTAACGCTACTTACTCTCCTTCTCTACCCCTCCTACTTTCAGGATGAGTCAGATGTCCCTTCTCTCTTCTCCTCAAACACTTTCTATACCTTTTTATTACAATGCCTATCACATTCTGCTGTGACTACCAATATTTTAAAAATCAGTCTTTTACTAGATGAAGAATTTTTGGAGGAAAAGGTCACTGTCTTACTTATTCTGGTTGGATTCTGAGTACCTGATGTATAATGTATCCTCAATAAATGTTGAATGATTAAGTGGACAATGAAAACCATTTCATTTAGGTCTCTACACTCATTTTATAGTAACTGAACCATAGAGTGGGTAAAATGGATATATCATTTAGTTAACCATGGGTATATTCTGTTAAGTGAATGTGTACTCTATTGGAAATAAGAGTTGAACAGAATGTAGTAAGATAAAACTGCTACACAATGCTTTGTAGTACTTTGAGCATCTGTTTTATGTCAAATAGTGTATCTATTGCTTAACCCATAATTAATCTTCATGACACCAATGCATGTACAGATGATTCATTTCTCTTAGCCTTCATCTAATGCTAAAGACATTGTTATTATTATTCAAGTACAAAATTGAAGATATTTGTATTTGCTTAACCTGAAAATACCAAATCTCAAAGATCAGGATAAATGAGGGTCACGAGAGATTTATAAAAAATGAATTTTTAAAAAAGTGTATCACTTAGAATGTCCCATAATGGGCAAATTGATCTATTAGGTCAGGATTTTTTTTAATGTGTTTTGTGATCAAGAATAAATGTTGACAGAAAAAGAAGACAAGGAGTTGGGTTTCTAAGTAATTTCTTATTACAATCAAAGTAAAAATATTAAGTTGCACACAAACCTGATTACGTCATTTTCCTTAGCTCCCCATTAGCTAGCTCCTCATAAATAAAAGGTAAGGTCTAATCTTATTGTGGTTTACAATCCCCTTCACACTGGCCTAAGGTTATTTTTGTAACCCCTATATCCAGTCGTTTAGTCTAACCTATCCACTCCATATGCCCAATCCACCATACTTTGATATTTTGTTTTTTAAATATCTTCTTGTCTATGAACATACTATTCTTGCCACATGATATGTCTTCTTTCTCCCTGTTCTTTTGAAATCTCATGTGTTCTTCTAGGTCTAGGTCAAATGTTTTCTATAAACATTTTCCCTTCTCCACTTGTATCTACAAACGACAGAGTTAATTGCTCTTCCTTTATACTTCCAGTATACTTTATACACATTTCTATTTTACAACATGTACTCTCTTGTTAAATACTAAGGACCAAATATTGTTCATTTCTGTGATTCCAGTGCCTGGCATAGAGTTTGCTGTCGATACGTCTTTGTTGAACATAGAATAAATGATTAAATAATTAATTGGCATTTACAAAAACTGATCCAAAGTGTCAACAAGTATTGTTATTGATGTCAGTGATGATGATGATGATAATTTTATGGGAGCAACTTCAATTTACTGAATGATTAATACATGTCAGGCAGTATGGCAGATTCTTATGTACATTTTCTATACCTCACATTTTACAGATGAGGAGTTAAGGCACACAGAACTTAAATTACTTATCCAAGACCAAACAGAGAGTGAATCCCAAAGTTAGAATTCACACGTCTGCCTATCTGGGCTCCAAAACCCAGGCTTACTCTCATATGATGTGTATGCATTGGCCAATGGCTACTGTATTCCAGATACCACATTAGCCATTTTACAAATGGTGTTTTTTTATCCTTATAATTACCTTGTAGAAACAACAACCTTGAGAGGTAATTATCATCTCTGTTTTACAGATGAGCAAGCTGAGACCCTACCTCCAGCCCCCTCCAGTTCACCCCCTACGAAAAAATTCCAACTCAACTGTCTACAATCTCAAACAGGCTACAAACTATATAAAGTACAGTGCTAGTTGTAGACATGCAACAGAAATTTAAAATCCAAAGAAATGTTAGAATTTCAAACAAATTTTAACAAAGAATCCATTGAACCGTTGCAAAGATCCTTAATACAAAAACGAAAGTCACAAAGTGAATAACCATATTAGGACACTTCATATTCTCTCAATTCAATAGCTCCCTAAGTGGGCTCATCCCAACTTTCCAGTATCTCCCAAAGTGAATTTTTTGTTTCAGTTGGGACATTCTTTAGCGTACATCCTCTTGTTTCTATTCCTCCTTTTTGATGATGAGGTCCCCTCTGTCTCTTTCATCCAAACCTCCAAAATCAATCTAATATACTCCTTTTCTTTCATGTCTAAACTTCTCCCTTCTATACAATTTATGCCAATTATTAAACAATTAGACATTATTCCTATTCCTTTATATCACAATGCATTTTAGCATTACAACTTTGCATTTATAATAATATCTTAACAAATAAACATTACTCATATTACTTTATATCATTCTAAACTATGTGTATGTATCTCAACTTTGCTTCTATAACTATATCTTAAGTATGGATCATATATAGTAATGACACAGATGCTTTACACTTGCATAATGCAAAAAATATTTATTCAAGAATCACTCTCTGAAGTTTCCCTCAGCAATGCTTTGAAATAGGCAAAGCAAATATAATTTTTATTTTACAGATGAGGATTGAGATTCTGAGAGGTAAAGAAAACTGCCCAAATTTATAAAGGTAATGAAGGTAGAGTCACGTTGAAGGATAGGTCTTCTGATTTCCATACTCTTTCTATAATGGCTTGCTATCATACACATTTATGATACCTAGATCTCTTTTTGACCTTAGTCCCAAGTATGTAATGCTTAATTAAGGTGATAAACTGAGACATTAGTTACTGACTTAGGCTAGTAATCAAACCCCTCTCCCCAGCCAAGGGACTGGGTATTCACATCAACATTTATTTTTTCCCTTGGGATTTCATACAACTCCAAAAGACTTTCTTGACTCACTATCTGGAGAGTTTTATCTATGATGATGGTTATCTGTCAGTAACTGGGCTATATGACATCACATGGGAAACTGGATTTAAAGAAACCACATTGCTAATGAGATCATCAGATAAATAGTCATTGTAAGGGTGGGGCTTTTTATTTGATGGGACATTCTATTTCAAGCCATATTGAAAGCATATGTCGTTTGCCAGTGTTGAGGCACTTTAAAGTTGGGTCTATACTGCATTGTAATATACAACTGAAAGAAAAATTCGCTGATCCCCTGGGTAATAAGTACTACATGGTTTCCAGGTAGTTTAGTAAACTTTCCAAGCCTCAACTCCATATTGGACTCATAGGGATAAAGTGGGTTACAGTTATGACTATGCACCAAAGCTTAATGCTACCAGTCTCATTTGTATGAGAAGGAAAATTAAGAGACTTTTCAAAATTATTTAGCCAAGGCTTCCTGGAAAATAGGGTTTGTGCTCAATGTTATAGATGTGCTTGCTGATGATGGTTTTCTTTTTGCTTTTAAACAAGTTGATATGGAAAAAGGTAAAAGCTCTACTCCACCATGAACCAAGCCTATACAATGTCAGATTTGTAGGAAATAATGACATTATTGCATGCTTACTATGTGGTAGAAACTGTGCTGTGTGAAAATCATTGGACATAATATCTCATTTAGTTGATAGAACAAACATGTGACACGTGTACTGTTATCTCTTTTCTACACATAAGGAAACTGAAGTTATGCCATTTTAATGTTAAGATTAGGAAAACAGTGTAGGAAATATTCCTTGCTTGTAGAGATTGCTGATCCTAAGATGCTAGAGGCATTTGGGTAATAGCCTCATCTGTTTGATTGACAGGGTAATGTACAACTCAAATGCTACCTTAATTCTAGCTCTAAATTGTAATCATCTAAAACTTTTACTTCCAAATTCTCTAAGACTTCAATTCATTTAACCTAATTTATTCTTTCAGAGACATCAAAATAAAAAATATTAAATAAAAATATTTGAAAGGAATCTTGAACCAAAACATAAATGATATACTGAATTTTGACTCAGGTAGACCTGGATGTGAAACCTCTAGTCTGAAGCTCTGTGGGCTTTGGTTGCTATATCTATAAGATTATCCCACAAATTCTAAGAATAGATGAATTAAATATGTGCAATATATGTACAATGTGTGAAAATACCACATAATTCAAATGGTTATTGATGTTATTATTATGAATAAACTGACAAAGAAGTAAAGTTACATAAGGAGGAAGTAGGATGCATTGTAAAAATTAAATCAGGCAGCTCTCGTTTGACCAAGAAATTTCTCTCCTCGTGCTGCTAAGCATACATTCTTGCTGATCTGAGCTGCTTTGGTAGGAAGGGAATGGTGCTCTTGCAGTACACGGAAAAATCATTCTGGTTCTCTCTCTCTCCCTCTCTCTTTCTGTCTCTGATCTCTTCACAGACCCTGGATGCCTTACATTTTCAGAAAAGTGAGATCTGAGTTTAACGGAAAGCCAGAGGAACTCCCAAATCATGCCCTTTAGCCTAGCTATGTTGCATTAAGTAGCCAAAGCTGATGTGATCTCACAAATAAAAGACATACATGCTACTGACCCAGCATCTAGCTAAGCCTGGCCAAACAGTCTCATTTTCCAACAGTTTCATCAAAACCAAATTATTAGTGCAGAACCACCAAATATGCCAAGCCCAGGTGTCTGTACTTTAAGCAATATATCCAAATAGGCCCAAGGAGAAATTTGGGGGTGGGTTAGAGGAAGTGTTGGAACCTTTGGTTAACAAAACACTAAGCTACAAAGCGCCAATGTTTTCCTGAAAGCAAATGCCACCAAATGAAATTCAGTCAATATATCTTCCACATGACAAAGCTACTACCAACATTTTCCTTCTGTAAAGTGTTTAGACTACAGACTTTTACTAGCCTTTTCCAGCCTGGTGTTTCTCAATAATGAAGCCAACTCTATCAATGCTTCAAGTATCAATGTCTGGTAACTCTGTAAGGATTAGCACCCACTTAGTGGTCAGGAAAATTCATTCCAAGATGCTAAAGAGGTGCTTTGTTTTTAATATTTTTAATTTAAGATTTAGTAGATTCTATGATCACAGGGTTATGTTCCTTTCAATAGAGCTCAGTCATGAGTAAATTAAAACTGCAAATCATGGAGACAGAAATGAAAGATCCACTAAACTCTCTCAAAGCCACAAATATTCAACCTTAGTGCATTGCATTTCCTATACATCCTAAGGCTGCCAGATGGAAAAAGAATGGAGTCTGAGTCTCCCAAACTGTAGCAATTGTGAGTCATAATCATATTACTAATAATAATTCTCACATACATGGGCATTACTGAATGAGTGGCTCTGCTTACAGGAGGATGAGGCCACCCTGACCATGGAGAAGAAATGGCCTTTTAAAGTTTATGGATGTGTAAAATAAAGAGTATATGATGTTGCATCCCTGCCTAAATGTCTTCATAAAGTGCAAATTAATGCAGATCCTAACTAGGCATTTGGAACGCTAACCTAGTTTTCTGTGTTTAGCTAATAGCTAGCAATTTTGCTTACACTTTTATCCTCTCATTACATAGCAATAATGATTATTTAGTAAATACATATGAAAGGCCATGTACTCCATAGCACTCCTCCTGAGTTGGAAATCCCCCTCCTAATGCTTCCATTTGAATAATTTAGTTGCTGATACACCAAATCAAATATAGCTGTGACAGGTATCCCACTAATGCTTTTTTTGGAGGCTAAGATCAGACCCTTTCTCAGCCTGTTCCCCTCGGTGATTGCCTGGCGAAATTCAGGGTAAGGGCTGGGGACAGAGAGGATGCTGGAGGAAATCCAGAGCCTTAATCAATGTTAACCCTTTATAAATCTTAAAGGTACTCAGATGGCTTGTCTGATTTGAAAATTATTAATGACACTGGGGAGAAGTAAGGAAAGGCTATTTTATAACTAGTCAAATATTCTGGAACAAGAGAGAGAGTTTGAAATAGACATGTAGAAGAGAAAGATGTAAAATATGGCCTTGTGAGATGCCACCCACTTCATATCTGGACATATGACTGATATAAACCTTTACAAGTCACTTGAGAATTTTCACTCCTAGATGCAGAATGGAATAATAGAAGTCCCACTAGAGGAGTTGGGGTGACCCCAGGGCACATTTTCTTGTCTGCCAGGTACACAACACATCTCACTGATGTATCACAGAGACAAATTTCTTAATAGGGTAGCCAAGCCCCACACAGAATGATTTCGGATAAGAGTCCCATTCCTTCCCTATGAGGAGAAAATTGGAAGCCAGACTGGGATTTGGAACAGAGTCCAGGGTGAGGGCAGAACTAGGGTTGTTTTCTCCTATCCAGAATCAGGTCTGGCTTAAAGGGAGGGGATTGACAGGGCTGAAGGAAGAGGCAGGAAACATGTCTCTCCACCCCAGTGCTGCTTAAATGTGGCTGCTCAAAGGGGCAATATCCTGCTCTCCTCTTCTGATGACTTCATGGGAAGTTGGCCGAGTCCCCACTTCTGCAGAAGAATGCAGGCAGAAGGGAGCACTACAAATGGGCTTTTCCTTGGGTGCTTAAGTGGCAGGTGTGAAGGGAAATGGGGTGGGTGCCTTCAATGGGAGGAGCCACTGAACTGGGGAATACTGCTGGTCCAGGGGCTTTCCCCTTTCCCTCCCAGCTTCCTCCCAACCCCAATTCCCTGCATCAACAAAGACAGTGCTCAAAAACCAGAACTCGTCCTAACACACTCAGGCACAGGTGTCCACAAGCCCAACCTCTTTCACCTCAACACCCTGAAATCCCGTTTGCTCTTAAAAGCACAGACAGGCCCAAGTAGACTGAGAGGTCTGAGCCAGCACATCCTTGCTACTGGGAATTAAAAAACACCGTGATGTAAAGAAAGTGGTATTTGTGACACTGTAGTGCTTTAACAAGAAAATTGGGGGGGTAGAGGAGGGTGTGTCAGCAGGTTTCAAAGCATCACAATCAGTCCTGATGTGTTTGGGTAAGGCATGGAGGACATATCTCTGATCCCTGCTGGTACTCTCCAGTCCCGCATCCTCCCGCAGTCTCTTGAAAGTGGTTAGATACCCGGGCAGGGCCCCGCGTCCATTTTGCCAGCCAGGAACCACCGAGTCTGGGAACTTTGAAAGCCAGGGGATGGGGGTGGTTGTTGCCAAGGCTCGGATTTCGGCGCCAGAGTTCTCAGCCAGGAAAGCAGTTGAAAATCAACACCCATCTGCCTCTTCTTTCTCATCCCCCACCACTTTTTCCTTCACCCTTCTAGGACTGCACACAGATCCTAACCACCCCCCCCCGCAAAACACACACATTCACACACCCTTGGGCTGAGAAGATTTTTGATTCTGAAGGCGGCAAACCCGCAGAACTCAAAGGGTCTCGCCACCCCTCTCTCTGCCCCGCGGCTATATACAATAAAACCCCATACACCCCAGACATCACAACATAATCCAAATCAGCCAGTGACTTCGGCGCGTCCCGTACCTGATATGCAGACGATGAAATTGGCTTGAAGAAGAAAAAGCACCTCCCAGACTATTTCCATCCTCTGATTCTCATTCCAAGTGCATCACTCGACGGGAAAACGGGGGGAAGGGGGGAGCCCGACACGGCACACACACATACACACTCGCACACACTTCCGAGCGAGTGCACACTCGCACTCCCACCCGACAGCCGGCCAGGGACAGTCACCCCCAAGATCAATATCGCAGTTTGAATTGTTCCGGCAAATCTCCCCTCGGGCTCGACGGATGTGCGCCCCAGATGTGCTGACACATGTCCGATGCCTCGCTGCCTTGGAGGTCTCCCCGCTCGCGTGTCTCTTCTCTTCGCACCAGCGGCGGAAACCGCACTAGCAGCGGCGGCGGCGGCGGCGGCGGCAGCAGCCACCTGAAGCCACCAACACTGGGCTCTTCCAGCAAAAACGAGACCCCGATTCGTCTGGCGCCCCAAGAAGACATAGACGATAGCCCCCCGCCGGGCTGCGCCGTGCAATTCCGGGCTCCCGGGAGCGCGTAGCTCGCTGGCTAAGCCCAGGCAGTCCGCGGCAAGTTGCCCTCGAAGTCCGCCCCCCTCACCGGGGCATGGTCGGAGGGTGGCTGCTGCGCTCCGGGGCAGTTCTTCTCCTGCTTCCGGGGGGCGGGGAAGGAGCAGACACAGCAGACACACAGAGAAAGAGAGGCAGGGATTATTGCCCGAAACCGCCAGCCGCCGGCAGCCTCCGCCGACCCTCCCTGCTCCCCAGGTCCGCGCGCAGCCTGCAGCCTCTCAGCCGGGTTCCGGCAGTGCGTCCAGGGCGCCGAGGGGAAGGGCTGGGCCCCGGGGACTGGGGCGCGGTGGGGGCACACAGACTCTCCAGGTCGCGCGCGCCCTTCCTGCTCCTCTGCTATTTTCCTGAACTCCCCAGAACCCCCAGTTGCCTGGCTTCCATCGCCCGCAACTAGCGCCGCTGTCGAGATTTTCCGCAATACAACTGCAGGGGTCGTTATTTCCTCGCCTACGGATCCCTACGCTTCCCAACTCAGAGAGGAGGAGGACAGGTGGGGGCGGGAGGGGGAGGAGGAGAAGGAGGCTTGGCCAGGTGAGCGTCCTCGCCGCCGCCGGGCGTCCCAGCGTCAGCTCCGCAGCCCGGCACCCGGGGGCGGAGGCAGGAGGCCCGGGCGGGGAGGTGAGGCTGAGCGCGGCCATGAGGAGGAGGAGGAGGAGGCTGGGTGTCACAGCTTCAGGCCACCTTGGCCGCCGCCTCGGCCCCAGTCCCTGGCAGCCGCCTCCGCACTCCGCCCCGCCCTGGCTGCCTCTGTTACCCTCCAGGATTTTCGAGTTTCTCTTCTTAAAAAGAACTTCGTGCTGCGGGTTCGGCGCGGGAGACCCAGGCAGGACTCATCCTGGGAGTGCTGTGCTGTGCTCTCCCTCCGCTGCGAAATATTGGAGATTTTTTTGCATAATTCATTCCCTGCCCTCTCCATTTCGTCCCTCTCATGCCCCCCACCCTTTACCCCTTTCCGTGCCAGTGCCAGAACACTACTTACCCCAGAGTTCTTTTCTCTGCAGGTTCCTAGACCAGGTGCAACTCTTGCCTGCAAGTCCCTGCCTCCCTCCTCCCGAAAAGGGGGAACACCGCCTTTCCAAGTCCGGGTGCCAGCAGCGGCTGCTGCCAACTGCGCCTTCGCCCAACTCCAGGAGGATCCGGGACTATTGGAAACCCGGGCTTTAGAGGAACGGGCTTCCCTTCTTGTCTTTCTTTTATTCTGCTTTTCTTTAGGGAAGCTCTAGTGCTTTGGAGGCTTTTGCTGGGCTCCAGGATACTTTCCGCCAACGACACTCAGCAGCTTCCACTGAAGGAGATTTCCCCACCAAACCCGCGCGCGCACACACACACACACCCAGCGCGCGGCTCTCCAGGGCCCCAGGGGAAAGTAGGGGCGGCGCGAGCACCACCCACCCACCCAGGCCGAGGCCAGGGGCAGCCAGTCCGCAGAAGGTCTCGTGGGGAGGCGGGCTGTCTATAACCTAGGAAAGACTTGCACCCGGTTGCAGTGTGGATGCAGGGGAATTGAAGAAAACCCTGTGCTCAGAACTGCTTGCCTAAGAGGGCTGGGAACGAAAGGGGAAAGACAAAATCTCAACAGATTTGTCTGCTTCCATCGCTGCAGTGGTGGTTTGCGAAAGCTCAAACCTACCTCTTTGGGGTTATTGAAGAAGAGGAGGGAGCGTAGAGGGAATCCCTGGGAAGATCCAGGATTTCTCGGCGCGCTTGTCCCGATTGGGAACTGTGACGTTAGGAGATTTTGCACAAGCGCGGATGAACACACACATAACAAACACAAACACACACATACCCCGCGGGGATTTTTTATCCACTTTTAATATTTGATGTTTAGAAGCTATTTCAGTATAAACCTCGGTCTAAGAACTGCACAAAGGGTAGATAAGTGGAGATGGAGGAGGGGAAGGAAAGGGTGCCCGTTCATCCGCACAGAGTCAATCTAGTGAATCTTCCCGTGTTGATCCCAGCACCCAGGCTGTGCGACATCTGAGGGTGCGGAGTGGGAGCTAAAGGAGTTACATTACAGTGCTCCCAGGGTTCTTGAAGGGACTCCAACTGCCCAGGAGTCTGGCGGGTCTTTTTGCTGAGTGGCGGGGAGAAGAGGGAGGAAAAAGAGAGAACGCAGAGCAGATCAGCAGCTCTCTGAGCTGTCTGGGCTGGGCGGCTGCGGGAGCCAGAGCTACGTAGTCCCACCGACTCTAGGGATTCGAAAAAGGAACCGCCGACAGACCTGCCTACTCTTAAAGAAGGAGATGTGGCCGTGAGATCTGTTCTGTGAAACAAAGGCCAAGGACTCTAGGTGGTCAACACATTAAAAATCTAGGCCCAGATGAAATAAATCCAGCATTCTTATGTAGAGAGCTTCCAGGCTCAGCAGGGAAAAGCATGAAACTTCAGAACATTAAAAGAATTCCGGATAGTGAGAATTAGCCCATTTGGGAAATATATGGGGGCATTTGTCTCCGTGCCTTGAAAGTAGACTGCATGAAGAATTATTATTATTTTTTCTTTCTTTCTTTCTTTCTTTCTTTCTTTCTTTCTTTCTTTCTTTCTTTCTCTCTTTTTTCTTTTTTCTTTTTCTTTTTTTGAGGAGAGAGGGAGAAAGAAAAAAAAAAAAGCAGTCTGACAAAGATGAGCAGATTCCAGCCTGGTGAGAGTTCAGAACCGTGGACAGCGACCTACCATCCCTGCTTGGGTGGGGAGATAGGCTGGCAGAAGAGGTCTCTCCTCTGGAAGCAGAAGCATGGTGCCTGAATTTTTATGTCACTACCCACTCATTTACTAATGAATTCTGCAATTATTAAGTGTCTTATATGTGTCAAACACTGTGGCAAGATGCTTGGGCTTTGTAATTGAAAATGCATTATCCTTGCTTTCAAAAAAATCTGCAGACCATATATCCCTCTATATTCTGCTTTAAGAGCCAATGCCAGTAAAATAATACTTTATTTCCACCCTTTCAGTCTGCATACTCACCTCCAGCATTCCCAAAGAATATTTAATCTGTGATCTGCCACTAAGTGCTTTCAGTTTTTAAAAAAGGCAACTCACATGACAGTATTTGTTAGTTTAAAAAAAGTTTGAGTGTATTGATTGTTGTGTGTGAAGTATTATGTGTATTGATTGTTATGTGTGAAGACTATGTGTGAAGATTCTGAATCCCTTACATAAATTATCTCATTTAATCATCATAATGTGATGGTGAGATAAATGTCATTATCACTTCCCTTTTACTGACAATAAAACAATACCAGGGTAGTTATTTGCCCAAGGCTCCACAGCTGCAAATCAGTAGTGTAGAGACCATAGCTGGAAAGTCTAAACTCAGAAGTCATGTCACACCACTTCCTTATATGCTCTGTAAAATGAAAAATATCATCTTGGGGAGGTTATTTTGCACTTAAAGAGAACAGAAGTACACATATGACAGCTGGAAGTTAATCAAAGGTGGTATTAAAATTTAATGGTAGACAATGCAATTTAGAACCCAACTACATTAGTTGGGATAAGGAAAAGATCACTGGGAATCAGAAGTAATCAAAAGCGTTTCTAATGATAGAATTTTGGCACCTGCTAGATGTCAGTTCTGGTTCTGGCACTTGGAATACAGCAGTGAACACAATAGTCCCCAACATATTGATTCCATACTAGCAATTGCTAGAAGAAAGAGCCATACATTTTTGAGTCATTTCTAGGCTACTACATTTCTAGAGTAGGTTGCTATATGTTTTTCTGAGAAATTCACCATCTTAATACAGAAAATAACTCAGTAAAAAAAAATGCATTAAATAGAAGCCTTTAAATTTAAGTAAATTCTGCCTCTCTTTTTTGTTGTTTTTTTAGCCCAAAAAACAAACCAAATAAATGTGGGAAAAAAATTCCATGAAGCTAGAAAATATTCTTAGACGTTTTCATATTTTAATGTGCTTATATGTATATCTAAATAACTACAAAGAATCTCTCCACATCATACCCGCCTTTATCTTTTGTTCCTTTCCTACTCCTCTACATTTCTGCACTACAAATCAAGTGTAAGTATCTTACACATTTAACAGAGAGTCTTGGCCAAGCCCACCCAAGTGTGAGAGATACCAATTGTCCTATAGAAAGCAAGGAATTATATTTCCATTTTCCAAGAGAGAATAATATTAAATTCCTTTGGGTTCTTCCTGTACCTTCTCTTTCACTCAACGCCATAGAAGAAGGGATGACTCAACTGATGATAAACTTTTAAGAGTTTGACTTTCATTAGGGTGCATTTATCAGAGGCCAAGCACACTGTATTAGAAGACAAAGGAAATCTATACCTCTTCCCACTTCTCTATTTTCTTGGTAATGCTACCTTCAGGCACAGTGAGCTCACAATTTTAGTGTGTGTACCTATGCATATTTATTTTGTATGCCACTCTCAAAGAGCAGAGCTAGTAAGGTCTCTGCTTTCTTGCAGTACTTAGCTTTCTGGGGCCAGTCACAATCATGCATGTGGCTGGGAAAGCATATTTAGAGCCTTCTTTGTAGACCCAACCATCCTTATAAGTGATGTTCTAGTTTTGAATTTGGGGTGAATAATTGGAAAATGCCACTTCAAAACACATCAAGCTCTATTTAAGGACTGTCCCATTCCCATTTAGAAAATGTTTCTATTTTTAATTGCTTAGATGCCAGAGGGAAAGAAAAGTTAGTGATGAAGCTACCCCTAACTTCTACCAAAAAGATAAAATTACCCAAATAAATGGAAAGATATACCATGTTCATGAATGAGAAAGCTCAATATTGTTAAAATACCAATTTTCCCCAAACTGATCTATAGAGTCAATATAATCCTAATAAAAATCCCAGCAAATTTTTAAATAGAAATTGTCAAGCTGTTTCTAAAATCCATATAAAAATACTAGGGAACTAAAATAGCCAAAACACTTTGGAAAAAGATAAACAAAGCTGGAATATTTAAATTATGTAACTTCAAGGCTTATAAAGCTATAGTAATCAAGACAATGTAGTACAAGACAATGTAGTAGAATATAGACAAATCAATAGAACAGAGAGAGTCTAAAAATAGTCTGACATATATTGATTGAGTTGATTTTCAACAAAGGTGCACACTCATTTCCTTGGAGGAAGAATAGTCTTTTTAACAAATCGCCTTTTCAATATTTCGATGTCTATTTTTGAGAAAAAATAAAGATGAACTACAATCCATACCTTACACTATATAAAAAAAAGATGAACTCAAAATGGATTATAAACCTAAATGTAAAACCCAAGCCTTTAAAACTACTCAAAATAAATAAAAGAAAATCTTTGTAAGTTTGGGTTAGACAAAGATTTTCTACAGATGACACTAATATCATTATTAATTAAAAAATAATTGAACTTTGTTGGAATTAAGAACTAATATTCTTCAAAAGATAATTTTAAATAATTTTTAAAAGTCATAATCTAAGAGAAAATATTGGGAAATTATATATGGCACAAATGACTTGTAAGCAAAATAGGTAATAATTCTCAAAACTCAATTTATTAAAACAAAAATTTTAAAATGGGCAAATGATTTGAATAGACACTTTACCATAAAGATATAGTAATGGCAATTAAGAATATAGAAAAATGCTCAACGTTATTAGTCATTAGGAAAATAAAAATTAAAACTCCAATGAGATACCAGTATACATATATTAGTTTGGCTAAAACTAAAAACAAAGCAAAACAAAATAAAAAACAATACCAAGAGTTGGTGAGAATGTGGGGCAGCTGGAACTCTCATGCATTGCTGGTCAGGTAAAATTATGCAACGACTTTAGAGAAATGTTTGGCAGTTTTAAAAAATTAAATATTAATATATATAAAGCATATGACGTCGCCATTTTGCTCATAGATATTTATCCTAGAGAAAGAAAAGCTAATGTTTATATGATACTTTTACTCAAATGTTCGTAGTCCTTTATTTGTAATAGACATAACTAAAAACAACCCATACGCCCATCAACGAATCAATAGACAATTGAATTTTGAAATAATTATGCAGCAATACAAAAGTAATGAACTATTGCAACATGGAACAACATGGATTAATCTCAAAATTATTACACTGAGTGAAAGAAGTCAGATAAAATAGAGTGCATATAGTATGATTCCATTTATACGAGATTTTAGAAAGTATAGGCTAATTTACACTGACAGAAAGCAGAATAGTGGTTGCCTGGGGAGGCAGGCCAGAAAATGGGGAGGAATGGGAGGGAGAGACTGGAACAGCGTAAGGAAACTTTTTGGGTTAATGGCTATATTAATTATCTTAATTATGTTGATGGTTTATGGGTGTACACATATGTCAGAAATTATCAAAATATACATTTTAAACACATGCAGTTTGTTTTAGGTCAGTTATACCTGATAATAATCCAGCCAAATGAATGAATTAGTTTTTTGAAAATATAAGGCAGAAACTGTAATTATAAATAGATATTTTTAAAAGTGTGGCTGGACTAGGCTTAGAGAAACTCAACATTACCGAACTGTTGTTTCTCTGCACAAGATGTTACTTACTACTAAATTACTTAAACTTTGAGAAATATTAAAAGGAGTTGTATGTCTCCGCAATTTGTAAGCTCTGGTGTAAAACAAATAGCTCTGATGTTGTAGCTATATCTTTATCTGCTTTACAGGTATTGGATTATTATATTATAAAGTAATTATCCTGTTGGTACCATAGGGTAAAATTCCATTATTAACTGGGCAGATTTCCTTTGGAGACAGTGGAAAATACCCAGGTTTGCCAGACTTGGAGAGAGGCAGATCTTGGGATAGAAATAAAGACTCGAAAGATGAGCCTTAGACTGTGGCTTAGCAACAAATGCTTTGTTCATTGAGCAAGGATGATAGGTTAAAGTGTCTATGTACACTCGCGGGCATGTATAATGGTGCTGGGAAAGCTGAATACTGTGATTGGGTTGTGGGCTGTGAGCTAGTCAGGGAAGAAGGCTTTATAAGACAGAAATGTACACTGAAGTGACCTAATAAAATTGGCAATGTAACTCTGATCTGAGAGTAATCACATCTGGTAACCAGTGACAAGTTAGCCTCAATGTTATTCCTTTCTACCAGCTCTTCAGATAACTATTTATAAACATTGTAACTTATTTTGGAAAAATTCCCTGCAAACGCATGGACTAAAATGATGAGGGGAATTGCCAGAGTTCTGAAACCAATGTGGAGATGGTAGGAGAAGCGGAAACAAACCTTGGTGGTACCTCAAATCATGGAGTAGAATGGACAGCGACACAAAGGGCAGACCTGTGGCAGAACAGAGGTGGGGGATGGTGAAGACACTGGTGATAACAGGGATTATGAACAGATGAATCAACCCCGAAGGGACTCCCCAAGAGTTAGTAGGGATTCCAAACTACCTATCTGACAAGGAATTAATAACCAAAATATATAAGGAGTTCAAACAACTCAATGGAAAAAAATTTAATAATCTGATTTCAAAATGGGCATAAGATCTGAATAGATATTTCTTTAAAGAAGACATACCAGTGGCAAATGGCTATATGAGAAGATGTTCAATATCATTGTTCATCAGAGAAATGCAAATCAAAATTACAATGAGATGTCATCTCATCCCAGTTAAATGGCTTTTATCCAAAAGACAGGCAATAATGAATACTGGTGGGGATATGGAGAAAAGAGAACTTCATATCCTGTTGTTTGGAATGTAAATTGGTATAATAACTATGGAGAACAGTTTGGCGATTCCTCAAAAAATTACCATATTTTTTTTTTAGTTATGCAAGTGATTGCCATTGAAAGTAATGGCAAAACTGCAATTACTTTTGCACTGACCTAACTAGAATCCAGCAATCCCACCCTTAAGGTAATACACCCAAAAGAAAGAAAATCAGTATATAGAAGAGATATCTGCACTCCCATGTTTATAGCAACACTATTTACCATACTGAAGATTTGGAAGCAACCTAAAGGTTCATTAACATAAGAATGGATAAAGAAAGTGTGGTACATATATACAGTAAGTACTATTCAACCATAAAACATATGATAGCTTGTCATTTGACATAACATGGATAAAATCATAGGGTTTTTTTAAATGAAATAAGCCAGCACAGAAAGACAAATGTTAAATGTTCTCACTAATTTGTGGGAGCTAAAAAAGAAAACAATTGAACTTATGAAGATAGAGAGTAGAATGATAGTTGCTAGAGGCTGGGAAGGGCAGTGGGGATGGTTAATGGGCACAAAAATATAATTAGATAGAATAAATAAGATCTAATATTTGATAGCATAGCAGAGTGATTACAGTCAATAATAATTTATTGTACATTTAAAAATAACTTAAAAAGTATAATTGGAGTGTTTGTAAATGATAAATGCTTGAGGTAATGGGTACCCTATGCCCCATTTACTCTGATGTGAGTTTTACACATTGCATGCCTTTGTCAAAATACCTCATGTACTCTTTAAATATATAGACCCATTACATATCCATAAACACTAAAAATAAAAAAATTAAAAGATATTCAGTGTAGACGAAGGTCAGGTGGAAATAAAAACACTGAAGAAAGTGTATGACCATTATATTTTTAAAAAAATTAATAGGGAAATAAGAACTTCAAAAGGAGGACTAGTAATCTGCTATCCAGTGTGAAGATTGGGGCTGTCAAGCTGTGTATTAGCTTCTTATATCTGCTGCAATAAATTATTACATACTTAGTAAAATAACAAAAATGCATTTATTTATTTATTATATATTTATTTGTACTTAAATTTACTGGTTTATCATAAAACATACCAATGAAGCGGTAGATAGGACAAGGTCCAGAAGGGCCCTGAGCCCAGGAGCTTCTCCCATGGAGTTAGGATGTGCCACACTCTCAGCACATGGATGCATTCGCCAACCATAAGGCTCTAAAACAAAAAAATGTATCTTTGACTTCTGAAGGTCAGAAATCTGAAACAAATCGGCAGGGCAGATTCTTTGTGGTGGCTTTCAGGGAGAACATTTTTCCTGCCTTTGCTGTCTTCTAGATACTGTTTATGTTCCTTGGCTCATGGCTGTCTTCCAGAAATGATTTTACTCTACTTTCTGCTTTCATCCTCACCTCTTCTCCTCTGAGTTTCTCTTTTCCTTATAAGGATTCTTATGACTACATTGAACCCAACTGGATATTTCAAAATAGTCTCCATCACAAGAACCTTAATTTAATAACATCTGTCAAATCTTTTTTGCCATGTAAAGTAACACATTCTCATGCTCCAGGGATTAGGATGTTAACATCTTTAGGAGGTCATTATTCTACCTATCACAAGCAGATTGATTTGGGTCACATGAAGAGTGCCAAGTGTAGATCAATGGAGCTTCTCATAAAGTAATTGAAAAAAAAAGCTGCCACTTTTTAATCTATACAGTAATGTACCTTACATTTTTCAATAGTGAGTTCATGTGAGTTATTTGAGGAATTGGTATGAGACCTTGTTCTCTATAAATGAGTCTATCAAGAGGAAATGTTAAGGTATTTGAGTGGATACAGTTCATTTCTCTGGACAAAGAATGTGAGGATGCTGAAATGACACATACCACTAGGAGAATAGATTATTTACCTCTCTTTGATATCGGAATAGATAATAGTTTAATTACCACCAGTGCTCATTATATTTTCAAAATAGGCTTTCTTCTCACCCATACTATAATTTGTGTCCAACGTCAAAGAATTAAAATGCTATACCTTATTTACTATTTATATTTTGGCAGATGGATAAAGAATTTGATGAAATAGTTCACATTAAGATTGTGGCACTTGGGCTAAGGCTTTGGGCATCATTTTGAAAGTTAGTGAAACTCATGTTACACTTTTCTCCTTTTTATTGAATTTCTCTCATATATCCAGTCTCCTTAACTCAAGATCTTAAAAATGGAAGACTTATTTGCAATGAGTACATAGCAGGCATTCTGTAAAAGATTGCTGAAAAATTGAATAGGTTTGTTTATTTGTTTATTCAAATAAATCCACTTTTCTTCCATTTTTTGTAATGAATTTGATGATAAATGTTTCCTAATACATTGTAAGTGCACATTAATATACTTTCAGTCCTAATGTAGTCCAACCCCCTTATTTTTTATGTGGGAAGATGGAGGCTTAAGATTAGGTCAAGTGATGTGTCCGAGTTCAACAAAGGCAAAAGCAGGGGCAGGGCCAGAATTTCAGCCTTCCTAGTTAATTATTAGTTTTTATAAACCTTCCATTCCCATCATTATTTCTTTTGTGACCAAGTAACACAGTGCAACAGCTGAAACATAGATGGCAAATGTATTAGCCAAAACCAGGCATTTTAGTGGGAGACATTTTTCTTAGATTGTCTCTTTCTGTCCAATGCACTTTCAACTCTACCTGACCATTTGTGTGTGTGTATGTGTGCGGGTGTGATGGGGTGGTGTGTGTTTATTTTACATTAAGCAATTTCCAGTGAAGTTTTATACCAACAGGAATGCTTCGCTCTTCTCTGTGAGCCAACTGCCCTATCGGGTAGCAGTTATAGATCAGTATAGAATATTTTAGTTTCATAATGGTTCTTAGGTATAAAGAAAGGCTTAAATTAGCACAACAGTCTGCTTTCACTACAGCTTGCATAATTTTGGAGTTAGCAACTGACACATTAGGTTTTAAAACTATTTGCTGAGATTATTTTTTTACATTGTCTTCCCAATGATTAGCATTAAAATTACAAGTTTTAAGCTTCATTTTGCACTTGAAAGACTCTTTGTAGTTCTCTACTCAGCAATGTCTACATGCTAGATTATAGAGTTATATGTCTCATTTATTTATTAGGAAAATTAACAAATAATGGGTGTGGCAGACATATCCACTATGAAAAGTCAGAGGTATGGGACAAGAGTCTTCCCTCCCCCAAGCCCATGGCCCCTTCCCCTTCTCTTTCTGCTCCTGGCCACTGCTTCCATGGTCAAGTGATTCATGTAGGGTCTTTCATGTTTGTATGAGATATCTCAGGATCAAGTGCCTTAAGACCATGCTTTTACACACATCTCCTTAAAGGGCCATTCTTTGACCACAGGTTCAGTCCTGGGTATGCACTCACCAGCATTGCAGCCTACTTTTGGGGAAAGAGATCCTCCCAGCCCCACCCAACCACCACAAACACACACCTTAACAGTATTAAACATCAAATCCTTGGTGAAATAACATGCCACTTATTCAGAGCATTGAGGAAGTTCAGCAAGGGAGGAATACTGCAACTGGAGGGCTCTGAAAGGAATTCCATTTCCAAATCAACACAGAAGATAAGACCCTGCTACAGAGATCTAGTTAATTTTCTTCTCCTGCAAATGAGATTTCCTGAATTGTATCCAGCTTCAACAACAGATTTTTTTTTCTCATTGGTTCTATTGTGTGGATGTAATAAAGTAAGAGTTGAGTTACCATAGCAGAAAACCCTCAAATTTCTGAATCCGTTCTCTGATTGCTACTAGATAGAGAAGAAAACTAACGAAAACAAAAAGAGCCTCCTGCCCAGCAGGACAGGAGATATTGTGAGTAGCCATAATTTTATGATGGAGTTAACAACAATTGAGATCAAAGGTTGAAAGAGTAGAGTTTTTCCTACAAAAATATAAACATGCCATTGTCAGGTATTGAAAAATATCAAGGTTGTTGTAAATGTCACATAAACATATGACTAAGTAATGGTTCTTATCTCATTAGTTCAAATGCTTTCCTTAATGAATCTTTTGAGACTTGTATGAGTTAATATTACATATAAGATGATATTCCATTTTCATGTTCCATAAATTATTATTTCTTTAGGAAAATAGATTTTTAAATGAATGTGAATGAAATCTTAAATATATTTTAAATGATCAACTATTAAAGTAAAAACTTATATTGTTTTCATCTGTGTTCGCCCAACTTTTCTTATGATAAAATAGCAATTTCTGGTGGCTGTTTCTCATTTTCCTTCCCATGAAATGGGAAACAGACTGGCAACCTGCCCTTTATACTTCAGTCAATTTTTGCTGGAAATAAAATGAGCAGAATAAGCTCTATTTTCTCCTCTTGCATAAGTACATTTCAGATGAAGATGGTAGTAATTTTGGAGATGTTGCCATAATAATGTTTGAGTTATTGGATTCAGCTCAACCAATAATCACTTGAGTTAGCTTGTTGGAAAGTTCTCAATAAACAAAGATAAATAATAGGGCTTTCTATCAAGTAGAAAGTGGGCGCTACTCTAAAATTCTTCTCATTTACCATTAGACGTTTTATAAGATTTTCAAAGAAAAATTGATTTTAATATACTCTAATTACAACGGCTCTTAAGGAGGTGTAGGGGGCCTGGGCATAGTGGCTGATGCCTGCAATCCCAGAGTTTCAAGAGGCTGATGGGGGAGGATCACTTGAGACCAGGAGTTCAAGACCAGCCTGGGCAACATAGTGAGACCTCATTTCTACAAAAATGAAAATAAAAAAATTAGCCAGGTACCATGGTATGTAACTGTGTTCCAGCTACTCAAGAGGCTGAGGTGGGGGGGTTGCTTGAGCCCAGGAGTTTGAGATCACAGCGAGCTGATTGTATCACTACACTCCAGCCTGGGTGACACAGCAAGACCCTGTCTCTAAAATAAAATAAAATAAAAATAAAAAATAAATTTACAAATGAGGTATAGGGGATGAAAGTGTCACAAAATCAAATGGTAAAAAGTTTGAATAAGGGTCATTGGTATAAGGAATAGAGTCTCTATTGGTTCAGGGACTGATTTTATCCAAACAGTTTGGCAGCTGAGCTCTATCAGGATAGCCTCTTTTCACCTCCTGTCTACCAGCTGTCTATTTGCAACCAGCAGGGTGCAACCTTGAGTCAGGCTGGAGATGCTTTGTCCATATGGAAAAGCAATGGCCAAATTTAAAATAAAGGTACCTAGGGGTAAGGGAACTTAAGAATCTCAATCTAACCATTCACACTGAGGGGAAGACATTTCGGGCTACTCTGGTGGAAACCCAAACTAGATAATGCAGATCCAAAAAACCAAGCAGAGCCCTTCCAGGAACACAAACAAGTTATTTTTCAGAGAGAATTTAAAGTAGAGAATTGGTTGAACAGGAACACAAACAACAAGTTATTTTTCAGAGAGAATTTAAAGTAGAGAATTGGTTGAACAGGCATTGGAGGACTAAAAAGCCACCATGAAACACCAAGTTAATGCAGAGAGAATAACTCTAGGAAACAGCTACCACCATTATAACCAGGGAGACAACATAAACAGATTAGGATGATCAGAACCAAGAAGCCTGGAGGAGGGGTCCCTGATGATCTAGGAACTGTACCTCGCAAGAGAGGGTGCATCCCATTGGACTGGCATCTTAGAGCTCAGAGGAGGAGCTGTAACTCAGACCTCTGAGTACAGCCTCCCTCTCAGCTGACACTGAAACCTAGTGGAAGCTGGTTCTGAGACTTTTGGAAGAAACTGGAAAGTGGAAGCAACTGCTTGCTGAAGTGAAGAGCTGTTGCTGGGAGATAATTGCAAAACCAGTATGGAAAACTGAATGAATCAAGTCCTTTCTTTGCACCTCTTGTTTTCTAGGCTCCCTCTAGCACTCCCTGTTGGCAAAAACCTAATAGGGAGCAAATTGACAAAAGAGAAATGTGCTTGGTGGAGATCCAGCAATAGCATCACAGAGTATGGAGGGACTGGGAATGAAAAGAGGTTAGGCCTGGTGTGGTGGCTCACACCTGTGATCCCAGCACTTTGGGAGGCCGAGGCGGGCAGATCACCTGAGGTCAGGAGTTCAAGATCAGCCTGGCCAACATGGTGAAACCCCGTCTTTACTAAAAATACAAAAAAATTAGGTGGGCATCGTGGTGTGCACCTGTAATCCCAGTTACTTGTGGGGGCTGAGGCAGGAGAATCGCTTGAACCTGGGAGGTGGGGGTTGCAGTGAGCTGAGATCATGCCACTGCACTCCAGCCTGGGAAACAAGAATGAAACTCCTTCTCAAAAAAAAAAAAAGATTATAGGTTAATAACTGTCACACCCATTAATTCCGACCAAGACAAGACTTGAGTGACAGAAAAATTAGCCTCTAATGTTGTAGAGCTACATCGGCTGTTATAGTGCAGGGTTTTCAGGATGAAGTTTTGCTCCTCAGAAGCTTTTCACTGTGCTTGATATTGAACCAGTGCACTTCTCTCTCATTCAATAGCAGTTCTGATATCTAACCCACAATTTCATATGTATTTGGCTTTCCAAAAATCTGCTTTTGAGCTAAGCTCTTGCTACCTTATGAAACTAAGCAGCCTACCCCACAGCCTCTTTTCTACCTTCAAATTTGTCATTCCACAGCTTTGGCTTGCTGTCATCACAGTAAATGGCTGAGCCTTCCTTACAATCACAGTGGGGACTAGCCCCCAAATAGCTGATCACACCAAGGATGTTGCCTCACTTCCATGTCCCTAGAACCTACCAGAAGACAATGTTAATGATAAAATTTAAAAAAATATGTTTTCTGATTCAGAAACTTGACCCTGAGGTCATCTGAGTTACAGAAGCATTGCTGCCGATCTGCAGTTTCAGAAACCATTATAGGAACCCAGAAGAGGAATGCCCAATATCAACCATGTATTTGGGCAAATTTTGTTGAAAGAAATGAGTTGCCTTGAACTTAAAGATGTGCCAGCCTCAGGCACTGTGGAGAATACAGTGGATAAAGAGGCACTGCACCCTGAATCAGAAGGCTGATGTTTGAATCTGAAGTCTGCCATTCTCTACCTATGGGATTTTAAAAGACACTTAAGTGCTTGAGCCACAATTTCTTTTGCAAAAACAGAATAAAAACATATTTTATATAGATTGAGACAATGAAATGGAACAGTATAAATAAGAAACATTTAACACATCATAGATAATAATTATTAATTCATCTAATTCTATATGGAATTGTAATTGGAAAATGTAATGTGTGGTTTATGAAACATACCAATCAGGAATTTAAAAAGACATTATTTACCAGATGTTTAATGTATACCAAGTCATGGTTCTCATGCATCTTATTCTATATCCCTTCCCCACTCACCAATATGGCACCATGATCTTTGATTATCTGGATGGGAATGGGGTTTAGGGAAGGTAAAGTAAAATGGAATAGATTATTATTCAAGCAGACATTTCTGTGTAAAGCAAATATTTATTTGGCATTCACTTAACAAGTCTTTCTTCTTGTTCTTATCAGAGAGGAGAAACACCAGAGAGATGAGTTTCCAAGAACTGTAATAGGAATCAAAAGACATGGGTTGATGTCACTGCTCTGCAATTTAGAAGTTATCTGGGAAAGTTACTTAACCTTTTCCAGCCTCCGTCTTGGTTGTTGTTGCTTTGTTTTTTGACTTTGTAATAGGTGAATTACTATCTAACCCATGGCTGTTTAGCAGAATGAATGAGATATTACATGCAAAGTACCTAGTACAGAATAAACCCTAAAATCCCTAGTGGGAGTCATTATTGTCAGCCCCTGAGCATCTAGTGTTTGTGGACTTTGGAATCAGTGAGATAAGGACTTGGGTCTTGGCCTTGCCACTTATTGGCTGTGTGTTACTGGGTAAGTCACTTAAAATCTCCAGGTTTATTTTCCTCATCTTTGGAACAAAGAGAGTAATACTGAGTCTCCTTACCTTACAGAGTTACTCAGTGGTGGATCTGATGAAAAAAATCAGTGCGAAACACTTTATACATGTGTGCTTATGTGTATATGAGTGTACATGTGTATGCTTGTACATATATGTGTGAATTCGTATTTATATGTATATATATTCATATGCATATCTATCTATATACATACATACATATACATATACAAAGGCCTATTTCAGATAGTATCTTAGTATTAGATAATGTAGCTATTATAATCCTGGGACTGGAATTTACTGATTAAGGCAAGGAAAGGGCATCGAAATCCAGGGTCTGCTGTGACAATTGAGGGATGCAAATGTAGCCTCTCATTTGTTTCAAATAAACATTAATGTCTTTATTCCATTCATTAATAATTAATTGCTCCAGGCTCTGATTCTTGTATAATTGTACCTTATGAAAGTCCACAGCAGAGAAATATTGTGCAAAATGCAAAACACCAATTTCATCATGAGTAATAAAAATTCAATTAAGTTCAGAATAAATGTGTGAGTTAGTAACCCCAGCTTAACATAAAGCTATGGAATGTAAATAGATTTTGGAAAACAAAATAACTAGGGTGTGACAATTTATCAAGTGTACTGAAAACCCATCATTGCTTTCTACACGCTGGCAAGAAAAGGCCCACATTACAAGAGAGAATAATTTTTGACATTTTTATTGTGCTTTATAGCTGGAACATTCCAACAAGGAGGTTGAATAGAAAACTTCCTATACAGCATAGCCTAAGAAAAAATAAAAAGTAGACTTCCCAGAGTTATTTTTTCCATGTACCTTTGGTGGGGCCTGGAATTTTGCAGCATTGATTAAGGTCTTCATTCTAGAACAAAGTGATCAGGGTGAGGTGAATAATATGACCACTAACTAGAATCAAGGTTTGAGACCTGGTCTGCACTCAATTAACTATGAACTAAGTAATTCAATATGTCTTATCTTCAATTACCTATCAGCAAAATAGAGACACTAATGATGTTTATTGTTATGAAAGCGTTAAAATGAGATATTTAGTTTAATCACTTTGCATATGTTAGGGAACTTATGAATGTTATGCAAGAGATGAAATTGTAATTTAATTTGATGATTTCAGCATGTTTCTTTTTTATTCATGCAAATCAAAATTTGCAAGTTGAAATAATTTCGCTCTTCAAAGGAGGAACTTCAGAAAAGGATTTTTCCAATTTTATCATTTCTCAAAATAATATGGGAATTCCTATTTGAAAAATGAATTTTAAAAGTCATGTTAAAATGAAGTAGCCATATAACAGTCACAGTGATTTTTTTAAGTATAAAAAAGTATTATCAACAAGCCTTATCACTCACTTTCTTCAGCAATCTTGAATTTGTCAGTAATAAGTATATTCTAAAGAATGAGCCACAGACTTTGAAAGCAGCTTCTAAGAAAGTATTTCATAAATGCTCTGAATAATGATAATGTGAGTAAAATCTTTGTATCAGAGCACCTTGGGACTGGAACAGACAAATCAGACCACTTCCTGCAGCTGTCTATTTTTGTGTTAAACTACTTTCTACAGCCGTGCTTATCAACGGTTGTCCAGGTTATACTTGGACATCTTCAATAATTGTAGACCCTTGATTTCACATTGATGTCCATTCTATTTTTGGTTATTTATGGCTATTAAAGCCATTTCTTTCTTTCTTTCTTTCTTTCTTTCTTTCTTTCTTTCTTTCTTTCTTTCTTTCTTTTTTTTTTTTAAAGACAAGTCTCACACTCTTGTCCCCTAGGCTGGAGTTCAATGGCGTGATCTTGGCTCACTGCAACCTCTGCCTCCCAGGTTCAGGCAATTCTCCTGCCTCAGCCTCTCGAGTAGCTGGGATTACAGGTGCCTGCCACCATGCCTGGCTAATTTTTGTATTTTTAGTAGACACGGGGTTTCACCATGTTGGCTAGGCTGATCTCAAACTCCTGACCTTAGGTGATCCCCCCCGCCTCAGCCTCCCAAAGTGCTGGGATTACAGGCATGAGCCACTGCACCCGGCCTAAAGACCTTTCTTAAAATGAACTTAGAATCTATTTTTCTGTAACTTTTTTTTTTTTTTGATGGAATCTCACTCTGTTGCTGGGCTGGAGTGCAGTGGCACAATCTCCGCTCACTGCAACCTCTGCCTCCCAGGTTCAAGTGATTCCCCTGACTCAGCCTCCGGAGTAGCTGGGACTACAGGTGCCCACCACCATGCCCGGCTAATTTTTTTGTATTTTAGTAGAGATGGGGTTTCACCATGTTGGTCAAGATGGTCTCAATCTCCTGACCTCGTGATCCACCCGCCTCAGCCTCCCAAAGTGCTGGGATTATAGGCATGAGCCACTGTGCTCGGCCTATAACTTTTATTCCAAAATGTTCATATATTCAGGCTCTACCCATGCTCTATTTACTCCTTTTTCAGGTGGTGATATTTTGGTTTTCAAATAATTTTATACTCATTTTTTAAAAGATAAAGAGCCCCGTTAATTCAACCTATTAAAGAGGATGTAGAATTAAATGCAATATTTCTAGTGTGGTCTAACCAAAACAGATTGGATGTGTGTGTGTATGGATGTATGAGTGAGTGCGTGTATATATGCTTTTGCTTTTTCTAGAAAGTGATGTTTATTTATTTATTCAATAAATATTAATTAAGGTCTTTACTATGTGACAGACACTGCTACAGATAGTAAAACATTGGAGATGAACATAATAGACAGTTTTTTTAATTCTCATAAAACTTATATTGTAGTTGGGGAATAGTAAATGTATCATTATATGATTATATATCAGATAGCTAAATGAGAAGATTAAAGTAGAATAAGGTAACAGAGAGTGGTGGGGTGGTGGAGAGCAGGTAGCTCTTTGAGATCAAGTGATAAGAATAGATTTTGCTAAGGAGGTAACATTCAAATTGGGACCTGATCAAAGCAAGGGATGAAGTAGCAGAGTCCAAAGAGCATTTCTGGCAGAGTTAATAGCAAGTACAAAGACCCAGAAGATAGTGAACTTGGTATGAAAAACCACAAGACATTTGTGTAGCTCTCCTAGAATGAACAAGAGGAAGGGTAGTTGGAGGTGAGGTCAGAGAGGTAGACTGGAATCAGATGCTGTCAAACCTTGTAGGCTATGGTAACGTGTTGGATTCTATTCCTACAGGGCTGTAGAAGTCATTTGAGTGTTTGGCTCAAAGGATTTATTGTTTTGAGAAGATTGCTGGCTTTATCTCCAGTGTAGAGAACTGACACAGGTCACAACAAAGAGGAGGACATGGCCTGTGGAAGCAGAGAGATCATCTGAGAGAAGCTACAATTGCAGACTAGGGAAGAGATGTTGGGGTCATAGACTAGAGAAAGCGGTTGGATTTGGAATTTATTTCCAGGGTAGTGTCTACAGGATTTGTTGATGGCTATAGGGGATGGAGGAAAAAGAGGAACTAAAGATTTTATTGTGGAACAAAGACATAATGGTTTTGCAAACAGGCAGAGAATCGGCAGTTTCAAGGAAAAGTTTTATTGTAATGTGAAAAATAATATCCTGACATATCCCACTGATAGCCCAGCATAGCCACCGTGGCACTGGACTAGAACTCAGATACTTTTCTGAGCTTTGCCACTTATAATTTTGCCTTGAGTAGGAAATTTTCCATCTCTAGGTACTCCAGTTTCCTTATATGTAAAAATGAAAGAGTTAAATTAGATTCTCTCTAAAGGTCCATTTATTTCATTTGTACTATGTCTCTAAGGATCAAACAAAATCTTTGTTTGCTAATAGATATTTTGAACTCATTAGTGACATTGCAGCAAACTTTGCTTCATAGGGGCCTGTAAGGCAAATATTTCCCAAGGGGAAAGTGTATAGAATTCCATTAGGAATGTACTCAACAAATTGAAATGTCATTTAAAGCTTACAAAGAGTCCCATTTTGATGACCTGACCTAATAAAACAAAGTGAATAAACAAAAATTTGCCTCACTAATGCCTGGGCAAAGGGAAGGGACTCAATCTAGTTATTATACACTGCTATGTGTTTGACAATGTTTCGAGTTACTTCAGCCAAAAGTTTAATCTAAAAAGTCAGTAAATGTTTGTTCAGTGGGGAAAGAAACGCATGATGATTGAATTACATATTACAGCTTCATTGATTGACAACAAAAGTACTGAGCTATTTGGTCTGGTAAATTGAAACTCTGTTGCATAGGAATAAAACGAAAAGAGGAAACCTTGATTACGTAATCAGAGCATGTTAACACATTGTTATCATTTCAAATGTGTGGCGTTATTTTGTTTCCTTTTGCAAAAAATCAAAAATCAAAAAAAAGCCTTGGTTTGTTTATACAAAAGATCCTATAGGTGAGGATCATGAAGTATAAATAGGAAGGCAGTAATAGCTAAAGATGGGGTAAAGGTAGAAAATGGGAAACATTTGGGCAAAATGAGAGAAAAATCCAGGGCAGGAAAGTGGGCAAATTGAATACTATGCTACCTCTTTTTCTTCAGCTATTATGAGTTAGTAAGAGAGAGGAAATAGGAAATAATCTTTCCATAAATATTGTAAATTTCTCTTAATAACTGCTTAACTCTTCTTGCACAGAGAAAAAGTTAATTTGGAAGCTTTCTATGTAAATCATCCAAATACATAAAAAGTGAATTTATTTTAGTGATGCTTTGTCATTATTTTTTTCAGTCAGTTGTTCTCAAGCTGTAATGACTATGGGAACCACCTGTGGAGCTTGCTAAACATTCAGACGCCAGGACTTTATCCCCCAAAGACGGACTCCATGTGTCTTAGGTGGGGTCTTGCAGCTTACCTTTTAACAAACATCCCAGGTGATTCTGAAGCAGGTGGTCTACAGACTACACTTAATTATCTGTTTTTTTTAGGAGGCAACAGAGTATATAGTCTGGGTCTTCCCTTTTATTGTACCTAAGCTGAAAAGGATACTTTTTATAGTTTAGGGATATTTATCCCCCAGAGATTCTGTAGACAGAGGAAAACTGTCTCTGAAATTACATCCTCAAATTTGCTGACTGGACAGAACGCAATGTGCAATCTGAGAAATGTACCAGGACAATGAAGGCATACGTGAAATTATAATTCAAGGTAAGAAACATTAAGTGGAAAAAAAGCTGCCTTCTTTTTTTTTTTTTTTGGAGACGGAGTCTCGCTCTGCCTCCCAGGCTGGAGTGCAGTGGCGCGATCTCGGCTCACTGCAAGCTCTGCCTCCCGTGTTCACGCCATTCTCCTGCCTCAGCCTCCCAAGTAGCTGGGACTACAGGCACCGGCTAATTTTTTTTTTTTTTTTTTTTTTTTTTTTTTTTTTTTTTTTTTTTTTTTTTGTATTTTTAGTAGAGACAGGGTTTCACCGTGTTAGCCAGGATGGTCTCAATCTCCTGACCTCTTGATCCGCCGGCCTCAGCCTTCTAAAGTGCTGGGATTACAGGCGTGAGCCATCGCGCCTGGCCAAAAACTGCTTATTTTATACTACTAACAGCATAATCTGCAATAAAAGATAACAATTGTAAACATTTATGCACCAATTAATAAAATGTCAAATATATTTTTAAAATGTAACTTTTGAAAATAGAAAAAATTAAAATTGTGGGAGGTTTTAATACACCTTATCAATTGTGTAATTGGAGTACTCTAGCAGCTAATTTCATCCATTTTCTTCTGTATTTATTCTATTAAAGGCAACATAAACCTTTTATTGATTTTAGTAAAAACATAAAAAATACCTATGCTTAGTTAACTTGTATTGAAAAGCAAAGCATAGAATGTGAGCAAAACAATAATAAACTGAAATGATATTTATTTGAAACAAAAGCAAAAAGGAAAAGCCAAAGAATAGTCCAGACTTCAAGTTAATTAATGGCATGTAACAATGATTTAAAGAGAGTAGTTCTCAGCGGCTTATATGCCAGATGTAAAGAGTAGGTTCTAATTGTCTAAATGGGCTTTTGGTGTTTTTCCTTTCCCCTTCCTCCAAATGTAGTCATATTTATATTTATCCACCATAAATTCATGAAATGTGTTTATGTGTGCACTACACTAAATGGAAGAAGAAACTAATATAAATAAAAAACAATGACTAATAAAAATCATTTTTACTTGCTCCAGAAGAGGTCAGTAAGTAAAAAAGCAACATAGTCTTTGATAACTTCCTTGCTTTCTGGTCTGATGAAATGCTACAAGCTCATCTAGTACAATTCCTGTCAACAACTCTCAAAGAGTCCTGATAATTTGAGACCATATTCTGTATGATAGAGGTGTTCAATGCTCCTAGGTTGGCCAAAATTTCTAGGTCTTTACAGTACACAGAATCAGAAAGGGAAATATATCCATACATGTATGTATGTGTGTATATATGTACATGTGTGTCTGTAAACACACATAAGTGCATGTTTATGTTTGAAGATAAAACACATAAGTTTATGGTACTTCAAAATAAGCTTGCTTGGGCTACTAAGTTTTAAATTAGTTTATTTAAGCTTAGATCTATCCTTCATTCTTTCATCAAAAATCTTGGTTCCCAATGTCAGCAACATAAGTATTAATTTTTGAAATTCTAAAATTCATGTCAGTCTCAGAATAACAAGAGTACCACAAATGTAAAGATATGTTTTCCATATATGTAATAGTCTGCTGTCCTTAGCATGTATCTTACTAGAGATATTCAGTATAATAAACATGTTTTGAAAGCACATGAAATAATTCTCCTATGTATAGTGATGCCACCAACTCAATACACAGTTAGGTTCCTTGATTTCATTCTGATTTCTAGTTTTAGGTACTGCTTTTATATTTTTATTTTCTAATTATGTTAAATACATATTTTATCCCAAGATCAAAGGTATAAAACAAGATTTATTTAGACATTTCTAACTTGTAATCTCAGTCCTCTGTATTCTCTTTCTTTCTTCCTGCCCCCACAGGTTACCATTTTAATTTTTTAAATTTTTCTGTGACTCTTTGGAATAAGCAAAGCAAACACACACATCTTTGCATCCCTTTTTTCTAATATTTTTCTTCACCTTGATTTGGTTTTGTTTAATTATAAACCATACAGACCCCTCCCCTCCATAGGAGTATATAGAGGAACTATTGTATTTTTTATACTATTAAAAATTCCTACCTATAGCACAAAGCAATCTCAAAATTAATAAAGTTTTTTAAGTTAAGGACTTTGACCAAATTCCAGGCCCCTAATCTGCAATTAGTAAACAAAACAGCATTTGAGAGACTCCAGGTTTGTACTGAAATTCATACCAAGAAATCCAGTTTTACTGGCACTTCTAGAGATGGACTTTGCTGCTCAGTACATCATCTTATTCATTCATTTATTTATTTTGAACAAACAAATGTTTATTGAGCACTTCCTGCCAGTATCAGGCATGCTAAAATATGCAAGATGCTCTCTGGCTTCAATGGTTATAATGTTAGCAGAGGAAACACACCCATCAGCACCTTGGTTCATGTAATAAGGGCTTGGCATCTGGTGCTGAAGTCCCTCTTTGTCCCTTTCTCTTGGCGACGGCAAAGGGCATGGAGGCAGAGGCAAGATGGAAGACTGCACGTGGTGTCAGCTTGGTCCCTAAAAGTTAGTAAGTGCATGTCCGCAGCTGACTTAAATGTCCAAGAAGAGACAGGGGTAGACATATAATACCTATCAATATTTGTCTTCTCCCCACCCCCTCCCAGGTAATTTCCTTCCTGTAGTGCTGTTTTTCATCTTCTGGCTCACACCTTTGCTGTAACAGTCAGACTCTCTGCAGTAAGTATAACCATCTCGGACTCTCACTCCATTTCTATTAGTTTATCATTTTAAACGTCTCCTTTAAATGCCTCCCCCCTCCCACCACCTTTCCCTTCCTCTGATGCATCTCTTTTATAGCTTTCCAGTCATCCCTGCTGTTTACTCTTTTATTCTGATGTAACCAATCCGGCTCACACAAACCCAATTCATTCCAAAAGGGGACTTAATGTGCCATAAAACTAACAGGGAGATTGCTCTCAAGGTGGGCAATAAGCTGACACAGCACACAGGTAATATTTATAGGGCAATGCTACTTCCTGAAATACCAGCCACTGCACTGCTTGCAAATCACAGGGTAATTATCTGCGTTAGGTCCTTAATCACTGGAGCAAAGCCCTTTGTTAAGTAAACAAATATACTGAATGTGAGCCTGGATGCCAAAGAAAATGAGACAAGGGAAAGACACTGTGCCGGGGTGAGGTGAGAAAGGATGGAGGGGGACCCTCCCTGCAGTTTTATGGGGGCAGTAAAGTACAGTGGTCAATGTGAGGGTCTCTGAATTCAGACAGAGGTTTAAATAATGTAGTGACCTTGGGCCAGTTACTAATCCTGGATGTGCCTTGGTTCTGTTCCACAGAATATGACCCAAATACTCCCATCTCATGAATTTATTTGTTGAGGTGCTACTTAGATAAAGTGCTGACACTTAACTTCAAGGCGTTTCTTCTTCTTACCAATATCATCATCATCTTTATGTTCATCTATCACTACCAAGTTTTTCTTCTTAGAGACCTTTCTTTACTTTGGGAAGACCCAGAAGAAACCACAAATTGAACTGATTGTCACATCTGTTCCTATCCTGTTTCTGCAGAGAAGACCTAGCCACTGAGACTCACCCTTGAAGAAAAGGGTCACAGGAGGCACACTGTCAGTTTGCTGGTGTTATAGACTTACAAATGAAGATTAAGTTCTAATGTTTGGAGAGAAGGAAAAATGATACCTTCACAGAAGCTGCAGTTATGCTCCAGAGTTTACATTGCAAGCATTGGCTCTAGCCTGAATATCACTAGTACTAATGTCAAAGGATTCCTGGCACATTTCAGAGCCTGCTTAACTGTGACTCTCACACCCATCTCCCCCAGCCCCTCTTTTTTTTTTTTTTTTTTGTAGTGTAGAATCACAGGCCTTAATTTTGGATGAGATAAGTTTTTTCTGATGGATCCAAGCATTGCTTAAAATTATATACATGCTTTAAAAGCATACAGAAAAAAACAACTTTGGCTCAATTAAGTTTTATCATCACTGTTACAAGGAAAGCCTCATTGTATGTGCATTCCTGGATTCTTTTCTGCTTTAATTTCAGCTGAATATTGCCATAAGCTGGAAGATTCCAGGCATTTGAGAATAGATTCAAATTTGAGAATGGACCTTGTGACTATTTCAAGGGAGATCCTTCAGTTATTATTATTATTATTTTTAAAAGGAACCTTTGAGTCTTGTAATAATAGCTCACATTTATTAGACATTTGCTGTCTGTCAGGCTGAGCAATAAGAACTTCGTATTAACTCATTAACTCCATCTCATATACTTTCATAATAGCTATTATTATTCTTATGCTACAGATGAGGAAACAGATGCACAAGGAGATTAAGTTATCTTTCCACAGTCATACAGCTACTAAGTAGGAGTCAGGGCATTAAGCCCAGATAGTCTGGGGTAGATAGATCCTGTATATTTGACAACCACACTGTTCTGCCAATTTGCATTTTCTACTCTTCAAGACGTCAGAAAAATAATCTTTCCAAAGATGAGTTGAAAAAAGTAAAATGCAATTGCCAATAGCTAATAGCATAAATTAATATGTTTTTAAATATTAACATAGAGTTATCCCATAGGGTCCTAAATAAATTGGGATTCTCAGTGTAAATGAGATTTCAAAGAACTTTTTGGATTCAATTTCTGACGTGGTTAATCATGTAGACTTCCAGAACTCAAATGGCCTAAGAATATATTTCTACATTTTGCAACTGAGAAAACCTGTGGAGGGAAGTGGCATGGCCAAGGACACTACTGTGACTGAGTGTAGACCAGAGCCCTCCACCTCTGGTCCCTATTGCTTTTCTCTTTTCTTATTCGCTCTGTAGATGGATTTGAATTTTAATAAATCAAGGAATAATGCATCTTGCTTTGATACAGACAAAATAAAATTAAGACAACCTTAATGTGAGGATGATAGTTTCTACATTTATCTTAAGAGGCTACAGTAGACCTGCCATGTCCAGCTAAATAGAATTTGGAGATGCAGAAATGATGATATGTTAGGCAGAGGAGAATAATCTATGGTCATGTACTTCAGTGGCCCAATGTGAAAGTAATTCATTATTCCCAAACTATTGCCCTTGCTTTAAAGGGAGGAAGGACCTAGGCTGTCTCTTCTGTGTATGTCACACTGTGGACCGTAGCTGTCATTGAGAGATAAAGTAATGTGTTTTACTTGTCAGTCAATCTGGGTAGTGAGGGCTATTTTCACTTTGTGCAAATGTTACAAACAACATGCTTAGTTGATTTTTAAGATAGTTGGACTGAGTTGCTTCTTATAAGCATTCACCACTGTGTTTTCCATTTCTGAAACACATTTCCTTGAAATCCTGCTAAAATTATAGTAACAATGTGGTGGGAGGTAGAATAATGGCCTGCCAAAGATGTCCACACCTTTGTCTCTGGAATCTGTGAATAAGTTACCTTACATGGTAAAAGGGACTTTACAGTTGCGATTAAGGAAATAGATTTTGAGATGAGATTATCCTAATGATCGAGGTGGGCCCAATCTTCCATTTCCAAAAAAAAAAAAAGTGGGAGAGAAAAGCAGAAGGATTAATCAGAGATGAAGGATTTCATCAGAGATGAAAGAAGAAAGAGGAGATACTCCAAGTATTAGAGAGACTCAACTTGTCGTTGTTGGCTTTAGTAATGGAAGAAGGGGGCCATGACCAAGGAATGCAGGCAGCCTCTAGAAGCTGGGAATTACTCTCAGCTGAGAGTCAGTAAAGAAATGGAGATCTCAGTTTTATAATCACAAGGAAATGAACTTCGCCAACCACTTGAATGAATAAGGACTTGGAATCTCTCCTAGAGCTTCCAGAAGAAACACAACACTGCCAACACCTTGCTTTTAACCTGCTGAGACCAAATGTCAGATTGACCTACACAACTGAAGGATAAATTTGTGTTGTCTTAAGCCATTAAATTTATGGTTATTTGTTATAGCAGAATAGAAAGCTAATACAAATCCTTATTTGAAGAACATATTTCAACATCTTCAGTAATTTTCAGAACCAGAAGAGAACTTATTCAGACCAGTCTGCCCTCTTAACCAAGGTTTCATTTTTTTTTTCTTTTTACCCACTGTCCTCATTTCATTCCTCTGCCCAACATATATTTTACAAATAGGTATCCTTTCATTATCCACTGGTGATTTCAATGTTACAGATAGTGCCACACATTGAGCTTAATGTCAGTGTTTGTATAGAAATTGATCAGGCCAGGTGCGGTGGCTCACAACTGTAATCCCAGCATTTTGGGAGGCTGAGGTGGGCAGATTACCTGAGGGCAAGAGTTCGAGACCAGCTTGGATAACATGGTAAAACGCTGTTTTTACTAAAAAGTACCAAATTTAGCTGGGCGTGGTGGCACGTGCCTGTAATCCCAGCTACTGGGGAGGCTGAGACAGGAGAATCGCTTGAACCTGGGAGGCAGAGGTTGCAGCCGAGATCACAACATTGCACTCCAGCTTGGGCAACAAAAAATCAATTCAAGATGGATTAAAGATTTAAATGTTAGACCTAAAACCATAAAAACCCTAGAAGAAAATCTAGGCATTACCATTCAGGACACAGGCATGGGCAAGGACTTCATGTCCAAAACACCAAAAGCAATGGCAACAAAAGACAAAATTGACAAATGGGATCTAATTAAACTAAAGAGCTTCTGCACAGCAAAAGAAACTACCATCAGAGTGAACAGGCAACCTACAAAATGGGAGAAAATTTTCACAACCTACTCATCTGACAAAGGGCTAATATCCAGAATCTACAATGAACTCAAACAAATTTACAAGAAAAAAACAAACAACCCCATCAAAAAGTGGGCAAAGGACATGAACAGACACTTCTCAAAAGAAGACATTTATGCAGCCAAAAAACACATGAAAAAATGCTCATCATCACTGGCCATCAGAGAAATGCAAATCAAAACCACAATGAGATACCATCTCACACCAGTTAGAATGGCAATCATTAAAAAGACAGGAAACAGCAGGTGCTGGAGAGGATGTGGAGAAATAGGAACACTTTTACACTGTTGGTGGGACTGTAAACTAGTTCAACCATTGTGGAAGTCAGTGTGGCAATTCCTCAGGGATCTAGAACTAGAAATACCATTTGACCCAGCCATCCCATTACTGGGTATATACCCAAAGGATTATAAATCATGCTGCTATAAAGACACATGCACACGTATGTTTATTGCGGCATTATTCACAATAGCTAAGACTTGGAACCAACCCAAATGTCCAACAATGATAGACTGGATTAAGAAAATGTGGCACATATACACCATGGAATACTATGCAGCCATAAAAAATGATGAGTTCATGTCCTTTGTAGGGACATGGATGAAATTGGAAATCATCATTCTCAGTAAACTATCGCAAGAACAAAAAACCAAACACCGCATATTCTCACTCATAGGTGGGAATTGAACAATGAGATCACATGGACACAGGAAGGGGAATTTCACACTCTGGGGACTGTGGTGGGGTGGGGGGAGGGGGGAGGGATAGCATTGGGAGATATACCTAATGCTAGATGACGAGTTAGTGGGTGCAGCGCACCAGCATGGCACATGTATACATATGTAACTAACATGCATGTTGTGCATATGTACCCTAAAACTTAAAGTACAATAAAAAAAAAAAAAGAGTGAAACTCTGTGTCAAAAAAAAAAAAAGAAAGAAGGAAATTGATCAAAATAATCATAGAGCTACCAAATAAACAAAATGATCACTACCAAGTAATTTCATAGAGACAGGTACATACTCTGTTGCCTACAAAGAATTAAAAAAAAAGAGTTCATTATTCTCCCCCTCTCTCATGATAGAGTTCATCTCATTGTATCGAGGGGGTTAGGATTCATTTATTGGTTTTAGCTATTTAGGGCCCATTGAGCAGGTATGGGGTTAATCCAACCAAATCCACCAGGCTGAGAAGAAAGTGAGTTAGTTTCTCAAAGGAAATTCATGGTCTTGTCCCCAGAAGGAGGGTAAATGGATGCTGAGCTGAAAACACCAGATGTTCAAGAAAGTATATTCCTTGCTATTCAAAATATGCCCACACACCTACATTTTCATACATAAAACTCACTCAAAGGGAAAAAGTTCAAGTCCAGGATTTCTCCTTAACTGATGTGTAGCTTTCTTGGTCGCTTTGGGACGTTGCTCCTCCTCATTTTTTAATATATGCCTAAATTATAAATTTATCTACATCTAACTTAACCAATATGCTGTGGTGTACAGATGGTATAAGACTCCTCTTTGAAGAGGTAGATATTGGTGAATAGTATACAGTGGTTATATATCCATGGCAGTCGTCATATCCTGCATGTCAGAAAGCAGAAATTTTCATCTCTGATAAAGGCAGAAAGTCTTGGTTAGTCAATCTGGTGGCCCAGGTGTTCTCTAATGGATTGTTCTTTTTTCATTGCCCTCTGTGGCCAGATTTAAGAAGGCCATTTTCTGTGTATAGGTTGTACCGCTTTAGCAGCCTATGTAACACAGTGTGAGCTCAGGGACATGGGAGTTTTCTTAAGGATGAAGCGAGTGGCCCCCAACCTTTTTGGCACCAAGGACCAGTTTCATGGAAGACAATTTTTCCATAGATAGGGGCAGGGATGGTTTCTGGATGAAACTCTTCCACCTCAGATCATCAGGCATTAGATTCTCATAAGGAGCATGCAGCCTCGATCCCTCGCATTCATAGTTCACAATAGGGTTTGTGCTCCTATGAGAATCTAATGCCTCAGTAGTGATCTGACAGAAGGTGGAGACCAAGTGATAACACTTGTTTAGGCTACTCACCTCCTGCTGTGTGGCACAGTTCCTAACAGGCCATGGTACCATGGTACCGGTTAGTGGCCCAGGGTTTGGGGACACCTGGGTCAATCAATCATATAACAGTTAGACAAGCTTATGTTTTGTTTTGTTTCCTTTTTTCTTAATACAATTACCTTAAAGGTTAGTAGGTTATTTGTCTATTTGCTTCTTTCAAATCAAATCGGTTGCTGAGCTATAGTCTTTGAGTCTGGAACCTAATATAGGAATTGTGGTTTACAGCAACTGACCTCAGACAGTTTTCTTGCCACTTTTCTAGCCCTCACATTAATAGCTTCCATATTTGACTAAGCTTCTGGACAATTCAAAATAGTGGGTCAGGGAGAAAGAGTCCCCTGATATGGTCCTTGTCACAGATTATATCTCAGCTCCTTCATCACATGGAGATTCAATATGCTTCATGTTCCAGCCTCCCCCAGTGTGCATTCAGGAAACCACTTGCAAATTTCTGTCAGTCTGTCCATTTTTTCCACTTGAAGAAGTTGACCTTTACTCTTTGCCACCAACGGTAGGGGGTGGATATAATGGTGGATGTAGAAAAATCCTGTACAGAGCTTAAATGTCCTTGATTTGAAGTAAAGTGCTCATATAATTTTGAAATACTAATTAAATATGTTTTCATTAGAGCCTTTAAGACTTTAAGAGGGGAAAGGGAGTATTTGTATTCTGTTAGCAGTAAAATGAAAAAAAAAAAGTTCCATCTTCTCATTTGTGTATAATGTATGAATGCATTTATTGTTTTAAAATTCCAATCTCAAAATTTGTCTTCTACCTGATGGTTTTGGAGCACTTTACATTTATTATGACTAATTATGTAATTGGGATTATTGCTACCATCTTAGTTTGTGCTTTCTATTCACCAGGCTTCTCTTTACCTCTTTTTTACCTTCCTTTTTTACCTTCTTGAATTAATTAAGTAGTTTTCATTCCCTTTTTATTTTTCAATTGTTTTAGAAAATACAGATATGTGTATATATAATGCATATGTATATATATGTGTATAAAATGTCTGATTTTTGTGTTACTCTTAAATATAAAATATGCTTAAGTCTAAAAGTAATTAATATTTGTATTCTCCATTTAATCAATACAATAATATTAAAATGCTTTGTCATTTACTTTATATGTTGATTTTGTCCAGTATTTTAATTCCTTCCTGATTTTATACACTCAGCATTATAAATTATTATGAGTTATGTCCCGTTGGATGATTACTCAGTTCATGTTGACTCCTCAACATTTTCATTGGTGAAATGTTCTTTCATGGCCCTTCACTCTGGTCTAGACCACGTGGACTTGCTTTGGCCAATGGGATATTCATAAAGGTTGTGTGAGCGAGCAGAGACTTGATGTGTTTGCACAGTGAGGCTTGCCTTCATGGGTTCCTACCTTTCTTTTCCTTTTTCTTTTTTTTTTAATTTGAGATGTTGAGATATAGTTTATCTACCATAAAATTCATCCTTTCAAAGTGTGCAACTCAGTGGTTTTTAGTGTATTCACCAATTTGTGCAATCATTACACATTAAATTCATGACTATCTAATTTCAGAACATTTTCATCATCTCCAAAAGAAACCCCATGTTCATTAGCAGTCACTCCTCAGTCCTCCCTTCCACCAGCACCTGGAAAACACTAACTCATTTTCCATCTCTATAGATTTCTCTATTGTGGACATTTCATATAAATTATATCATAGAATATGTATGAACTTTTCTTCTGGCTTCTTTTACTTAGCAGGATGATTTCAGGTTTCGTCCATGTTGCAGCATGAACCAGTACTTCATTCGTTCATAAGGATAAATAATGTTTCATTGTATGGATATATCACGTTTTGTTTATCCATTCATAGTTGATGAATATTTTAATTCTACTTTTTGGCTAGAATGAATAATGACTAAGCATTTGTGTACACATATTTGTGTGGACACATGTTTTCAATTCTTTGGGGTATGTACCTAGAGGAAGAATTGCTATATGGTAAATCTGTGCCTAAAGCTTTGAACAACTTCTAAACAGTTTTCCAAAGTGGCTACTCCATTTTACATTCCCTCCAGTAATATACGAGGGTTATAATTTCTTCAAATCCTCACCAATACTGGTTATTTTCCATTTTTAAATTATAACTATCCTAGAGGGTAAGAAGTAATATTTCACTGTGGTATTGATGTGCATTTCCCCAGTGAATAATGCTGCAATTATATATGAATTTTAGGATCAGCTTGTCAATTTCAGCAGAAGAGTGAGCTGAGATTTTGGTAGAGATTGGACTGAACCTACAGATCAATTTGGAGAGTGTTGCAATCTTAGCAATATAAAGCTTTTCAATCCATAAACACAGATATGTTTTCATTTATTTAGCTCTTTAATTATTTCAAGGATGTTTTGTAGTTTTCAATGTGCAAGTTTTACACTTAAAGTTATTCCTGAGTATTTTATTCTTTTTAATGCTATCGTAAATGGAATTGCTTTGTTCATTTCTTTTTTGGATTTTTTTATTGCTAACATGTAGAAATAACATTGTCTTCTGGCTACTCTTGTTGTAATCTTCCTTCCACTAGTGGCCTTCTAGACCTTCTAATCGTCTTTAGTGTGCTGAAATTTTACTGCACATCTATTCATTAACTTTTCAAATTATTCATAAGACTCTGAGTTTAGAAAATCTGAGGATTGTTGTCTTTTATCAGTTGTACTAAATTCTCAGCTATTGTTTTTTCAAACGTTATATTTTCTCTATACTCTCTTTTCTTTTTCTAGTAATCCTACCAGGTATATTGTGAACCTTCCCTCTCCCCTGGTAACCTCCCTTTCATATTTTTTGTTCTTTAATTTCTTTGTTTCATAATGGATAATTTTCTTCTACGTCTTTTTCAGCTCTCTTGCATTGTGTCCAATCTGCCCTTTAACCCATTAGTTATCCTTCAATTTAGATGACAAAAAATTTTTAAAATTACTGAAGTGTTATGTGTTTCTTTCTCAAATATATCTGTTCTTTTTTCACAGATTACTTGCTTACTCTAATTCTTTCTTCGTATTGGTACTCATTTTAAATACAATTTAAATGAGTACTAATGCCTGCATGTGATCTCTTACTCGTGGTTGTTTATTTTTCATGTCTTTTATAATTTTGGATGTGAGAGTTTCCTTAGACTGGCTTTCCCTGTGAAAATCCTGGCTGGCTTAAAAGCATGTTTCTCTAAGGTGGTTTGGAATTTTCTCCTGCCTAGAACTTTCAGGTATTACAAATTGGGATCAATTTTAATATTCTCTTCTCTGTTTAGAAGTCCGTTCTCTATGCAGATGGTATAAATTTGACACCAAATCCATATGTAACATAATTGATAATTATGAATTTTTAAGGGAGGCTTGTCTCCCCAAGCAAAGGCCAAGCAAAAGCAGACAAAGTATCTTTGATATATTTGACTAATCCCACTGTCAAGGTTCTCAGCTTAATGCATGTTTCAGTTCCATATCCCTATTTCCCACTGGCCTGAGGTTTCAACTCCTGTGATAATGAATACAACAATACAAAATACAGATCATAGAGGCTGACAGTATCTCCTAGGGAAGTTGTACCTGCTGCTCACATATTTACATTTGTAGTTTTCAGTGTTCTTTTTATGTCTTGTCCCCAATAATTTCCCTTCTCAGAATTTTACCTATGAGTTTTAAGAGTGTTCAACATATTGTAGACTTCCTAAGTGTTTTAGTGCGGACATTTCCTGATTATCCAGTCTATTATTTTGGCAGAAGTAGAAGTCTGAAACATGTGTGTTGAGGGCTGAATTTTGGCTGCAGGAATAGTGTGGGATCTGGCTAGCTGTCTACAAATGTATTCCGGTTTTTCTCACATGAAAAGAAAGTTTATTGGTTTTCCATCCTTAAGGGCAAATAACTCAAGCTGAAAAACCTGCCATAGATATAGGCTATAAAATGACAATGTCTTACATAAACCCTGATTTTTGTTCTTTTCTCAATATATATCTTAAAACTATATGATAAACTGTTTGAAAATAATTGCTGAATGATTTGTTTGGTCCCTTAAGAAAAGTGAATAAAAGTTAATACAGCTGTGTTTTCTGTTAGCATGAAGGCTGAAGTTCTTGTTTTCTTTGACCACTACCAGTATTTAGGAATCCAGTGTTTCCCAAGAGAGCGTCTGTTCTCATTTATATTCTTCCTCTCCACTTTTCAACAAGCTGGTGGCAATTCTGGTTTGTAGCATCACAAGGAGAAGTCTGTTGAGATTGCTGCCCCTCACAGCTTCAACAGTTTGATTTCTGTCTTTTCACTATAGCACTAGAACTTTATCCTTTCAAATTGTAGCATTTTAGATAATCCTATGTTTATAAATTTTTATGATGTCTGAAGAATAAGAATTATATTGAATCTAGAATAATAATGAAGAAAATAAAAATACCACCTCCAAAACAGTAAAGCGGGATCTTCCACTCAAGATGTACAAATGAATTATATAGGTCTCTTGCTTCATATTTCAAACACATATAAATGCTTGGTGAAAGTGGTGAGATTACAATAACCATTACCATAATATAAATATAGCACCAAAGTAAATGTTTTAAAAGGTATTTTACAACTATTGCACTAGAATGGAAAAAGTAATCCCTGAGGTATGTGAAATGGCATGGTTCATGGGGCAATTACATGGGATATATGCCTTAGGGTTAGTGAATAAACACCTTCACAGAACCTGGCTTCAAAGCCTCAGACCTCTCTCATAGTTGAAATAGGAACTATGGTCTCTTGTTAATTCTGGGAGATAGGAAGGGAGGTCTTTTTAGATAAATTTTTCACCTCCAGTGTGCTTCAGAGAAGTAAGTCATCTCCCCAAAGGCATGGATTCAGAAAGTCAATGTGGGAAATGGAATAAAAAATATTGAGACTTATTTGTCTATGAAGCTTGAATTCATACACTATCCTTATATGCAAAAGCCCTTAGCTAGACACTAGTGTAAAATTGGTATGAAACTGCGTCCTATTAGGCCCTTACGAGGCTGATCATAAAACTACCCCTAGGAGACCCTCCACAACATAGAAACAGTTGCAACTTCCTCAGAATTATTTTCTTAGGACCACTAAAGATCATCCTACAGACAAAAATTACAAAGCACACAAGGAAATACAATGACATGAAAAATAGGCAACTGAACAAATTACAGAAATCATGGACAATGAGTTTCAGAAAATAGAGCACTCTGATATGGATGTTAAATTAACTACACTTAAATGTCCAGAGAGATAAAATAGATGGTATAGAAATTTTGAGAAATAATAGAAAACTATGAAAACAGGCATATTTTTAAAAAGAACTAAATAAAAATAATAAACAATAAAATTTATAAACAAAGAAATACACAAACCAACACCTCAGGAAACAGACCAAAGAATAGACTAAACACAGCTGAAGAGAGAATTAGCGTATTGAAAGAGGAAGATTGATGAGTAAATCTCTCAGACAGTAGAGAGACGAAGGATGAGAATTTGATACTTATGAAGGAAATAATAAAAACACCTCAACATAATTTTAATAACATTTCAAGAAACTGACCCTAGTTTAAATCCTTGGAAAGGGGCAGAACCAGAATTAAAATTTCTGTTCTCTTTAAAGTCTACACTTTTATGCCCCATGTGATATCTTTCTTGGGTGCTGAACAAGTGCGTTAAATTTGGAAAGACAGATTCTCACAGGTCTTGTCATTGTTTCGTGGGGCAAAATGTTTTGGAGATGGCTCTCAAAGAATAACAATGATGATGACAATTCACACATACGCATCTTTAAAATTTATAAAATTTGTCTTATTTTATGCTCAAAAGGACCTGGAAAATCACTTTAAAATCTATTTATCTTTATATTTTTCCCATATAAAACAGAGAGTGTAAGGAAAAAAAACTCTCAAAAGTAACCCAAGTTAATGGTACATTTTTACACCTTTATTGAGTGCTATTTACATGGTATTAATGGTATTTAATGGTCATAATCCTCATTTTACAAATATTCCAAGGCTGATAACCAAATGTTATTTGATTCCCAAAGTTACACTCTCTGAAGCATTTAATCTGGCTTGAATAAAGATCCTCTGATTCCAAATTCTAGGCTGTTTATTATACAACATATGCAATTCCACACAACCTTAACTTTGCTGCCAATTCATGACACTTCTGAAACGGAAGTTGTGATTTTAAAATAACTTTCTGGAAGCCTTGTCCTAATTGGTAGCTCTTCCAACAGATGCTGATGGTGGGATGATAAATGAGGCAATGAGTAAGTCTCAACACCTCCATGTGCTGGTTACTCTCCTGCCTCCCACTCAACTCAAGTTACCCCAGGAGCCTCAGTAATTGATCATCTCTTCATAATCTGACACTGTGGGAACCGGAGTCCATAATTAAATACCGCTTGCAGTATGTACCTGCATCATTAGACCACACTTGAATTACTAGTTAAAATAATAACTGTATTAGCAAAGAAATATTCATCAGTGCATGCACCTGGCCTTGGGAATTCACAACTGGCAACAACTATAAGTCTCCTGTTATATGAAAAAGGCAATGGCTAGATGGTAAAAGATGAGTGCAAGTACTGCTTATTGACACTTTTAAATTCTGGAACCTTTGATTGGTAAATAAATCACTAAGGTTCTGTTTCCTCTTTTATAATAGAGACATCATAATTTTTGCCTGAAATAATTGTTGTGACGGTCAAATATGTTAAGGGACATAAGCTTTGTAAACTGTATGGTGCTATCTTATGCTGTCTAATGTAGTTTTCTGTGACGTGTGCATTAGTTTTGTTTTGCCAGCAAGACTGTAAGACTTTGAGATTATATTTTAAATATGCTTTTGTTTTCACCTCCAAGAATACTGAGTTAGGCTAGGGTCTCACTAAGTACTTGCTAAAATGATAAAATTAAATATTTGTGTTCTCTTATTATTTCATTACATATGTGTTTACTGTCTATCTTTTCCATAAGAATATAAATTTTATGAGGGAGACATTTGTCTTTTTTGTTCTTTGATAAATTACAAGCTTCTAGAGCATTGCCTGATACATATAGATGGTCACTAAATATTTAATAATGAATAAATGAATAATGTTTCCTAAATGAGTAGCTTTTGGGGTGGGAAATTTAATATTATTCTTCATATTTTCAGTGCCAAAATATTTTTCTGGCCTGTTAGGCATTTACCAATTGTTGCTGGATGCATTTTAAAACCCTCACACATTATAAATATTTTGCTGCTTTCCTGTTCGCTCTCACTACCTGCACAACCTTTGTTCAGGTACAAATTACATCACATTCAAACAGTTCTTATAGTTTCTTATGTCCTGTTTTCATTCATTCTTCTGTAATTCATATTGTACTGTAATACCCTAAAAGTCTACCTAAAACACAGATTTCAATTTGTTGTTACCCAGCCTGAAAATCTTTAATGGCTTCATATAACTAAAACACAAATTCTGACATTGAAGACTCTCTACAATAAATACAGCATTTGAATTTTGGTTCCTTTCCCTTATGACTCCTTCCTGTACCTGATACCCCTATGTTGGCTAGCCTGCACACTTTTTCATGAATCTTCAATTTTCTCACTTTTGCTCCCATAATTATATTAGTTACTACATGAAATGTCCTTCCTCCATCTTGAACATGTGTATTACACCCAGTGACCTTTTATGTTTGAATGTTCTGTCTAAATCATATGACACTTATCCCAGAGACCCTTTTGGTTGAGCTTAATTTTTTTAACAAGATAATGGACGATGGCAAAGATATCTTGTAATTTATTTATGTATGTTTTTACTTATGTATTTATAATCATGTACTTTCAAAAAGGAGTTGAATTTCATCCTGAGTCTTATAGAAAGCCATTGAAGTGATTTTAGCAGAAGAGTGGCACGATCTAACTAAAGTTTTAAAGCAGGGTTTCTCAACTTCAGTACTATTGACATTTTGGATCATATAATTCTTTGTTGTGAAGGGATTTCTGTGCACTGTAGGATGTTCAGCAGCATCCATGGCTTCTGCATCTCAGATGCCAGCACCACCACAATCCCCCATTATGACAATCCAAAATGTTCCCTGGCATTGCCAAATGTCTTTTTAAAGGCAAAATCACCCCCAGTCAAGAATAATTGTTTTTAAGGATAACCCTGGCTATGTGGAGAAGAGTATATAAGGGAACAATGGAGAGAAGCAATAGTGCAAACATACCCACTTATATGGTTTGGCTCTGTGTCTCTACCCAAATCTCACCTCGAATTATAATCCCCATAATTCCCATGTGTCAAGGGTGGGACCAGGTGGAGGTAAGTGGATCATGGGAATGGTTTCCCCCATGCTGTTCTCGTGATAGTGAGAGAGCTCTCATGAGATCTGATAGTTTTATAAGTGTCTGGCATTCCCCTGCTTGCACTCACTCCATTCTGCTGCCTTGTGAAGAAGGTGCCTGTTTCTCCTTTGCCTTCTGCTATGATTGTAAGTTTCCTGAGGCCTCCTCAGCAATGTGGAACTTGAGGCAATTAAACCTCTTTCCTTTAGAAATTACCCAGTCTTGGGTATTGGCTATTTCTTCATAGCAGTGTGAGAATGAACTAATACACCCATCAGCTCTATTTTCTCTAAACCTGTATGTGAGGCAGGAAGGAGAGAGAAGAGATGTTCACTAGCCTTATGGCTGAAGCTTTACTGTAAACTGAGCAGATATAAATAATTCAACAATGATTAACTGTTCTCTGATAAACAAGAAAAATATAGCAGGTCCAGACAATATAATTGAAAACTCTCTGCTATTATGTTAGATCTAATTATATACAGATATATTATTATTTGAAAACAGAGAATATATATTTTCACAAGTACTTCTTTTCTAGTTTGAGAATTCATATTTGTCTCTCTCTGGGATCCAGCTGGGGCTTGACAAGCAGGTTTAAAAGTTTAATTCAGAGTAAAGTAACAATAATGTACATCCAAACATGTTTAAAAACCACCACTACCACTGCAATATTCAGAATTTAAAAGAGTTTATTCTTGTTTTTGAAAGATAAAGGTGCTCCCATCTTCTTGAAATCAAGTGCGAATAACAAATTCTAACTAACAGATGATAGGAACATCAGCTCTCACTTCCTGCAGCCTCTGACTGGGCCAGCTATCTCTCTTTAATTCCAGCCTGCAGCCCAGGATGTCTGGACTCCAAAACCAATCCTGGCTCCAGGCAGGGGCGCTAGAAGGAGCTCCATATCATTTACTTTTTGGCTCAGCTTTGAGTGTGTATTGCTTCCAGTTCTAACTCAACTTTGGAATTAGCTTCCCAATGATCTGGCTTCTAATTTGCTTTTTCATCTCCTCTAATGCCTGGATTTAATGAGTTGTAAACCAATTCTCCTCATCTTGTTGAAGTTGTTGCCACTCTTTTTCTGATGGTGGCTTTTGAACTAAGGTATACTTTTTATACCTTGTCCTTTCTTTTGCAATAACAAAAGAGTCTTTGAGTTATTCACTAGAAAACCATTGGATACTTGAACATTTATTACATAAGAACACTGAAAATTTTCAATTACTGGAGTTTTGGATCTGTGCAGACAGCTTCTATCTAATATATAATAATGATAAAGTATTAACATCAGTAATAACAGGAATCAGCAGCAGAAACAAAACTGTAGTAGTACATTGTTTTCTCTATTAATACTTTTCTGCCTAGTCTTATTCCTTCTGTGACTAGAGGTGTTCAGTAAGGAAAAAAAAATGGTGAAATAGAGACTGCATGTATGACAATACATTGAAGTGATGCTATGAGAATAAGTCGACACAGTGTAGAGAAGAGTTTGTTTGTGTTGAATAAGCTTGCCTCTTTAGAAGGACTTACAGTCATGACCCAGGGTGTTAAGTCTGAAAAAAGATCTGTTTCTCTTTCCCCAAGATGGAGCTCTGACCATTGCAAGAGACTAGAGGAGTAGAAAAAGAGGAAAGGATAGAAAGGAGGAGGAAAGAGACAAGAAACTCTGTTCTGTGAACTGATAGATTATTTGATGAGAAAGGTAAAGAAAGCTTTGTTCCACCTCTGGCCTCTGGGAGCTCATGATTGCCTATTAGCGGTTTTTGTATTTATGGTAATGGATTGAATTTACCCTAACTCCTACTGACTAAGAAGGAGTCACCACAACCATCGCAAAAACTAACATTTTCCTTGCCTAATTATTCTGACTAGAACTTCTAGTACTGTGTTAAATAGAAATGACAAGAATGGGCATCCTTGTCTTCTTGTTCCTGATCTCAGAGGAAAATATTTTAATTTTTCAAATAAGTATGGTATTAGCTGTGGGCTTATCATTTATTATATTGAGGTACATTTCTTCTATAGCTAGTTTATTAAGCATATTTATCTTGAAAGTGTTGAATTTTGTCTAGCTTTATTGACATCCATTGAGCTGATAATGTGATTTTCATACTTTATTATGTTAATGTAGTGTATTGAAGCAGCATAGTTGTCTGGAGTAGTATCTGAGGTTTGTTGCCTCATGCCAGGGAAATCAAGGACACAGGCACACACAAGCAGCGACTTTAAGAACAGAGGTTTAATAGGCAAAAGAAAGAGAAAGGAGACTATCTCTCTCCCTTGAGAGAGACAGGGGTCCCCGAGTGGGACTTCTGGCCTATGCCGAGTGCACAGGGTTTTATAGACAGGCTTGAGGAGGCAGTGTCTGATTTATATAAGGCCCAAAGATTGATTGGAGCAGGTGTGATATTTACATAGCTGGTGAGGAAGCTGGCCGCCCCACCCTAATCTTATTATGCAAGTGGGGTCTCTACTTGGCCTACAGCCATGTTGCTTGCTTCTTACTGTGCACATGGTTGACAAGGAAAGGGAAAGATGGAGCCGCCATTTTGAACATGCCTAGTCCCCAGGGAACCCCTTTCCCATTGGCACAGCTGCTGGCATTCACCTGTTCAAGATTCCAGCTTGCTTGTCTACGTCTGCAGCTCAATTTTACAGACGGCTCTTTGATAGAAAACAAAATGATTTGGGGGCTGCTTTTCATTAAAAGGGAAACCTTACCAAGGAACTTCCTTACCCTCACAATCTGCCTAAATAATTTATTCTTAACTTCCATATCAGCATTAGAGATTATTCCCAAAGTATTACAATTACTGATTTGCATATGGTAAACTATTTTTGTACACCAGGGATAAATTCCACTTGATCATTGTGTATGATCCTTTCGGTGTCCTGTTGAAATCAGTTTGCTAGGATTTTGTTGAGAATTTTTGCATCCAGAATGGAAACGAAGAAGTAAAATTATCTTAGTTTGCAGATGATGTGATCGTATAGGTTAAAAAAAAAAAAAAAAACCTGAAAGATTTTACAGAAAAATAACTAGAACTAATAAATAAATTCAGTAAACTTGTAGGCTACAGCATCAACACATAGCGCATTTCCATATACCAACAATGAACCATCCAAAAAGGAAATTAAGAAAACAATCCCATTTACAATAGCATAAAAAAGAATAAAATACTTTGAAATATATTTAGCCAAAGAGGTAAAAGACTTGTACACTGAAAACAAACAAATTAAAAAATTAAAAAATTAAAGGAGATATAAGACTTAACATTGTGAAAATGTCCACACTACCCAAAGCTGTATACAGATTCAGTGCCATCCTTTTCAAAATCCCATGGCATTTTTTTACAGAAAAAGCAAAAACAATCCTAAAATTCATATGGTATCACAAAGACCCAAAATAGTCGGATGATTTTGACAAAGAATAACAAAGATAAAGTCATCATGCTTCCTGATTGCAAAATATATTACAAAACTACAGTTAAAACAAAGATAGACATATAGACCAATGAAACAGAATAGAGAGCCTATAAATAAATCTATGCATATATATTCAACTGATCTTCGACAAGGGTGTCAAAAATACACAATGGGCTGGGCGCAGTGGCTCACGCCTGTAATCCCAGCACTTTAGGAGGCTGAGGTGGGCGGATCATGAGGTCAGGAGATCAAGACCATCCTGACTAACATGGTGAAACCCTGTCTGTACTAAAAATACAAAAAGTTAGCTGGGTGTGGTGGCAGGCACCTGTAGAACCAGCTACTCAGGAGGCTGAGGCAGGAGAATGGCGTGAACCCAGGAGGCAGAGCTTGCAGTGAGCCCAGATTGCGCCACTACACTCCATCCTGGGAGACAGCGAGACTCTGTCTCAAAAAAAAAAGAAAAAAAAATACACAATGGAGAAAGGAGAGTGTCTTTAATAAATGGTAGTGGGAAAACTAAGTATCTACATGCTTTACAAAAAATCAACTCAAAATGGTTTTAAAACTTAAATGTAAGACCTGAAACTATAAATGCGCTAGAAGAATACATAGACAAAACACTTTTTGATATTGGTCTCAGAAATGATGTTTTGATGATATGATGACATCCAAAGCACAAGCAACAAAAGCAAAAATAGACAAGTGGTACTACATATGACTAAAAAAAAACTGCAAATCAACAGAATGAAAAGGCAGCTTACAGAATGGGAGACAATATTTAAAAACCATATACCTGATAAGGGGTTAATGTCCAAAATATGTAAGGAACTCCTACAACTCAGTAGCTAATAATAACAATAATAACCCAGTTAAAAAATCGGCAGAGGAATTGAACAAACATTTCTCCAAAGAGGTCATACAAATAGCCAACAGGTATGAAAAGGTGCTCAATATCACTAATCATCAGTGAAATGCAAATCTAAACTACAAGGAGATATCACCCACACGTGTTAGGACAGCTATTGTTGACAAGGAAAACAAAAAGAAAAGATAACAAGTGGTGGTAAAGATGTAGAAAAATTGGAACCCTTGTATAATATTAGTGGAAATGTAAAATGGCATAGCCACTATGGCTAAACAGTATAGAAGTTTCTAAAATAATTAAACGTGAAACTACCATATGATCCAGCAATCCCATTTCTGGGTATATATCCAAAAGAATTAAAACTGGGATCTCAAAGAGATAACTGCACTCCTATGCTCATTGCAGCATCAATTATTCACAATAGCCAATGTATGGAAATAATGCAAATGAACACAGGCAGATGAATGGATAAAGAAAATGTGGTATACGCATATGATAGAATATTATTCTACCTTAAATAAGAAGGAAATCCTGCCATTTGCTACAATATGGATGAACCTGGAGCACATTATGTTAAGTAAATAGACCAGTTACAGAAGGACAGACATTGCATGATTCCACTTATTTGAGTTATCTATACAGTTGTTGCTTAGGGGATTGGTTTGAGGACCCCAGAAGATATCAAAATCTGTGGATGCTCAACTCCTTTCTATGAAATACCATAGTGTTTACATATAACTTGCATATATCCTCTGTATACTTTAAATCATCTCTAGATTATTTATAATACCTAATACAATATAGTTGTTATAGTGTACTTTTAAATTTATATTATTTAGTATTGTATTGTTTTTGTGTTTTTTTCCAAATATATATGTGTATTTCTTCCAAATACTTTTGATTTATTGTTGGTTGAATCCATAGCTGTGGAACTTGTGGATTGAATATAATAGTCAAACTCATAGAAGCAGAGAATATAAGAGTGTTTCCAGGGGATGGGCGGTGGGGGAAATGGAAATTTGTTGTTTAATGGGTATTCAGCTTCAATTATGCTAAATGAATAAGTTCTAGAGATCTAATTATACAACTTAGTGCTTACAGTTAATATGGTATTACATATATTAAGATTTGTTAAGAGGGTAGATCTCATGTTAAATGTACTTAGCAGAAAAAGTAAAATAAAATAAAATAAAATAAAATAAAATAAAACAAGAACAACAAAATAAAAACAATGGGACACTTTGGAAGGTGTTGAATTTGTCTTTTGCTTTGATTGTGCTGATGGTACCACAGGCGTTTGCATATTTCCAAAGTCATCAAACTATACACAATAAATAGGTTAAGTTATTTGTACATCCATTAAAACCCAGTGAGGCTGTTAAACATGGTTAGATGTGTGGCAGAATAGTAAGCTAAATTGTAATGTCAGCATTTCATCAAGTTGATGAGATTAGAAAAACAATTTTGGAAAAGAAAAATAAGAAATCCTTAAGATTTACTAAAGGCTTGGACATGCCACCACCTTGCTAAGGGGTTGCTAAACCAGGCCTTTCTCTGTGCTTTTACAACATCTGATTTCTTACAGGCTTCCTCCTCAGTGAATTGGAAAAACCAGTGCCAGCTGTGAGTACAGAAATACCTTGGAGGCATTGCTGCCAGGGGAGTTCATGAGCAGGGACCAAAATAGGGCAGACTATTTTTTCCTAGGAGTCTGGCTACCCAGAGGGCTGCCTGCTCTGCATTGAAGCTGCTTTGTTCATTTCTCAGTGACAAGAGCCTGGCGGCTTTCAAGACAAGATCCCTGGAAGCCCAGATCTGAATTAGAAGGCAGCTTCCCCTTTCTAGGCTCTGACTGAATTGTTGCTCTCTGAGGACTGCTCTTGGGCAAGCTCTGAGAGGGGACCACTGGGCTGTGTGATTACCTGGTCTTTGTCACAAGTGCAAAATTTCACTCTGTGGCATACCAGAGTACCGATTAGCTCTAGGGCTAATGACACCTTGAAAACCTGGGTTGCAGATGTTTTCAGCTGGCTCTGGGGGAGCTTCCTCTTCCTGAAATAGCACTGCACATAGTCCTCTTCCCACCCTCCCATCCCCCGCCCTTTACCCATCACCACTAATCACCCCCTTGAAGTGTTATGACTGTACAGTTTCTATTTGGTGAGCTGCATCTGAAGGGAAATAAATCCTCAAAGTGAAGGCAACTTGTCAGTGCAATATGAAAACAAAGTGTGGAGAAGGAACACTTCAGCAAAAGCCAAGCTCACTAACCTTTCAAAAGTAACCGTATTTAATTTGAGCTGAATCAGGAAGACCATTTGGATGTCTTGTGTATTTATAAGCATATGTGCAGGCTTCATTTTACCCCAAAGGCTGCTTGTAATTTTGTCCCCCTGCACATATGTCTTCTCAAGCTGTAAACTGAATTTTCAGTCCTCATTACTGTGTGTAGATTGAGCTCTGGTCACTGAGTTGGCAAAGTACTCAAATAGTAACTTAATCCACCTTAGGGCTATTTCTTGGATATCACTTCCTTCCTCAGTTTTTCTGCCTGTTCCTCAACCCTCACCTTCTCACCCAAAAGGAGACTGGTAGATAAATTTCAGAGATGGGATTTTTAATATAACGTCTTAACTGGTCTTCCTGTCTCCAGTTGCTGTCTCTATTGCTGAAAAGCAATATATACTCTTCTCCACATAGTTGTCAAAGTGATCTTTCAAAAATATATGCCCACAAATCTGCTCTCCCACTTGAAACTTCTATGGCTCCATATTGCCTATAGAAACAAGTCCAAACTACTTCTACTGGAATTCATGGTTGTCCTCTACTTCTACACACAGTCATGCTGTTTCATAGTTTCCATAAGTCTAATTGGAATGCTTCTTCCCCTTAATCTCATGGCTGGAGAAGTCCTATGTGCAAGATGTCATTGGATTTTCACAATAACTTGATTTTCTAGATAGCAGAGGAAGTATCATCCTTGTTTACAGATGAGGAAACTGAAGGTTCCAGAGACCAAGCAACTGGCCCAAGTTTACACAGTAAGTGGCAGCACCAGGACTTGAACTTACATTTTTCTAACTACAAGTCTGGGTACATTTTTATGTGTCTATTATGAATTCAAAGCTGCTTATTTATAATTTGTAATGAAAATTCCATAACTAAAGAATAGGAACTTTTTCTGGTAGTATTCTCCTCAGAATATATTCCCTCATGGCTAAAAACTGGAGGGGACTATATCTGTCCTTCCCTCAAACTCCACTGCTATCCTAAGAAGTGCCATTCATGAGGAGGAGCTTGAGTAGACACTGTTGGTGTCTGGTCACTGTTTCCTAAACTTTCTCACTGTTAACATCTTTGCCTCTCTGCCTAGAGCCTTCTTTGGCTATGGGAACATGCTTTAGTGCACACGCAGGGCAGGCTGGAAGTGTCAGAGAGTTTACAAGCCCAGGGCAGCTCTCATCAATGACTAACAGTTATTGGCAGATAAATATTCCAGACTCCTGTCCCTCCACTGGAAGAGGGTCAATTCTGAGGTCCGTTTGGCACTATCTCTTGGAGTTCTCCAAGGAAACGGGACCTTAATTGCCCACAACAGGAATCTACTTATTAGTGTTCCCTGCATTAACTTTCTTCTGTTCTCTGTCTCAGTTCCTTACTTCCCTGCCATACTTGCTCCCCTCCCAAATAAACTACTTGCACTAAAATTTGAATCTCTGGTCTTGCTTCCAGGGGCAACTAATTTAAGATGTTTCTTCTTAAAGTCTGAGCTTTGATCACAGGCCGATAGAGAATGTTAGAGTTCTCTTCAGTTATCAAATCAGCTTGAAATATGAAAGTAACTAATCTGCACAAACTGATTTCCCATAGACTGAGCACAGAAGAAGATGAGCATCTAATCGAGACAGGCCATTGGTCAAAAACGACTGGAGCAGTTGTAAGTAACTGCTAGATGTATGCTAATTCCAGTTTGATATTTATGTTTGTATTTGTCATCAAATACTGCAATTGCACATATTACTTTCCCACTGTTCTCAGAGGAAGAAGTATGCTTCTTTCTATTATGGCTAATTCTTCCTCCACCCATGCTATCATTTCATCCTGTTTCACCTTCTCAGGGACCCTGCTACATCACTTCTACCCTCTCTTTTGTTCTTGTAGTTACCTCTTTTCACCCTTTACCCATAGCTGAAATTTTTATTGTTCTTTTTCTATTTTCAGTAAAGCTTTTTAAAAAGGATAGACTCCTCTTACTGCCTTCTACTTCCTCACCTCCCACTCAATTCTCTGCCTACTGCAATTTGGCTTCTACACTCCCCATTTGATGGAAATGCCATTTTTTTTGAGGGTTAGATTGGTTTGTGGCAAAATCCAATTGTAAATTTTCAGCCCTTATATTACTTAACATCGTCATGATAATTATGTAACCTCTTCAGATTCACTTGTGGCAAAATCCAATTGTAAATTTTCAGCCCTTGTATTACTTAACCTCTTTATGATCATTGACAGTACAGAGATGAAAAGCAATATTGCATGTAAGTGCTCAATAGTGTCATCTATTATTACTAAGATTATTATTGCCCACTCACTAACTTCTTGAGACCTATTTGGAAGCTTTCTGGAAAGAACTTCTCTCTGTTTGCTTGCTTTTCTCCTCCCCTTCTGGTTTCTCTTACTTCATTCCATTCATTGGATCCCATGCTTTTGCTCACTCTTTAAATGTCTATGTTCCTACAGAGCTCTATTTCCTTCTTCTCTGACTCTACACATGCTCCCAGTGAGATTTTATTTACCTCCATAACTTCAGAAATTGATGTCTCCAGTCCAGAAATATTTGTTGAATTACATCTTTCATTTCTGATTCATTCTGATCTTTCATGTTCTGATAGAACATCCCTATCTGGAGGTTCTAAAAGGCTATTGGACTCAACATATGCAATGTGGAATTTATTTTCCTTTTTATGCCTCTCTACCCCTCTATACTTCTTCTCTAGTATTTTCTATTATAAATGGCACCACCACCTCCTTAGTAGCCCAAGCCAGAAACCTGCGTATAATCCTATATTTTCCTTCTCACATACCAACCACCCCTTCAACTGTGTCCAGTTGTCTACTATAGCCCATAGATTATAATATCTGAATATGTCTCCAATCTGTTTCCTCCTATGCAACCCACAGACATTACTGGAGTTTGTGGTCTCATTATATCTTGCTGGGAAGCTTGCCCCAGCATCCTACTCGCCCCCTGTCTCCAGTCTTGTCTACTTCCAGTTTATTGCCTGATGCCAAAGATGTATTCAAAAATATAATTCTATATATAACATGACCATGTTTGAAATATTTTTATTGATCTTAATCACCCACCTAAATAGAAAAACCCTAGTACCTATAAGAATCTTGATGATCTAGACATGTTTGGCTTTGAAGCCCTATAAATCACCCCACTCCAAATATATCACAGCCATACAGAACTGCTTAGTGGCATGCCCTGTTTTTGTTTCCATGGCTTCCTCCTTCATGCATTCCTCATCCCCACTCCCCCAAAGGAAGAATTAAGATTCCTGTACTGAGATAAACATCCAACCATTATCCCCACTCTATATTATAATTAGAATAACTTGTTTATATGTTTGTCTTTTTTAGTAGCCTGTGAAATCCTTAGAATTGAATTATTTCCTACTATTCCTCTTTAAAACTTCAGGGTTTATCAAAGTGCTTTAGTTCATTCCAGGCTATGAGTTCAGAAATTTCTATCCAATTCCTGTCTGTTATCTTTTAAAGACTGATTCACAGAAGTACTTCGGGGATTATGAAGAACATAATAAATAGGCAAAGTCAAGAGTTTGGTTTCCAATATGAGAAAATTATGATCAGCTGGGAACTGGAGTCAGAGGCTAAGAGTCCAAGTCCTCAATTGTGCCATGTTCTCTTTCTGTGAGTTTGAGCAAGTTACTTTAAACCCTCTGTGCTTAACTTGGCTCATCTTTAAAGCTATGTTTGTAATTCCTGCTTTACCATCCTATTGTACAGATTAAATGAGATAATATATGGCAAAACCCAACTTTGTAAATTGGGAAATGCTAAACAAATGCCAGATTTTATGATCACCACACAGAAGTAGCTTATTAGATTTTGAAAACACAACTGCTCTATCATTTGGAAGGATTTCAATGGCAAGAAACAAAAACCAGAAAAACAGCGGCTTAAACAAATAGAGGCATTTTTTTTTCATTCACTAGAAATATGGAGGCAAGTTGTTGGTTCAGCTGGCTCATTGTGCTACCAGGGCCTCAGGATCTGCTTCTAATTTTACTCCATTATCTTTTGCTTCTTGGCTTTTGTCTTTATACTTGTTGCCTCAAAGGTGGCTGCAATAGTTACAGACATTACATCTGCATCCAAAGTAGAAAGAAAGGAGACAAGGGAAGAAATGCCAGTTTACTTGTTCTTTTTATGAGGAAAGCACATGTGTTTCCAGAAGTCCCCATCAGACTTCTGCTCCTCTCTCATTGCCTGAAACTCACATGGCCATTGTGAGCTGTATGGGAGACTGGACAAGCATTTAGCCTTCTCAGCCTATAGATGAATGTAGGCAAGGAAAAAGGGGCTGGCTGGAGGATGGCTGTTGGCTTTGCCAGCTAACAGTGTTTGCCACACATATCTTCCTGAAATATCTCAGTATTCAATCAATTGATGAACAATAAAGTGTAGCATTGTGTTCTCAAATCTGCTTTCAGTGGGCCTGGGTTAATCATTAAGACTGACTGAGAGTCAGCATGTCTTTTCAGGTGTCTGGTCTTCCCATCAGATATCAATATATTTTTAAATAAAGATCATGGAATTCTGTATTTAATGGAAGAAAAATTCACCCAAGCTTTATGCTTGGACCTCAGAAAAATGCACCCATTAGAAATTGGAGAGTAAATTAAGAGAAGAGACTTCCTTGAGAATTGGCTTTCCAGCACAATTTTCAGTACCATACAGTGTAGAAAGGCAAACAAGAAAGGATTGAAGATAGGTGAAGATTTACAAACAGGAAAGAGGTGCTGGAAGAAAGCAAAAAACGAAATGAACAAACAAAATTAAAATAATTTCATTCCACTTTCTACTCAAGTCCTAACATAGCATTTAATTTATAATGAGCAACACAATTTCCCTCCCTAGTTCCACCTGCTAGCTGGAATAACTGTAGGGAAACCCAGGAATTCTTTAGGATTGCTAGCGAGTTCACTGGGGTTATTTTCATTTTCTAGTTCTGGTATGATTACAAGTAGCTTTTTTCTTTTCATTAGTTATGTCACATAGAAATAGAGGGCACCTCAAACAATATGTTGATTGAAAGCACACAAAGCCATGACTCTGTCTAAGGATCAGTTTGGTCAAGGAGTGTACCTTGTGCTGTGTCTGTTCTGCTGGACTACATGGCACTCTAGAGTAGAACAGCTCTGCAGCCCCAGCAGATGGCCACTTTCTGTTTTTAGAAGAGCCGACTTGGGATGCCTTATGCTTTTAATCTTGTTGAAAGGCGTTCTAAAAACTCAGAGCCTATCAGTTGCTCTTCATCTTTTCCATTCAAGTGAGAGCAAAAATGCATTAAAATTAATTTATTATTTAAAACCATAGGAATGGAATGTATAATGTCCTTCACAGAAATGTAGAAATTAATTCTAGCAATAAACCTGAGACCAGACTGCAAAATCACGATGAACTATTCTAACCATCTGCATTTAACATTATGTGAAAAATTACCTAGTCAAAGCAGTCTATTATGTGCTTCCTTCTAGGTCTTCCCATCCCTTCCCTTTCTTTCTTTCCTTTTTTTTTTTCCTTTCTCTCTTTCACATAGTCCTTAGCTTAGGCCACAAAGGCAGTCAGATAGGTGATTTTGTTACAGCTGTGTACCTGAAGAATTCCACAGACTTTTATTTTAAGGTCTGAAAACACTTTTATTTGCAGTACTAACATTGCAAGTGTCAACTCTTTTGTGAAGGACATGATTACATCTAGTCTCTTTTTTTTTTTTTCACATACATCATCTAATGATATTTTCACGGTTAAAACTAAGACACTGGTTCCTTAAATTGAATTATGTTGAAAATGCATTTCTAGTTGAAGACAAGAATTTGATTTATTTGCTATCTGTATCTATACATTTTCATTGGTTAACAAGGCTTCAAATAGCTTTGAGTTGTCGGCTTCAAATAGCTTTGAGTTGTCAACTTCAAATATCATAATTGCCATGCTCATAAGTTGCACACAAGTGAAGGAAGTTGACTAACTTGTTGAGATATGCAGACAGCTGGATAATTTTTTTAAAGTAAATTTAAAATTATCTTTTTTTTATGATTCCTTTGCAAAAGGTAGTGTTTAAAGTATATAAAGAGAATGACTTCTAAAGGATTGGAGAGACCCTTAAGTTTGGAGAGCTAGAAGATACTCTCAGAGTTTAATTTTTCAAGTTTAGTCCTTCCCCCACTGCTAGTCTTTACTCCCCCACGTTTTTTTTTAAGAACATTTTTCTAGATAAGTGAAAGACTTCCCAAGGTCACATGACTCACTGGCATGAGATCTCACATCTCATTTCTGATCAGTGTTTATTCTGCTAAAACTGCTTTTCAATATGAAAAGCATTTTTAAAGGATTGAACGTACATTGAAATCAGACTCAGGTTGAAGGAAAGAGCTTATGTTTAACTGGTTATATTAAAAACTTCACACAGAAAACTTACATTAAAATGAATTTAAATATTTCTCAGGGAAATGTAGTGCAAGATACACACACTTGGGAGTCAGATGTATCTGGGTTTATATCTCAGCCCTGTGTTATAACCTTGAGAAAGTTATCTACCTCTTCTGAGCATAAGGATACCTATTTTGCACTGTTTTGAAAATCAGTACTGTATTTGAAATACCTAGTGTAGTACCTGGAATATAGTAGGTACTCAAAAAATCATGGCTTTTATCAGGTAACATAAAACCCAACTTTTATATAAGTGATGGTGAGGCTTACATAATCTCAGAAATACTGGGAAAAAAATGTGTACTGTGCTGGTGTCAGTGTAAAGAAAATAGGCTGATAAAAATGAGTCTAGGTAGGTAAATACTAGATGCTCACAATGTTAGTTCCTGCTTCCCTTGACATGAGTCAGCTCAGATGTTGAAGGCATTTCAACTAAAGGTATATATACCTTGCCTAGGTTCTTAGTCAGACCTGAGCAAGGTAGGGGGCAGAGTATCAGAACCAGCCACTCCAGCTGATGGGGCCTGGAACTATTCTTTGTATAGTACAGTACACTAGCCAACTTGCTTGGGAACTCCACCTGTATGGTTTTGGCACTTGGGTTAGTTTGTTCCCATGCTGCTAATACAGACATACCCAAGACCGGGTAAATTATAAAGGAAAGAGGTTTAATGGAATCACAGTTCCACATGGCTGGGGAAGCCCCATAATTATGGCGGCAGTCAAAGGAAGAGCAAAGGGATGTCTTACATGGCAACAGGCAAAACAGTGTGTGCAGGGGAACGCCTCTTTATAAAACCATCAGATCTCATGAGATTTACTCACTATCATGAGAACAGCATGGGAAAGACCTGGCCCTCATTATTCAATTACCTCCCACTGGGCCCATCCCATGACATATGGGGATTATTATAATTCAAGGTGAGATTTGGGCGGGGACACAACAAAACCATATCACCACTTTAAAAAACAAAAACAAAAACAAAACAAAACAAAACAAAAATCATTGGTTTGTGGAGCTTTGGTTCTGAACTGCTACGTTGGTGTCTTGATTCAGATACTGATTCCTCTAGTGAAGCCTGGGACACTTTGCTGAGACACTGACATCTCACCAAGTCCTTAACACCCATCTGTTTTAGAGATAGACACTGTTAACTTATAGCCTTTGATGCTGACTGCGCTCCTGTTCCATGTAGATGTTTCATTTGTAACCAAAATGCTTCCACTGCCTGGACTTGGTATTTCATGCAGCAGGAGAGCACAGGATTAGAATAAGCTCAACCTCACCACATCCTTCTGAATATCGTGATTGTACTGTGGGTTACTGCCATCAAGTACTTATCTTCTATTTAGTTAATTCATCCACCTAGATTTTATTCCAACCCAGTTTGTTTTCTGTCTCTCACTGATGAGCTTCCATAGTTGCTTGTACCAAGTTGTCTTGAGCTAAGAATTTTCTGGAAGATCTGCAGGTAAAAGAAAAGATTAATGTAGATATCATGGTTGAAGCTAATCCGTGCAGGGCATTAATATTGTCATATAACCTGCATTTCTTTTGAGCTACAACTCTTTGAAACTCTGTGTAAAGCCACAGCTAAGTTCTCAGAGACTTATTGTGGAGTTTCAGTGCTACAACTCTCTCCTTCCTAGGAGATTTGATGGAGCATGGAGTCATGTAAATAATGCAGAGTGATTGCTGGAAATCTGCCCTTCTGTCTGATGTTGACCCATGTTTCTTGTACAAAGTTGAGGAACCCTTAACTTTCTTCCCTGTTACTCATTCCACTATACAAAGAGCTTTGCAGATAGGCTTGCAAATGTCTTAAGTGGCAGTAGATAAACTAATTAGAAGCTCCTTTAAGGAAACTTAACATAATAAAAAATAAAGGCTGGGAGTGGTGGCTCACGCCTGTAATCCCAGCACTTTGGGAGGCCGAGGCAGGCAGATCACCTGAGGTCAGGAGTTCGAGATAAGGCTGGCCAACATGGTGAAACCCCATCTCTACTAAAAACACAAAACTTAGCTGGGAGTGGTGGCATGCACCTGTAGTCCCAGCTACTAGGGAGGCTGAGGTGGGAGGATAGCTTGAACCAGGGAAGCAGAGGTTGCAGTGAACAGAGATCGTGTCACTACACTCCAGCCTGGGCAACAGAGCAAGACCCTGTCTCAAAAAAAAAATCAGTTATAATTTTGGTGTTTATTTATGCAAATGATAACAAAACCCTAAAGAGGTCTTGGGTGCAATGTTTGGTCACTGAGGGGCTCTTGTGTGAGAATGAGTGGGACAGAAGGGCTTAGGTTGCTGTGTGCCAGTGCCCTATTTAATAAGTTCTCTTTTAGAGGCAACAGCAATTGCTCTTGCCTCTGTGGAAGGTAAAAGCAGAAACTCTGATGGAGGTCCCTGAATGACAATCATGGACTGTAAATATTAACTTCCACGGATCTATAGTTGCAATTTTTCCTCAACAAGGGCTCCTGACTTTGACTTATTTCAGATTATTCTCTATTATTTTGAAATCAGAAAATGAACTTGGTAGTTCAACATGTTTTTACAATTAGGTATATACAAAGATTATATTATAGACCCAACATGGATAAAATGCATGCTTTTTATTGTTTTTCTAGGAGTAGGGATGGATTTCTGCCCAGAAACTCTTACTATTGCCCTGAGTTCCCATTATGACTAATGACATGGATTGACAGGAGCCAGGAGTATCATCTGCAATCATGAACCAGAAGAAATTATATGGGTTAAAGAACCAGAAGTGCACGAATGGGACATAGATTACTGCAGAGCCACTTGTATTTGTTAAGATTCTTTTGGTCACATGCAGCAAAAATAACCCTGAGAAGCACAGGCACACTAAAGAATATTTTATCGTAGACACAATGTGGTATCTTACAGAAATGAGGGAAGAAATGAGTAACAGCCTCACGAGGGAAAGGAATTAGGACAGCATAGACACCTCCTCGGGAGGAGTTTTGGGCCTTTTGGGGGATGAGTAACAACACATCAGCTTTAATTGTTCCCAGTTTCCAAATGTTATTATTCCAAATTTCAAAATCCCATGGGGTCTTTCAGGGTCCGGCATCTATCCTTGGATTAAACTGTCCTGGTCAGTGGGATAGGGTCACACAGAAAGGGCAAGGCTTCCAGAGCATAATCCTGTCACCTATGAGTCCATCTCAGAGAAGGAGTATTTGTTTTGAGCTAGGCAGCCACTACCAAATTGTCTGCTATACACCTCATATTCCATTATGAATTCTCACAGTTAAAAAATTCCCAAGTACAGGCTGCATGAAAAATAAAAATGAACTACACACACACACACACACACACACACACACACACACCTTGAGTATGAAAAAGGAAATAAAGCAATTTGATGCTTATAGCAAAGATGCTGAATTCTTTCTTTTTTTTTCTGACAAGAAAGTTTATTTTTCAGCTCATAAAATATTGGTTACATGTTGGATTGGGTCTCTCTAAAATTTATATGCTAAAGTCTTAACCTCCTGTACCTCAGGATGCGACCTTATTACCTTATTTGGAGACAGGTTCTGTACAGAGGTAATCAATTTAAAATAAGCAATTTGGATTGGCCCTGACACAATATGACTGGTGTCCTTATTAGAAGGGGAAATTTGGAGATAGACATACATAGCATACAGAGGTATGCTATGGGAACATGAAGGCAGAGATCTAGTGATGCATTTATAAGCCAGGAGCAGTCAAGAATGTCAGCAAACCACTAGATAGTAAATGAGAGGCATGTAACAGAGTCTTTTTCACAGTCCTTAGAAGGAACCAACCTTCTAGACACCTTGATCTCAGATTTCTAGCAACTAGAACTGTAAGGCTACAAATTGTTTTTTAAAACACCCACTTTGTGATACTTTGTTATATCAGCCTTAGAAAACTAGTACAATGTTATGATCAAAATGCAAAAGGGTATTGGTTATACATTTTAAAATGACTTAATGAGAATTTAAGTTTTCAGAGAAAAAGATACTCTCATAAAAATATTTTTATATTAAATTGTTGGGTTACTTTTTCACTGACACTAACTTTCACCTTCATTCCTGTAGTATGACATGTGACTAATTAAATTCTTGAATGTATCACAGACCAAAGAAAATTGGTTAAGTAAGCTGTGAAGTAAATGGGCTAACAGGCACATATAGAGATGTGGCCTAATATTCTTATGTTTTTAGGGAAATCTTCTGATGTTAAGAAATCCTTTCTCAATTTTGTAATAATTAGGACTTAAGCTAAGCAGTCAGTGGAAATTATAAAGGAATAGATTTCGTTGCATTTTTAGGTCAACAGTGGACTTTTTTCTTGGCGATTACTAACATTAGCTCAGCCATCTGTCCTTTTTACCAGTGAACCCGTACATTTCAAAGATTCCAGCTGAGAAAAGCTGGACTATTTCTTTTCTCTTGCAAAATATAATGATTCCCAGTAATTTATAAATGTTTGCAATAGCAAAAAATTTGCAGATACTACAATGGGTTGTGTTGAGGCCACTAACCCTCAAATTCACTGGCAAATACCATAGTTCAAAAAAAACGTAGTTCTGCTACTTAAAAAAAAATAACTCCCACACATATTTGGTGAGAAGGATAATGATGAACTAAATCTGAAATCTTTGTAACTCAGTACCAGTGAGTTCCTGAGGCTATTCAGCATGTTATTGTACAAAGATCAGTAATTATCTGTATTTATCTCTTTTATATATTTAATGTTTATCTCCCCAGTAGATTATAAACTCCATGAGGACCAGAACTACATTTGTCTTGGTCAACATTATGTCCCATAAATCTAGCATAGTACGGGAATTTTAATTCATATTTGTTGAATAAAAGGATGATTAAGTATAAAAAATCAGTGATTAATACAAGGTCTGGGCAAAGTATTACCAGTTTGATACAGAATTTAGACAACTTAGTACTTCCAGAGATCTGTTTCTTTCTTTAATGATATTTAACCTACATTTTTTTTTGTGTTTCCCAACCTGGATATGTCATATCTTTTCTTTTAAATCTTTAGTAGCTCTTCAAGTCCTGTAATACAAAGTTCAAAATCGATAGCAGAACAATTCTCTTTACAATCTAAACTTACTCAACATGCCCAGCCTTATTTCTTTCCATTTCCCCGGTCTTTACTTTCTCTTACCTTTCTCTCCCAATATGTTCTTTATGATCTAGCCACACAGCTATTCTCAAGCCCATATGTTCCACGTACTTTCAGAGCTACTTGGTGGTGTTCTTGCCTAGAATAGCTGTCTCTTTCCCCACTCTCTGTTGAAATTCTATTAATCTTGCAAGACCTACCTCACTGACTTAGTGAAAACTTCCATAAATTCACCTTTTTGTGTGTGCAAAATCAACCACTTCCTCTTCAGTTCCCTCTGAAAAAAAATCCATAGCAAATAAATTGTTTTGCCCTGATTTTCTGTATATTTCTACTGTTTGATTGAGAATCACTTCAGGAAATGCATTTATCCCTCCATCCAAAGAACATAGCTCAGTGTGTAGAACATAGTAGGTAAATAATGTCAAACAATCCTTAATTATTTTTTTCTCTCAGAATTCTTAGTTTTAAATTCACTCTTTCAAAAAAATATGTTGATATCTGGTTCCACTCTTACGTATGTACTTAACCCATCCACCAGAAGTGGCTTGCTCATTTGGCCGGAGCAGACCTAATGTTTTACAGAAGAGTGCACGACTCAGACTATTGAATCTTCAAATCCACTTTTCAGCTAGTTTTAAAATAAAGATATGTACCCCAAGTGGCTCAAAACAGCTTGGTATAGATGGCACATCTCAATGCTGTGGGACTATTCAAATTTTACATTTATTTCTTTCTATTTTTATAAAATAATCAAGTGAGTGAAATAATACAGCTTCTTGTTCCTATTATACCCTTCGTCTAATTGACTTAGATTCTCCAGAGTCAATTAAAACTGAATATGTTATCCCACCCAGTCATGGGAAATGAATGCAGTTATCTATTTTCTTTGTAGTTTTATATAATCTTCTGTGGGAAGTGCTTAAAGCATGTATATCTACAAACAGAGTCAGTTTTGAAAAGAATTTGGCTGAATTTGGGAGGTGGGACGCCTCTGGATCTGTTGGGCGACTGCCTTGCTAATGGCACTGGGAAGCTCCCAACTTGTTCCCAACAGGCTAGTTGGGAATGAACTCAGCAAACCCTTTTGGAATCATGGAGCCTCCACCCCTGGATCTGGTAGGTTCCCAGAGAGGTGTGCAATCAATGAAGAGCATACAGATGGGGAGCTGAGTTTATCTAGCACCTTGTAGCCAAATTTTTATATAGATTGAATGGTTTGGAGTTATTGATCAGGCACAATACCTTCTGTATCTTTGATGGACTCTTAATTGGGAAAATCCTATTTTAAGAATATCCTAACATAAGCAAAGTTGTTATAGGAGAGTGAGAAAAAATTCAACAGTATGGCAAATTATTAGAGCAACAGAACTATTTATTCCTTTGGTGAAACCGGTCCTTCCTCACTGAGCATCCAGAGCAACACAACATAATTTCTGGTTCTGCCAAATAGTATGTTTATAATTTTTAGGGACAATTTTATATTTTCATGTCAAATATTAGCAAATGCTTAAATTACAATAAGAATATTAGGCATTCATATATTGCAGTGCAGTTTACCAAAAGGTTTTCCTCCACATTATATTTTTAGATTCTCATTGGATCCCATGATTTGGATGGCATTTAGTCTGACATAAAAGGTTTTGAAGAATTACATAATTTATTTAAGGTCATGTAACTAGTAAGTGGGATTTCTGGTTGTCAAACCTAGGTCATCTGAGTTCCAAGCTTGTATCTTTTTATTAAATGGTGTGATATAGGGTAAGTAATATGCTGCAAGGGCACACATCCATCTCTGGCTGGGACTTGAGAGAAACTAAAAAAGGCCTATTATAAGATTTTATTTTCTAGTGGCCTTCAAGTGTCATGTACATTTTAACCAGGTAAAAGCATTATGTTATCTTTAGAAAATTCCCAGGATAAGCATCTAAAACAATATTATCAATTCAAGAGATGCTCATTGAGTATGGCCTATGTTCTAGGCACCATATTAGGCATTAGCACTATAAAGATGAATATGGCATGCTTCTTCCCTTGAGTAATTAGTACTAAAGTCAAGACACAGAGTATGCATGAAAACAAAGAAAAGTTCTGAAAAATCAACTGTCATACCAGGCTCCAAAGGAAAGGTAAGTCAACTAACATCGCACTCAAAGTAAAGATCCGAGCCCTTACAATGGCCTCCAGGTCTACATATCCCATCCCTCTAACCTCTCTGATCTCATCTCCAACCAGTCTCTTCCTCCATCATTCACTCCAAGAGCACCGTCCTCTTTATTGTTCCCTGAATTTCCCATTGGCAGTGGCTATTTCTTCTGCCCACAACTCTCTTTTTTCAGATATCAGTTGGCTAACTTTCTAACCCTCTCACTCATCCTCCTCTTTAATACTCCGGCCTACACCTCTCCCATCACCCCCTCCTGCACTCTTGATTCTCCTGTTTATACTTTTTTCCACTTTTTAAAAACATGGCACAAATCACTTATCGCATAGTGTAAACTTTGTTAATTTGTCCGTTGTTTGCTATCTGACTCAACTTTGTTATGTTCATCAATATATTCCAAGCATTCAGAGAAAGAGACCATCACTGTGCTGAGCAAATAAGATTCACAGAGTGCTTGCGTTGTGTCACCGCATTCTTACATGTATTATTTCCATTAACCTTATGTACATCTGGACTATAGCTTTTTACTCTTCATAATTCATAGGTGAAAAAAATGACACCCAAAGAGCTTACATATCCTGACATGACTCCTAAAATTGGTCTGTTGCAGATTCTTTCCAGCACACCATGGTACTTCAAGCGGGCAAGGCAAAGTGTTTGGACCATTGATGCACAAATGTAATAACTAAGTTAAAAAAATAAAGGATACAGATCAGGATAAAGAATACTCAGGTATAGACATTGCCAGTTCTTAGAGGCAGATTGGCAGGGATTGGAGGAATAGATTCAAACATTTGAATCTAGGAGACATAAATGAGGTACTAGAAAAAAGATCAGAAATATCCAAGAGCAGAGTCATGTTATGAAACTACGATGAAGACCATTCCATGTAGGAATCAGGTGGAGTAGGGCTGAAGTAGGTCTCACAGGAAGCCAGAGTAAGGTGGAAACACAGAAGTGGGTCTCAAACTGAAAGGCGAGCTCCTTAAGGCCTTCAGTAGATGAATCTTTGTGATAGTGTCCCCTCCTCACCTCAACCTGGCATGTATGCCAGGCCTTTTTTTTTTTTGTCTCGTCTCACTCTTGTTGCTCAGGCTGGAGTGGTGCAGTGGTGCAATCTTGGCTCACTGCAACCTTCACCTCCCGTGTTCAAGCGACTCTCATGCCTCAGCCTCCCAAGTAGCTGGGATTATAGGCATGTGCCACCACATCCAGCTACACACACACACACACACACACACACACACACATATGTACTTGTAGTAGTGATGGGGTTTCACCATGTTGGCCAGGCTGGTCTCAAACTTCTGGCCTCAAGTGACCAGCCCACCTCAACCTCTCAAAGTGCTGGGATTGCAGGCACGAGCCAATTCACATGACCATTTTCTTAAAATTAGTATTCATTCTGTATATTGTCTTCTTTCTAAAGCATACTTCTCTGTGTCTCTGTCTGATAATTTAATCAATCTCCCTTGCCAATTTTAATTCTTTAAAAAATTTCTCAGGAGATCGAGATCATCCTGGCTAACACGGTGAAACCCTGTCTCTACTAAAAACACAAAAACTTAGCCTTGCATGGTGGTGGGTGCCTGTAGTCCCAGCTACTTAGGAGGCTGAGACAGGAGAATGGTGTGAACCCAGGAGATGGAGCTTGCAGTGAGCCGACATCGCGCCACTGCACTCCAGCCTGGGTGATGGAGCGAGACTCCGTCTCAAAAAAAAAAAAAAAAAAAAAAATGTCTACCAGTGTGTCCTGGCAGAAACAGGCATTTGGAAGGAAGTGGTGTGGTAAAGAGATCACGCAGACTCAGGCTCATCTATTCTAAACCCTAGCCTTGTCACTTGCTGTCTAACCTGGGACAGGTTGCTTCTGTACCTTCGTCTCAGTTTCCTAACTTGAGAAATGGGTTTGATAATACTAAATTGTAGGCTGTTATGAAGATTGAATATATATAACAAATTTGCTTCAAGGGCCCTTGTGGTGGCTGGCAAATAATAAGTGCTGAACAAATGCTGGCTATTTTTTACTTTTTTTGTCGCTTAAAAGCACATTGCTGGGATTTAGCCTTCCTGTTCTATTCCAGAAATGAACTTCAGGGTAATCCAGGAAACTTAGCCACCTTGCTGGGGGCTTAAAGAGTAACCATAATTGGGAGCAGTGGGAGGGAGTGGGGGAAAAAACTCTTAAAGAAAAACTCTGCCCTTTACTTTTACCATTTACATAATCAAGATGTTTGGAATTTTAATGTTTGGAATTTAAATGAGAAAGACATTTAAAATTTGGCTACAGGTGTTCAAACTGCAATTAAAAAGATTTAGAATTCTGACCAAAGAGAAAAGAAGTACCATTAAAATGGAGACCCTTCATAACTTCAAATGAATCAGGTAGTACTCAGATTTCTACGGAGCCAAAGTAAGATGCACTTTTTCTAGTTTTATCCCCTTTATCCTAAACTACACACATTCAATGAGCCCCCAAATGGTATCTGAACAGATGGATATTTGCATAATGAAAAAAATACCGTACTAAATGTCACAGTTGACCTAGTGTTCCCTCTGGGGTCCTGTGGTCCTTAGGATAAAATGATCAAAATTAGCAGAAGAATCCTTTCCTGATTCAGGTGAAAAGTACAGGTCAGAATCAGAGGAGGAAAAAGTATAAACTGATTCCAGTTTAAGTTTTAGTTCAGGTGCTCAGAGGTAGATTTTTTAAAAGAAATTAATGTACTACACCATTCATCCATTTAACATTTACTGAGCTACTGAGCACCTGTTATGTACCAGGCACTGTGCTAGACCTTGGGGAGTCAGTAGTGAATAAGACAGGCATGACCTTGCCCTTAAAGGACTTGCAGTCTTGCTGGGGAAAGACAACTTTTTAAAAAAATCTCAGAAGTGTTGCTCATGTTCTGAGAAATGTGTGTGTAAAATAAATTTGTGACTCTATATATATGGTTTTCAATTTTCCCTGAAGATAATTGTCAGGAACAGGATTCATAGTATGAGCTTAGTTTCAAAAACTCAAGAGGTATTCCGTGTGTGGATGAAGACAAGAAGGGCATTTTGAGCAGAGGGAGATGTTTGAGCAGGATGCATTCCAATGACCTGCAGTTTACTGGATGTGAATAGAGCATAGGATTCATGTGGAGGTCCGGGAAGTGAGAGGAAAGTGATGGGGCTGTAGGAGTCGGAAGGGCAAGGTCTTGGAGGGCTTTGTGTGCCCTGCTAAAGACCAAGACCTTATCCTGGAGGCTTAGGGGCTTATGGAAGATATAAATAGCCATGTGATGCATCAGATTTCACATTCAGAGAGATGACTGGCAGATAGTGATGGTTTGGAAAGGCCTAAACCTAGTGGCAGGGAACTTTATCAGATATTCTTGGAAGAGTTGTAGGGGAGAAAAAAAAATCCCTCTACCCTTCTGAGTCTTTACCTGGGACCCCCTGTAATAAAAGATGGATTGAGGACCGGGCGTGGTGGCTCACACCTGTAATCCCAGCGCTTTGGGAGGCCAAGGCGGGCAAATCGCCTGAGGTCAGGAGTTCGAGACCAGCCTGGCCAACATGAGGAAACCCTGTCTCTACTGAAAATATAAAAATTAGCCGGGCATGTTGGCATGTGCCTGTAGTTCCAACTATTCGGGAGGCTGAGGCAGGAGAATCGCTTGAACCCGGGAGGTGGAGGTTGCAGTGAACCGAAATTGTGACACTGCACTCTTGCCTGGGTGAATAAGTGAGACTCTGTTTCAAAAAAAAAAAAAAGACAAATTGAGAAAAGAAAAAGCAAACAGGAGTTCGTTAACATTTATATCTCCTATATACAAGGGAGATACCCAGGGAATGAGTAAATCTCAAAAAGGTAGCTTATAACTTCAGCTTATATAGCTTCTTCCACAAACAAGAGCAAATTTTTAGAGAAGTGACAAGACAAAGAAAAAGGTCTCAGAGTTCCTAGGGACAGCAAACTGTGGGAAAGCAAATAAATGGTAGATAAAGGCTAGTCAGTACATCTTGCTATGCTGGTGCTGAAAAGGTCCTAAAAGTTTGTCCTTCACAGTAGAGAGCAGAGGGGCTGTTTTTGGGCAAATAAGGGGAGGGCAGAGAGCTTTTCTTGTGTCCCCTTCTCCTCAGTTACTTTTAGCTTAAAATAATCTTTATGCCAAAGTGGCATATTTGGGGGTGGCATATTCTGCCACCCTTCAGAATCCAGAAATTCAGATAACTCGGTATCAAGTATTCAGGTATTCAGATATCTAGGTATTCAGGTATTCTGAGCTAAAGCTCTTCTTTTGGAATTGTTTTTCAAAATCCTACTAGTTTTTTTTTTTTTTTTTAGATATCATCTGGCATGTGGACCACTCCCCAGCTGTCTCTACTTTCTTCTGAACAAACTACATGGAAGGTGCGTACGAAGCAGAAGATATATTTTGTCCGTGTTGCCAGAACAGAACAGTTACACAGAAACTCACTTCCAGATCCTCCAGCCCTCAGAACAAGGAATCTGAGGAAGTATGGAGAGAAGAAAGACAGTGCGATTAGGTTTCCATTAGTTGGGGTCTAGAGAAACAGCTGAGACTAGAGGTAATGTCCTATTGGTGAATCAAATGAGAAATAAGGAGCTAGAGAAGAAAGAAAGGAAAGAAAGTGCTGAGGAATCCAGACGCGTGACCCTTACAAACCTTGGCATATGAGTGAGAGTGAGACAGGAGCTGAGAGAAGAGTGGGGTTTAAAATCCTCACTTTTATTTTAGCAAAGCTAAAATGGTCTGGTGAGAGACACCAGAAAAAAAAAAAGTGCAATTGTTCTGCTGAGAAAAACAGGAACACTCAAGTAGAACAAATTTATGACCCCCACCCCCTGCCCCCTTTCTCTTTTTGGAAAAGAGATTGCAGTGAGGGCACTTACATTAGTTCTGCTGGGTGTCTGTGAAATTAAGAAAAAAATAAAAATAAAGAAGAATGAGGAAATGAGTGAAAGCAACTATATTAGAAACAATGAGAAGTCTCTGGCTCCGTGCTTATGACATTGTCACCCTGCAGAGCATGAGGAGGTCTGATGATGAGTAAAACGTCCTGGAAATAGACCTGTTCAGTTAAGTAGAGAGCCACAGAGGCATCTCCAAAGATGAAAGGATTTCATTAAAACACCTAAGGCCTGATTCCCTGTGGCTTACACAGTATGTGACTTGAGTTTCCAATTTCTTGCCCCCCATGACTCCCTCTGCACAAGTTCACATATTTTATTGAAAAGATATTATGACATGCACACTGGGTAGTGTCTAGAACAAAAGATATACTGTACAATGTGCTTGAGAGGAGAAAGCCCTAGCAGATCTTATAGATAACATGTAGCCATGGTAAATTTACTGTACTAAAAATAAACAAAATGCCGAAGTAGATTTAACAACTCACATTTTAAAAGGCAGTGTATTTCAAGTGTTTGTGTGGGGTGGATCAGTTATGATCTAGGATATTTTAAAGAGTTTTATGCTGAAGTCTTGTGATCTTACCAGTGATTTGAAGAGAATGTGAGATACTTGGTATTTAAAAGCCAATAGCACTGGGTTTTGAGTCTTTTTTATTTCCATTAACCATTAAAGGTTTTGACCCTTAATTATCTCGTTGCATTTGAAGTTGTATCTTCTCTTATAAACCTGAAAACATTAGAAGTAAAAAGACCCTTGGAGATTATCTGAGTGGTCTCTGTAAACAAGGCAACAGAGGCCTAGAGAGACATGTTTAATTTCAGGGTTTAATATCTGTCCTGGTAAGGAGAATGTATACTGAATCCAGAGTCTGTATTATCATAGGGTTGGGATTCTGGAGATGAGGAGCTGATATATTTTTCCTAGTGCCTCTTCTTAATTTGGTGACATGATAGCCCATGCAGCCCTCTAAAGCAGCAGGTTAGAAGAAAATGCTGGATTATAAAATTTTGCCTGATTATCAGAATAAGAAATGTAGCCATAAACAGCAAAACAACTGTGTAGGTTAATCGGCCTGCTCAAAACCTTGGGACAGTGTTTTCCAAGTTCAAAAAGAATGTAATCTTGCTTTCTTACACACATCCATGAAAAGTATATAAGCAGCTGATATTTTATCTCATACAGACAAAGAGGCCAGAATGGTGATACTTAAGGGATAAGACTATGTCTGTTATGATTATAGAAATTAAACAATGCAACCAAAATTCTAAACAAACAAAAAAATTAGAACGACAAGGGATGAAAATGAAATCTTTCAAGATCTCTCATGCTGTAGTTTTCACAATAAAATATGGAGGAGGATAAATTATGCAGTATTTTTGCTTTCTCCTCACTCTCTTAACATGTAGTATTACTGCTGAAATGTACCTAATTTCAGCACATGATTTTATAAAGGTAGTGAAACCATTCACATTCTAAGTTAAATTGTTCCTGCTATTGACATGCAACTTAATGAAATTCCATCTAGTCATTGATGAAACCCATTACCACCCTGATCGCCTGCTTCACTCACACTCTCAATATCATCTTCTTGCTTGCCATGTACTGATTTGGTTCTTTGCTAAAATTTTGTGAATTCTGGCTCATCTATGCAGTCTGATATTAGTAATCAGTTACATGCCTTTTACATGGATAAGGTAAGATAAAGGAGAGGCATCTTTTAAAAAAACGTACATGTTTGATCGTGTCTTGTCTGTGTCATTCACTTATTTAACAAATATTTACGGAGCCTACTGTGTGCCAGAATTACTCTCCCATTTGTTCAGACATATTATCCTCCCCTGTGCTGTCACTGGATGATACTCCAAAAGCACAAATATGTTTGTTACCAGAAAGGGGTCCCAATCTAGACCCCAAGAGAGGGTTATTGGATCTCATACAAGAAAGAACTTGAAGCAAACCCATAAAGTGAATGCAAGTTTATTAAGAAAGTAAAGGAATAAGAGAATGGCTACTCCATAGGCAGAACAGTGGCATGGGCTGCTCCGCTGAGTATACGTATGGTTATTTCTTGATTATATGCTAAACAAGGGGTGGATTATTCATGAGTTTTTCTGGAAAAGGGTTGGCAATTCCCGGAACTGAGGCTTCCTCCCCTTTTTAGACCATATAGGGTAACTTCCTGACATTGCCATGGTATTTGTAAACTGTCGTGGCACAGGTGGGAGTGTCTTTTAGCATGCGCATGCATTATAATTAGTGTATAATAAGCAGTGAGGATGACCAGAGGTCACTTTCAGCACCATCTTGCTTTTTGTGGGTTTTGATCGGTTTATTTACTATGTCCTCTTTTATCAGCAAGGTCTTTGTGACTTGTATCTTGTATTGACCTCCTCTCTCATCCTGTGACTAAGAATGCCAAACCTGCTGGAAATGCAGCCCAGCAGTTCTCAGCCTTATTTTACCGAGCTCCTATTCAAGATGGAGTTGCTTTGGTTCAAATGCCTCTGACATGTTCTTACCATTTTCTTGCTTAAAATGCCTCCATGTCTCTTCATTGCCTATAGGAAAAACAAAACAAAGCAGAAAACTCTAGAGTCCTTAGCATAGCTTACTAGGATTTGATCCCTATCTAAGTCTTCAATGTCCCTTTCTACCAATTCGACTTTGTATTTCCTGGTCTTTTATTACACCAGCATATTGGCTACTCCCACTGATTTTTCTGTCCTTGTCCATCTAGGGAATCTCATCTCATACTTGAGACCAAAATCAAAGATCTTACCTTCTATGCAGACTTTTCTTATCCACCCCATCAAAGCTGACTTTTCCTCTCATCTGAGCACAAAAAAGATATCTTTTCACTGCTGTCTCCTCAACACCTAGCCTGTAGCCTTGCCTGAAATAGATGCTTGAAAATTGTTTCCAAATGAGTATTAATTGCCTCTTACCTCTTATCACAGCTGAGATCCATGACCACATGGGCGCAAATGCTTAGTTGACTGACTGATGGTAGAAGATTTACTGTCTTCTGCTAGGGGTTTCTCCAACTGCAGCTTAAGCTGTCCAAGAGTCTGCAGTTCAGCCTCTGCAAGCACATGTGCAGTTGGTGATTGCAAGAAATTTGTATTCCTAATTTATATGTCACTGGGCCTTACACAGGCATCATAGCATGAGAAGCAGAGAAAGGCCATTATTTTGGCATTCACAAAACTCCTTGCCTTTCTCTTCCTGGAGGACTCAGAGAGAGACTCCTCTGCTCTCTGACCTTTCATTATGTGCTGCTTGTAAGCAAAGGACAGCATTATTATCACTGGCACAGTCTCCCACACCTTTTGTTCCTGGTACCTGGTAGAGAGGCCCTGGGATCCCTCCTCCTGGCTGAGATACATTTACAAAGTAAAACTGGTATTTTATCATACCTGGAAATAAGAAACTATAATCACTAATGAGATTTATAAAATTATGGCCCAAGCCGACTTCGACTTTCATAATAAAACATACCTCGCCTTAGCCTGCCCTCATCTATTGTCATAGTGAAAAACCTCTGGAGGCTGCAAGATGTCCTCTTTGAATTATGGATTGATTAAAAGGAGCACAACACATTATTTGAAGGTTGTGTGAAGGCTAAATAATCCCATCTGTGTGAGACAGGATACAATATTTTATACTGTCTGTGGAGATTCCTCCAATTATGTTTTACGGTCTGCATTCAAAAAGATTCCAGCTTCTTATCTTATTTAACTCTGCAGGCAAGTGTTCAGCAGAATATCCACTCCCTCTGGGATAGAGGAGATGGGTGAAACTGGGATCTGGAGTTTTGATTTAGCTTCAGACCTAGATTGTTTTATGGCAATGGGAGATCCATTTGAATTTTTCCACTGTACCAAACAAGAAGGAGACAGATGGCCCCAGACCCTGATCTCATCCTGGGGTTATGAAGGGAAATCCTCTCCTTATTGTGGCATAAAATACCTAATTCAGGCTCTGGTGCACAAACTTGCACAAAGGTCTGGTAGTGAGCTTTGTGGTTGATTATATCCTTCTGTTTTCAGGACCCCACGAAGTCTGGTGTCGGGTGAGGCTTTTACCTCTCAGAATTGCCTGCAATTGCCCTTCTCTCTGCCACCTGATGATTCCTTTGGCCATTATTTCCAGAGATTTCAACTCATTTATGTCCTATATTCATTAGGCTAGGATTTGGTTATTTCCTAATAGAAAGTTCACACTCATAACCTATCATCAAACACTTGAATTAAATAAGGCCTGATTTTCACAAATTTATTTTATGTCCTTGTTCAAGAAAACAAAGAAAAGATGAGGAGGGCATAGAATTGTCCTATTAGTTATCCCCAGCAAAGCACTCTTCCTTTAAGGAGCCTAAACTTTATCTATGGGAAGATAAAAAGAATGTTTCTTGATAATATGAGTTCCAAGGAGCAGAATAAATATCAGACTTTCCAAAATGCTCTAGTCAGCCTTCTGGAACAAGTGATGTTCTCTGTTTCAAATGTAACTTGTTGAATAAATAATTAAATGTGAGTTACTACTTTCTTAGATATCCTGTTCTCTGCCATAAATTAGTGGACCCAAAGTTGGGGACCTCAGCCAAGGTAGGCCAATCTGTGGGCTTCTTTTGAATTTGGGAGCACAGAGCAAATCCCAGCCACTCTTGGGAGGTGAAGTTGAGCGATGAGAAGTTAAGAATTTGTCCATGTTCAAGTTCTCCAACTTGTGGAGAAATCTGTAAAATACAGAAACCGGCCTACAATGAAAGTGAGCGAGTGAGTGACAGAGAGAGAGAGAGAGGTGATTCAACTCCCCCCTCTTTTTTTTTTTTTTTTGAGACAGAGTCTCCGTCTGTTGCCCAGGCTGTAGTGCAGTGGCGAGATCTTGGCTCACTGTAACCTCTGCCTCCCAGGTTCAAGCGATTGTCCTTCCCTTTTTCTTGACTGCCTTCTTATCCTTGACCTTTCTATGTGTGTATGAACCACAAAATCTCCTTTTGCCTAAACTTACCGGAGTCTAGTTCTGTCATTTGCAAGTCCAAACTGTCATAAACAGCATCAAAATGGAATCTTTTGCAATTCTTAGCAAAGATTCTTCCAATTGCTCATTTATAAAGCACTTCTGTAGTTTTTTATTAATCTTCCATTTCTTTGTCTGAAGTTAATAGCTGTCTTTATCTGAAGGAGGATGTCCCAAATGATTTATTTCATATCTAGAAGTAGCCACTTTTTTTTTAGTGCTTGATCTAAACCTGCTAAACACATCTTCCTAACTGTTTCCATGTAGGCAGTCATATTCAGTGGTCACTAAGACAGACTCTTATTAAAATTACCTAGGATAATTGCATCTTATTAAAATTATCTAGGATAATTACCTTTTATCATTGCTACAGGTATATGTTGAGTCCTGGGCTAAGCTTCTGAAATATAGACCCCGGAATATAGTTACTCAAGCATAATGGTGTTTTATTATTATTATTTTTTCTCTCTCTCTTTTATAACAATCCAGAGGTTTAAGGGTTGTTAGAAGGGGAACAAGTGGGTAGCTTCACTCCGTGAGAAGCCCAAATTCCTTCTCTCTTGTTTCTCTACCATTCCTTAGAGTTCTGGTTGAGTTGGTTCACCAGCAAATATGATTTCCAGGTTATGGGGAAAGGGCAGGGGATTTTTACTTAAGAGGAGTGTGAAAGCAGCCCACATTATTTCTACTCCATTGATGAGAATTAGTATATGGGATGCTGTGTAAGGGTGGCTGGGATGTGTAATATTCAGCTGTGGAAGGAACTTATTACTTAAAGGAAGAAGGAGAGAATGGGTATTGTGGGACAGTTATCAGTTTCTGCCATGGGTTTGTAGACTGATATTGTAGAGAAATAAGTGCGCTTTATCCTTGGCTAATAGGACACTCACATTTCCCATGTGCCAAATAAATAGTTTTAGTCTGCTATACCCTCAAGCTACTGCCCCCTTTTCATTTCATTTATGACCAAAGTTCTAAAAAACAGTAATTTACTCTTAGTACACAAACTTCCCTATCACACATGTACTTATTTTGTAACTCATTGCAATCTGACTTGTTTTCATAGGTCTGTTATGAAAAAGCTTGCTCATGGGTCATAACTAAGTCCCCTCTTGTCAACTCAATCACTTCACCATGTTGCCTGCATTAGTTGCTATTGAACATTTGTTTCCCTCTAGAAATGTTCTCATTAATTTCTGTGACTCAGCACTATCCTATTTCTTTTTCTAATTCTTTAACCCTGACTCTTCTTTCTTTTTCTTTGCACATCTTGTTCCTCTTATATTATAAATGTGGCATCCCCTGAAGGTATAAATTCTTCAATTCTTCTCTACCCAGCCCTTGATAGTTTCACCAGTGGCTTTAGCTAATACCTAAATTGATCTCAATTCTACCCATACTCCCTTTGCCTTATATGTACAGTTCACCTTATCACCCCAAAATAATGCTTCAAGAAGGATATTGATACAAACCTAAGCACAGTTCCCTGTTAGCTTCCAATGACAAAGTTGTGTTGGGTGACTTCTCTGTTGTATCAGAGCTCTTTTGATTCCAAGGAACAAAAGCTGCCTGTCTACTTTAAATAAAAGACGATGATTCAGTGGCATTTGGGGGAAGTATTCAAAAGTTGGCTGACATCAGCAACAGACTGAAGAGAGGGGTCAGAGCTCCTAGAAGAATCAAACACGATCATTTCTCTTGCTGCTACTATGCTTTTTCCTGTTTTTGTCTCATTTTTCTTCTGGGAGATTGAAAAATTGTGGTAGGACCTAGATATCAACAGCCTCCAAAGTTACTTTGTCTCAATTTCAGCCATCTACAGTGAGGCTTACTTTCCCTCTCCTCTGTTTCTAGAATTCGTGGAGACATTTCAAGTGGAGGTGGGAGAAAGTAAGTGCTCAGAAGAAAGAAGAGGAATGGCTTCCATAGAAGACATTTTAGGGAAGCTACCTTAAAAAGTATCTATCCCATGAAGTTAGCCATCTCATAAATGCAAGTACTCTCTCTATGAAAGCTATAACTGTGAAAAGAACATCAGACTTGGTGTTAAGAAATCTGTATGTGGCTTCCAGGCTTGCCATTGTTTTAGCTGCATGATTTGTCAAGTTTATGAGTGCCAATATTTTCATCACAGTGATCCTTATGTCCAGTCATTATTGTGATAACTGAATGACATTACACATATGAAACTGTCTAGTTTAGCACCGGTGTATGTTAGACATTCTGTAAATGTTAGCTGGATCTAGTTGGCCAAGAAGTCCCTAAGGGAAAAAAAAGAGGTTGGTCTGGTGAATTTGGGTAACCCACTTCCCTCCAGGCTAGAAAATAACACAAAAGATCCTTTTCCTGATAATCTCCATTTATAAAAGACACAGTATCAATGTGTTCTATCTGTTCTTCAGTGGGTTAGTTGGCTATGGATATTCTATGCAGTGCTTAATCAACCTTGCCAGTTCATTAGGATCTGTGGAGCAGCGTCACAGCCTTCCAAAGGAAGATGGATGGTGGCTGGCTTGCTCACACAATAGGAAGCTGCACATCAGCTGAAAAGTGTACAAAGCAAAGTTTCCCGGCTTTGCCTGGGCAGGAGGAATATTTTGGTTCAATTCAAAGCAGACTTGAAGCCTCATTGCAGTATTAGGCTGGAGATAATTCTGCGGGGGACTCTGTAAGACTGGGGGGATGCAAGAAAGATGATATCCTCAAATCTGGTGGTATTGATTATGTCTGTCTGAGAATGAATAGAATCACAACCTATTAGTTGGGAGTTTTGTTTTTTGTTTCTGAATCTTTGCATTGACAAAGGAATGGTTATTTGGACTCTTCAATTCTTAATTTCTCCTAAATACTGCCTCTAAGCCCTGTTGAAGGCTTGGTATGAATGGGAATGAAACAGATCTGACAATATGCAAGGTGGGGAGAATCAAAAAAAGACAAGCTGCATGCTTCCACAAAGCTGGTGGGAGTTTCTAGTACTCTTAGAAAAATATAAAATTCTTACAGATTCCTGGTTTGTTATGCTGAGGGGATTGCAGGCCAGGACCTGGTTAATCACTAGACTCATTAAGTGTTTCCATTTCACAGTATTTGTCAGATAAAGCAGGCTGAGACCGTCTAGCACATAGAGGTACAGGAAAATCTGGTATATTTTTCATGAGTATCTTTTTAGACCTACAGAAGAGCAAAGTCATGTACTTGAATGACACACACAGAGTCACGTATATATACACACAGACATATGCATGTGTGCATATATATACACAATATTTTTACACAAAATTAATAAAAGCATATACTTTGCTATGTAAAAAAGAAGGTATATCAGGCTCAACCAAAGAAGTATCACTAGTAAGATATATAAACTACTATACATACACATGTATCCACCAAACATACATATAAACATATGTATATCTGCCTAGGAATATTCATATAAACGTATGTATATCTGCCTAGGAAAATCCAAACTCCATATGACAGGCCATTAAGAAGCACAGGCTGGAATTCTCAGGGAGAAGCTAAAGCTGCAGTCCAGAGGCAGAATTTCTTCTTTCTTTGGTTAGTCTCAGCTCTGCTTTTAAGGGCTTGCAACTGATTGAATCAAGTACACCTAGGTTATCTAGGATACTTTCCTTTACTTAAAGTGAACTGATTGTGGACTTTTTATCACATCTACAAAATACCTTCATGAGATTAGCGTTTGATTAAATAACCAAGGACTATAGTCTAGCTAAGTTGACACATCAAACCATCACAGAAATTTAATTAGTAAATAAACTGAAAAAGAAATGTCTGTTCCACTTAATCCTATCATAACTTCATTAATATTGACATGCAATGTTCAAATTACACAGTATTTTGTTTAACAAAACAAATTATCCATATCCTAGTTGGGAAACATTTAGCCATTATGTTTATGAATATATTTAAATAATTAAAAATGATACAACTCTATCTTATGGACCAAATATTTGTCTCTTTTCAAAATCCGTATTTTGAAATTCTAACCTCTAATGTGATAGTATTTAAAAGCTGGGCCTTTTGGGAGGTAATTAGGTCATGAAGGTGGAACTGTCATAAATGGAATTAATGCTCTTATAAAAGGGATTCCAGAGCGCTCACTCTATCTTTTCTGCCATGTGAGGGTACAATAAGAAGATGGTAGTATACAACCTGGGAAAGGGCCCTCACCAGCACCCGACCATGCTGGCACCCTGATCTCAGACTTCCAGACTCCATCACTGTGAGAAATAAATTTATGTTGCTTACAAGCCACACAGTTTATGGTACTTTGTTTTAATAGCCTGAAATGACTAAGACACTATGTTATATATTTCAGACAATTTTTTTACCCTTATTCTGTTTGAATTAGCTGTGTGTATAATCCTGTATATTGTTTGGCAAGTGACTTTTTTATGAAGAAAGCAAAAATTAATAGATTTTTTGGAGGTATTATATATTATCTAATACTCACCCAAATCCTGTGAAATGAGACTTATTGTATCTATTTTGTAGTTGAAGAAATTGAAGATCGGAGAGGTTAAATTGTCTGTGATCAGGGAATAAACAAGTGGGTGTTTTCCAGATTGAAATGGGGCCCATTTCACAGTATTTGTCAGATAAAGCAGGCTGAGACCCTCTAGCACATAGAGGTACAGGAAAATCTGGTATATTTTTCATGAGGATCTTTTTAGACTTACCAAACAGCAAAGTCATGTAGTTGAATGACACACACAGAGACACATATATATACACAAGGCTTGTGTTTACCCCAATGGGCTGTCTTTGCCCGTGACCATCACCCACTGATGAACACAGGCTCTACATAACCAGGAATTGTAGCAAATGACCACATCTAACATTGATTGTTCCTCTTTGCTTTTTAATTATCCATCTAATCTAATTTTAGAATTAGACTGAGTTAATAAAACAGAATCAGCAGATGCTAAAGGAAAGTTCATCTCCCATCCCCCCGAGTCAGTTAACTGTTCTCAGGGAGGGATGGGGAGAAGGGAAGTGATTGGAAGCTAACCACAGATCAAATGCAGGGAAGGAGAGGATGGACAGTGATAATTTAGGAGCAGTTGCATGTAAGAAGACTTAGGTATTCACCCTGGGGGGCTGTTACCAAATATGCTTGTCAAATGTACTGGTATCCTAAAGGAATAGTGACTTTAAGAAGCAGAGGCCTGTGATTGTCCTATTTCTGAATTTGTTCCTGATTATTTAAGTGACATTGGGCAAATCATTTTACCTCTCATTGTTTTCATGTCTTCTCTTAAAAAATACTGTGAATTTTATGAAACTTGCTCTGAACTGTCTCCAAGGGAAGGTGTGTGGATAAAATAAACTGCGAGTTGTGAAAACGCTGCAGAAAATGTCATTTAAAGTGCTATGCAAATACAGTGATGCAGAGTGTGAATGTAGATGGAGGGCACTGCCTTCATTTCTTCTGGGTTGAATCATTTTTGGTCAAAACACCTGACTGTACTTCTTCGGTGACCCTACAGTCTGTCCATGACTTGACTTGAGTCTTGGAGCTTTCTAGTATCCTTGAGGTTAGCACAGCATCTCTTTTCGCTTGAAGCTTCTGGCTAGGGTAAATTCATCAGCAACTCCCTTGAAACTAGAGCTTGGTGCTCACTGTGTAAAATTTTTTTTATCAAACCATCTAGGACAGAACATATGCACCATGGGGATACAATATATAGTGCTTTTCTTTCCTGAAGAAGAATTGTAGTTTTCAAAAGAAATGCCTTCAGATTCCCTCTCTTCACTTCCTCCAGCCTGGTGCTCTCTGTTGCACTATTAGAATCAGCTAATCAGACAAAACATTTGATGAGCTGTACCTCCTTTCTTCCACTTGTTTATTATTCTTATAATCCTCCCAACAAGGTCAGCTTAACCTTGATCTATTTGAACCAAAGATTTTGTGCTTATATTTACTGACTCCCAATTACCTATTGAAACAAACACTTTGGACATGTGGCTTGATTCCTACTATTTCCCAGTTGCAGAAAATCCTACATTGTTGCACTTTGATTCTGAAGTGTATTCATGGATTTTTCTCTATTCAGTACTTTGTACTGATATTCAGTGTAGGATAATGCAACAAGAAGTGTTTATTCCCAAACTACACACCAGTGGTACTGTAGGGTGGATTCTTGCAACCTGAATTTTAAATGTCCCAGATTGTTGACAAGCACTAGATTACAGATTTTTCAAATTTATAATGGCTTATTGAGATCCTAGGTGAAACATATCCTAAACTGCTGACTAATGAAAGGCTCACTAACTTGAAAAACAGAAAAATAGAAAAAGGCATGAAAAGTAAAACATGTACTTGCTTGATTGAGAAGCCATGAGTCTGTGCACAGAAGGACCTACCATCAAACCAGGATTTTCACGAGAAATAATTTTCAGATATGCTTCAGCACTTGGCTGAAACTGTAGTTTTATGGATTCTTTTTGCATCTGTCTTGAAACTGTGGTTGAAGTCACTGTGTGTTGTCATTCAAAATCTCCTACAAAATACTCCAAAGAAACATATCATAGACCAAGGCTAGAATAGTTTTAGCAAGGAATTTAGCAGGAAATGGCAGTCACCCCCTATGACCTGTCATTTCATTAGTTACATATACACAATGCTAAGGTATTGAATATGAGCTATTAATTCACTTTTATCCAATTCTCTTTCCAACTTTTTGGAAAAAATTCCCTTGTTCTGCTGCACTCTGTACCATTCATTAACTGTGACCACAAAAATCCTGAGTGGAGCAAAGAATTCATGACAATGAGGCAGCCATAAAAATACATGCCTGGGCAATGAATGACTGTACATACAAGGTATCCTCAGAGTATGTAATAATAGTAAGGGCCAGAATGCCTCTTAAGACAACAGGCTGGCAGAAACTCAACCATAGCTTAAACAATGATATTACATCAAAAGAGAAATATGTGTCAAATAAGGAGGTAGAGGTTGTGATCAACTGCAAAAATACTATTGTTGAAGCTTCTATGCATCCATGACTTTTGCAGTATAACTTTAGAACTCCTCTTCAAGGTAGGAGTCCTTGAATATAAACTAAACTTTTCATCCCCTTTGGCTGATAAAATGCAATAGAATTCATGGTGTTGTTAAAAGATAAATGGAGATACATTAAAATTTTAAGGAGTATATTTCAGCAGGTAACATATTGTGAATTAGGCAGACCAAAGAGAGTTTTGGGGCTCTGCCAAAGGGCATAAGGGGAAGCTTTTATAGGGTCAACTCAGAAGCAAGGCAAAGAAAATATTTGCATGGTTAAAGTGGAGCAGTAGCTTTATTTGGATCATTCCAGGGCAAAGTCCCTAGTTAGAGACTGGTTGGCAGTTTCTTATTGGTTAAGCTTAAGTTTTGTTTTTCTATTTACACTGAGTTGGGTTTTGGCTGACTTACATAGGGAACACTGTGTCTTGAGTCTTAGGAGAGTTTGTTACGCAGCAATAGATAGTGAGACAGAGGTCATAATCTTAAAAAAACGACTTAAGAGAGATTAATATTATTGATATGAATATAACCTTGTCCAAAAATGAAATCTGGAATATAAAAACAGTCTAGTTACTTGGGCTTTCCCAGAGTTTAAGTGAGGCACCCCTGAATTCTGACTCCTCGCCAGACTGGCAATGTGAGCATTTCATGTTCCAAGAAGTTAAGATCCTATTGTTAATTTACATTTGTATTTTGGATTTCTATCCTTCAACCTAATGTGAATTTGTCTGATCATCTCAGACAGGCTGTGATGCAAATGTGAAGTTTCCCTTCACACTGAAACTTGCCTAAGAGGACATCCCTGTCTAGCATCAACATTCTCCTTGGTACCAAGCACAGGGTTCTACTAATCAATACAGACTCATCAAATGTTAGAGATATTCTGCAATGGAAATGCTTTACTTTTTAAAGTAATGGTGTGCCCATATGTCAATAGCAATGGGTATTACACCAGAAATATTTGTCCTGTGGATATTAGCTCAATACATAGAAGAACATTTAGTCTTTTAGTTCAGTATAGTGAGAAAATACAGGGCTCAATTCACTTTAACACAAATATAAATTTTGAAATAGGGAAGAGAGTTTAAACTGTGTCTTTGTAGAGTATTAAAATGCCATCTTCTATTGATGGATCATTTCTAGTTTTGGCAGTTATTAGAGTACAGATTTTGAAGAAATGGTAATAAACATTACTAGTTGGTAATAAACAGCACATGCTAAGTTCTTTGGTTTCTATGTATGAAATCAAAGACTGATGAAAGTCAAAGAAAACTATAGTCTCATGTGGCTTTGGATAGATTTGTCCATAAAGTAAAAAAGAGAATAGTAGTTTTCAGTATCACTGTGGTTATGCCTAGAAATCTTCACTACACGAAATGATGAGGTTTACATGAGCAGCTGGGGAGGAATTCCCAAATGAGTGACATTCACGTTGGTTACTGAAGTATGAATAGGAGTCTGACAGGTCCAGAAAAGAGGGAGGAGTCTCAGGAAGAGGTATCAGCATATGCCAAGAACAGAAACATACAAGATAATGCTTAATTGAACCAAAAGCTACAGTATTGTGAACACAGACTACTTTGTGCATATATTTATATAAAGAAAAAATACCAGTAGGGACAAACACAGCAGGGAAGATCAATTAGAAATTTTGTGAATCAGGATTTTGTTTAAAAAGAAAAATTAGATTACTTTAATGAAGCAAATAGACATATTAACTTTATCAGTCAGGGGCTCCAACTTCTGTGTACGGCTTTGGACAGAGCCCCCAAGCGCCCTGGGTATGGTAAATAACTAGGAGTATGAACCAAAGCACTCATTGCCAGGTATTACTTTTCACTCTCTTTAAGGAATCAGATATATTATTAGATCAGAGGGTGCTGACGCTTTATTATTAGTATTTAATGGTGTGACTTACGGGAATTTAATTCCCTCACTTTGAGTGACCATATATTATTATTCTACTTGTGATTGGGCATTCACAATCTGACCTTATTAGCTGCAAACAGATGCCAGACTCAGCTCAGTTGTGCTTCCCTGGGGAATGGCAAACAGCCCATTACAGGCCCTGCCTTACAATGGTTGAACACATGGAATCAGGCAATAGGTCTCCAGTCAGGGAAAGCCAGAAAATAGAAAGCAAACTGTTTTTCTTACTTCTCATTAAACTTCTTACTTCACACTGTCGTAAGCCTGAGTCAGACTCAGCTCTTGGTCAGGGGCCTATAATTGGCTTATTGTAATTGGCTCCCTGTTTTGCCTGCCCTAGCTGTAGACTGAAAATGACCTGAAATGCTGGCAGAGTCTTCTGGGTTTTGACATTTCCTGTGTGGGATCTCCATATATTATTGCCCATCAGTCAAGCAGGAAAAAAAGGTATGAAAGTATAGTAAAATCAGTTGAAATTCCATAACTGGTCATAGTCAGTTTCCTGTTTCCTAGGGGGAAGACTGGGTAGGGTAAGTCCAGGTAGTTTGAGTCATTTGGGGGCTACATTTGGGAGAAGGAGGGTACAAGTGTCATTTGACAAAAAGGGACAAAACCTTTAGGCATGTCAAAACGTAAACTTTAGCATTGAGTTGGAGAGGGAAGTCTAAAACTGTGTCAAAAGCCAATGGTGCTTGAAGAAAAAAACAAAGTGGGATGCAGAGATAGGAAAGAGAACAGAGTAATCGATGGGCTACATGAGGTAGAAGTTGTCTCAATATATAAACTGGTGACAAAGGCAGGATCCTGACATGCAATTCCCACATTTTTGCACACCTCAATTAATTTAAATAATAGGATAGATAGAATGTTATAAATAATAAATTAAACATTTGAATAACCCTATTATCTACTTTTTTTTTTTTTTGACAGGGTATCATTCTATCACCAAGAGTGGAGGGCAGTGCCATGATCTCGGGTCACTGCAGCCTCAACCTCCTGGGCTCAAGCAATCCTTCCAGCTCAGCCTCCCAAGTACCTGGGACTATAGGCACTCTCCATTACACCTGGCTAATTTTTTGGTATTTTTTTGTAGAGATGGGGTCTCATCACATTGCCCAGGCTGGTTCTGACCTCCTGGGCTCAAGTGATCCACCCACTTCAGCCTCCCAAAGTGCTGGGATTACAGGCGTGAGCCATCATTCTGGGCCTAAGTAACCCTATCATCTAAATATGCCTCTTAGGAAATTGCATCATAGTCTTCAAGTGGAAGAGGCACGTTATTTAGAGTATATTGACTAAGAGTGCATTTTCTGGCCTCAGGAAAAAAAAAAGGTTTAAATCCTGGTGTTATCAATGATTAGCCATGGGACCTTGTTCGAGTGCTTAGTAATTCTGAGCCTTATTTTTTTCCCATCTGTTAAGTGGGGAATAAAAATAGTATCTCCCCTATAAGTTTGTTGTATTCATTGAGATAAATTATATAAAATATTCAGCAAAGTGTCTAGCATGTTGTGAATGCTGCATATTTATTAACTGCTATTATGATTTGGTGGGTGATGATGATGTTGATAAAGAAAAATTAGTATTTTCTGGAAACAAATTAGACTGAGAGAACTTGTACAGCTAAGTTAAAGCATCCAGCTATAGTTTAAAATCCTGAGATATGAATTTACCTGGTGCTAGACCTTTAATTTCTTGTACGGCAGATTTGGTTCTCATAGCATAATTATTCTTACAAATGAGCCAGTGCTCTAGGTCTTTTTCTGTGGGTTTGAAGTCAATCAGCAAAGGCCTAAGTGGTTTGTAGTTAGAGTGTTAGTCAGAGTGTTTTCCACGGTATCTCATTAGCAGATTGTGTAACCCCAAGGCCGAGTGGAGACTGGCTCTGCTGGGCGATTGTGCCGATGCTGTGCATTTTCAGGCTCTTGTCTGTACATACAGCAGGTTGGATACACATTTCCTCTTCTTGTGCTTTAGTAGATACGTGGCCAAGTTTCAAAGACAGTTTTCTGTTCAAACATTGTCACTATTTCTTCTTAGAGAAAGAAGTTGATGTGAGGCAGATGGAGGGCAAGTAGGGAGAGACAGTGGTTCATGAATAATTCCTTGACAGCTTTGAGCATAAATGTAGGTATTTAGGAAGATGAGTATCAACTTGCAACTCTCACTTTTTGCAGACGCATTGTTCCTAAACATCCCTAATGCTGATCATAGCTCCAGGGCTAGCTCAATGCAGCTATGTTAAAAAATGAGCATTTGAACTGTTATAACATTTGCAATGTAAATTTTTTTTCTAGTTCATTTTGGTCTCAGGCTGCCTGCTAATAAGACAGGTGTATCTACTCATTTGTGTGCAAACATTTCTTTGAGGTAAACCAGGTCCTGGTGCATTCATCAAACTTCCAAATATGGCAAAGAGATCTTTGTCTCCTTATGAGCCTCGTTCCTTGAATAATGGTCCTCTGCAACAAATTGGATCTACATTGTCTTTAGTCTTTAGCTTTCTCTCTTATTCTCCCGATACACAAACCCTCTCTTTGAACCAGACTCAGTTTCCTTTGCCTGCAGCAGGTGGATTTACTGAGACTTGAGCTACAGGTTCAGGGCTGACCCATTCCTGAATGAGTCCTGACCAGGATAAAGAGAGTGTCTGGAGCCTTATCTCTGTTTACAGGTGAGTAGAGTCCAGGTGTTGTCTTGCTTCCCCAGGTTCAGAGTCTGACTATCTGCAGAGTTAGTTGGGCTCCCACATTTCATTCAGCTGTAGCCTAACCACTACCATGTTTATTTTGTCCAGACCCCAAAAGATTTTTCTTGCCTCACATGGTTAATTAGCATAATATTGTTTGAACATCCAAGTGAATTGCCAACATTTAAAACTTGGAGTCCTCAGAAAAAAAAATATGCAGATTTACAGCTGAGATCTAGCAAGGCCCTTGCCTTCATTCTTGGCAATGAAGAATATATGAGCTTATCACCCCTGAGCAGCCCTTATAATTCATATTTAGTCCACATACTGGTTCTGGACCCCTGCTCAAAACCTCAGCCTGTTTAACTGGAGCACTGGCTACTTGCTGAGCTCTTTTAGATCCTCTCCTCCCGGGCCAGGAGAGGTTTCTATCCCCTGGACCCCCAACCGCTGTTGTAGTCTGTCTCACTCTAGAAAGATAGACTGCATTGAATAATGAGAAACTGTAACCACCTGGGTCAGCAGATAGCTGTCTAAGCCCCCTTTAATTCTACTTTAAACACTGCTTAAGACTCTCTTGGATATCGATATTGTCCAAATACGTAAAACTGTCTCTGCACTCTCTCATTAGATTTTTGGACAATGCCTTCAAGACTCTATCCTACAGATTGATCAATTTCCTACCCCAGTTAAGCCCATTCCTACTTTCCTTCCCTTGTTGACTAGCCCACTACTAAAATCCCAGCATGATGACCTTGCATCAGGTGAAATGATTTTAGCTTTAACCACAAACACTCAAGTAGCTTAAACAATAATCAGATTTTCTTCTCATATGAGAAGATAAACATAGATATGATAGCCTCCAGGCTTAATACTTCAGTGATCCAGCTCCACTTTCCTGAAAATTTCTTGGCTCTGATATCTGCTTGTTGGTTTCATCCTCAGGTTGGCTGAAAGATGACTGTAGCATTCCAGACAGTAAATCCATATATCCAGATCATCTGGATGAAAAAGTAGAATGCCGGCTCTCCCCATGTGTCTCTTTCACCGGCTAATAACTTTTTCACAGGTTCTTCCCTGTGGGATGTCCTTTCACATTTTCTTGGCCAGGATTGGGTTTTCTAACCCTTCCTGCACCAATCACTGGCAGGACAGGGGAATGAATAACCTTGATTGGCTTAGAACAGGGAGCAGCACACTTTTTCTGTAAAGAGCACGAAAGTAAATGTTTTCAGGGTTGTGGCCCATAAGGCCTCTGTTGTAATCGCTTAATTTTGTTGTTGTAATGCAAAAGTAACCATAGACAATATGCTCATTTATGAGTGTGTCTGTGTCCAGTAAAATTTTATTTATAAAAACACACATTCAGTTTGACCCTCAGGCCATGGTTTGCTGATCTTTCGCTTGCACTAATTAGGACTTGCCCATGGAGAGAGGGACCATATAATTTTTAGTACACATCAGGACACTTTTGAAAGTGAAAGGGAATGCTGTTATTTATACTTAAATAATAGGCATAAATTAAAATTGTACTAGAGTCATCCTATGGATCATGTGAAGGAGGGATACAAACCTGAACAAAATTGAATTCTAACAGAAGAAGGAAATGGAGTATATTGCTGCCGAGATAACCAATAGTATGTGTAACAAATGGTAATAGTGAGACAGGAATCCTAAGACGTGGAAGCAGAGCACAGGCTGAGGGCAGATGGACGTGATGTGGAATGAGTATGCAGATAACAGAGAGAGGCCCCTGTGCTGGACTATAGTGAATGAGGAAGAAAGCATTATGAGTTCAGAGGAGGCACTCTCCAGACCACAGAGGACCTTCAGGCCATGGTAAGAAAATTAGAATTTATTCTAAGCGCAATAGGAAGCTGCTGGTTGTTTAAGTGGAGGTGTAGCATCTGTTTTATGTTAGGAAGATGCTCTTGTTGTTGTGTGGAGAATGGATTGGAAGGTGGCAAAAGTGGAGGCAGAGAGACCAGTTAGGACACAATTATAGCCCTGCAAGCAAGAGATGGCAGTGACTTGAAAAATTTAGCAGTGGAAATAGAGGAAAAGAAACTGATTAACGGAATGTTTTTTGAGGAATAGCAAAAGAACTTCTGGAAAGATTATGTGCGTGTGTGGGTGCGAGGGGGGCTGTTGTAGGTGGGCTGGGTAAGAGAAAGAAAGCAATGCAGAATAATAATATTTACACAGCATTTATTATATGCCAGTCTTTTGCATATAGGAATTCATTGGGTTGATTTAACCATTCTGTATGTTAACGATCTTCATTTTTGAAATGAAGAACTGGGACAAGGAGAGGTCAAGTAACATGTCCAAAGGCACATAGCTGATAAACGACAGAGTCATGATCTGAACTTAGGCATCTGAATCTACACTTTTATTTTTTATGCTCTTCCAACTCTTGTGGTGCTATACTGTGCTGCTTCTCACAACACTCCCGTGACCCAAGGCTGTGGGCTGGAGTTGCCAGGTAGATGGAGCTGCAATCTGCCACAGGGAGTTTCCCCTTCTTTAGAATCTATCCAGTAAATCAGAATGATGCATTTGTCAGTGTCACCGAATAATGACATTTCTTTATTCTTGTTTATCTGTGGTTATTTGCTCACAATTTAATTTATAGTTGCTTATTTTATCACATCATTTTAAGTCTTCGCTGGTTCACTGGACTGAAAGCTGACTGAGAAAAGAAACTGTATCGTCTTCATTTTGTATCACCCATATTATGTAGCTCTATTATTTGCATGCAGTAGATACTCAGTATATATTATTTCATTTGAGTTGGAAAGCCCTGGACTACTTATTTTCTAACCATCTAATTATTTAATTTAAAACTTGTTAAAATTCTCCACAATGATTTTTAATTGGAGCCCAGGGGCAAAACAGCACTGATTTGAAAGGCTTGTCTGAATGTTAGAATGCTCTTAAGAAATGTGATTTTATTTTTTCCCGGTGTTTTACTTTTTTTAACACTCAAGTTTTTAAAGTGTTTTTAAATTTTAACTTTTTATTTTGAAACAATTTTTGATTTCCGTTATACATCCCAAAAATAGTCCAAGCAAGAAATTCCCTTGTACTCCTCACCAAGACTTCCCAAAGGCTAACGTTTTACATAACCACAGTACAATTATGAAAATCAGGAAATTAACATTGATGCAGTACTGCTATTCTCATCTACAAATCTTACTACTCTTTTGGCAATTGTCCCACTAAGGTCCTTTTTCTGGCCAGGATCAATACAGGATCATATGCTGCATTTAGTTGTCATGTCTCCTTATGTCTCCTTTAGTCTGAGATGGGTCTCTAGCCTTTCTTTATCTTTTGTCTCTAGCCTTTCTTTATCTTTCTTATCCTCGACACTTGTAAAGAGGATTTGGCCAGTTATTCGGTAGACTGCCCTTGTTTGAAGTTTGTCTAATATTTCATTATGATTATATTCAGGTTGTAGATTTTTGGTAAGAATATCACAAAAGTGGCATTGTGTCCTTCTCAGCGTGCCATTTTAGGAGGCACAAGTTGTCAATATGACTGTTACTGCTTAGGTTAATGTTGATTATTTTCCATGTAAAGGTCACTGCACACTTCCTGTGATATTTCTACTTGTAACCAATATACACTGTGGGTTTTTTTTCACTCAGGTATAATATGGAGGTTCAGTGTTCTCTAATTATTGTTGCTTCTACCATCTCATTGAATATATTAATATTTTTAGTTGATGGAATAAGCCCAAGACAGAGATATTCCTCCCTATTTTACCTAAGAGAAAAGTAAAACTTTCATTTACTTTAAAAGTTCAGCTACTTGTTCCGAACTTTGTAAGAGACCTAAATTTAAATACTGGTATGGCTGATGCCAAAGTTCCCTCTTTCTGTTATACCATGTACCCTCTTTAGTTTTGTAATATAAAAAAAAAGGCACTGTTGACAAGAAATTCTTTTTAAATTTTGAAATTTTGTATTTTTCTGTCTTTAAGCATGCCTTCAAAATTCTAATAAATCTAGAAGAAATAGTGATTTAGATGGAAGGAGGCAAATGAGTGCTTTTGCTGATTAACTTGGCATGCAGGACACATTCAGCAAACAATAAATTAAGAATGGTTTTCAGCTTTTCCACATCTGCAAGTGCTTCCCAACAGTCTGTCTTTGAAGACATCTCTGTGTTGAATAATTTTTCTACATGGCAAATAGCTAAGAAAAAAACCCACAGAATGCAGAGTCATTGTCTAACGAGTGGAAAGGCTGCTGAGTTCTCTCCAAGGGACCATGGACCTACGTACAGTGTTCCAGATTCCAGACAATTACTACTTGACAATTCACCTGTGAATTTCTGTGCTCTGTCAAGTCAATACATTCTTAATATGTTCTCCATCTGCCTGATTCCCTAGGCTTCTGTTGCCCAGGGTATTCACCTAAGTTTGAGGAAAGTTTGTGTGAAGTGATTTCCTTTACAACTGTGCAAACCTGAATGGAAACGTGATGGGCCTAACAGTTATGGGTGTAAGAACACCTGGGGGATTTCTGAGAATTCATGTTAACTTCTCTGGGTCCCAGTTCCTTGTCCTGATAGATGGAGTAGATGACTGTTAAATCATACTGAATATATAGGTGTCATATATATCTAGCATATATATCATATTGAGTTCACGTACAATTAAATATCTTCACATTTTCAATTATTCTTGTTAGATGCCAACCAATTAAAACATGTTTCACCTCACTTTTATTCTAGCTTGATGCTAAAATCCTGTGACAAGCCCATTCGTGATTTGTTCATATGTGTCAGTACCCAACACCATTTTTTTCCATGAAGCAGGCATTCAAGAGGTTTGTGAAGAATGAAAGAATGGTAAGCATTCATCTCATAACTCGGTGTCTGAGTTGTCTCATTTGACAACTCAGGATGCTGCTTTGAAGTGGTCTTTTTGTGTTTGACCCTTCCATTAAAACTGCTTTATAGCTGTAAGGAAAATAATTATACAAACTTGGATACCTTCCGTGACTCTTCATTACCCATAGGAAATATTTTAAGTTAATTACCCTAGTATAAAAATGTTGTCTATTATCTCGGGTACCTTTCCCATTTCCTCTCATCACTTTTCACCACAAACTCTGCATGTGAGCAACATCAAACTGATTTTCTTTCTCTCTTCCTTCTAACCTTTACTTCACACACTCGAGGAGTGCCCTGTAACTTGGGAGTAGAGGTCTTCTTTGATGCCCATTGCTGCTTCTAAAATGTACATTTTGTCGACTTTGTAACTCACCCAAGTGTGTATTAATGTCAGTTTCTACAGTCTGCTATCTTTTCTGGTTGCTATAAAGGGATTGCCAATTACTTGCTCTCATGTGTTGTTAATGGGCATCTGACTCACTGTTTTTACTTTTTGCTTTTTAAAATTCCTGCTACTGTGACCATCCTTGGTCATAGTATAGAACAAGATACTTTTTAAAAGTATGTTACCAACAACTAGTGGGGAAAGAAATGATTAACAGTAAAATATTAGTATTTCATCAACCACAAGGATGATGCATCAACCTTGTCCTCTCAGGTCTTTAACAGCCTGTCTTTCAATATTTTCCTTCACCCTATCTCATCTGTCTTCATCAATGACTACCTACTTGAATTTTCATCACTGTTTCTGAACGACCCCTGAGCTCTTGACCTCAGGCATCTAATTCTCTCATCAAAAATTGTATCCTTTCAGCTATTTATTTCATTACTACTAATGGGATCAATTCTTAAATATCATGGAGTTGTTTCTTCCATGGGCCCTGTTATTTTCTCAGTATTAACCATTTTCTTCTTTCCTTACTCATGATATATTTTACGGTGCATCATTACATACTCCTACAGCCACCTTTCTTTCTCTCTATATCTTTTTCTCTTTTGTTGCACTTGCCTGGGAAAATTCCAAACCCGGTGAAATCCAACTTTCCACTTAGTCTGTGTGAGAACCTAAGCAGCAACTTAATGTTTGCTAGACAAACACATACACGTACATACCAGGGGTTGATTGTGTGCCCACCACCCTTTTGAAAACATACTTTTCAAGGTCAATAATATTCTTGCCAAATTGATGCTCAATTTTCTGGCCCTTCTTACCAGTTATCTCAGAAGCCTCTGACTGAGCTTATGGCTCCTTCCTCTGAAAATGCTGCTGGTATTGCGTTCATTATTTTTCACTCTTGTTTTTCCTCCTGTTTCACAGGATGCTTCTTCTCCGACTCTTTGGCAGGTTGCTTTCCTATCCTTTAGCTTCTTGAAGCTTCTCAGGGTGCCGTCCTAATTCCTCTCCTCCAGTCCCATGATACTCACTCTCTTGGTGACATCATCCAGGCTCATATTTTTAAATATAATTTATTCTGAAAAATTATAAAATTATATCTATAGTTCTGGCATCTCCTCTGAGCTCCAGGTTCCTATATCAGACCGACTACTTGCCATTTCCACCAGGTTGCCTAATAGACATCTCATACTTAATATACCCAAATAAAACACTGGAATTCTTCCCTCACAGCCCCCAAAACTCTACCTTTCCAGTATTCCCCATTGTATTAAATGACACCACCATTCGCTGTATTACTTAGGCCCTAAACCTCTGCTTAAATGTACATACTTCAAGAGATCTTTCCTGACTACCAAATTTGGATATTTAGACACCTTTATTTCAAGGTGACTAGGATATTGATGTCATGGGTAGAAGAACTTTGTTTATCTTGCCCAGTGCTTAACAAACTGCCGGCCATACAGTAGGATTGCAATAGTGTTGGGAAATGAATGGTTAATGAATAACCATGCATTTGGCAAAATGAAATTCAATAAATATTTCTTATAAATCTTAGATGGAAGATTTTTTATTTTAGCAGGTTAGCTCTGAACATAATGTCCTGAACAAATATATATATTAGTTGTAAATCATTTAAAAATGCATATGTATTTAATGTAACATATGAAACTTGCTTATTCTCTTCGATAAATATATAGCATTGATACTTTCCTAAGATGCAATGAATTGTATTATCTTAAGGTAATAAAAAAATACAGTGTTACCACAACTAATGGAAAAGCAAATGCTTAATGGTAAAACATTAGAAACTACAATGAAAAAATGATGACCACTAAAATCATTGTTATGCAACATTTTGCTGGAATTTCTTGTAAATGCAATAATACATGAAGAATTTTATATATATAATACATAAATATGTATTTTATAAATGAATATATATTTACTTGTATATTTACACATATACATTGTATATGTAAAATATAAACATATGAAGTAAATATATGTCAAAATTTTTTTTGCAAATTCTAAGTCTAGAAATATAAAAAAACTAGTTGATAAACTCATCATTAGTGAAAGAGTTCAGGTAATACATATATAGAAAATGAGAATAAATCTGTAGATTCTACACATTAATTTGTTAAATTAATGTGTAGAATCAATAGACATTTTTTATTACAGAGGACAAATAACTATACATTTTAGTAATGGTCCCTCATGAAACTGGAGTTTAAAAAATGTAATGAGGATACCAGCTAATGGCATATGCCCTGATATGGTTTAGATATGTGTCCCCACCCAAATCTCATGTTGACTTGTAATCCCCAATGTCAAAAGTAGGACCTGGTGGGAGGTGACTGGGTCATGGAGGTGTTGCTCACGAATGGTTTAGTACAATCCTCTTAGTGCTGGTCTCATGATAGTGAGGGAGTTCTCATCAGATCTGTTTTTTAAAAGTGCCTGTTACCACCCCCAGCACTCTCTTTCTCTCCAGCTGTGTGAGGTGTCTGCTCCCCCTTTGCCTTCTCCATGATTGTCAGTTTCCCAAGGCCTCCCCAGAAGCTGAGCCGATGACAGCATCATGTTTCTGTACAGCCTGCAGAACTGTGAGCCAATGAAACCATTTTTCTTTATCAATTACACACTCTCAGGTATTTCATTATAGGAGTGAAAGAATGGCCTAATACACGCTCACAAGGTAAAAGACCATGGGAGATATTTTGGAAATAGATAAGCAGATAAGAGACTGGTACCTCACTTATTACCAAACCTGAGAAATGTGATTCTAAGCTGCCAGTGGGGAAAACATAAGCAAGCTAATGTATACTGTGGGCTTATCAAAGGCTCAGGAACGAGTGGCAGTAGGTACATGAGGATGGTCAAGTAGTGGGTGATTACGGAGCTTAAAAGAGAGCGAGTGATTGACAGCCTGGCAGGGCTGTCAATGGTGGCTCACACCTGTAATCCCAGAACTTTGGGAGGCCGAGGCAGCCACCCTCACTTGAGGTCAGGAGTTCGAGACCAGCCTGGCCAACATGGTGAAGCCCATCTTTACTAAAAAGTACAAAAATTAGCTGGGCGTGGTGGCGCATGCCTGTAATCCCAGCTACTCAGGAGGCTGAGGCAGGAGAATCACTTGAACCCAGGAGGTGGAGGTTGCGGTAAGTACAGGAGGTTGCACCACGGCACTCCAGCCCGGGTGACAGAGTGGGACTCCATCTCAAAAAAAAAAAAAAGAAAAAGCCTACGTAGACTCCTAGATTCTGTCCCCAACTTCACCCATGTGAGTGACTGCCCTTTCCTATGGTGGTAGCAGAAAATCGGAGGATACTAGGGGGAAGATAACAGCAGGAACCTCCAGGCTCAGTTAAGAGTGCTAGTACTAAAAGAAGGAAATAAATACATGTTTATTCACTGACTACTGAGATCCTCAGCCTTCTTTTTTAGTGGCTCTTGGAAGGCTAAGAATCCATTTGTGCCCTTTAGTCAGGAGATCTTAAACACCTTTTCTGGTTAATGTGACCAGTCCAGGATAAATGACTAAATACTATAACACTGTATTTGTGTGTGGGGGGGCAGGAGGCAACCAAAGTATATGGTTCAGTGAGATCATTCTACTGTGCAACAGGTTCTGCTACTTTACACAGTGTTTCTAATTAACTTTTTAGTTCTTCTTTCTGAATTATGAGAAAACATGAAAGATCAAGGCCAACACAATAGACATTAATGAAACCTGGAAAAAACAGACAATTCCAAGAGATATTAAAAAAAATTAAAAACAGGAGAAAAATAAGATATGTAAAGGACAAAATAGAGGTTTAGGAAATGAAAACTACAATTTCAGTAAAGCAGAATTTAAAAGAAGTATTGACAAATGTCAGAGAGATGAAAAATAGAAGAGAAAAAAGAGAATGTTAAAGGAATTGTCTAAGAAGTACAATGGCAGAGAAGAGTTCCAGAAAAAGACGAAAGAGAAAATGTATAAAGGGACAAAATATGAAGTAATTCCAGAATGAAAAGGTTCATGAGGGACTCAGGTTTCCTGATTTGGAGGGCCCACTGAGTGCCCAGCCAAATGGATGAAAGTCAACCCACACCACCCATGCTGAGAAATTTCAGAACACATTAGAGAAAAAGAACATCCTAAAACCTTCCAGAGGGAATAAAGCAGGTACATGTAAAGGACCAACAGTCTGAATGGCAAAGTGTTTCTCAACAAAGACACTGGAAACTGGAAGCTGTTGTGGAGCTGCCTTTACACTTTTGAGTGAAAATAATTTTCATCTTAAAATTCTATACTCAGGGACATTATCAATGAAATGTGAGGGCAGAATAAAGGCATTTGTAGACATGCAAGGTATACACACAAAAAATTGCCTCCCATGCACTATTTTTAAGGGAGCTACTGAAAGATATGCTCTGCCAAAATACAGTAGTGAAGCATGAAAGGGAAGAAATGGAATCTTGTAAACCATGGATCCAACACAAGAGAAAGATTGCCAACATTAGAGAAAGCTCAAGGGAATAACTGAATTGAGGGAGACCCCACTTCAAGTAGGCCTAAAGTGTACACATCTCCATGGAAAACTCCTACAAGATGAATGTGATAGAACACTTAGTATTTTTTAATGTCTTGAGAGGATTTTGCACCACTGGGAAAGAATATGAAGATGAATTAGAGAGTAGTACATAGAAAGCTATGCCCTGCCTCCTTTCCCTCCCAAAATTCCACCCAAACAAGTACATAAAAACAAGATAATTACAATGTCAGGGAAAATAAAAAGTTCATAAGGAAAGTTAAACTACTCCTCTGCTGTCAATAATATTTACATAAAAATAATGTAAATATTGATTATTGATTAAATAAAAAATAAGATATTGGAAGGATGAGTGGGGAGACTGCAAAGTAAATCTTGGTTTGTACTTTCTACGGGAGAAAAATCAATAGATAATCCTTAAAAATGAAAGTCAATAAATAGTTATATAAGCAGATTACTTAGAAATGTGGGAGTAAATACCGAAAGGATCAGCTCAAAGTGTTGAAGGTGGTTTTGCTCCTGGAAATCAGGAAAGGTAGATGGGGTGTTGATGGTAATGGACTTCTCTTGGTTGTAAAAGCTTTGTAGAGCTATTTGATGATTTATTATCTGTATGTGTATTAAATTTTGATAAAAATACAAATTTAATAACAGAGACAAATAATTATTGAAGAGAAATAACACTTCATAGTAACAACAGAAACAAAAATACCTAGAGATAACCATGAAGAAGAATATGTTGTTGTCATGTGAAGAAAATGGCAACATTTTATGAAAAGAATAAAAATATACAAATTAATGAAGAAATATATCATCTTCCTGGATAGAAAGACTAAATATCTATTTTTAACTTTACTTATAGTTTTAAGACAGTATCAATTGAAATATTAGAAGTTTGGAGACTTTAGTGAAATGATATTAATTTATGGAAAATATAGGATAATTTTGAAAAAGTAAAATAATGGGGGAATCTGCCTTTTCAAATATTGAGTTATTCTAAAGTTCAACCAGAGTGAAATTGACACATTAACCAAGAGACAACTCAATGGAAAATAATAAATAACTGAAAAAAAATCAATTGTTTATATAAAAACTTACGTAAGTATTTAAAGCACCAAAAATAATGTTCAGAAGGTTGATGTTTGAAGTATTAGGGTAGATTGTAGGACATTTTAGAAAATATGTTCTCAAGGAATTAAAGGGTTTAAAATGTTTAAAACTGAAAATATCTTTGAAAAGATAAGCAATATTTAAATTGATTACATGGATAGGATTGATTTTTTTAACAATAAAAGCCAATGGAATGAACTCCAACACAAAGATTATTAGTAGGTTGCACTATATAAAAATAGAAATTTTTGAATGTCAAAAAAAAAAAAAAACAGACAAAAAACAACTCACCCTGTGCTTGCTCAGTCTATTGGGGCTGACTTTAGGGCATGCAGTTGGGGGCTGGCTACTTTGGTGTTGACCCCACATCCCCAACCAGTGATGTGCACTTTACTCTGGCTTATAAGACCCCCTCTCTAGGCTCACTCCTCCACCCAGAGCTAGGCTTCTCTAGCTCCCTCAATTAACACACTGAATTTCTTTAAATAGGTTTATTTCTGTTTTTGTTTGTTTGTTTGCCTGTACATCAGCACCAGACTGTCTTTTACTGTAGACAGGCATGGAGCAGGGACTAGGGGTGGCTATCAGGGGTCTTCCATGAACAGACTTAGCCTTCTCCTTCATTTCCATCATTCACCTCTTCCTCAGGATCCTTCCTGAAGGTCTCCTGGGCAGACGAGATTGTCTTCTGCTTAACTTCTCTCTTGCTTTTCTAGGCTGTGGTTTCCTCTAGTTTGTTTCAATTATCAATATGCCTCCATCTATTTTTGATATCCAAAAATCTGCTGAAGTCTCTACTCTGCTAATGCTCCCCTTGTGTTCTTTTTGTTCTGATTTTATTCCCCCTTTTACTTCTGTATCATCATTTTAATGGGAACTCACAAGAGAGGGAGAAAAACATTGTGTGCTCAGTCTATCACCTGGAGCCAGTAGTCTTTTAACCAGTATTGTGCGAATATTTGATTTAATGAAAAACTACTCTATAATATGTAATATAAAATGCCAAATAATAAAATAATCCTAACAAAATTAACATTTCATTAAGATATTTTTGATAAATCAGTATAAGAAACACTAGTGATTCACTGAACAAAAAGTAAGCTAAAGAAATTCAAATAACCAATAGCTATATGGGAATATTTTTAACTTTGCTAGTAATTAAATTAATGCAAGTACATGTAACAATAAAGTATTCTTTTTTATGTATTAAATAGACTTTTTAAAATTTTTATATTAATACTACGGTGAGTACTGTGAGGTGGCCACTCTGTAGACTTCTACTGGGCATGTGTGCTTGAAATGCTTTGAGAAGCACTTTAGCAAAATGTATCAAAGGTACCTAAATTTCTTCTTCAATACCACTTCTAGGTATCTATCTTACAAATATAATAAAAAGGGTGGATAAATTATTGCAACATTACTAGTTTAATAAAAAATGGAAACAATACAATCAACAATAACAGAATTTTAAAAATAAACCATAAGCTTACATATTAATTATTACATAGCTATTAAAATAATAGTTTAAAGAATATGTACTCTCACAAGAAAATGTGCATAAGTTAGATTTTTAAAACTTACTCCAGAATTCAAATAATATATACAATTATGGTTTTCACTTTTGGAAAAAAAATGTAGATAAACTTCCCTGTATCAATAAGATGGAATTCCCTGCCTTTATGTTTCCTTAGCTTCGTATATTTAGAGCTGGTTACATTTTTCATCATAGCATGTTTAGCTTGGTTGACCATGAGGTATTTGATAGAAGGGATACATTACATTATTCTTTATATTTGTGATTTTCATCAAGGGGCCTGGCGCATAATAGATGTTCCATAAATATTTGTTGAATTGTTAAATGAAGGGAAAAATGATTGATTGAATCAACGAATAAAAGTGAATGAATACTATACCTCTAGACATGGGGAGTTGGTCCTGGTGGGTTGTTTACTGCAGGTAGAATACAGAGGTGAAAAGAAATAGAAATGGAAGAAATACAGGTAAAGTTATTTCTTTGGCCAGAGGAGCAATGCAGTAATATTCAATTAAACAGGGTTATACAAAGAAATAAAGGGAATGAGACCAAGGAAGGATAATAAAGATTCATCATAGTACTATTGAAAATTCACTGGCTTTTACATCAGAAACATTTGGAGTTAAATCTTAGACTCTTCTTGTATTGTCTATGTGATCTTAAACATGCAGTAGAAATAGACATAACAGTTCTTTCTCAGTGGAGATGAAATGAGATAATACGAAAGTTTCTTGGTACTTGGTAGGCCAATAATGAGATAAAGTAAAAAAAAAATGGACAAACTCAAGGAGAGACAGAAAGATAAAGAAAACTAGTTTTTGATAACATGCAACATCAATGCAAAGTATTGGAAGTATAAAGTACTGTCTTAGGGGAGAGTCAGATGTGAAAGCCACTATCTTGAATAATAAGGAAGCATGCATTTTTACCACTGGTCATCTTATAATTTTCTTGCTAGCAGTGAATCTAAATTATATTAGCAAATAGGTAAAAATAACCTTAACAATGTGCCAAGTCTATTAAAAAATATTTTAATACCAGGTCCAATTGAGTGTCACAGTATTTACATGACTTATATCCCATTAGAGTTCAGCAAAAATACTAAAAATAATTATTTATGGTCTTTTTTTTTTTTTTTTTTGAGACAGGGTTCCACTTCTGTTGCCCAGGCTGGAGTACAATGGCACAATCTTGGCTTACTGCAACCTCTGCCTCCTGGGCTCAAGCCATCCTCCCACCTCAGCCTCCCAAGTAGCTGGGGCTATAGGCAAGTGCCACTAATTTTTTACTTTTTGTAGAGACAGGGTTTCACCTTGTTGCCCTGGCTTGTCTTGAACTCCTGAGCTCAAGCAATCCGCCTCCCTTGGCCTCCCAAATTGCTGGGATTACAGGCCTGACCAACTGAGTACCCAGCCTTTTTTATTGATGAGCGTAGGGAAACAGCATTTTTTCATTGGTGTGAGAGGCGGTGGAATAGAGAGGTTCACAATAGTTTTGTTTTCAAGACCCAGCCAAGTGTTAAAGAATATATTTTGGGTTCACCCACATTTTTGTCCATTAGATAATTTGGTTGAGCCTGGACTTTGAAGATAGATGGACCTGGGTTCAAATCTCAGTTTTAATACCTACAAGCTCGGTGATCTTGGAACTAACTGTTAATTAAACTGTGGGAGTCCATTGTTCTCATTTGGAAAGGAAATTAATGGAGTGATTTTCTAGGGTATTGTAACAGTTAATAATAATATATGCAATGTGCCTAATACATTTTTTGGCTTTAGTGAGAATTCAAAATTTCAAAAATTCTTTGAAAGTTGGAGTGGCTAACAGGCACTTGAACAGAAATTGCTTAAAAATGCTTATCCCTATACCATTGCAATTGATGCGTTTCTTAGATTCTGATATAGATTTTTCTAGGCAAGCCTGCAAGGGATTTTTGTCTACTCCCTCGGGGTTTTATGATGACTGTTTTGCTTGTTCTCTATTTGTGCCAGAAATGGTCAGGAAATATTTCACCAGTGTAGAAAGATGCGCCTCTAATTCTGACAACCAGCAATTCTCTTCTTGCAGCACATCTTTTGGACATAAAAGTGAAGAGTTAGAGAAGTACATATACCTCATTCATCACAGCTTCAGAGAAGCAGATGCTATCATTCTAGAATCAAAAATGAGCCTTCGACTTGAGGAGAAAGAGAGAATCAATTATACTGGTGGCATTAAAGCATCATAACAAAGAAACAGAGAAACTCAGAATGAGATCTTATATTTTCTTTAAGTTAAAGAAGTCAAGCTTCCATTCTTTATCCTTGGAAAGAACATCAATGAGATTGATTAAGAAAAGCCAGTTGAATGTTAAAATTATACAGCATTTTTGCAGCTCAGCTGTAATTCATGCACACAGTGGGCGATTACCTAGGCATTGTTCTACAGAAGAAAAAATACATTAATTGCTTCTTCCCTTCCCTCCTTCCTAAAAGCCTAATTAGTGATTTATCCTTAAACTTACTGCTATAAGTAGTTTCATTATTACTTTTTATTTTCATTTTTTTATTTTTTATTTTTTTCTAGAGAGAGTGAGATACAAATTTAAAGTTCTTATTAGTTATGGCAGCCAGTGATAAATTAGTATGACTCATACCAAAACTTTCTCTGGACAGTCTTTGGGGGTTCAGATTTTCCAGAGAGCAAACTAGTTACCTGTGTGGCCCAATATTTATAATAACAAAGAGGTAATTAGGCTTAAAATTTTTCATCTCAATTTTTATTGTTCTATAGCTGTAGCTGATATATACCCATCAAGGGAAGTTTATTTTTGCCAATACTGGAGAAAGGCTTGGCACTTTGCTTTGGCATATCTTACGGCAAACCTCTTTTGAAAGATTTTAGAAATTAACCGAACCAACAAGCATCTATTGAGAATCTATATTCAATGTACTTTTCAAAGGCTCTGTGCCAGTATGTCATGCTGGTCAAAGACTTCACTCTTTATTATAGCCCCAAGAATTTAAGCTTCTCTGTGGATAGCCCTGATCTCAACCACAGAAGAAGCAACAGAAAAATCTGAAGGATCTACCCTCAGGCAGACCCATGCTCAAATGCTGGCACATAAACTTGCTACTGTGTTATGTATTATTAGTGGAAAATAGGAAATGTATCAACTCTCTGGCAAGTATGACTTTTAATTAGAGTCTGAATTAAGTGTTCCTCCTTTGTATTCCCTTAGAAACTTATAAATTGCTTTATCATATGCACTTATGGCTTTTTAAGTTGTTAATTTACAAGTCTAGCTCCATTAAATCATGAGATCCTTGAGGTTTTGGTTTGTGCCTTATTCATCTTTGTAACCTGAGCACTTAGTGCAGGGATGTGTACCTCCTAGGCCCTGAAATGCTTTCAAAATTGAATGTCAAATGTAAATCAGGTTACTGGAATTCAGAACTAGGAAGTATTAGTGCTGGAAATGACTGGTAGTCCATTGTTGCTATGCATTTAATACAATAAAATCTTTAAATAGTTTCCGACTGGTGCATATTTATGTTTTCTGTTAAATTTTCACCATTATGGATAATACTGCATTGATTACATATGTGTTCATATTTTTGCAAACCTATGTGATCATCTCCTTAAGATACTTTTTTTTTTCCCTGGGGCAGTGTCATTTTTAGGTCTGTAGGTTTGCAGTTTAAGATGTTGCTGCATATTGCTATGCTGTCCTCCGGAAAAGTGGCACACTGTCATTAGCAGCACAGACTGTCCATTTCTCCCTGTTTTGTAATCAACATTGGATATTTTAAGTCTTTGAAAATACCTTTCCAAACTGATAAACACAAATTACCACTTTTTTCGGTTTGTATTTTCTGATAGTTAATAGGGTTGCCTAATTTTTCATATATTTATGGGCACTGACATTCCTTCATACATGTATGTCCTTTACTTAGTTTTCTTTTTAACAATTGTTATGACGCTTTATGTAACATAGTTTGTACGCCTTTACCTAAATGTTTTATGAAAATGAATATTGTATCTGACTTGAGGGTATTTCTCCTACCTAGTACTCATTTGGCTCTGATGACTGGAGGAACACCAGGGTCCTTGGTCTCCTGCTGGTTTGAATAAAACAACACAAGACACATGTGGAGTGATTTTAAGGAGTGGAGAATTTAATAGGCAAGAAAGAAGGAAGAGGCTCACCCTGTACAGAGACAGAGGAAGCGGGGCTCCAAGCTGAAAGAGGGAATCCCCAGTGTGGCAGAAAACAGCCAGTTATCTGAGGAGACTGGAGGAGGTGGTGTCTGATTTGCACAGGGCCCAGGGGATTGATTTGACCAGGTATGTCATTCAAGTAGCCCGCAGAAAAACTGGCCTCCCCACCTTAAGGGAGGAGACCACCCCTCATATTGTCTTATGCCCAATTTCTGCCTCCAAAGAAAGAAGTAAAAACTAAAAGGCAGAAATGAAATCCACAGGCAGACAGCCTGGTGCGGCACCCTGGGCCTGGTTAAAGATCGACCCCTGACCTAACTGGTTATGTTATTTATAGATTCCAGACATTGTATGGAAAGCATTGTGAAAATCCCTGTCCTGTTCTGTTCCGTTCTGATTACCGGTGCATGCAGCCCCCAGTCCTATACCCTCTGCTTGCTCAATCAATCACGACCCCCTCACGTGGACCCCCTTAAGAGTTGTAAGCCCCTTAAAAGGGACAGGAATTGCTCACTCAGGGAGCTCTGTTGTTGGAGACGTGAGTCTTGCCAAAGCTCCCGGCCGAATAAAGTCCTTCCTTCTTTAACTCAGTGTCTGAGGGGTTTTGTCTGCGGCTTGTTCTGCTACAACCCTAGGCTTTGAATATGCAAGTGCAGGACGCCATGATGTTCTACACATGTGGGGATATGTGGTGGCGGCCATGTTGCCAGGCGCACATGTGGGGACAAGAAGAAGATGAGGGGAATCGCTATGTTTGGGTGGACCCAGTCTCTAATGGCCAGCATTTGCATATTAAAGCTTGCCAGCGGGGCTTTAAGAGTCAGGGCTTTTCTGCTAGACAAGAAACATTTCTAGAGCTGCTTTAAAAGAAAAAAAAAATTACAAAAACCCCTTTTCCTATCTGCCTAAAATAATTTATTAATAACTCCTATAACAGTACTATAAAACAGAAGACATGTAAATCCACCCTTTGAGCAATATTACAATGTTAAGTGGACATGCTAAATGGGAACTAGTAAGATTGCCTGGCCCACATAGTGTAGAGTGGAAGACGGAGTGCTGGTAAGGACGAATTCTCCACTTGGTAGACCTTTATGGACCATTTACAGGGGCTTAGGTCAAAAGCCTGTGAGCACCTCACAATGACAAATACTGAGACTTTGGACAAGAGAATTTCTACTTCAGAGGTATTTACTGCCTTGCTATGTGATGTTAACTGAAGCTACCCTAATGGAAATGGGGTGCCCAAAAGAGTCCCATGTTAAAATGGAAACAGTTTATAATGGATTTGGCCTCCTGGGGAATGCAAGGAGGAGATACTTATGGCAGGAAGCCTCTTTTTTCCCTAGGACTGTTTCTGGAACTGTGTGAAGAGCTGCCGGATTCTATAGTGCCCAATAAATAGCTCTCGCCTGACTGGCAAAGAATTGAGTGGCTTGTAAATGGCAGTTCCAAGGTGAACAAACTACATTCTGTTTGGAAGACTGCAATTCTGATTGAAGATGAGTCAAGAAAAACTTTTTATTTTGAGCTATTTATATCTTACAAAAATTAAGTAAAGTATATTTTTGTGAGCAAAATTTACTATTCTCTTTACCTAAGTTCCAAAATTTGGAAACTATTTGTGAGTCTTCTTATTTTATATCAATACATTTATTTGCATAAGCTCAGCCAGAATATGTTTTCCTTTGTTACGGGACACAAGTGGAGACATTGGTTATTTTACCAAGGCTTTCACTGAAATGACATATTTTCAGATATGACCAGATTTTGTGGAGAAATTGAGGTTGACTTTATACAGCTGATAAAAAGCCCCTTGGAAAGACTGGCCTGTTACATTGTCTCAATGGTTCCCTTCAAGATTTCTGACGTGTATGTTAAGTAAAGATTATCACTTTCTAACAGGCCCTGGAGCTTCAAGATATTTGGGGACATTGAGAAGAGGGGAATTTGTACGGGTGTTATAAGCACAGTCTAATGGTGGATACTTGGGTTGGCTTCTGGCCTCAAGACTTTTAAAAGTCAAATCTCAAATTCCTTCTAAAAGTTCTAATAAAGCCACCTTAAAAGGAGCCTATATGGCTGACTACTATTCTTGCTATACCTGATGCAAATTATAATGATACTAAAATTTATTTTGCAAATAAATTGGTCCTACTATGATTTATTCTTGGTAGAAATGGGGAACCTGAAGGGAGAAAAATTTAGAATCTAGCTCTGCCCATTGTTTTGAGTTTTGATTATTTGCCCACAATTTGGGCTAACCCTGAATTATTGCTTGGCTACAGGTAGTCTCTAAAAAAGAAACAGGTTTTAATTTTCTTCATGATAATTTCAGTTGGTTCCTTAATGGAATAGGTTCTTTGTTGTTGTTGTTCTGGCATACAAATTTTCTTTTGATTGTAATCCTTGTGTACATTATTTTTCTGCTATTCAAATTGTTCATGTTATGTGACTCTCATTGTTTTACTTCTGTGAAAACCAAAGTCATGATATTGTGAAGACTAGAGATGATTCAACAGCCTGTAAATCTACTGCATTTGGAATTTCACTGGCCTGATTGGTTTTCCATTGCCAGTGCACTGCTGCTTAACCTCTACCATATCAAGCACCCTTCCTAAAGGCTCAGGGACCATCACAGAAGAGGAGGGCATGTGAGATTGAAAGAACCAAATTGGAGTGTGGGTGGAGGTGGAGCGTAGAAGCCAAAGGGACTCCAACTTGGATGCTAACCCAACAGATTGTCTTTGGATTAACCCTAGCTCTGGGAATACCTCTAAGATTTCCAGATTATCTATTATTCCTTGTGTAAGAGCACATACTTACCATAAATCCTGCCCTTAGTGCAAATTCATACCCATTCCCTCTGAAGCCCCTGTACCCCTCCTGTACAGTCTATATCTGTGGTCTGAGGGGGTAATGGTGTGAAGATCCACCATCTTGTCTTGCTGCTGATCAAGACACAGACATGGCTTCTATTCCTAAGTCCCCAGTAAATGTTTCTTTCTAAGGAAAAAAAATAAAATAAATGTTATGTTTATCTTTTTCTTACTGATTTGACATATAAATGGAATCATACAATATGTAGCATTTTTGGTTTAGCTTCTTTTACTTATCAAAATGCATTTGAGGTTCATTCATGTTGTTTTGTAAATCAACATTTTTTTTGTTTGTTTGAATTTTCAGTGGATAAGAACTACTCCTTTGTATCATAATTTGGTCATGCATTTACCAGTGGAAGGACATGGGTATTGTTTCCAAGCTTTGCTAGTGGTAATAGAGCTGCTATAATATAAACCTTTGTGTGCACATTTTGTGTGAATGTAAGTTTTCATTTATTTTGGGCAAATACCTAGGTGTGTGTTAGCTGGATCACCTGGTGAGTGTATTTAACTTTATAAGAAACTGCCAAATGTTTTTTCAGAAGGTTGTACCAATTTACATTTCTACCAGTAATGCATGAGAGTTCCAGTACCTTTGCCTAGGTATTGTCATTTTGTTTTTTAGTCATTGTAAGTGGTGTCAGTGGTATCTCAATGATGTTTTAACTTAATTTTCTCTGATGACTAATACTATTGAGTATCTTGTCCTATATATTTTGAGAATCTTTTCATATATTGTTTGCTATCTATTTGGGTAAAGTTTCTATTGACAAAATTTGCCTATTTTTAAACTTGGGCTTTTTTATTTTTTATTTTTCAGTTTTGAGAGTCCTTTATTCAGAATACAAGTTATTTGTAAGAAACAGGATTTACAAATATTTTCTTTTAGTCTGTGGCTTGTCTTCTCATTCTCTGAACTGTGTCTTTTGCCCAGCCAAAGTTACTAATTTTAATTATTGTTTTATTAATTAATGTATTTTATTTGTAAAAATTTAGTGGCTATAAGCACAGTTTTGTTACATGGCTATGTTGTGTAGTGGTGAAGTCTGAGCTTTTAATGTAAACAACACCTGAAGAGTGTACATTGTACCCATTAAGTAATTTCTCATTCCTCACCACCCCACTCTCTTACCCTTCCAAGTCTCCAGTGTCTAATATTCCACTCTCTATCTCCATGTGTACACACTATTTAACTCCCACTTACAAGTGAAAACCTGTGGTATTTGACGTTCTGTTTCTGAATAGTTTCACATAAGATAACGGCCTCCAGTTCCATCCATGTTGCTGCAAAATACATGATTTTATTATTTTCTACAAATGAATAGTATTCCATGATGTATATATATTTTAGACATATATATCATATCATATGATATATCACATCATATGATATATGAGGTTCAATTGATTCACAGTTCAGCATGGGTGGGGAGGCCTCAGGAAACTTACAATTATGGCAGAAGGTGAAAGGGAAGCAGGGCACCTTCTTCACAGGGTGGTAGGAAGAAGTGCTCCATATCATATCATATGATATATATGTCTAAAATATATATACACCATGGAATACTACATAACATAAAATATATATACACCTATAATATGTATTTTATATATTAAGCATAGTATATAAAATATATATATAATATGTGGACATAAAGATATATATTTATGTGTATATGTTAAATATACATTATATATACACATAAATAAATATTACATGTGTATATATTTACATGTGTATATATAATATATTTTATATTATATCTCATATATATTTAATATGTAATATATACTATTATATATATAATATATACTATATAATTTGTATATGTAATATGTAAATATGTATATATTTATATGTGTATATTATATATTATATACACATCTAAGATATATATGTGTATATTATATATTATATACACATCTAAGATATATATGTATATAATACATAATATATTTATATATAATTATATATAATAATACATATATACTATGTATGCATATAATATATAATACATGCATATAATATATCAAATATAATATATGCATATAATATATCAAATATATGTCATAAATATATATTTTATAATATATAAATATAAATAATATATGATATATGTGTATACATATATACCTAACATAACTCTTCTAGATACTGACTGTTTTGTAGGTATATACACACTGTGTAAAAAAAAAAAAAGTCAATATCTACAAGTGTTTTTTAGGTATGTGTTAGGTATACATACCCTGGTATATCTATTCATTCACGTTTTGTGATATGTATCCAGTCATCCCTTAATGGAGTCAGGTTCCATAGTTTTGCTATTGTGAATAGTGCTGCTATAAACACACAAATGCAGCCATCTTTTTGATGTAACGATTTCTTAATTATTTCTTTTCCTTTGTGTAGATACCCAGTAGTTAGATTGCTGGGTTGAATGTTAATTCTATGTTTAGTTCTTTGAGAAATCTCCATTCTGTTTTTCATAGATGTACAAATTTAAATTCCCATCCACAGCATAAGAGCATTCCCTTTTCTCCATATCTTCACCAACAACTCTTATTTTTGACTTTTTAAAATAGACACTTTAAGTGGTGTAATTAAAATGGTGATAGCACATTGCCGTTTTAATTTTCATTTCTCTGAATTAGTGACGTTGAGCATTTTTTATATGTTTTTTGGCCATTTGTAGGTATTATTTTAAGAAATATCTGTTTCTGCCCTTTGCCTACTTTTAAATAGGGTTGTTTCTTTTGTTTTTTGTTGTTGTTGGGTTACTTGAGTTTCTTGCAGGTTCTGGATATTAGTCCTTTGAAGGATGCATAGTTTGCAAATATTTTCTCTCATTCTGTGAGTTGTCTATTCACTCTGTTGATTATTTATTTTGCTGTGCAGAATCTTTTTAGTTTAATTAAGTCCCATTTGTCTATTTTTTATTGCATTTGCTTTTGAAGTCTTAGTCATGAATCATTTTCCTAGGTCAATATCTAGAATAGTTTGTGTATTACTCTGTCTTCATACTGCTACAAAGAACTGCCTGACATTGGGTAATTTATAAAGGAGGAGGTTTAATTGATTCACAGTTCAGCATGAGTGAGGAGATTTCAGGAAACTTATAATTATGACAGAAGGTGAAAGGGAAGCAAGGTACCTTCTTCACAGGGCGGTAGGAAGAAGTGCTGAGCAAAGGAGGAAAAATCCCTTATAAAACCATCAGATATCCTGAGAACTCACTCACTATCATGAGAACATCATGGGGGAAACCACCCCTATGATTCAATTACCTCTACCTGGTCTCTCCCTTGACACGTGTAGGGATTATGGGATTATGGGGATTACAATCCAAGATGAGATTTGGGTGCGGTTACAAAGCCTAATCATATCAGTTTGTATAGGTTTTCTTCTAATATTTTCATAATTTCAGGTTTTACATTTAAATATTTAATCTATCTTGAGTTAATTTTGTATAAGGTGAGAGATAGGAATTCAGTTTCATTTTTCTGCATATGGCAATCCAATTTTCCCAGCACCATTTATTGAATAGGTCTTTCCCCAGTGTATGTTTTTGTTGACTTTATCAAATATCAGATCCATGTAGTCAATAAGTATGTGCCTTTATTTCTGGGTTCTCTATTCTGTTCCATGCATCTATGTGTCTATTTTTATACCAGTACCATGATATTTTGGTTACTATAGCTTTGAAGTATAATTTGAAATCAGGTAATGTGATGCCTTCAGATTTGTTCTTTTTCATAGGATTGCTTTAGCTATTTACCCTCTTTTTTTGGTTCCATGTGAATAGTTGAATTGTAATTTCTAATTCTGTGAAAAAATGTCATTGGCATTTTGACAGAAATTGCATTGAATCTGTAGATTCCTTTGGGAGGTATGGTCATTTTAATAACATTAATTATTCCAATCCATGAGCATAGGTTGTTTTTCCATTTGTATGTGTTCCCTATAATTTCTTTCATCAGTGGTTTTTGTTCGTTTGTTTGTTTTTTCTTGTAGAGATTGTTCACTTCTTTGGTTAAGTTTATTCCTAGGTATTTTTTATAGCTATCGTAAATGAGATTGACTTCTTGATTTAGTTCTCAGCTTGATCGTTATTGGTGTATAACAATGCTACTGACTTTTGTACATTAATATTGTATCCTGAAACTGTGCTGAATTTATTTATCAACTCTAGGAGATTTTTGGATAAATCTTTAGGGTGTTCTAGGTATTAGATCATATAATCAGCAATGAGGGACAATTTGACTTCCCTTCCAATTTGGATACCATTTATTTTTTTTTCTCTTGCCTGATTGCTCTTGCTAGGACTTCCAGGACTATGTTGAATGAGTGTGGAAAGTAGGCATCCTTCTGTTGTTCCAGATCTTAGAGGGAATGCTTTCAGCTTTCCCCTGTAAAGTATGATGTTGGCTGGGGGTTTGTTGTATATGACTTTTATTGTTTTGAAGTATGTTGCTTCTATACATACTTTGTTGAGGGTTTCATGAAGGGATGCTGAATTTTATCAAATGCTTTTTCCATATCTATTGAGATGATCATGTGGTTTCTGCCTCTATTGAGATGATCATATGGTTTTTGTTTTTAATTCTGTTTAAATGGTGAATCACATTTATTGATTTATGTAGGTTGAACCATCCTTGCATCCTTGGGATAAAACCCACTTGATTTTGTTATATTATCTTTTTATGTACTGTTGGATTTGTTTTGCTATTTTTTTTGAGGATTTTTGCATATATGTTCATCAGGGATATTTGTCTGTAGTTTTCTTTTCTTGTTTTGTCCTTGCTTGGTATTAGGGTAATCATTTGGTGTTAGGCTGATACTGGCTTTAAGGAAAAGTTAGGAAGGATTCTCTCCTCCATTTTTTGAAAGCGTTTAAGGAGGATTGGTGCCAATTCTTTTTTGTATGTTTTGTAGAATTTAGCTGTGAATCCACCTGGTCCTGGGCTTTTGTGTGTGTGTGTGTTTGGAGATTTTTTATTACTGATTCAGTCTTGCCACTCATTGTTGGTCTGTTCAGGTTTTCCATTTCTTCCTGGTTCAGTCATGAGAGGTTGCATGTTTCCAGGAACTTATCTATTTCCTGTAGGTTTCTCATGTGTTAGTGTATAGTTATTCATAAGATCTCTGATGATATTTTGTATTTCTGTGGTATAAGTTATAATGTCTCCATTTTTATTTTTTATTTTGTTTACTTGGGTCTTGTTATTTTAGCTAGTGATTATCAATTTTGTTTATCTTTTCAAACAACCAACTTCTTGTTTTGTTGATGATTTTTATTTTTATTTTGGTTTTTATTTCACTTAGTTCTGATACAAGGTTTGTTATTTATTTTCTTGTGTCTTTTTTCTGTAGTTGGTATTCTCATTCATTGGTTTATCTATCATTGCACAAATACCTGTGTAGTTATTTTTAATTGCTCCCTTTCCTACTAGATGTTAAATTGGTAAACTCAAATTTCTTTTGCTCATTATGTCAGTATTAGCACTTAGGACAATGTCACAGAATGAAGTTAATATTTTCTAAATACATAAAGTAATTAAACCTTCGATTATAAAAATAGACACGTTTCACATTTACATTTTTGGTTTATCTTGTTATTCTCTAAGGAGCATTATCCAGCTTTACCTTTTTCTAAGTGGCTATTTGCCTTGACACCATATGCCAAATAATCTATCTTTTCCTCCAGTAATTTGAAATGTCATTGTCAATAAAAGATGGGGTATACTAAATGCCCCTTTTGTCTTGGGTCTATGTTTAGACTATATTCTCTCTATTGGTCTTTAACAGGAGAAATTTTAAATTCAAAGTAGTATAAACTGTAGAGTCTAATGTTAACATTTTTTAGCACTAAAAAATCTAAGCAACTAATACTTTCATGTTTAATGAAAAAATATAATGTGTAAATACAGAAAAATGGATTGTATTTATTTACTCTCCATTAATTGTTGGCAGAAATGATTTACTTGCAAGTTTGCAAATAACTTGTTACTATAGCCTGAAGGACTAATTAAATGAAAAACTTCAAAATCTTCAAAATGAAAAACTTCAAAATGCATCTCATTACCAAATATTAGTCTAACAACATTATTTTAAGCAAAATTATTAAATATTGTCAAAAAATAAAGTTTCAACTAAAATACTGCTATGATTTGCATAAAATTGTGAGTATTTAGCATGATATTAAAAATATTTATTGGTCTGTTTTGTGTTTATGTGCCTTTGTAAGCAGGTATAATACCTATTGTGTTTAATTTGTGTGCTTCAGGAACTAAGGGGAAAAGTATGAATGTGTAATTAGAAGACTTACATTTTAGCATCTTGTCTTAGTTTACAAATGGGTGAAATAATAAAATCTTCTCTGCCTCTTTCACAGGGTATGTGAACATGCTTGTTAAAAAGAGTCCCATTTAATTATAACCTATAGCTACTACCTGGGCATTTTGAGCTCCTGTGTCCAGCAAGAAACAAACAAGAAAACTCTCTTTTCTGTAATAAAGATACCACAGCTGGCATTGTCACTGTGATTGGAGATACTATTTGATTGCGCTTGCAGTAGTCTGTAATCGTCATTGAGATTGCATCTGGTTTCTGCAGCATCCACACTAGAGAATCAAATGGAGACATGATGGGGACCTCTGCCTCTGCCTCCTTTAGATCTTTAATGGTGGCACCAATCTTTGCCATTCTCTGCTTGCCAGGATGCTATATTGCTTTGAGTTCACTATTTTGCCTTGGGATGGTCATGTTTCAAGGTTTCCACTAGACCTCCACATGATAGTTTTTTTCCCACAGACCATGATTCCACTGTGGGGGGTATGCTAATTTTCAATGATACTAATTCCAATTTTACATACATGAACTGGTGAAATGACCACTGTAAACTGGATATTGTCTAGGACTCCATTTATTACCCGAGTCCTATGTGTCTTCACTTTAATTTTGTGGCCATGATGATGTTTCAGGTCTCAGAGTCTCAATGTCAACTCATATCCTGTGTCCAAGAATTTTTAAAATGTTTATGCATGTTGCACCATCTCTTGGGATCCTTGCCAGCTGTCAGATTCTTTATATCAGGAGAATGCTTCAAAATCAATGAACTCTCTCTTATCAAATTGCATGTTCTTAGCACCTTTGTTTAAGTATCCTGAGGATCCTGTTCCATAAGCACTTGCAAGCCAGGTTGTGCAGCTCCTTAGGCATATAGACTCTTTCCTGCCATATTAGACCCAGCATGTTTCCAGTTTGGTTATGCTATGATTTAACCTTTAGGTACAGGCCTACAGGTAGAGGAAAAGTCTGGAGGAATGCATCTGTTCCCTTGTGAGAGAGATGCCTGGCATTGTCTTCCCACTTGGAGGGATGTAGTGCCCACTCTTATTGGGGAAAGCTGAAGCACTTCTGCAAACACAGAAGACTCAGAAGAGTCTGGGCAGATAAAATTTTTAGAGGCCTCCACCATGATATTTTCATTTAGGTTTTTCTGATCTAGGTCCTGACCTTGGCATAACAGACCTGACTTAATTGTGTTTAACTTTCTTTGAAATTCAGACACTGGCCTTATTAAGTCTTAACTTAGATTTATCCATACTCCCATTGCAGATGAGAGCTCAATTGCGTGAAAACAAAGAGACCCACTGGCATTTGCCAGTGACTTTCAATTGCTTGTTATTGGCCATCATCAGTTCGTTATATTTCTGGAGCACATCAATCATGCTTCGCAATAATATTCAATATTGTTATTTTTAGAGCTCCTAATTTCTTAATGTCTTTTAATGGACAGCTAATTATATTCTTCCACAAATGCACCATTTCCATTTAGCGCTGGTGAAAATTTTAAAAATTGGACCATCACTTTGTGCTAAAGGCTGCCTGTGCTTTACCTGCTACCAGCAATGGAGGTGGGGGGGGGTCCTCATTATCAGCCAGGTGTGAGCAATTTGCCTCCAAAATCCCATCTTACCACCATTTTAGGTGGTTACTCGTAGTAATGACTGCTGTAGGTTGGGTTCAAAGGAAACAGCCACTAGAATTTTGGGTGCAAATGCTTATTATGGATTAACGCCTGTGAAAGAAAAAGTGGGGTTTGGTAGAGGGAAAAGTCAAATTGTGATGCCGGCTTGACAAAAACAAACCCAACGGGAAGCTCTAGAGTTGACATTTATACTTTTGCTTCACTCAGTCATCATATGCTGGGTTGACCCAGCAAGAATATGATCTTGGCAGGATGGCTTTCTGCAGGTAAGGCAGATCATTGAGGTGCTTACAGGTGGAAGCTGTCTGTTGACTGTACTCCCCACAGCTGTCAAACAAATTTTTCCCTGAAGGGAACTAGATGGCGCATCTCTGTGTCTCAATATGTTCACATACAAGCAGAGCAGGCCATTACTAGACAATCTCTCTAGCACATTTCATGGTCAGTATTAAAGTGACAGAACTTGGTTTTGCCAATTTTCACCTTTGGTGAAATACTCATGGTACCACTAGACCTCAGATTTTCTTTTTGTTTGATGGTTTGTATATTTGTTTGCTTTTTATCTTTAAAATGGTAGTGCTTTCTGGCCAACACATATCCTGATGAGTGACTATGATAATCAGAGGAATAAAGCTAATTTTAAACACACACACACACACACACACACACATTGTAAATGACAAAGCCCTATACCAAAGTAACATGTTAGTGCTAATGGCTGTTTTCCTTTTACTGATTTCTAGGGCTAGGTATCTAGAGCCTTTTTCTTCCCCTAACGTTCTTGTTTGATGTCTTGCTCTCTGATTTGGAACCAAAGTTAGACCTGAGAAATCAAGTTGGGCCTGACAGGGCAGATTATAAGGTCTTTATCATCCTATCAGATGGTCCTTTTCATGAACAAGAGAACATATTCCCTTGAAACTGAATATTGGGTAAAACTATTCATATTTCCCAAAATGAGATATATAGGAAGTAATGGTGGGGCCAGCCAGTCCATCTCCATAACTCAGAAACACCTGGCACAGTTAGCATAATCCATTTGTGCCAATAAAATCCAGTGTGTCCTGACACAGAATTCTTCCAGCTGTCATAAAGGGACTTGGGTACCTTTGGATACCATATGCTGGCAATAAGTCTAGCCTAATAGCCAAGTTCATGGTCCCCTCATTGCTTTTAAGTCATTCCTAAGCATCACAAGGACCCCCTCAAAACTACCATTTAGCTGTCACACATGTCAGCAGAGGCAAGCTAAGGGATGATGAATAACAGGACCACCAAAAATAACACGGGCCAATATGTTCCCTACCAACTCTTTTTCTCTGAAAATGCAGATCTTACACAGCATTAAGTGGTGAAGATAAAGGCAGTACTGCCAGTGAAATGTCACCATTAGATGTGTTTTCTTATCCAAGATACCCACCTACTTGGGTCACAAGCCCAGGGATGCTAGTCTTCCTGAAGAGGCAGGTGACAGGAAAGATTTAGGAAAGAACAGCCTGTCAGTGAGTGAAGTTAGTGAAGAGAAGCCAGACTCTCCTATACAACCCCTTACTCCTACAAGAGATTTTAAATGGCGTGATGTGGGCCTACTGCCCTTGCTGGTGGCAGTATAACATGACAGATTGGCTTGATATTCCTACTCATGTCCTACATTTAATGCAGGCGGGGGTGCTTTGTGACTTTTTTTTTTAACCTAAAATGCATTTTCTCCATTTCTTCAACCTCATGATCTCCCCAACATCCCTCTGACCACATCTTCTACCATTCAATTCCAGCCACCCTAGCCTCTTGGTTAATCCTCAAATCTACCAACCTGCTCCTCTTCCTGGGTCTTCAGTGTTATTGCTCCCTCTTGTTTAAATGCTTTTCTCCTAGATATTTGCAAGACTTGCTCTCTCCTTGGCCTGTTAATGTATCAGAAATGCTGCCTCCTCTTCCATTCCTTTCTCTGTTTTATTTTTCTCCATAGCAGTTATCGCCACTTGATTAGTATGTATTTATTATTAACTTATCTGTTCATCCCCTCTTTGTCACTAGCCCTCTGTTTGAGATGAAAGCTCCATGAGAACAGGGGTTATGTCTATTTTTGCACTGCTGTCACAGAACAACAACTCAAATATTGTTGAATATTGAAGGCTATGCAACTTCTTCCTCATGCCCAGTTAAAATGTCTTTATTTTCCCTTAAGCCATCTCTCATCTCCAACCTCTATCCTGGTCTTCTCATGTCTTTCATTGGTTCTATAATAATTTCTTAAGACATTTGACACTTCTTCCTAGATCATGTGATTGTAATAAATATCAAAGCTATTGACATTTCATCTTATTATACTATAAGCCCCTCAAAGTGTGGGCTGTTTAATGTAATTCTGAATCCTCTCTAGTACATTGATCTGTGCTTATTAAGTATTTGGAAGATAGGTGAATGTCTGTAGTGTTAATAATTTAATTCGTTTGTTCATTTACTCATTTGCTTAATAAAAGACTGGCAATCATTGCGCTAAATGCTGCTTCTGTAGTGAATGAAGCAGAAACCAAACCAAACCAAACCAAACAAGACCATCAGTAGGCCATCATGTAATAAGTACATATGTTTTACCAAGTATTTTTCATAGGTCATTGTTACATATATTTAATCCTTATGATAGTTCAAAATGATATTATTATTCCCCATTTAAAGGATGGGCAAAATAGAAACACAAAGATGTTGAGGGTTTTTTTTTTTCCTCTTGGATTTTTATCTCTATCTCTCCACTATCAAATATGTCTTAAGCAATGTGCCATGTATTCTGGCTTTGTACAAAACCTGATGTCTAAGAATAATAACCGCTTTAGGATATTTGATGATTATGTTTGCATGACACTGACACAAATCTGTTGTGGGCAGAGGATGATTGCTGATAATGGGATAAATGTCTCTGTAAACTCTCTCTCAGAGCCTGTGTAAAGAGGTCCAGCACTGTGGCTCAAAGGCAGGGGGGCTCCTTGATTGAACACTCAATGTTTGTCCCAAAACAGATCTTTCCTACTGTTTTCGGCACCTGTCTTGGCTTCTGTGGCTTTTGACGTCGATGACCTATACCAGTGGCTCCACCTTGGAGGCCACTCTCAGGCTACTGGAACCACTTTGTCCCTCAAGTATAAAAAGTGGGCAGTGCCTGGGAATTTATACCTCACCCTACTCATTTCTAAGGGTGATCCTTAGCCAATGAATACCTATGGGTGAGGAGGTTTAAAAGCCCAGCTCTTTGCCTTAGGTTGCAATAGTGCTGAGACATAATTTATACTTCCATACTTCCAGGGTCTCTCTGTTAGATCAGATTGAGTTTCAGCTCTGAAAGCTTTGTGTGAAATTGCACTGTTGCTTCCTTTTGCTTTTTGCTTTCCTTACTTACTAGTTTTTCCTCAAACTTATTTAATAAATCACTTGCATACAAATCCTTATCTCAGGGTCTCCTTTTGAGGAATCCAACTGAAGATCGTTGCCTAGTAGGAAGCATTAGTTAAAATGTTCTTCATGGGAAAGGAATTGTGCCTTCTATATGAAAGCTACTCTGCCCTTTTGGAGGAAGCTGCTTGCCTCTGGGTTAGAGCTGGTCCTTCAGGGTATTTCATGGCTATCTCTTAGACAGATAGTGGTTCTACTCTAACCTAGATTGGAAATAAAACAAATGGAAACTGTTTCTTTAGACTGTATATTGTATGTGGTTGCCCAAAACACACAGGCACACAGACATACACACACACTCATGATCAAATGAAATGAAATCAGGCTGGGCGTGGTGGCTCATGCCTGTAATCCCAGCACTGTGAGAGGCTGAGGCAGGTGGATCACAAGGTCGGGAGATCAAGACCATCCTGACTAACATGGTGAAATCCTGTCTCTACTAAAAATACAAAAATTAGCCAGGTGTGGTGCATGCCTGTAGTCTCAGCTACTCAGGAAGCTGAGGCAGGAGAATCGCTTGAACCCAGGAGATGGAGGTTGCAGTGAGCCAAGATCACGCCACCGCACTCCAGCCAGGGCAAGAGAGCAAGACTCCATCTCAAAAAATAAATAAATAAATAAATAAATAAATAAATAAATAAATAAAATCAATAAGTATAGAGAAATTTATTTGAACTCTATTCATTACTGGACATTCATCACTTTCCACGGATTCTACTAAAGACCTAGGATATAAAAGTAACATAATTTCTACCTTTGGGAAACTAACAATGTGTGGGGCAAAATAGGGACGTGATCAATAAAAACACAGGACAGCTGGGTAAGTGCTACAGTAAAGGCTGGTATCAGGTGCTGAGGGACCAGAAAAGGGAGCTATGCATTTGGGTAGGGAGAAAAAACTAGGACAGTTTCACTGAAAAGGAGATATTTGAGCTGGTTTCTGAAGGAGAGAAAAAATTACCACAAATAAAGGAGAGTATTGCCCTGATAGAATACTGAGAGTGAAGAAGCATAATTTATTGAGGAATTCATTTATATCTTATTTATGTTTTGTACCTCACCCCCCACAACAATTGTTTCTATTTCTAATAAATCAAGCAATCAATCAACCTACAGGGAAGTTGGAGGTCTGCAAACCTCCTTGGCTTGGATAATGAGCACATCAACAGAGACTAGCAGTGACCAGTATGGAGGACATTAGAGGAGTCTCTCTGAATGCTCTGCTTAACATAAAATTTTAAAGAACTGCAGGAGGAGGAGTTGGGTGGAGTGACAGCCCACAATGACTGAGTGAATTTGCCTTCAACCTGGCAACATGGGTGCAAAGTCAGATTTATTTTAATTTAAAGAGCACAAAGAAGAAGGATATTTCTTCTGTATCTGAGCTTGCGAAGTAAAATAATTATTGCTGGTCTGTTGAACGTGGGAAACTATGAGTAGTTTCCTTGCTCAAGTGTAGGATGCAAGGGGAGAGGAGAGCCGAGGCCAGGATGAGAAGCTGAGATGTGCACTGATTGAGAGCCATTAAATATCTTTAACTAGAACAATAACAGGATCATGCTGCTGCTTGGGAGGGAGTAAAGATTGAGTGGAAGGCCCCTACCTGTGGGTTGCAGTGATAGGCACTAATAATGAAGAAGGCAGCGGTCTATCCTTGCTCAAGGGTTTCCCATTCCTCTGGAGAAATGAGACTTGCTCTAAAAAAGTATTAATAGCTAGTTGCACAACTAATGCTATAGGAAAAAGTGGTTGTCAGAGGCTACTCACTTAGCTCCTGTTTTGTTTTCTACCCTTTTGTTCCACTGAGTCGGAAGATCAATTAAGATCGTCAGCCTTGACGGCTCAGACTGAGCTGTTTGGTAAGGACTTGAATAGAGTCACATTTTCCACTTCTTGATCTTTCTAGACATTTGATGGCAAAACCATTACCTGTTGAATTCCATATGCTTTTCCATTCCCTCATGATTTGCCAGAATCTATTACTGACAACCTGACCAGACAGCACAGTTGAATAAGTCATGAATAGACACTTGGCTCCCACCCAGTCACATTTCCTGCCTCCTAGGTCAGGTCAGTCCTATAGACTGGATCTTTACCTCTCCATGTCCATAGACTGTTATATTTTCTAGAGTAGTTTTCCAGTTTTCTAGAGTTGGGGTTCACAACATAACCTCCAAATACTTGGTTGGCATTCTAATGCCCACCTTAACCCCCACCTGACTGCTAGATTCTGTATTCTGTGTTCTTAGCATGTTTCCCAGTATCCTGACACAAGTGGCAAATCACTCATAAGACACACTAATCAGGATACTTGACTCCTAAATTTGTGAGGCTGCCTTGATCTTTGGACTGTCCTCTTGATATAATGTCTCAGTACTGACCTCCTCTGGCATCCTGAGACCGCCATACTGCCATACTCACTTTCCCTAGATCCATGTCCCAAAGCCTCCTCTATAACTGAGAAGACTTCTTAGACCCTGATAGTTTCAAATCTTGTTTATTGCCCCTCCAACAACTTAAGAATGTGGAAAGGATCTAAGTAGTAACTGGTGAGGTACATGACTGGGATTATGGAGAAGGAATCAAAAGAAAAAGATGGAGAGAAGAGATCACCTAGACATCACTGCACAGTTGAGATTCCCAGTCACTATTCACTGATTTTTGATTTTCATTTGATCTCAGCACATACACACAACAAGACTCTAGCCTTCCCAGGAGATGAGGTTCTGAAAGCTTTGACAAAGTTCTCTTTATGTGATAGGAGATGGCTCTGCTGTGGGACTCTCACATTTCATGGTGACAGGATGAAAAGTGGCACTTGCGAGGGTGGATGCTGAGCAAGAGAATGATTTAGAGCATCTCTGTGATGATGTTTTGCCATTTTAAAATAGTTTAATGCTGGTTCTTTAGAGCAGTAATTTTCTAACCTCTTAAAAATTCTGCATTGAACCTCTTCTGTCAAAGGAAATCTTATGTAGAAAACTAATACAGAAAACATACAAAACAGAACTGCTCAGAGTGAAGCAGTTGTGTCATGCCTGAACCCTGGCCAAAGGCTTTTATTCCCAACTCTCCAGCTATGGTGCACCCAAGGCTTGCAAAGCCTTCAGTATGATAGCCACAGAGCAGAGGAGACAAGCTGGCATCCTAAAAACTGGATCTTAAAAACATAAATGTGTGTGGTTTGGATCCTAGAACATTTTACAAAGACTGGAGTCAATATTTAATCAATGACCTAATTCATATTAAAATTTCAATTTTCTATCTTGTGTTGCATATTTTAAAGTTCATTCAATATAAAGTGTGAATTCTCATGTAATAATATTATTTCAGAAAAGAATTGCAGTATATAAGTCAGATGTGTTAGTGAGGTTCATTAGGGAAACAGAATCAACAGAATATATTGTTTGTTCTCAGATCACTTTGTTAAGATAGTGTGTATATAGATATACACATAATTTATATATAATATATTTAATTTTTATACATATATGAATAATATATTTTCATATATATTCTCTCTCTATATTACATATATGTATATATATATTATATATATATGTACAGAGAGAGAGAGAGAATATATATATAGAGAGAGAGAGAAAGAGAGAAGGGAGGAGGGAGAGACAAAGAGAGAGAGTTGCAGTTTGAGTTTGATGGCAGTCTACTGGCAGAATTCTCCCCGCCTCATCTGGGTTGGTCAGTCTTTTCTCTATTAAAGCCCTTAACAGATTGAACAAAGCCCAACCACATTATAGGGTAATCTGCTTAACTTAAAGTTTACTGACTTAAGGCTAATCTTATCTAAAACATGCCTTCACAGACATATCTAGGATAATGTTTGACTAAATATCTGAGTACCATGACCTAATCAAGTTGATACATGAAATTTACAATCACAGACAGCCATCCCTTTAATTTAGTTATTTTAAAAAGCATGTTATTGACTTAAAAAATCTCTCTTTGGTTTTTTAAGTATTGTGATAATTATAAATATACAGAAAACCTGGAAGTACAGTACAAAGAATTTTATTCTCTCTGAATGAATATAGAATAGGCTGCCAAGTTGATGTCCCATTTCTCTTAAATACTTTGGGAGGCATTTTGTGCAAACAAGGCCATTCTCCTACAGGGTCTCAACCCAACTATCAGAATCAGAAAATTATATTATCATGTTATATCCAACCCTCAGACCTCATTCACATTTGGCAAATATCTCCATTATGTTCTATATGGTAGAGGAATCCTGTTCAGAATGAGGCACTGCATTCAATTGTTGTGTCTCTTTAGTCCAGGGTCTGGAACAGTTTTTCTTACTCTTTCCTTAATTATTGTAACCTTGACACTTTTGAAGATTACAGGCAGATTATTTTATAGAATATCCCTTAATTTGGGTTTGTCCAGTGTTTCAAATGGTTAGATTTAGTTCACACATTTTTGGTAGGCTTATTCCTTTCATTGCACCCTTTAAAGTAGTGCTCAATTTTTGTTTGTCCTATTACTGTTAATGTTAAATTAGATCAGTTAGTTAAGGTAGTACCTTCTGGGCTGCTCCAATGTAAATTCACTCTTTTCCAATTTATAATTACTAAGGAGTTTATAGGGAGACACTTTGAAATTATGTAAATATCTTGTTCTTCATCGAACTTTCAACTTATTAACTATTTATAGACTTATTTCATATTTTATTAAATTGGATATAATCCAATACTATCATTATTCATTCTTACATCATCCTCTCTTAGGCCAGCTGGCCTTCATGTCCTTTTGACATGTTCCCATTACTTCTTAAACACTTCCCTGAATTTCTGGTACAAAACAATACTCTGTGTTTATCATGTACTTACTCTACTCCAGTGCTGGAATCATCTATTGTTTAAGGTGTTCTTGTTCCATTTAGAGAAGAAACCACAATCTTGAATTAGGTGTACTCACTGCTATTGAATTATCATTTTTCCCAGGCCCTGTCAGTGGATAGAGGTAGAGAATGAATAAATAAGCAACTTACACACACGTATTTCTCTATCTCTATATATTTAAAACCATGGGCAAACACCAACGTTGCCATTTATTTTTTTCATTTTTTTTTTTTTTTTTTTGAGACAGAATCTCAGTCTGTTGCCCAGGCTGTAGTGCAATAGTGCAATCTCGTCTCACTGCAACCTCCGCCTCCTGGGTTCAAGCAATTCCTGTGCCTCAGTTTTTGAGTAGCTGAGATTACAGGTGTGCGCCATCACATCTGGCTAATTGTTTTTGTATTTTTAGTAGAGACAGGGTTTCACTATGTTGGCCAGTCTGGTCTTGAACTCCTGACCTCAGGTGATCTGCCCACTTCGGCCTCCCAAAGTGCTGAGATTACAGGCATGAGCCACCACCACGCCTGGCCTAATGTCACTATTTCTAATTCACCCCCATAGGATGCATTATAGTTTGCCCATCTTTCATATTTGTACCACAACTACACCATGACTTTGAAATACTATCAAACAAACTCCACTGATGTTCAAGACAGCGTGCATTCTGCCACAGTCTCAGTGGATGTCTAGAGCTCTTTTTTTTTTTTGATCAGTAAATACAATAGTCAAAATAAGGCTTCTTTAGGGAGGTCAGGAGTAATTCCTGGGCATTAAGTTTAAGAAATGTTTAATTTGGTAGTTCCAGGTTACTATTATTGTATGAAATAAAGCAGTGACCAGCTAGTTGAAAAGAGCTCATGTTTCAAACAAATACATGTCAATACTGTCTAATGGTACTGGGAACAAAAACAATAATAATACTACATATTTTAATACACTATCTACAATGTGTCAGATACTAAGTGCTTTATAAAGATTTTCATATTTGATCCTGATAATAAACTTGAGAGAGAGATATTATTATTCCAATTTACAGAAAAGGAACTAAAAGTCAGAGGAAAGAGATAAAATATATGACTTCTATTGCATTTTATTTATCTTATTAAAAACATCCTTATTAATCTTATTAAACATATCTATTGCATTTATTATCTTATTTAATAAAATGCATAAACTGCTTCTTTGTCTACTTAAAGCTTCTAGAAAGAGTCGGTTACTCAGAGGATCTAGCACTGGGAATCAATTAACTCACAAAACATAATGGTTCCTAAAAATACCTTTGAAGACAGATACAAATGGGTTCAAAATTTGGTTTTACCACTTGTCAGCTATAAGTAGACAAGGAAGCAACTGATTATGCCACAATTAATGGCAATTCAGGAATCTGTAAAATTGACCAAGAGGAGACTGGCCTTCTCTAACCCGGATGTGTGTGTGTATGTGTTTGTGCATTTCTATCAGCCACCAGGAAAAGTGAATCAATGGGGATTCAGACATTCATTTATGACTATAGTGACCACTGAGTCAGTAGATCTCTTTTACACATCACCCACCCCATTATAAAGTTTAATTCTCTGTTAGTGACATTAAATCCTTCTTGATCTCTCTTCTCTCTTGTGGTCTCAAGGAGAAATTTTCAGTCTCTTAATCTTTTTCAATTTTGCACTCAAAAACACATGTTGCTGAGACATGATCTTTTATTTCTACTGTTTCAATATTACAATATGATATACTATATCATGGACAGAACCATCAAGGGACATTTCCTACACATATTTAGGACCTAACAATTCCTCCTTATAGCCTAGTAGTTGAGATGTGGACCCTGGAATTGGATTGCCAGGTTTTGACTTTTTCTACCCTACTTTCTAGCTTGGGCAAGTTATTAACCTGTCTATTCCTCATTTTTTTCAACTTTAAAATGGGGGAAATATCTGTCACTTAGAATTAATATGATTAATTAAATGAATTACTATTCCAAATAACTTAGAACACTCCCAGGCTCTGAATAAATGTAACTATATTATTTTTACTATTAAATCCAACAGCAACAGTAAATATCATTATTGTTTATTTCAAATAATAAAGTTCCCTCCTTGTTAGAAGTCCTCTCTGTGTTGGGATTTTAATTCTAAGAGGAAGGATTTTGTTCCAATTAAAACCATTTTTTGAAATCCTCAAGAAATTGTTCATTGGACATCTGCATTTATTTCAAATCTGTTCTATCAATATATTCTGAATAATTCATGTAATCGAATAATAAAGGCATACGTTGATTCATGTATACTAAAAATCAAGGATCAATATTTATAATTTGAACTTTTTTGGTTTGTTCCACTTTAGTTGTAGAGTTCAAATAATTTTGAGCTTTGTTACAAAATTTGTTTCCAAAGCTAGCTTCCAACATATTTAAAATATGTTTTTTGTATGCATACACATGCTCATTTCAATTGCATCCAACTGAATTAAATGGCACTAACAGTTGCATAGTGCTCACAATATATCAGGCACTGCACCAATCATTCCATATTTGTTATCTTATTTAGTCCTAGTCACAACTGAAAGAGATGTTTATAAATATCTTCATTTCGTGGATGAGGATATTGAGATTCCGAGTAGTTAAGTAACTTGCTTGATGCCATATGGCTGGTAAGAGGAGCAACGGGCATTTAAAGCTCAGTCCTCTTTACTCAGGCTTGCGCTCTTGAACCACAGCACACTAGCTCAAATCTCTAAATATGCAACTCCAGGTAGCAGCCTGTAGGTGGGAGAGTTCATTCTTGGGATGGAGAGCCATTCTCCTGACACTGAAATTGTGACATCAAAGTCTATCACCTATTTTAGTTACAGACAAAGCTTCTACCCTGACCACTTGGTGGATGAAGGAGAAAAAGAAGATTGCTATGGGGACTTTAGGAGTTTCAAAATGTGAGAAGGATAGGATGGTGAAGTTATTTATTTTCAGCTTTGATAGAAACACAGGAAGGATGATGATGGAGAGAAGAATTATGATAACACAAACTATCTTTTCCTCAAACTTGGTGGTGTCACTGATATTCATTCTTGCCATTATTTTGAAAAATAACATAATTTTAGGGAAAAAGGAAACACTGAAATATGCATATTGACTGTAACAAGCATCATGATTTCAGAAATATTAAAGTGTGAATTCTAGAATGCAGTGATTAATAAAAATCTCCCGGTTTTTCCTTAATACTTTACAAGGTCATTGGGGATAAGGATAATGATGATCAAATGAATTCACTGACTGTAGATCTGTGACATTACTAGAGGTCATTTAGCTATGCTTTTGTTAAGAACTGGTTCCCAGCCAGGCATAGTGGCTCATCCCTGTAACCCCAGCACTTTAAGGGGCTGAGGCAGATGGAACACTTGAGGTCAGGAGTTCGGGACCAGCCTGACCAACATGGAAAAACACTGTCTCTACTAAAAACACAAAAATTAGCCAGGTGTGTTGGTGCACGACTGTAATTCCAGCTACTTGGGAGGCTGAGGCACGAGAATTGCTTGAACCCAGGAAGCGGAGTTTGTAGTGAGCCAAGATCACGCCACTGCACTCCGGCCTGGGTGACAAAGTAAGACCCTGTCTCAAAAACAAAAACAAACAAAAAAACTGGTTCCCAAGTTCTGTTTGGTTGAGGATCTTATGAAAAATGCTTTTGCACTTATTTTACCATTGAATACAAAGACAACTAAGGAGATCACATCTAAGAATGTCATGGAAGTACAAATATTTGCAATCACTGAATCCGCCATTATCTCCTACACATAAAGCAATACTATATGAATTTTACTCACTGCTTAAAAATTCCTTCTCCATCAGACTCCCAAAACTATTTAGAGCAGTGTGAAAAGTTTTACAAACTGATCCATAATACATAACAGCCTCACACATTCTCCAGGAAGACAGCATGTGTGTGGAGAAAGAAGGCTTTCTTTAGATTCAGAGAGGATCACGTTTAAAATATAGCTTCTCCTCTTACTAGCCATCAACCTTTGGAACCTTCAGGGTCTTAAGTTCTCTAAGCTTCTAGGTCTAGAATAGGAGAAAAAAAAACCTCAAGGATTACTTCAAAGAATAAAGAAAATTATGTATGTAAAGCTCTTTATCTGTATTAGGTATTTAACAAAATAATAATAATAAATTATTACATACTGCTTACCATGGCAAAGACAATTTTCTAAGCACTTTACATGTTAACTTATTTGCCTTTCATAAAACGTTGTGAAGGGAAAATTGTCATTCCCATTTTAAATTCTTATATTTCTTTTTCTTTTTTTCTTTCTTTTTTCTTTTTCTTTTTTTTTTTTTTTTTTTTGAGGTACAGTCTCCGTCGCCAGGCTGGAGTGCAGTGGAGCGATCTCGGCTCACTGTGACCTCCGACTCCCTGGTTCAAGCGATTCTCCTGCCTCAGCCTCTCTAGTAGCTGGTATTACAGGCATGATCCACCACGCCCAGCTAATTTTTGTATTTTTAGTAGAAAGGGGGTTTCACCATGTTGGCCAGGATGGTCTCCATCTCCTGACCTCATGATCTGCCTGCGTCGGCCTCTCAAAGTGTTGGAATTACAGGCGTGAGCCACCGCACCCGGCCCATTCTTATGTTTCTTTAAAGCCTTTTACTTCAAAATAATTTTACATTTACAGAAAAGTGGAAAGGATAGTACATAGAATTCTCACATACCATTTACCCAGCTTCCCTCATGTTACCATCTTACATAACAATGATGCATTTATGACAACTAAGAAATTAATGTTGATACAATGCTGTTAATTAAAATGCAAACTTTATTTGGATCTTCCTAGTTGTTATGCTTATGTTCTTTTCTGTCTCAGGATTCAATTGAGGATACCACATTGCATTCTGTTTTCATGTCTCTTTAGTCTTATATTTGTGATGTGTCTTGGTCTCTCCTTGCCCTTCATGATCTTGGCACTTTCGGAGTAATGGTCAGATATTTTATTGAATGTCCCTCAATTTGAGTTCCTCTCATGTTATCTCATGATTTTGGATTGGGAGGAAGAAAATCACAGAGGCGATGTGCCTTTCCTGTTACATTGTAAATATATATCCATGCATCCTTACTTTAATAAATAAATGATTAAATGAATAAGCTACTGGGAAAGAAGTGACAAATCTTCTGTATGGAATAATTCCAATTAATAAATTTATAAGGAATGAGAGAAATAGAAGTCACCATTATAACACTACAGTAATAATTGCTGCATGTTAGATCTATTGATGCATGCTAAAATTAGTGTGCAAAGCTTTAAGGAAAAACAGAGATATTTGCATAGCCTCAAAGTATCTCCCAGATATAGTTTGAGTTTATGTCCCCACAAAATCTGAGGTTGCACTGTAATCCCCAATGTTGGAGGTGAGGCCTGAGGGGAGGAGTTTGGGTCATGGGGGAGGATCCCTCATGGATTGGTGCTGTCCTTAGTGAGTTTAGATAGTGACTTTTCACTCAGATAGTGAGTTCTCCCAAGATCTGGTTGTTGTAAAGTGTGGCACTCCTTCCCACTCTCTCTCTTGCTCCTGCTTATGCCATGTGACATGCAAGCTCCTGCTTTGCCTTCCTAAGCAAAAACTTCCTAAGGCCTCCCCAGAAACAGATGCCGGTGCTATGCCTCCTGTACAAACTGCAGAACTATGAGCCAATTAAACCTCTTGTAAATTAACCAGTCTAAGGCATTTCCTTATATCATTGCAAGGAACAGCCTAATACATGCCCCAAAATATTAATTCCTGTGATGGTTTTAATATATTCTGACAGATCATTTATAGTCTTTTTTTTTTTCTAGGGAATGGTAATTTTCCTACCTTTAAATGTGGGCTAGACTGGCGACTCTCTTCTTCTTCTTCTTTTTTTTTTTTTTTGAGATGGAGTCTCGCTCTGTCACCCAGGCTGAAGTGCAGTGGCATGATCTTGGCTCACTGCAAGCTCCCAGGTTCATGCCATTCTCCTGCCTCAGCCTCCTGAGTAGCTGGGACTACAGGTGCCCACGACCACACCCGTCTAATTTTTGGTATTTTTAGTAGAGACGGGGTTTCACCGTGTTAGCCAGGATGGCAACTCTCTTCTTATGACTAGAGTATGGAAAGGCAAAATTAGTGATTTTATAGTGAAGAAATCTTGCAGACACCACCGTAAGCAATATCACCAATGATAGTCATAGTGAGACTACATATAGTTAGTTCTGCTGTAATAAGACACAGGCATTTCTTAAAATGACCATGCTACACAAAATCACATAGTAAAAACCACAGGGCTTGCGGAAAAAATGGAATCGAGGCACAACACCCAAAAATTTCATAGGTGACACATGAAAACAAAAGCTAGGAAACTAATAAAAATCGTAGCATCATTGTTCACATGTTAAATGGTTAAGAAATGCATAAATGCTACAATAATTAGGGTACTTTCCTTAAAGAAGATCTGAAGTTTGCCCATAGAAATGGACGTTAGAAGAGCTGCAGCTCCTGAATTATTTTGAAGTGGTGGAACAAGTGTTAACTGAAATAAGACAGAAAGTTGTAAGACCAGATGTGGATGGATATGGCTCATAACACAAGATGAACTGAAGCAGGTGTAGATATTTGAGATCTGTGTGTATGTGTTTTGTGTATTTTTCCTTGGCTAGGTTCAACCAGGTGGAGGTTTCTGCCTTCACTTAATATTTGTCCCATAGAAAATCATGCATAAGCAAATATAACATTTTCAGTTTGCTTAAATTATTTCCTAATACATCATTTGCATTGGAACAAATTCATGTTTTCACAACAAGTGTTATAGCAAATCTGATTACAAGTTGAATCTGAATGAATCTGCCTTACTTTATTTTGATAATATAACATCTATTTTTCTTGATAAAGATTTGGAAAAAAGAGAATCTTAGAGTGTCACTGGAATCAGCCAAAATACTTCAAAGAGTACAATAATGTCCATCAACAGGGAAGAATCATGATATTAGTTGATATGTCCACTACCATATTTGTCTTAGCACTTTTGCTGAACATTATTCTTATCATTACTATATTTTAGACACAGGGTCTTGCTCTGTTGCTCAGGTTGGAGTGCAGTGGTGCAATCACAGCTCACTGCAGCCTTGAACTCCTAGGCTCATGCAATCCTGTCACTTCAGCCTCCCTGCCCTGAGTGGCTGGGATTATGGGTGCAGGCCATCACATGTGGGTAATTAAATTTATTTTTGTAGATGCAGGATTTCTTCATTTTGCCTAGGCATTTTATGCCCACAGTTACTCTTTCAGGGCTATCAACTGAACATGCAGAGAAATGGTAGCAGAGTAATCTTTCTCTGCAACATGGTACAGTCTGTTTGATAAATATCTACCAGGAAAAGTGAATATTTCTGCCTGAGAAAAATGAAAGAAAAGAGGAAAAATATTACTGAATTTGTACCTAAAAGAACATGCAATGTATAAATGGAGTTTTGTGAAGAATTTATGTGATAGAGTGTGTAAGATGATTCACTGTTATGTAGTTAAGAGTCATTAATACAGACACTGCAGGCTAGCACATTAATTTTCAAAACTGTCTAGAAATAGAATTTTATTAAATACAAAGGAAAGCAGTAGACATTTAACCTTTTTTAAGTTTTGATTTCTGTACCAGACCTCTGAGAGATTCCTTTCTCTCTCTTCTAGCTGATTTCAATAGTCCTGTCTTTTCTCTGGGCTTTTGACAAGTGATGAGACCCACTATTCTTGACAGTCCTCAAGCTTGGATTTTACTGAACAAAGTAAGGTTTTAGCCAAACAAGTGGATTTCATATTTAGAACTACCTCTGGTAGTGATAGAACTTTAAGGAACAGAGAGTATAATTGTGCTTCTAGCACCCTATATCCATCCCTTTAATACTTCAGAATTCCTCTGAAAACAAAAAAGGGGAAAAAAAGAAGAAAACATATTTCCTTCCAGCTTTAAGTCACAGCCCATCTTTGCATTGACTGGATAGCATTTTTTTTTTTAAAGCATGTGACTTCTCTCTTAGGGAGAGAGACAGCGAGAGTTATCAGCATCTTGGACAAAAGGTGTGATTTCAAAGAACAGGCTAAATGGAGAGAGGCACAGACCTGCTGTCTCATTCCACAATTTGAACTGTACCATGAAAAAGATCACTGGACAAGTATGCTCATTAAAACATTATTCGTTATAGAAAAAAAGTCTCATAAAATCTGGAAGCAAATGAATGTCAATTAAGAGATTATTTTTATCGAATGGAAATATGAATCAGCTTAAAATTGTGCATTTCGTTACACAGAAAGAACTTTGTAACATATTATGGAAGGAAGAAAGGGGACACAGAAGAGTCTTCAGATCAATAGGCATGTGTGTGCACGCACATGTATGTACACATAAATGCTTGAACAGTTTTTCACTAAACTATTGATGGGAGCTAATTCTGATTGGTGGTATTTCTAGTAATCTATTTTGATTTACTGTAGTATATTTTGACTTCCTTTTTAAAAGGAAATACACATATTTCTAGAATAAGAATAAAATAGAATTTTCTTAGAGGATACAAAAGACATTCATGTACTGGTCTTCATGAAAGCATACTAAATACATGATAGAAAATATATTAAGGAATAAAAGTTTATTGGCAATGATAACAAGAAGCAGCTAAAACCAGAGGTCCTAAGCTATGAAAAATAGCTGCAATACAGTGACTTTTCTCTTCAATAAGGCGGATGGCAAAAGTGTATTCAGACCTCTTCAGATTTCAAACAAGATGCATACAGCTCTGAAAGTAAAACTTTCCTGGGAGGTCAAATGGGTAAGTATCTTCTGGAAATAATGTAGGGTGCAAGCAGCCCGTGAATTTTCAAGAGTATGCCAGACACTGTTCTAGTGTTTTTTGCATATTAGTGAATTTAATCCTTGTCCAGCCCAATAAGGCTTATACTACTAGTGCACCCATTTTACAGGTGAAATAACATCTGTGAGGCACAGTAGAGTGAGACAACTTGCTCATGGGACATATGTGAAACTACAATCAACTGAGGCAGTCTGGTTCCTCATAATCATAATATGAACCTCAGATCATCATAATAAGTAGGGAATACCTTTTGGGAGGCTAAAACCACATTTCAGACTGCTGGAGAGGCAGGGTTTCACGAGGGGTTTTGTAGGATGGCACCTTTGTTTTATCAGAAGTGGATTTATTGTACAAAAGATGAGAGATGGCCATACTATTGGTAGCTCCTGAATGGTGGTAACTGAGCAGAAGTAAATAGGCATTGTAGCATTAAAAATTCTCATGAGTGGCCGGGCGCAGTGGCTCATGCCTGTAATCCCAGCACTTTGGGAGGCCGAGGCGGGCGGATCACGGGGTCAGGAGATCGAGACCATCCTGGCTTACACGGTGAAACCCAGTCTCTACTAAAAATACAAAAAAAAATTAGCCAGGTGTGGTGGCGGGAGCCTCTAGTCCCAGCTACTCGGGAGGCTAAGGCAGGAGAATGGCGTGAACCCAGGAGGCGGAGCTTGCAGTGAGCAGTGATCGCGCCTCTGCACTCCAGCCTGGGCGACAGAGCAAGACTCCGTCTCAAAAAAAAAAAAAAAAAAAAAAAAAAAAAAAAAAAAATTCTCATGAGCTACAGAAATTCACTAATTCATCTCCTCCGTGACTGATATGATGATTAAAATATCCTTTTCCTGATTGATATGATAACCCCCAAAGAAGGAATTCAACACTGAGAGGGAGTGTGCTCACACCAGAGACAGCATTTGTTTGGGTAGGGTAGTATTTTAAGACAAGAAATCAGAAATGAGGGGCTACCCGTCCTGATAAACCTTAGTGTCCCCTACTCTTGAGAAAAACTGGCAGGTCATGAATAAACTACTCTCATTCAGAAAACAAAAAATCCCAGCTTGGGATTGTACTTGGATGAGAGAAAACAAACACACCATCAAAAGCTAAATAACGTCATAAAGATGAGAACTAAAACTTAAAAGAGAAATAAAAAAATACATTTAAAAATAATTATTTAATTAATAAAATGATATTTTATTTTATTTTTTAAGAGTTGGGGCCTCACTCAGCCCAGGCTTAAGTGTAGTGGCATTATCATAGCTCACTGCAACTTCAAATTTATAGGCTCCAGCAGTCCTCCTGCCTGTCTCCCAAGTAGCTAAGACTAGAGGTGCATGCTACCACACCCAGCTAATTTTACTTATTTATTTATTTATTTTGTAGAGAAGATGTCTTACTATGTTGACCAGGCTGGGCTTGAACTCTTGGCCTCAACCAGTCTCCTGCCTTGGCCTCCCAAAGTGCCAGGATTGTAGGGGTGAGCCACTATACCTGGCTACAAAAGAATATTTTAGATAACCACTCTCTTATGCTCTCAAGCAATTAAAGGAATATAAACTTTTCAAGAATTATAAACAATCACAGAAAAGTTAATATAGCTACAGAAAGAGAATAAAAGTGAGATGACAAATGTCAGAAAAGACAGAAATGTACATATATGACAACCACACAATAATGCAGAAGGAACTTGAATAGATATTAATAAAACACGGGCGTGGTGAATTGGATTGTTAAAGTTATTCAGATCAGAGGGTAAGGATAACAGCAATTAGAGAGAAGCAGAAATATTTGGAGGCTACAAAGAATACATCCAGTATATGCATAATTGGCATCCTCTGATTAAATAGAGGAAATAACACAACACATACATTTCATATGGAACAGAAAAAATAGTCAGAAATACAACACAAGGAAATTTTCCTAAAATGAAGAAAGCCATAAATACATAGATTGAAAGAACACTACCTGAATACAAGGGAAAAACTGCTAAAGAATATATCTACCACTGCTAAAGAAGTATGTCCTTTGCAGGGACATGGATGAAGCTGGAAACCATCACTCTCAGCAAACTAACACAGCAACAGAAAGCCAAACACCACATGTTCTCACTCATAAGTGGGAGTTGAACAATGAGAACACATGGACACAGGGAGGGGAACATCACACACCGGGGCCTGTCGGGGGGTTGGGGGGCTAAGGGAGGGATAGCATTAGGAGAAATACCTAATGTAGATGACGGGTTGATGGGTGCAGCAAACCACCATGGCACGTGTATACCTATGTAACAAACCTGCCCGTTCTGCACATGTAGAATTTAAAGTATAATTTTTTTAAGAAAGAAGTATCATTGTAACATCACCCTGATGAAATTACTATAATTTCATCACATAAAAATTAACAATATTGTTATCTAGGCAGAAAAGAAATATATGAAAAAAAGCATTGATTTCCCAATTATCCTCAACAATACTGCAACAGCAGAGTACATTAGAACTGTATTTCATAATTATGAGAAGAAAGTGAATACATAAGGTTCCTACCCAGCTAAGTTATTGTTCTTATAAGATGTATAGAAAAGTAATGTCTGTAACTTCAGAACTTAGAGAAAAATTGGCCGGGCGCGGTGGCTCATGCCTGTAATCCCAGCACTTTGGGAGGCTTAGGCAAGCAGATCACGAGGTCAGGAGATCGAGACCACGGTGAAACCCGGTCTCTACTAAAAATACAAAAAATTAGCTGGGCGTGGTGGCGGGCGCCTGTAGTCCCAGCTACTTGGGAGGCTGAGGCAGGAGAATGGCATGAACCTGGAAGGCGGAGCTTGCAGTGAGCCGAGATCGCGCCACTGCACTCCAGCCTGGGGGACAGAGCCAGACTTCGTCAAAAAAAAAAAAAAAAAAAAAAAAAGAACTTAGAGAAAAATTGCACTCAAATGGATTGATTGGATAAATATTTTATTGATATCTAGCCAATTAGAAGTGGGAGAAAGAGAAAGATGTGGAGGAGATGGAAGAGGAGGAGCAGGAGAAAGAGTAAAAGAAGAAACAAAATGAAAACTCAGAAATTTCGAAGCTGAACTATAAAAGAAGTAGTAGAGGTCACTGAAAGCAAGTAAATAAAGAAATTAGAATTCAAATCTATATTAAATGGTTTATAGAATATAATGCAAATGATATAAAATTTGACAATGTAATATTACTACAACTAATCAATATCAAAGACAGAAATATATAAGGAGAAGACATTTGAAGTATAATAACGTTTTTATTTTTAGGGCAAAATATCAGTAGATGTTGAAGTTGTTAAATTCATAAATCGAATTTAGGTTTGTTATTTTGAAGTTATAAGGTGTTAAAATGTGGCCACTGGAAGGGCTTTAATTTCAATTCACAATGTTGGAATTACCAAAAGGGGGAAAAAGCAGAATACAGCAAAAAAGAAACACAGATCATAAAGCAAACATTTAAAGCCAAAGACACATAAAAAGAAAAAGTAAGTAACTGAAAATTAAATGGAAAAGTATTTTTCTCAATATGTCTTGAGGTCGAGTGAATCAAAATTTTTTTAAACATTCAGGACCTTAAATACTTACATTACCGTAATGGATTTTGTCAGTGATAGACCCAGGATTCTCCCTTCTTATTAGAAACTAACTTTTTCTCAAGTATTTACCCCTCAGACCCACAGTTCTGTTTCTCAGAACAAGCTAAAGATTGGCCTGATGGATCCAATGAAACTCTCACCTTCTTGCCAGTGACTGATTGAGGAATAGCTATTAAACTAATTTGGGCTAACAATATGGCAGGCGGAGGCATAACAGACTTCTGAGAAAGTTCTGCCTTCTTGAGTGAGCCAAAGAATACCAGTTGTGAATGAGGAAACGTGGAGCTCTAATTGCTACTGACACAGGGGAATCTCCTTAGAATATAGTCTTTGCTAGGCCGGGCGCGGTGGCTCACGCCTATAATCCCAGCACTTTGGGAGGCCGAGACGGACGGATCACGAGGTCAGGAGATGGAGACCGTCCTGGCTAACACGGTGAAACCCCGTCTCTACTAAAAAAATACAAAAAAATTAGCCAGGCGTGGTGGCAGGCGCCTGTAGTCCCAGCTACTCCGGAGACTGAGAAACGAGAATGGCGGGAACCCGGGAGGCAGAGGTTGCAGTGAGCGGAGATCGCACCACTGCACTCCAGCCTGGGCGACAGAGTGAGACTCCGTCTCAAAAAAAAAAAAAAAAGAAAAAAAAAGAATACAGCCTCTGCTAGAGATCACAGCCTGGAGATACGTGACAAACCTAGGGCCTTGAAAACATTACGGAGCTCCCAATAAATCAACCTTGACGTCCATCCTACCTATAAACTTCCTCTTAGGTGAGCTAATACAGCTTCTTTTCAATTAGTGGTGGTTTTCATTTGTTCGTTTTTACATATAGCTTTGTGCATCTGATTGATAGAATTAGTAAACGAGAAAGAATAACATACATTCATTAGGCAATTCAATCGTTCTCCAAACATTTACTGAATACTCACTATGTGCTATGCATGGAAATAGGTTAGGTTAGTAAATATGCACCAAATGTATACACGTACACATATACAAACATTTAAATGACATAAGTACACACACATACATAGAAATACAGAGGCGAGGTAAGAGACAAGAAGAAAGATAGGAAAGATTTCAAAGGAGAGATGTCAAAACGCTGACAATGTGTAACATTTCATACCGATTGAATTCTTTACAAGCATGTATTACTTTAACAACAAAATGATCTTAAAAATTTTTAAAGATTAAAAAAATCTATTTTCATTTTGGCAACAAAGAAATTCCTGCTGTCTTCAGTATGTGCCCTTACAAAAAATGTCAACATTGTGTCTTTGGCTATAATCCACTGGTGAGAAGACCTCAGCAGGAATACAGCAGATTTCTGTAGTCTTGCTGGGGTTAGATTTCCTATTTCATCATCTGAAAAAAATCATAGAACAAAATGCTTCAATAGCCCAGGCTTTCTGGAACATTCATATATGCAGAATAAAGAGACTAAGCCTTATTTTAAAAAAGAAAAAGAAAAAGCCCATCCAAAGATGCACATTCTGCCGAGCTATAGCTCTATAGGCACACACATTGTACCGGTATAAAATAAAGATCTTGCTTGTCAAGGACAACACATTTTAATGGCTTGGGAATTAAAATCTGGTTTCAGCAACCCCTTTGCCCCATTGTAGTAAATTAAATTTAATGCTGACAGGAGTAATGCACATTAGACTCCAGAGCATAAATTTAAGCACCAAATTAATGCAACTGGACTGAAATGAAGGGTCCTGGAAGAACATTAGGGGAAGAACAGACTCCTTTAATGATTGTTCTTTTCAAAATGGGGAAAGTCGGTTCTAAGAAGCAGAAAGGCAAAACTATCTGCAGTCTCAGAAGCCTCTGGGATTACTGGCGCTGGTTTGTATGTCTCTGTTGAGCTTCTATTAGCAGTATTTCATCCACTCACTCTCCTCTCATTTCATGAATATCTCATCAGTTCTTTTGGCTGTAGCAACACCATTTTAGGAGAAGAGTAAACTATTAATGAAAGGGCAGTGAGAACTTGTATTGAAAGGTTAAAGGGAAAGTGGAAGGAAAATATATCCTTAATGAAATTGAACGTATTCACTTTTGGCCGGGCGCAGTGGCTCACGCCTATAGTCCCAGCACTTTGGGAGGCCGAGGCAGGTGGATGACCTGAGGTCAAGAGTTTGAGCCTAGCCTGGCCAACGTGGTGAAATCTTGTCTCTACTAAAAATACAAAAAAAAGAGAAAAAAAAAATTAGCCTGGTGTCGTGGGGGGTGCCTATAGTCCCAGCTACTCGGGGAGGCTGAGGCAGGAGAAATGCTTGAACCCAGGAGGCGGAGGTTGCTGTGAGCTAAGATCGCGCCGCTGCTCTCCAGCCTGGGTGACAGAGGGAGAGTCTATCTCAAAAAGAAAAAAAGAAAGAAAGTACTCACTTTCTTTTTCTGTATTACAAATATAAGCAGTTTTTATAATGACTGATTTAATTTTCAGAACAAATGCAGATCCCAGATTTGTAGGAGTTAAAAACTCTACCAAAATTTTTTTTTGTTTTGAGACACAGTCTCGCTCTGTCACCCAGGCTGTAGTGCAGTGGTGCCATCTCGGCTCACTGCAACCTCCGCCTCCTGGGTTCAAGTGATTCTCCTGCCTCAGCCTCCCGAGTAGCTGGGGATACAGCCACCACGCCCAGCTAATTTTGTTTTTTTTTTTTGTTTTTTTTTTTAGTAGAGATGGGGTTTCACCATGTTGGCCAGGCTTGTCTCCATCTTTTGACCTCATGATCCACCCACCTCGGCCTCCCAAAGTGCTAGGATTACAGGCGTGAGCCACGGCTCGAAGCCTCTACAAAAACTTCTAGTTAATAATCACAGTAGTCAGAAGTGGAAATGATTTTTTCCTATCCTATTGCAAGATTGCCTCCATTTTATAGTTGATATTCTTCTGATAGCAATTTATTTCTTTTTCTTTACTAGTAGGAACCCAATTTGTTTAGGTAACTATCTCTCTTGTTTTCCGGAGTAGGTGAGCCAGTGTCTCAGAAACAACTAAACTATATTTGTGTAAGCTGATAACAATGGTCCTGTTCCCCCCAGCCAGTGATTGGTTTAGATATGAGCAGGAAACTTAATTCTGGTCAACAACTTGCAAGATGAAGTGTGCTGAAGAGCTTACGGAAAAGGTTGTCGTACTCCTTAGAAATAAACAGGAAGAAGTATCTATTGTTGAATATTGCAGCCTCTGCACATAGTGCTTAGAATTCTGGTGCCTGTCCAGGGACCATGAAGAGGAGTAGTCCAGAGTCCCTGTACTTGATAATAATGTTGGCATGCTGCTAGAACTGCTGTCCTCCAGACTCCCTGATATGAAAGATAAAACATCCCCGTGTTGTTTAAATGTTTTTAAGTTTTATTGTTTTTTCCTGATACTTGGAGCCAAAATAATCCTAATCAATAAACTGAATCATGGACCAGAGCTTTATTCAGTCACTTAGCCAACCATTTTGATTTCCTTCTATGTGTCAGCTGGTATGTTTGGTGCTAGGAATATAATAGCGCCAGGGACACAAGACGGATATGGTCTCTCCCTCACAAAGCCTATGGCTTAGTGAGGATTCAAGACTTCAAAAAAATAATCAGTTGATAGATGCACTGAAGGCCCTGACTTCACCACAATGCAATATATCAACGTAGGAAAATTGCACTTGTGTCCCATGAATATATATAAGTGGTCATTAGAGAAATGAAAATCAAAACCGCAATGAGATACATCTCACACCAGCTGGAATGGCAATCATTAAAAAGTCAGGAAACAACAGATGCTGGAGAAGATGTGGAGAAATAGGAATGCTTTTACACTGTTTTTGGGAGTGTAAATTAATTCAACCGTTGTGGAAGACAGTGTGGTGATTCCTCAAGGATCTAGAACCACAAATACCATTTGACCCAGCAATCCCATTACTGGTTATATACCCAAAGGATTATAAATCATTCTACTATGAAAACACATGCACCTATATGTTTATTGCAGCACTATTCACAATAGCAAAGACTTGGAACCAACCCAAATGCCCATCAATGATAGAATGGATAAAGAAAATGTGGCCCATATACACCATGGAATACTATGCAGCCATAAAAAAGGATGAGTTCATATCCTTTGCAGGAACACGGATGAAGATCGAAACCATCATTCTCGGCAAACTAACACAGCAACAGAAAACCAACCACCACATGTTCTCACTCATAAGTGGAGGTTGAATAATGAAAACACATGGACACAGGGAGGGGAACATCACACACCAGGGCCTGTTAGGGTGTGGGGGGCTAGGGGAGGGATAGCATTAGGAGAAATATCTAATGTAGATGACGGGTTGATGGGTGCAGCAAACCACTATGGCACGTGTATACCTGTGTAACAAACCTGCACGTTCTGCACATGTATTCCAGAACTTAAAGTATAATTTAAAAAAGGTAAAAAAAATTAGTTAAAGAGTAAGTATAAGAAATAAAAGGAAAAGCCAATGTCTCTCTCTGTATCTCTCTCTCTTTCTCTTCTTGGAGACAGAATCTCACTCTGTTGCCCAGGCTGGAGTGCAGCAGTACAACCATGGCTCACTGCAGTCTCAACCTCCTAGGCTCAAGTGATCCTCCCACCTCAGACCCCCAAGTAGCTGGAACTACAGGCATGCACCACCATTCCTGGCTAATTTAATTTTTTTTTTTTTTTTTTGTAGAGACAGGGTCTCACTGTGTTGCCCAGGTTAATCTTGAACTCCTGGGCTCAAGCAATCCTCCCACCCTGACTTCCAAAGTATATATCATTTTTAAAGTAAGTAAATATAGAATTGGTGAACAGATTAGTTATTCCCAAGGATTACAGGTAAGGTTTTGGTAGGCATAGCTATAAAGGAATAACACGGAGGAATTCTTGTGATGATGGAACAATTTTTTATGTTGATTGTGGTAAGAGTTACATGAATCTACATACATAATAAAATTACACAGAACTACACACACACACATGCATGTACACATACATACATACAAATGATAACATGCAATTCTGGGGCTATATAAGCTCTGTGGATTGTACCATGTCAAACCCCTAATATTCTTTAGCACAGGATATTGTACTAGCTATGCAAGGTGTTACCATTAAAGATAAGGGGCCAAAGGTACATGAGACCTTCCTGCACATTTTTTACAACTTCCTATGAATCCAGAATTATTTCAAAAATGAAATTTAGAAAGTTAATAATAATAATAAGGAATTTATTGTTAGAATAGCAAATTGAACAAATACATCTAATTTCTAATTTCTAATCTTCCAAAAGCCACCACTAAAACTACCGGAAAGATTATTATTATTTTTTTTTTTTGAGACACAGTCTTGCTCTTGTCACTCAGGCTGGAGTGCAGTGGCGTGATCCTGGCTCACTGCAACCTCTGTCTCCTGGGTTCAAGCAATTCTCCTACCTCAGCCTCCCGAGTAGCTGGGATTACAGGTGCCTGCCACCACACGCCACTAATTTTTGCATTTTTAGTAGAGATGGGGTTTCACCACATTGGCCAGGCTGGTCTTGAACTCCTGACCTCAGGTGATCCACCCACCTGGGCCTCCCAAAGTGCTAGGATTACAGGCATGAGCCACCGCACCCAGCCACTACTGGAAAGATTTTTATCCCCCCTTGAGACTTTAAAAAAGTACAGCAAAAACAAGAGAGAAGACACAACACATTGACGGTATTTTTGAACCTGGAAAGCAAACAAACCAGTTAAAATGGGCTAAATATACCAAAGAAAGCCAAATTCTGAGCCAGCAGTACAGCTGGGAAACAACCCAATTAATACTGCAAAGTCACTAAAAGACTTGGGTTCTGGAAATACCAGGAATTTCTAGAAGTAGGGGGAAAGGGTAAGGAAGAAAGCCAAAATATGCTTTATTGGGTGAAATATTTTTGAGCACTAGTTAGAAATCTAGATCTTCTCCCCCATTTCATGATGCTGAGTGACTATACATCTTCCTCCCTGGCAGAAAAATGGATATTTATTTTCTGGCAAGATTTATTCTCACCAGGATTGGCTGGCACACTTGAGACCACGGGTCTCATCTGAAAAGCAGGGAAGTTACCTGACTGTACACATACTGAAAGCTGAGGTCCTCTAACACTTTTTTCCAGTTAGTTCTCAGAATGCAGACTGCCATACTTTGAGTTCCAGGCAAGGGGTTTGAAATACTTCTCTCTGAGAAACCTGACAAGTCTAATGATATTGACTCAATAATCTAGTGCTCTCTAATAAACCACTGAAAAACTCAGGGGCTTAATATAACAACTTATTATTCATCATAATTCTGTATGTGGACAGAAGAGTTCTTTAGCCCCTCTTGGCATTGACTCGGGTACTGGATGGATGGAATCATGTGAAGCCTCAGCTGAGGCTGTGAGTTAAAGGTCTCAGTTCTTCTCCACGTAGCTCTGTCTGCATGACTGCCTCGGCTGCCTTACATCATGGAGACTAACTTCCAAGTAATGTTTCAATAGGCAGGAGTTCAAAAGGGAAGATCAGGACTGGCACAGTATCACTGCCACCATATTTCATTGATTAAATGAGGCAGAAGCCCAGCCCACAGTCAGTGTAAATATTCATGAATTCTGAGAGGCATAAGGCATTGGAGGTCACCAATGCAGCAGTCCACCCTGTTCACTGACATCGAGGGCTCACCGCAAAGAACCCATCACATTATCCTTAAGGAAACTCAAACTGGAAAAGCCCCATCCACATCCTTAGAGATGCCAATCAAGTTTTTATTTGCCTACTCTGAATTATGTTTAGACAAATCACAATCTACTGATATCTGAAACAACTGAGGAAATCCTCTAACACAGAAGAGACCAAAATAAGAAAAGAGAGATGGCGGGGTGGGGGGCGGGGGCATAAATTAGAGAAACTAGAAACTATTCAGAGAGTAAGAAACTTAAAATATATATATTAAACTTAAATAATATATAAATAATATCTTCAGAGAAATAAAAAACTGTATTAAAAAACATGACATATATACATGTATAGATAGATGGATAGAAAGATTCAAGAGCAATAAAAAAAGCTTTAAAACATTAAAAGTCTAATTGAAAGAGTTGGAAGATAAAGTTGGAGATGTCTCACAGAAAGTAGCGCAAAAAAACAAAATGGGAGGAAATTTAAAGAAAAAAGGTGTATACAAATTCCAGGGTATCTGAATAATAGGCATTTCAGAAGAAACAACTGAGAAAATGGAATAGAGTTGATCACTATAATAATTCTAATAAGTCTCCAGTATGGAATTTCCAGAATGAAAGGGATCAGTGAGTGCCCAGAACAACGTAGGAAAATATACCTACACGAAGGGAAAGCACTGTAAAATTTTAGAATAGTGAGCCCAGAGAGAAAGTTCTACAAGCTTTCAGAACGTGGAGGTACAAGAATTGTTACATAACAAAACAAAATGATGATTTCACACTTAAAATTTTACTTAGCCAAAATAATAATAAAAATAGCAGTTAAATTTATTGGTAGAATAATGACATATTCCAACATTTTAGTAAATAATCTTCCAATACTCTTTTCTCTGGAAACTACTGGAGAATAACTTCCACACAGGGTATAAACAATAACGAAAAAGATATCGGATATGGGAGAGTTCCAACAGGCATCACAGGATGACAGTGCAGAGAGAGTTCAAGAGGAAAACTGTGAACCAGGCATAGAGGGTGATCACTCCAGTCTAGAGAACTTGACTCAAGAGCGGAGGGCTCTTGTCACAGTCTTCTCTGTCATTGTACTATCTTTTAAACTTGAGAAATGTACTGGAAAAAGTACTCCATGAATAAAATAAAATGAATCCTAAAAGAACAACAACAAAAAAATTAATCCAGGAGACAGGGAATGAAACCCAGGAGGTAGACAAAAGAAACTCAAGAATAACAGCAGAAGGAAAACCTAGGATAACAGCTGTGCAACAGTCCTGGAGAGCGACCAGCCCAGATGGAAGAATGAATGTCTACCTGAGGGATGTCTCCAAGAAAAATAAAACTCAGCTGTTAGAGCCTCTGTCTGGATGGAGTTCATGGAAAATTATAGTGAAAGGTTATTGAAAGGGATGGAAACATTTACAAGAAGTACAAAGAAACTTAAAGTGAAAAAACCACAAGGGACCATTATTTTAAAAATAAAAAAAAAGGAAAATCTAGTCATGGTACCCAACAATGTTCAGCTGTGAAATGCTTTACTCTAGCCATAGGAATATAAACACTGCATATGCTGTAACAGAAAAGTATCATATAACTGTATCAAGATGATGAAAGGGTTGAAGAGGAAATGGCAATGGAAAAGAGTGAATTATTCATTTCTCATACTAGAAAGCTAATAGATAATAGAGAAACATAAGACTATTATTTAGAAATAACCGTCTGCTCTTATTATTTTGATAGGATAAAATTAATTTAAAATAATTGATGTTAAGAAAAAAAGTATGATGTTCTTAAGAAAAGTATGTGGTGTGTAGTTGAGCTAAAGGACCTGGGGCAGTTTTCCTAAGGAAATATTCAAGATAAGACTAAGCCAGCGAGCAGAAATTTATAAATCCAAATTGAGAAAGCAGGGAAGGGGGACAGAAATGGGGGAAGCATTCCAGGCGGTAGGATCAACAAATATAAGAAACTTCATAGGAAAAAAGCCTGGTAGCATCAAGATACTGAAGAAAACCTTTGCGGCTTAGCAGTTAAGACATGAGTGACATGCAATTAAGTTGAAGAAACAATCAGTAGCCAAAGCATATAGAGTCTTGTGGACATATGAAGCATTGTGAACTCAACCCTTAAGTCAACAGGTTTTAGGCAGAGAGGAAACTGACTTTTATTTATTTTTAATCTTATTAATTATTTAGTATTTTAGAGATAGGGTCTCATTCTGTCACTCATGCTGAAGTACAGTGGTGCCATTATAGCTTACAATGAACTTTGATCTCTGAGCTCAAGATATTTGTCAGCCCCAGTCTCCCAAGTAGCTGGGACCTCAGGTCTGTGCCACCACACCTGGCTAATTTTTAATTTTATTTTTTTAGAGACAGGGTCTCACTATGTTGCTCACGCTGGTCTCAAACTCCTGGCCTCAAGAGATCCTCCCACCTCAGTCTCCCAAAGTGCTGGGATTGTAGGCATGAGCTATCACACCCGGCCCAGGAACTGACTTTTAAAACACTAGTTTGGCAGCTCCAAAACCAGTTTTGGAGACTGGTTTGGTGGAGGCAAGGGGAATGCAGAGACAATAATTATGAAGATTGCTCAGTAGTTAAGGAAGGAGATGATGAGGAAAATAATAGCTGAAAGTCAAAACATGTAACATGCAGAGAGCCACATCTACAACCAAGACATGTGAATTGAAGTCCAGTGTTTGACCTCTACACTGCATGGCAAGATGACAGTTTAGCATTAATGTGATCATAAGAATAAAATTTTTAAAAGGTGGTTTCATTTCAATAGAAGTAAGTAGGTGGAAGTGTCTATTTTAACCTGGAAAAAGAGAAACTGTGCTTTTTAGCTCATGTCACTTCCTAGAGTTGCCCATTCATTTGTTCATCCATTCAGCAAGTATTTTTTAGCACCAGCTGTATGCCAGACACTATTCCCAGGAGCGCAGCTAAGAAGAAAAAAGGTCTCTGATGTCTTTCATCATACAGCTTTCATTCTACCTGGGTAGACAACAAAGACTATATTTATAAAAAACCCGCCACAACAAAACAAATTAGAGAGATAGAGAATGCCAGGGTGGAGAGGTAAAGTGGTCAGGGAGACTCTCTCAAAAAGTTATATTTGATAGGATGCCTGTGTGAATTGGGGGTAGCCAGTTAGTGATCTGGGAGAAGAGAATTCCTTAGAGGAGAATAACTTTCCTCTATAGCTTTCCACTTCTAGGCAGAAGTGATGGGCAAAGGTCTTGTTTTGAGAGTTGTACTTGATCTGTTAAAGATATAGCAAGCCTGGAGTGGAGAAAGCAAAAAGAATAGTAAAAGATGAGGCTGGAGAAGTAGCCAGGACAAAATAAAATAAGGCTCTGCCCATACTCAGTCTCAATAAATTAAAGATTAAAAGGTATATATCAAAGCCAGTATTTCTAAGCCTGGGCTGTGGTAATAGCCTCCTGGTTGATTTTCCTGCCTCTACTCTCTCTGTTCAGTCATCATGTACAAGATTGCCAGATAAATCTTCCTAAAGCACAGAATTTTATCACATATCTCTCCTCTCCTCAATAACTTTTACTAGCTTTGCTGGATCAAAAGGAAATTCCTCAAGCTTGACCGGTTACCTGCAAACCCTTTCCTAGCCAGCCTTTCCTTTCCTATATACACTTGTCTCTCAACATGCCCCCAAATGGGTTCCTTGTTTCAGTATTTCTGTGCCCCTCACCATTCACTACCAGCATTCTGTGATTCTTACTTCCATATCCTTCAATACTCAAGTCAATTCACCTTGGTTGTAGATGTCCAATTCCTATTTTCAGAGTGCTTAAAATAAGTAAGGAGAAGATACCAATCACTGTGATGCAATGGTAGAAATGAGATGTACTATTGAAAAGGAGCAATTTTTGCTATGGAATGTTTCAAAACAGGAGATAACTTTCAGCTGAAGTGCTCCTGGAGAACTTAGTGCCTTGACGATTTTTACTATCTTGAACTATTGGGTACCCTTATAGAATGCTTTGGATTTATTCTCTTTCTCTTGTGTGTTTGTCCTCTAGAACTAGACTCTAGCCCCTCTAGAGTGAGAGATATTGTCTTCTGTTAATTTCCAGTGGCTGTCAAGACTTCCCACAGGGTCTAGCATAGACCAGGAAGTCTCTAAATGCAGATGCAGTGAAAATTGATTGCATTTGAATCCAAATGCCATTATTGCACAATTGTACTATTACGTGATCCTGCTGAGCAACCTTTCTACGCCATAGTCACCACCCAGTGGACTAACTGGGAATAGGAGTTTACAACCTTATTAATAAAGAATATGTCAGCACCAGATATATATGGTCTTTTGGTTTGGACTGACAGCTCATCTGCAATTCTTCTATTAAATTAAAATGAATGATTTCTAATTCATTATGGTACCAGTGGTGGGTATGTTAGAGTCGAAAGGATATTTTCTGTATGAGTGATAAGACTATCAGAACACAGCTGGTGATATAGTTAGGCGTTGTGTCCTCACACAAATTTCATCTTGAATTGTAATGCCCATATGTCAAGGGAGAGACCAGGTGGAGGTAATTGAATCATGAGGGCGGTTTCCCCCAGGCTGTTCTCGTGATAAGTGAGTGAGTTCTCACGAGATCTGATGGTTTTATAAGGGGCTCTTCTCCTTCCCGCCACCGTGAAAGAAGATGCCTTGCTTCCTCTTCCACCGTGATTCTGTTTCCTGAGGCCTCCCCAGCCATGCTGAACTGTGAGTCAATTAAATCTCTTATCTTTATAAATTACCCAGTCTCAGGCAGTTCTTTATAGCAGTATGAAAACAGACTAATACAGCTGGTATGTTGGAATCGATTATGAGAACTGTGTGATGTTATGGATAACATACTAGAAATTTTGAACAACTCATGCTTTTTAAAAAACCTATTTTTGTTCTTATATTATCTAATATCAAGATAGCATATGATTTTGCCATTATGGGAGAAAATTGATAATCCATAGTCTAAATCATCCTTTAAAGATCAGGAGATTTAAGCCTGGGGAGTGAAAATCACTTATCTGAAATGACACAATTATTTAGTAAGAAATCTAGAGTTAGAGCCTGGGTCATCTGCTCTTGTCCCAGCTCTTTCTGTTTTGTGGCACAGTCTCCTCAAAGGGGCAGATCCTCAGCAAAATTCTTATTACTTTTGTTCCCAGTTGCTGCCAGTTTTCCTATCAGTGGGCACCACCAGGAAAAATAAGGCAGCAGGGCAGCCTCGTGTACAAGGTTTTTCTATTTTACCAACAGATTGCTCTCATGCTTTTGGGGAAAGAGTAACCTTAAAATGATGAATGCTTGTCCTATTAAAAGCTCTTCCAGCACAGGCATTATTGATAGTGTGCAAAAAGGACATCCATTTTAGTGCAAATGAAAATTGAAATGGAGAGAACATCATGTCTTTTTTTTCGAATATATGATGCTGGCTCACGTACAGTGTGATTGGTGTGAGCTGAAAACAGCTGTCCAGAGTCCTTACGACCTTTGCCTACCTCCCACTGGTGATAACAAGGACAGCTGATCAGTAAGAAAGCTAGTTTCCTAACATCTATATAATAAATGTACAGCCTTAGCAGGGCACTCAAGCACCCTCATGATCTAGTATCAACTTACCTCAGATTTGTTTTCCATTATTTTTTTTGTCTCAAAACCAATGTGCTAGTTATCTGAGGTTATTCTCATTATGATTTCCAGATCATTTTCTGTTTTTCTGAGCTCCTTCCTGCATAGACTGTTTCCTCTGCTTTACAATCCTTTCCCTTCTTTTCTGCAAGGCTAAATAATTCTTTTCCTTCATAGTTCAGCTCAGTTTCACCACTGGAGTCTTTTCCACCCCTTCTATTTGTCAAGTTGCCTGAACTATTGCATCATCAGGAGACCTCTAACGCCTTTGAATTTACTAAGGATATTCACGTTACATGGAATTATGGTCAGATATATGTTTGTCTTCTCATCTAGAGGGTGTGCTTCCTGAGAGCAGAGAGCTTGTGCATCTTTGCATCTCCAGTGTCTAGCACAATGCTTAGGAGATAGCACACAATTAAATATTTGGTTAAAGACGGGAACTATAAATGAGTGGTGAGTGAATGAGGAACACATGTGAGACCAGAAAGCTTCATGCTCTTGGTTACTTCTTATTTAGAAAGACTTTCTCAGCCATAGACTCAATTTTAGCCACAGTCAGTCCCAATTATCAGAAATTTGGAGAATCTGCCTGGGCAATCATCCCAGTTGCCAAGGTTTGTGTCATCTGTATATCACCTAGTAATGATTTTCCAGTGAGTAATATGGAGCTCACCTGAAAGAGGTTTGTCTATTAAAATCCATCTTTTTCAGTGACATGACAGAGCACTTGGAACCCTCCATGCTGGATAATTAACATTCATGCATTAATCTTTCTGCTTTGTCATTGGGTTTGAACCCTGTGCCAGTGATCATTATCTCATGATATGAGAATTTCAAAGTAAACTGGCAGTTAATTTAACAGCATTTAAAAGTAATGAAAGAGTAAAGATGTCAGAATGAAATACACATTTCTTTGAAAACCCAGACAACTATTGCAACTATTTTGAAATCCGGTTAAGCATACAAACCTTTAAAAGGGCAGGATAAAAGAACAGCTGAATTGTGATTTAGTTCAGACAGGGAACCATTAGGGAGGCAGTATGGAAAAATGAAAAAAGGATTAGGCTTAGAGCCAGGAGGCCTGGATTTAAAATCCTAGCTTCACCTGTTCTTCGCTGTGTCCTCTTAGCTAAATTCCTGTTTCTTTTGTCCATAAACTGCATATTAATTTCTACATTGCAGCATTACTAAAGGTAGAATGCAATAACATATATGTAAGCCCAAGATCTGACACGAAGTTGGTGCTCAAGAAATATGCCTTAATTTCTTCTTCAAAAAAAGAACATCGTGACAGAGCATGTGTTATATCTCCGTGCCCTTTGTGAACATAGAAAAAACAGCTGATTCGGAAATGGGGATTTAGTGGAATCAAATATGCATAAGGAGCTAAGATCACTCAGGAGCTTAGTACAGCACTTCAGACTTATTTCAAATTGAGAGAAATCAGCGGGCCTACTCAATCTTACTGCCCCACTGGAACAGCAGCTAAAACCTCTGGGTAGCTAAAACAAATAAGACATGTCTAATACCAAGCCTAGACTCTTAACTCATAACTGAAACTCATAATAGTAGAAAGAGCAGAAGCTTTTGGAGCCAACAAGAACTAAGTTCAAATCCTAGTTCAGCTGCTTCTAAATCCCATGGCACTAAGAGTCATGTAATTCCTGATGACTGACCCCTCTGAGTTGCAGTTATTTTGTAGGTAAAATGGGAGTAAAGTACCTCCTCCACAGGATGGTTCTGAATATTAAATTTGATAATCCATATAAGCACTAACATAGTACCTGAACACACAGTGGGTGCCTCACAATGTTAGCTTTCTTTCCAACTTGGATCTTAGTATTGGTTTTCCCTTACAGACTAACTATTAATCACAAACCATAAAGTGTGACAGCTGAACAGGTCCATGGGAATCATCTCCAGGATTTAAGGTTATATTACATGGATCCCTAGGATTTCTGAGTTGTACCCCATGCCACATGAGGAATTAAGGGGGTTAACTAGGGCAGAGTTCTCTAACCTCTTCTTTGTTTAAAAGAAATGGATGACTGTACCAACAGATCCAATATTGGCATGACAAATGCCTGCGAACCAGTGATCTATTCTCAACCCCTTATTTCATATTTGAGTAAACTTGAGCCAGTTAAGAGTAAGGACTTGCCAGAAATCATTCTGCCTGGGAAATAGGTAAAGGCACATTCAATACGTAACATAGAGTTGGGACATGTTGTTCCAATATCTACGATGTCAGGTAAGATAAATTAGTAGAAACTCTCACAAGAGAATATCATCTCCTACTTTTTGTGTGTGTTTTCCTAAAGGCCCCTCTCCCCTCCACCCAAAATAACCTCATAATTTTGCCCCAAACTAGCTCTGTTTACAAAGAAATTTGCATAAGAGATATATAACTATTTCTATTCTGTAAATAAATTTATAAAGGAAAGTGATTATGTGTCATGAATGATATATTAGAAAGGTGGGAATAGGCACTGGGATTTGGGATGAAGGTGGAGAGATAATAAACTAGAGAGCAAACTTCCCTACCTATAAAATGAGATACTTGAGCAGATATTTTGGTCATCTCTTCCAGTTCTACTACTTTTTATAGTTGAAAATTTTATCAATCTTCTCCCACCTTACATTTCTCATATGCCAAAAGCAGAGAAGTTTTGTTATAGAGGATGTCTCTTGGGTTTACTCAGCCCTACACTTTTCTCAAGTCACTTCTATTCAAGTACTTGACTCTGTTGCTGGGACACTGGTTCATTAGAGGACACTGTCGTCTGTCCCTGGTCCTGTCCCATGTGGCAATGGCAGCACTGAAGTGTGTCAATCAGACAAGAAAGATATTTCACCAAATTTGCTTTGGTCTGCACTTGGTCACTGAATGTCAGCTTCATTTCTTCCTTCTGCAGCCTTAGCTTTTGTTTTGAGATCCATCAAACTTTCTTTCCCAGGCTGAATTAAATGTTCTTATTCCTACCACCAGCCTCTGTAGCCTGCAACTCAGCAAAGCTTATTCTTGAGCACTTTGGAACATTACAAGCAAAGCAGTCCACACAAAGTCACCCATACCAGTTAGAAATGCTCAATACCATTACTGTTTCCATTATATATTTATTTGGATGATTATAAGATTAATGTTATGTTAATTTATTATCTAATGATTTTTAATTTGACATTTTGTTCAGTGCCATACACTTTAAACAATGTTTTTTGTATCTACTCTAGCTGGGATAGTGGTAAGGTAATCTGGCGTACAGTGGAGAAATAATTGCTTGGAAGAATTAGATGTTTTACACACAGGGGCAGGCTTGCATGGAATAGATACTGCTTTAGAGGCTGATAATGTATCTTAGATAATTTTTATTTACAGATGACATTTATTTTACTTCCTGTTTGTGGGAAGTGAGAAGAACATAGACAAAGGACCAACACTTTCCTGCTTTATGGATATTTAAAATTATTCATTAAAAACCTGCGAGAGATCAAATCTCATTTAAAAAATCCAGTCTAAAGATGTGGGCCACTGGATTTGCGACTTACCATTTCCTTTAACAAAGTACGCTTTGATTCCTTTAATGAGATCTGAAAGATTCTAAATTATCTGACTCTTTCTTCTTTCTGCATTGTGCCTGTAGTCTCTCTCCTCTCACACAGACTGGCTTCGTCTCTTCCAAATGAAGGTTTTTGCACAGGACATTTCGTGTCCCTGGAGTGTGTCTCTTCGCTCACCTGTGATATCTTATCTGGCCAACTTCTAACCTCAGTCTCAGCTTATGTGCTACTTTCTCAAAGAATCCTTATCCTCCCCAAATATGGGTCCACTATACCTCTTTTCCTCTCTCATATCACCATATAGCTTACCTTCATATCGCTTACCCTATAATTTTCATACAATTGTTTAAAATATATCTTACCTCTTTCAATATGATACAAACCATGATGTCAGGGGTCATGCATATTTTATCTATATTTCCCATGCCTAGAACATAATGAACACTCAACAAATGTCATGGTATGAGTGAATGTTTTTCATTCTATTCCTTGTTTCTTCAATTCTGGACTCAGCCTGATAAAACTACTGTACATCTTTGGGCCTGGTGGGTACCAAAGTTATTATAAGAAAGGCAACAGATGAAAATTTTAATTTTATAATAAACTGATCAAATTAATTTACATCAACATAATGCTCACTACTTACATTTCAGATGAATATTACTAATCCTCATTTAGGGATGATTTGGTAGTAAAAATAAGAAATTCACTCAATAATGCCAAATATAAACGTTATATTTTAGGAATACCGGAAAATTCCTTAGAACCAAATGCAGAATAAAGACTTTTACTTCATAGGACTGAAAAGTCCTCAGGCAATCTTACTTTCTTATTCTTTTTTGGAATTAAAAAGTATATATTTGCCCTTCCTGATCATGTCATGACTTTGTTTCATAACTGTTTCCTCAGTGAGCCTTTTTTTTTGAGACGGAGTCTCACTCTGTCACGCAGGCTGAAGTGCAGTGGTACCATGTCAGCTCACTGCAACCTCCGCCCTTCAGTGAGATTTTAATTACTTCCTCTCATAATTGTGACTTGCATAGGCAATGGCTTGTCATGAGCCTGACTCTGTCCCTAAGTCTGTGTGACCTTGCAACTCCAGGGCCTTGCATTTTTCACTCAATTGCCGTTTTCCTGGCTGACTTCAAACTCTTAAGAGGCAGATACTGCCATCGGTTGCTGTCTATTCAGAAGTTTGGCTAATTAGAATCTAGGTAAAGAAACTCTTTGTAAAGAACTGCAATGTGGCAACAGAGTCCAGAAACAAAGATTCATGCTCCAGATATTGCTTTGAATAAGAAAACAGCAGTAAAGAAAACAATCTAGACATAATCCTATCAAAGTATTTTATGGAATAATTTTGGTGTTGATTTTGGAATTATATGTTTATCTGGTTGTTCTTCTATGGGGAATAATTTATTACTCAATGACTATAGGGTGGTGTTGAGTCATAAGTATCATGATGATATTCTAAAACCGGGGGCAGAGGCAAGTCTCAGGTTTGACTTTGTTTCCTAAGGGCAGGGGCAGTGTCTATGAATCAATAGCTGCCATGAGTGTTTCTGTACACTCTGTAGGTGCTCAGTAAATTTTTGGGTGGCTGGCCACTCAGAGAAGTTTGGAAGCTCCTGTATTCAGTGTGGGTTGTTTGAGTGGTTCCCATAGTTCAGAATGTGGAGTGTGGGTCATGCTAATAGAAACTTAAGTATGAGGGTTTTAAAGAGTGAAGATGCTGATAAATGCTATGCTTGTTCTCTCTGAGGCCTGAATCAATTTAAATAGACAAAAGATTACCAAAGAAAAAGAAAATACTTTGGTTTTATTACTTCTTAAAGCAGAGTGGAGAACAAGATGGGCTTCCTAATACTCTCACCTCCTTCTCCTGCTCCTCCTCTGCACCTTGTTGAAGTCTAGGCCTATTGTGAAAATTGGATTAATGAAAGCACTAGCTCCAAACTGAAAACTTCAAGGAATAGGTAACTTCTATCTTACTCAAGTAGCTCTAGAGACAAACAAAAATAATGAAAAGCTATCCGACTTATTTTACGATGGTAGTATAATCTTGATACTAAAACCAGAGGAAAATGTGAGTAAAACAAATCTGCAATTTCATGTTCTAAAATAAATAATAATGTCTTAGTATTTAGCAAGCAGAATTTTGTTGTTCATACACCTGCAGAGGTGAATTTACTATGAAAATGTGACATTTAAGCCTCAGCATCCTTCAGTTAGAAGGACAGAGTCTCAGCATTCCTTCTAAGTCATATTACCATATTTGGATTTGGGATTTTTGGAATCCTTTCTTAAAGAAAGATCCCAAATTTTACCTTTCAGATTCTATAGAATGTGGTTTATCTCCTTACATTTGCATATGCACAAAAGTATACACACAAATATAAACATACCATGACCAATTAGTATTTACACAAGGAATGCAATAATCTATTAATATAATTTGCCACAATAATAGAAAAAAGATATAGAAATATATGATCATATTAAAAATGGAGGAAAAAACAGCTTTAGATAAATTTCATTACCCATTCTTGACAATGGAAAGAAGTTTACATAATCTGTTAAAGAGTTACTATGAATAACCTCCACTAATCATTGTGCTTCATTATGAAATGTTAGAAGTATTGGTTTGAAAGGACAAGAAAAGGATACCCACTCTTGCAGCTCCTATTCTGTGCAACCCTTAGGGTCATAGTCAACCCAGTAAGATAATAATAGTCAACCCAGTAAAACAATATAAACAAATAGTATAGGAGTGAAAATAAAACATAAAACAGACTTTATTTGAAGAGCTATAATTGTATATATGGAAATATTCAAAAGGATCTAATGACAAACAGAATTAATAAAAAGGATACAGCAAATTTACCTGACACAAAATTAACATGTCAAAATCAAAGATGTTCTGATGCACAAGGAAAAACCAATTAGAAAATTTAATAATAATAAAGTATTTATGAAATAAAATGTTATAAATTAATGCATACAGTACAATTGCAATTGAAATTACATTATGGATTGTGAAACTAAAAACATTCATGTGGATGAAATGAGAAGAGCCAAAACAAGAAAAATAATGAGACAGTGGTAGTCACTCTATGAGATATTATAAAGCTCTAGTAATTAAAACCATTTGATACTTGTACAAAAATAGATGAGTAGACTAATGGGACAGAATAGAAAGTCTAAACAGAGGACTACATAGATAGGAGATGTTGGTATATGAGACGTATAGCTGCATAAATCAATGAGAATATCAGGGACTGAGTGATTAAAGGTGCTGGATAATTGGGTAAATATGTGGGAAAACATGTTCAATGGCTTTCTCTCATAAGACAAAGTCAATTTCAGATAGAGTAAAAACACAAATATAAACAGCAAAACTTAAAACTTTTTGAAAAAATTATAGGAAAATTTTATTATGTCTTGAGCATGGAGAAAGATTTCATAAATCACACAAAGAATAAGACATAAAGGAAAAGATTTAAAAATCCAACAGAATCAGAATGTAGAACTTTTATACACCAAAAGACATGAAACAGTTAAAAGATGAGTCACTGCCAATAAATAGATATTTACATCACTTATAGGCAACACATGATTAGTGAATATGATGGTTAATATTGAATGTCAGCTTGATCGAATTGAAGGATGCACAGTATTGTTCCCAGGTGTGTCTGGGAGGGTGTTGCCAAAGGAGATTAACATTTGAGTCAGTGGACTGGGAGAGGCAGACCCACACTCAATCTGAGTGGGCACCATCTAATTAGCTGCCAGTGTGGATAGGATAAAGCAGGCAGAAGTTGGAAGGAGCAGACTTGCTGAGTCTTCCAGGCTTCATCTTTCTCCTGTGCTGGATTCTTCCTGCCCTTGAACATCAGACTCCAAGTTCTTCAGCTTTTGGACTCTTAGACTTACACCAGTGGTTTGCCAGGGCCCCTGGGGCCTTCAGTCACAGACTGAAGGCTGCACTGTTGGCTTCCCTACTTGAGGTTTTGGGACTCAGACTGGCTTCCTCCTTCCTCAGCTTGCAGATGGTCTATTGTGGGATTTCACCTTGTGATTGTGTGAGTCAATTCTCCTTAATAAACTTCCTTTTGTATATATACATATGTCCTATTAGTTCTGTCCCTCTAGAGCACCCTGACTAATACAGTGAGGTAGACATTAACCATGCCCGTCATGTTTTGCACACTTCCTGATATTTAGGGAATTCCCCATTGTGTGATTTCTGCTTCTTCAAGGAAGAAATCAGGTAAGGCATGGGCAGGGGCCTAGGTTTCAGTGATTGATGCATGCAGAAAAGACTTTGAACAGGAATAAAGCTCTTGGTTTTAGGGGACTGCAAAAGGTGTGTCCACCTTCAGGTTCCACTTCTGTTAGTGGTACATGAAGTATTTGGGCCCAGCTGTGAAGCAGTGAGGTCTTTGTTGGGACAATCCTGCAGTGTGATTTGGGAGAACCACAGGGCCTTGAGTCTGACTCTTTACCCCTTCTGGAGATTCTATTATATTAGCTGTCCAGTATCCTTTTAACATACAACATTTCTGCTTAAACTGGCTACAGTATATTCCTCTGCTTGCAAGAACAATGACTAATACAATTTTTACTCAGGCTATATAAAGAACCCTCACCAAATCAATAAGATAAAAGAACTTAAAAAATGAACAGGCAATTCAGAGGAGAAAACCTGAACTGAATTGCTAACTAGTATGTGAAAAGATGCTCAATAGCACTAGTAATCAGGAGAATGCAAATTAAACAACAATGAGGCAATGCTTCACACTCATCAGATAGGCCCACATTAAAAATATATTAAGATCAACTGAAGGGGAGGATGTGCTAAAAGATAAACTGTCGCTTACTGTTAGAGGAATGGTAAATTGGTTGCAACCATATGGGAAGATACACATTACATAAAGTGAAAGCTGTGCATACCTAGGACACAAGTATGAACTCCGGATAAATCTTTTCCCATATACTCAAGGCATGTACAAAGATGTTCACCAGAGTTTATTGTAATATGGAATATTTAACAAAACCCAGAAATTGTAATAGGAGGACATACATAAATAAATTACACTCTTCGTATTCAGTGAAATTCCATGTAAATATTAAAATGAATTGATAAAATAAACATGTACCAGGGATAAACATCAAAACAATGTTGAATGGCCAAAAAATCATATTGAGTATTGAACAGTGTCATACCATGTTTGTATTTTTTTCAATAAAAAGTAGTTCACAAAATACAGTTTAGGGATTTATACATATGTAGTGCAAATTTTAAAGTTATATGCATCAATAGTCTTCACCAATTTTGAGATGATGTTTAACTCTGCAGGAAAAAGGGTGGGGGTGAGATTAAAGGAGAAAGCTTCCAATTATTTCCATTGAGGGTTACTTTTAAAATATATTATTGAGGTATGTGTAATACAATGATTAAATGTTAGATTATGTGGTGAATATATGTGTGTCTTTTACATTACTCCCATTCTTACATATATATTTGAAATATTTCCTATTTATATTTATAATTGATAACTTTATGGATATTTAAGGAAAGGAAGACAAACAGAAGAATGAAATGGAGATGACTGATGTTCAAACAAGAACAGCAGTATGGTCCATGTCTTGGGAAGTTTTAGCCTAATACAGCATAAAAATGTGCAGCAACAATGCTTTTCAGCCTCTACTTACTAGTCTTTCCAGGGCATGGGTGTGAATCCCCCTTCTTAAACTCCAGATCAGTTACACTGACATTCAGTGTGGTATTTCACACAAGAAAAATGAGTTTTGCAAGTCTGTATTCCCCTGAACGAGCATATAGGAGATATTAATTAATGCTGGTTCACTGCTTAAATCAAGGAATTACTATCAAGGCCATTATCCTTAGCAAACTAAAGCAGGAACAAAAAACCAAATACTGCATGTTCTCACTTATAAGTGGGAGCCAAATGATGAGAACACATGGATATATATAGAGGGGAACAACACACACTGGAGCCTACCAAAAGGTGGAGGGTGGGAGGAGGGAGAATATCAGGAAAAATAACTAATGGGTACTAGGATTAATACCTGGTTTATGAAATAATCTGTACACAACAAACCCTCATGATACAAGTTTACCTATTTAACAAACCTGCACATGTGCCCCTGAACTTAAAAGTTAAAAAAGATAACCACAATAGTAGTAGCAAATATACTACATGGTAGGGTTGCAAACTTAAGAGTCAAAATATAAAGTGATTTTAAAGTGAAAATGAAAGGTAGCTAAAATTGCTCTTGAATATCCTGTTGCAAAACTTCAAGTTGTGGGAAGTTAGTTTCAAAGAGGTTTAATATAGCACTTCCCACCTGCCTTGGGATAATTTTTTTCAGTTAAAAAGTAGTATAAAAGTATAAAAAATAGTTGTCTTGCATTTATGGGTGAAGTTGTGCTAAAAATATAGTATCATAAGCACACACAGGGAGAAGAGAAGGCTATGCTGTCAGAAACATAAGGAACCTGGGCTTAAGAGAATGGCTCTGCCTCTCCCATGTCAAGGTTGCTTTTGGCTGCACGCTAGTGAATGGATTATCAGGTCAGATCATGTGCTAAGTCATTGTTTATTCCTCCTTTGTTATTATAGACCAAGCTGGTGCAATTGAATTTACATAAGTTAATTGAGAATATGATGTGATTCAACCTTAAATAGAATTGTTTCATTATTACCAAAATAATAATAATCAGTTAAAGCATGCCGGAAACCTGCTGTTTTACCAATGCAACATCATCCTAACATGCTCACATTAATGTTTTTGGCTAATTTGTTTATTTTGGATCAATTCACAAGAGGACAACTTCCAAAAGCTTCCCCACTATGCTTCATTTCTACAAATTGCTGTACCCGTGCCTGAAAAATTCACAGTTCATCTTAATTTTCCACTACGTGTGTGCTGGCCATGTGACATATCCCAAAATGTCAACACAGGAACAAGCATTTCTAAGACCATGATATTGGCTGTTGTCTATAGCCCTGATCTCTTCAAGAGTGGTTCCCAGTTGCTGGTAAATTTCCCTCAGGGAACATCTGGCAATATCTGAAGATATTTTTGATTGTCACAACTTGGGGATGAGACGACCACGTATCTAGTAGGTACAGGCCAAGGATGCTGCTAAACAATCTACAATGCACAAGATAGCTCTTTGTTGTCCTAACCTGTAAAGAATTAATCTAGCTTAAAATGTCAATAGTTCAGAAGTTGAGAACCCCTGGCTTGAATGAGAGAATTAAAATGTGGAGATAAAAAGGTCACAAAGGACCATTGAGAAACCAGACATGCACTGCCCTAGCAGAGGTTCTCCATGAGGGCTCCACCCCTGTAGCAAACTTTTGTCTGGGCATCCAGGCTTTCTTATACATCTTCTGAAATTCAGGTGGAGGTTCCCAAACCTCAATTCTTGACTTCTGTGCACCCACAGGCTCAATGCCATGTGGAAGCTGCCAAGGCTTGGGGCTCCCACCCTCGGAAGCCACAGCCCAAGCTCTACGTTGGCCCCTTTCATCCATGGCTGGAGTGGCTGGGACACAGGGCAGCAAGTCCCGAGGTTGCAAACAGCACGAGGACCCTGGGCCTGGCCCACAAAACCACTTTTTCCTCCTGGGCCTCCAGACCTGTGATGGGAGGGGCTGCCATGAAGGTCTCTGACATGGTCTGGAAACACTTTCTTCATAGTCTTGGGTATTAACATTAGGCTCCTTGCTATTTATGGAAATTTCTGAAGCTGGCTTGAATTTCTTCTCAAAAAATGGGTGTTTCTTTTCTCCTGAATCGTTATGCTGCACATTTTCTGAATTTTTCTGCTCTGTTTCCCTTTTAAAATGGAATTCCTTTAACGCTACCTAAGTCACCTTTTGAATGCTTCGCTGCTTAGAAATTTCTTCTGCTAGATACCCTACATCTTCTCTCTCAAGGTCAGAGTTCCACAAATCTCTAGGGCAGGGCAAAATGCCACCAGTTCTTTTGCTTAAACATAACAAGAGTCACCTTTGTTCCAGTTCCCAACAAGTTCCTCACCTCCATCTGAGACCACCTCACCCCAGACCTTATTTTTCATATCACTGTCAGCATTTTTGTCAAAGCCATTCAACAAAACTCTAGGAGGTTCCAAGCTTTCCCACATTTTGCTGTCTTCTTCTGAGCCCTCCAAACTGTTCCAACCTCAGACCTGTTACCCAGTTCCAAAGTCTTTTCCACATTTTTGGGTATCTTTTCACCAATGCACCACTCTACTGGTACCAATTTACTGTATTAGTCCATTTTCACGCTGCTGATAAAGATATACCTGAGACTGGGAAGAAAAGAAGGTTTAATTGGACTTACAGTTCACGTGGCTGAAGAGGCCTCAGAATCATGGCGAGAGGCAAAAGTCACTTCTTACATGGTGGCAGCAAAAGAAAATGAAGAAGCAACAATAGAAACCCCTGATAAACCTATCAGATCTCATGAGACTTATTCACTATCACGAGAATAGCACAGGAAAGACCAGTCCCCGTGATTCAATTGCCTCCCCCTAGGTCCATCCCACAAGGTGTGGGAATTCTGGGAGATACAATTCCAGTTGAGATTTGGGTGGGAACACAGCCAAAGCATATCATGGTTTGTTTGGGACCTTATAAGAAAACAAACATTTTGATGGGAAGAAATGAGCCCAAATCCAGGGGAGTACTATGTACTCTAATGATGCTAGTAATTTAGGCATATTAATAAGCCACAATTTGGAGATATCATACAATTGAATTTCAATGTAAATCCTTTTTGGTGAATGAATTAGTACTTCCAAATATGGCTAAAAGTATGGTGTTTCAAGTATATATTGCAGTGCAACAAACTAGCCCCAAACCTAGTTGCTTAAATTTGTTACTTTTCACAATGTTGTAGCATAGGAATTTGGATAGGGTTCTGTTGGGTGATTTTCCTGCTCCAAGTTGTGCCAGTTGAGGTCATTCACTCATTCAGTTTCATTAAGCTGACACCTGATATAGGCCAGAAGGTCTAATAAGTCTTCAATGTACCTGTCTGGTTTCTCAATGGTCTTTTATATGACCTTTTTCTCTCCATATTTTAATTCTCTTATCATTCAGGGTTTCTCAACTTCTGAACTATTGACATTTTAGGCTAGATTAATTCTTTACAGGATAGGACAACAGAGGGCTATCTTGTGCATTGTAGGATGTTTAGCAGCATCTTTGGCCTGTACCCACTAGATATGTGGTCGCCTCATCCCCAAGTTGTGATAATCAAAAATATCTTCAGATACTGCCAGATGTTTCCTGAGGGAAATTTACCACCAACTGGGAACCACTGGTATAACCCTAAACTTTTAAAGCATGGCACCTGGCTTTCCAGAGAGGGAAAGAGGAAGCTCCTAATCATCTCAAGACTGGGGCACAGAAATCCCAGGTTGTTACTTTTGCCACATTCTTGCAGTCAAAGCAAGTCATATGTCATCCCAGACTGAAGAGAAGGAAAAAATGACTCTACTTCCTAAGGGAGGAGAAGCAAAGAATTTGGTGCTGACCTTAATCCATCACATATAGCTTCTTTTTTGCTCTTATGTGAAGTCTTCTTTCCTGTTCTACAATCTCTTTTCTGTGTCCCATTCTATTTTTATGCTTTCCAAGACTGTTCTATGTAAACACAGAAAGTCCATATTGGTAAAGAGTCAGTCAATGCTCTAAGTCGGGCAGACCTGGGCTGAAATCCCAGCTCTGACATGACTGGTTGTGTGACTTTTTCAAATTTTAAAACAACTATGCATCCATTTCTTCATATTTTACCTGCATCTTCAGATTACTACCCCTTAGGGCTGTTGTGACTATTAAATGGAATAATGAATACAAAGCTCTGAACATAGTTCCTGGTGCTTAATAAATGTTCAATCAATGTTTATTATTTTTCATAGAGTAATTGAGATTTTGTCCTCAGTTTTTACCTCTGAATTTACACAAAGTTAATTTTAAGAATGGCCCTTATGAAGTGATTTCTAAGGCACCTAATGCTACTGCCAGTTATGTGTTAATCTGGAAAGGCTTCTCTCTTTGTATGTACAATTTGCTATCTCTGTTTTCCAAATGGAATGCATATGGTGTCCCAAACTGGTGTTATTTGTACTGCTGTGGTACAGAGTAATTTTGGTAGGAAAAATTACTTTCCAGTTTGAATCTAAACTGAAATCGAACATTTTCCATTGAGTATAAGTATGATAGTCATATTATTTACCCATAACATCAGTAAACATCTTGTTTTGACTGTAACAGTTTGAGATTTGACAATTTAACTACTTTGCTTCTATTGTTCTATTAAAAACATTGTAGGCAGAGCACGGTGGCTCACGCCTATAATCCCAACACTTTGGGAGGCCGAGGTGGGTGGATCATCTGAGGCCAAGAGTTCGAGACCAGCCTGGCCAACATAGTGAAAACCCCATCTCTACTAAAAATACAACAATTAGCCAGGTGTGGTGGCAGATGCCTGTATTCCCAGCTACTTTGGAGGCTGAGGTAGGAGGTGGAGTTTGCAGTAAGCCAAGATTGCACCACTGCACTCCAGCATATGTGACAACAGTGAAACTCCATCTCAAAACAAAAACAAAAGCATTGTATAAAAATTTTATGGGGGGGATTTATTCTTAAATAAAATTTAAATAAAATTAACATTTAAAGATTAATATAAAAATTAAATTACCTTAAATACAGAAATACTATTATTTTAATATGTATATATATGTATTTCTCAGTGTTTTTTCAATCATGTCAGGACTATTTAGAAATAAATGCATAGAGAAAGAATTGTATTAACTCCAAGATAAATATAATTTTATAAGGCATGAAAATTATGCAAACAAATTTAATGTCAATGATTTATAAGAGGCAGTCCTTAACACATGTGCAAGGGAGTCATTAACATTCACTTGAACTTGAACAATAAAATTCAAGTAAAATACCAAATAAGTATCCAGGTGAAATCAGGTTTCTGTTCTGTTGGAAACTCCCACCTGCACACTAGGCTTTCAGTCTCTCCTCAGATACGTGGAATAGGAACCTTGACTAAAACAAAGCAGAGAGAAGAGACAGAATTCAGTGTAGGGACTATGACAAGGTTGAAGAGCTGGCCAGAGGCCTGGAAATGTGATTTTCACAAGAATGATAAGAACAAAGACACGATTATAGCAAGTCCCTCAAAGACATCTTAGATGAGGCAAAATCTGGGATTAAAATGAATGGATTTGTTTAGCTGCATCAAGCATAAGATATCTTCCCACACAGATAAAATTGGAAGATGAAAAACAAAGTTGCCAACCTGTTCCTGGATAGATGAGAGAATATAATGACTAAAAGGCAACAAAGTCATTTTCATGTAGCGTGTGCTAAATAAATTTAACAGGAAGACAGCAGAAGTTAGAAGGTACCATGTGGGTCAATCTAAATTGGGAAGAATCAAGGTGAGTAAAACAGCAACAAAATGAAAAGGCAGCCAGCAGATTTGGAGGAAATATTTGCAAACCATATATCTTATAGGGGGTTAATACCCATAATGCATAAGGAACTTGTACAACTCAGTAAAAAAAAAAATAATAATCTGACTAAAAATGGGCAAAGGACCTGAATACACATTTTCCCAAAGAAGGCAGGTAAATGGCCAACAGTTATATGAAGAGGTGTTCAACATCAGTAATTATCAGGAAAATGCAAATTAAAGCTGCAATCAGATATCACCTCCCACCTGTTAGGATGGCTATTATCAAAACACAAGCGATCACAAGTATTGGTAATGGGGTGGAATAAAGGGAACCTCTGTACCCTGTTGGTGAGAATATAAATTGGTAGAGCCACTATGGAAAACAGTGTGGAGGTTTCTCAAAAAAAAAAAAAAAATAGAAGTACCATATGACCCAGAGATCTGTCTGCTGAGTATATACTCAACGGAAATAAAATCAAAATCTTGTAGAGGTATCTGTTCTCCCATGTTCATTGCTGCATATTCACAATAACTAAGATACAAAAACAACTTAAGTGATCATCAATAAATGAAAGGATAAGGAAATTGTGGGGTATGTGTGTGGGTGTGTTCATGATAGAATATTACTCAGCCTTAAAAAGGAGGTGAATTGTGTCATTTGTGACAACATGGATGAACCTAGAGGACATTATGCCAAGTGAAATGAGCCAGACATAGAAAAATACTGCATGATCTCATTTATGTATGGAGTCTATATATCCTAAAATATATAGAACAGAGAGTAGAAAGGTAGTTATAAAAGAAGATGAGGAAGTGGATATAGCCAGGTCAAGTGGTACAAACTAGCAGTTATGTAGAATGAATATGTCTAGTGATCTAAGGTATAGCATGAAGACTATAGTTAATAATATTTTATTGTAAATTGAAAATTTGCCAAGAGGGTAGATTTTAGGTGCCCTTACCCCCTCAACACACACATACACACTCATAATAGTTAACTTTGTGAGTTGATGCATGCATTCATTTTTCAAGCCATTTTTAATAACAGCATTTCACAAGCTAGTTATTGTGGATACAACAATAGAGACCCAATGTATGTTCACACTTAGCTCTCAGGATACACCCTTTACTTTATGTTGGAATAATAGCTTCTCAGTCTCTTAGACTTCTCTTGCATAATCATGCTTATTCCTAGGGCAGAAAAGAAAAGAAATTCCTCCCAAGATAATGATGGTTTATGAGAAGTAAAAAGACAAGTTAAGGCCAAGTTTAAAAGAATAATAACAGTAATTATTATTACTGCTAATATTTGATCTGTGTGTACTATGATTCAGGCTCTTTCCTGAGTGTTTCACATACATTGTTTGATTTAAGTAAGCTGAAGTTCAAATACTGGGTTGAATAAAGCTTTGAAAATCAGATGAAATCAAAATCAAGGTCAATAAGCCAGATCTGAAATGCCAGGGGAGATGGAATCAAGAGAAAGAAAATGAAGCAATGGTAGGGGGATTACCTCAGAAACCATCTCATACATATGAGGTAAAAGGAGCATCCTACATGAATAGGTCAGGCTTGCTTAGAGGGTGAGATGCAGATATAAACACAGTGCATGCTGTGCCCATCACACAAATGTCCTTCCCCTTCTCTTTGCTATACACAAAACTTTCAGGTTTCCCTATCCTGTTTAAACAAACTTCTTTCTCTTTCCTTTACCAATTCTCATCAATGTGACTTCAGACCCCACCTCTCAACTGAAACTATGGTCTTTACTATCACTGAGAACACATTGTTTGAAAAACCCAGTGTCCTTTCCTAATCTTCACTATCCTCAATAATTTTAAAGCACTAGATGCTGTTGATTAGCCATTGTTTCTTTAAACCACTTCCTCTCTGAAATTTTTTGTTTCGTTATCTTCGACTGTTTCTTTTTCCTATTACTTTACTGAATTTCCATCCATGCCCCGTGTTTTATGCTTTTATTTCTGTTCATTCACTCTCTCTGAAAGCTTACCCACTGCTGCTTTTTAAACTATTCCAACCAGGTAGGCAAATTCCAGTTCTCATTTTCAAAGTATAAATCTAATTATCTACATTCCAACACTGTCTATGTCTGCCAAGATGGTGCATCTATTTCAGTCAGGACAGGACAAGTTCTACTTCACAAAAAATAAGCCTGAAAAATTAGTGATAATAAAAAAAGTATTTCTACTCATGCTACACCCAATGTACAGCAACTTGTTCTCTTCCAAACTGGCTCAGGGATCCAGATGTGATGTAAACGTGGAAATGGCATATATTCTTTCCAACCACATTCTGTTGGCTGGAACCTAGCTGCATGATCCCAACTTAACTTTGAGGGAGTCTCATAAATGTAGCCTTCATAGCCTTCACGTGAACACTAGAGGGAACAAATAAAATAGAATTTGATAAACACTATTTTCCCTACATATTCCCACTCAAGCTGCTTATTAAGTCTCAAATCTACATCATAGTCTTCCTCTCCAAACTGTAATTAGCTAACTTTAACAATTTCCAATAGTCATTCATTGTTTTTTCTTGAATATCTCAAGCTTAAAAGAAATATTTTAAACAAGTATTTACACATTATTATATAAATTTGACAGTTACAACCTATTCTTTTAAAATATCACTTACGCATTTTCAGTATAGCCATATGCCATGTAACATTTCAGTCAATGTCAGACCACATATACGACGGTGGTCCCATAAAGTATTTTAACTGTGCCTTTTCTATGTTTAGATATCTTTAGATACACAACTTCTTACCATAGTGTTACAATTGCCTATTGAGTTAAATACAAAAAAAAAATATGCTGTACAGTGTTTGTAGCTAAGGAGCAATGGGCTATGTCACATAGCTTAGGTGTTTGGTGCGGCTCTACCATCTAGGTTTGTGTAAGTACACTCTACTATGTTCACACAATGCCAAAATCACCTAATAATATAGTTCTCAGAATGCACCCCATTGATAAGTGATGCATGACTACATTAATACCTTAGACTAGACATTTATAAACTACGGCCTGCGTTACTTCAAACATCTCTCATTATATTATCTTCCTTCTCAGTTTTTCTCTATCATTATTCTGAAATTATTTTTTTAAAACGATGTTTCCTTTATGGCTCTTCCCTGCTTAAGTGACTTCCTATTTTTCTCAGCATCAAGTGCAAACACTCAAAAATCTCATGGCCTTGCATATTCTGGTACCAAAACCACCCAGAAGGTTTGATACTCCATTGCTCTCTAACATGTTCCCCATTGCTTCCAGTGTTCCCTGGGACATTCCTCTCATAATCTCCTCACCATCCCCCGCTACCTTCCATACATATAGGTCAAACTATTTCATGTCTTAGTGATCAGGGATCTTTTCCTAGCCTAAAATACACAAACTCTTTTATTCATTGATCCAAATTCTATTTATTCTTTAAGACCCAACTTCAATTCCACTTCTTCTGTCAAGCTTTGTCTATTTCAAATAATGCTAATCCCTTTGTTCACTGTTCTTAGTTCAGCACTTTATTGCTTTTTTTTCCCCCCTATTTCATGTTGGATTTTTCTCCTAAGCTAGCATGTAACAATTAAGGACTCAAAGCTTTCTCATGACTGCAGAACTTAACTCTGTGTGCTCCTTTGTGGCCTATATTTCTCTTAATACAGCACCTAAGAGAGTAATAGGCATATAGTCAATTCTAAAGAAAATGAAAATGCTGCAAGGTTAAGAAAAATGCAATTATAATACACCAAGAATAATTGTTTATTTTTGTAGCACATCTTTCCATAGATATTTTCATAAATTCTACCAGGTTGTTGTTTTCTTGGTCTATTGTGAGTAGCATATAAAATTTTTATAGAACTCCAAAAAAGCTTCAATATTGTGTAAGTACTCTTGACATAAACCTATATTGATACCTTTAAGTAATACAAAATACTACATACAACATTTATTGAATATGAAGTATATGGAATACATATGTGTAGATATATGTGTGTATATGTATATATATAGAGAAACAGTATATATGTGTATGTGTATATATATGTACACATATAAATAGACAAAGAAAAAGAAAAAGATATCTGGGCAACTTCCATCTCGAAACCTACGTGCAGAATTTGAAGTTTGTGCATTAATGTTTTCCTGAAGATTTAGGTCTCCTCTGGACATACTCAGCTGTTCTTTTGGGTGTTTGTGCTTTGATCATGTTTGATTATGGGCTTTCAGGATTTGGTGACTCGTATCATGAGTGCAGGATGCTTACATGTCTTTTCTTCAACTTGCAGCCCCCTATCAATGAGTTCTTGATTTCCTAAAAGGAGTGTCAAGGATCAAGCCTACTTTGCCGAGTTACCATATTTCTCTCTTCCTTTAAATCCTCTCTGGGGAATTACTTTCGGTGTCCATCAGTTTTTCCATGAGGTCCTCTTCCCTTTGGTGCCAGCTTCCTCTTTAGTACATTCCTATAAAAAATTCTGTAATTGTCATTTCACTCTCAAATAGATACGTGACTATAAAAACTTAAATCGCCCCTGCCTATATGTATGCTCACCTAAAATTAGTTGACTCACAGCAAAATTATTCAAGATATTTACAAATGCCACCTTTCTTTGCTCTTTCAGTTTGTTCCACACCTGTTAGTTAATTCAGTGGGGTCTCTGGCTTCTCTTTTGTTGGCATTATCCTGCGTGTATCCCATGAAGCCCCAGAATGATGTGGGGACATGTAAGAGAGCCCCTTTTCTGTAAGAATATTGCTATCCTGTGAGTGTTTCAGTGGAAAAGGCACTTGAGGAAAACCCTGTTTTTACAGTCTGATTTAAATATCCGCAAGTATCTAAAGAGGCAGGAAACGAAGAATCCAGTCCCAGCTCTGCCACTGACTGCCTGCGTGACCATGGGCAAGCCAATGAATCTCTCTACAACTCAGGTTTCTCATTTGCAAAGTGACAGAGTTGGACCAGATGATTTCTGAGGCCCATTTGCAATCTTCTATGCGGTAATTTTTTTTTCATCATTGATATTCATTGTGATTTGCAAAGAGATGAGAATTTTGAGCAAAGCTTTTGATTTAAAGTCTGTGCTCAGAAGTACTGCTTACCAGGTACAGTGAATATGAATGAGGGGATTTAGATGTTTCATAGGATGAACTTCAATGGCCACCAAAACCTTCCTTCTCCTGAGCTCCACATCCAAGAATATTCTTTTTCACACCTACTGTTAATCCCTCCGGGTAAATAGGCATGACAATAATAATGAAATACTTTTTTTCTGAGAAATGTTAAACACACTATTGACCAGTCTTGCAAATACAAGCCACATATTTACCAGCCCACCAAGAATGTTTCCAACAATCTTTCTACCAGACCCTGCCTAGAAAGAACAATTAGCTTACTTGTGACTTGTCTTGAAAATAAAAAATATGGCAAGAATGACCTGAGTATCTACTAGAATATAGGAAAATCCTGTTCCTGACCCTGATAAAGTCCCACTCAAGTTCTATCATTATGAAGCCTCATTTCTGTTTCTAAGTGGGTTTCTCTATCTCTCAAGCTTCAGTGAACTTAAAAATCTCCTGAGAGATTTGTTAAAACACAAACTTTTGGCTGCCAATCTCAGCCATTCTGATTCAATATGCTAGGAGTGCCACATGATTTTTGCATAAATGTTCAGGTGATGCTGCTGCTGATCTGATGAGTATATTTTGAGTAGTCTTACTCCAAAGTATTACTGCATTATTTGTCTTAATTTTGCACACAAACGATACCCAGCAAATATTCGTTAACTTAATTAGATATGCATTAAACATAAATAAAATGTTTTCTATAATCAATGATTAATTTTTGAAGCTGATTCTCAAGTTTCTAATTTCTAAAATGATGGAAATTATAAATAATAACCACCATCTCTTGTGGTTTTTATGAGAATGGAGTGAGATAATTTATGTGCAAGCACTTTGTAAATTTAGCAGTTTTATTAAAATGTGAGATGTGGTAGTAATTTTAGCACTAATGGCAATAGAACCCACTGAGATTTGAGAGTACTGTAAATTTGACTGTTGAATTTGGAAGTGAATTCTAAATCCTGCACCAGGGCTTAGCAGGTTTCTGTAGGCTAGACTGGGAACCTAACTCCCATGTATAAATTGGGCAGTATGCTACAATTGTTTCTTTCTATGAGAAAATGCATCCCAAATTCTAAACTTAATTTTTAGAAGACACTTATTTATAAATTGGAGGGATATAATGATTAAAAACACCTTGGCTTTCACTGTCAAAGAAAGGATTTACAAATAAGAATGAGGAGAAAGCTAGAATAATCCCTTTGTTACTGGATTATAGTCAGAGATGTTCATATGAACTTGTGTTTGTAGATAAATATAGATAGATATAGATATATGTGTAAACATAGATTAGCATATATACATATATTTTGTAGATCTGTCTCCTGCAAGAGCCTAGAAGTAGTGACACTTAAATAGAAACATGCATATCTAGTATCCAGATGTTAGTTTCTAAACACCATTTTTCCATCAAAGAAGTTAGAGCTTCTTGAAGAAATGGCTGATACTAGTGCTAAGGCATGGAAAACACAGAATGAGCCTAGAGCATCTTGTACTGCTCAAAAGTTAAAAATGATATACTAAATATATATACATAGATGTGAAATATAATTCACTAGGTTTTATATACATATATGTGTGTGTGTATATATATATATGTAAAATAGATATATAGATGCATATAAAAAAAACAAAACTATCCTGAACGACCTCCTAATGTCCAAAGCTGAAACAGTGTGTAACAGAATAATGACAATATTGAGTTTCAACCCAAATAAAAAAATAAGTGAAACTGAAAATAAATTAAAAAATAAAAAAAAACTAGTTATTAATCCCCTAAGCACCTCTCCAAGACTCCAGTGAAAGGCAACTTTTAATGTTATATAAAAGATAGAGGATTTGAAGTTAGAAACTTTTATTTAAAATTTGGTTCTGATACTTATTGTATGTCTTTAGCAAGTGGTTTAACCCAAGCCTTAATTTCCCAGTTTGCTATCCTCCTTTTCTGAGTCGTTAAAAGCAACACACAAGATAATATCCTTTGAAACTATAAAGTGATAGAAAATTTAGTTATTATTTACCATCTTTATTAGCCTACTGCAGTGGTTTTCAAAGGCATGGTCTGGAGACCCCAAATTCTTTATCAAGGTATATGAAGCCAAATTATTTCCATAATAATTCTAACATGATATTTGTTCTCTTCACTCTAATTGTCTCAGGAGTATACAGTAGAGTTTTCCAGAGGCTACATGGTGTGTGATGGCACCATCATTCTAATGTACGATGAAACGCATATTGTTTTTCTTGAGTTTTAACAACTTCTCAGTTTTAATTTCTAATATGGTACATGGCAATAGACACAAACCACATAAACAAAAACTTCTGGGGACTTCAAATAGTTTTAATAATATAAAGTGCTTTTGACACAAATAAGTTTAAGAGCCACTACTTTAATTGTTTATTATATACTCTACAATGATAATTAAAGCAAATTTAAAAATCTGTAATCAGGCATTTGAGGGCAGGCTTTTCCTTAGTTAGCTGAATTATTACTAAACTACTCTAAATTTGAGAAATTTCTTCACTCAGTGAAAAGGGGATAAAGCCATATGTGTCTGGGATATTGAGATGAAAATGTGATCAGAACCTCCAACCCTGTGTCAAGTGAAGGCTTACAGAAGCACAAATGAACAGTTCTAATACAATATAGTAAATCTTGAATACATTTGTATGCAGAGGAATCCCTGAGGTAGAGATTAGAAATATTTATCAGGGCAGGAAACATTTGAAATTGAGTCTCAAGGAAGAGAAGAATGGGGAAACCAGAAATTAGGTTTTTATTCCAGAATTTCACACATTCTAGGAATCAGAAATTATGATAGCAAAGGAATGGCAGCCTGGAAGAGCAAGGCATGCTTAATAACAGCTGGAAATTTGTTATGATTTATTTTCCTACCAAATATAGGTCTCGATTGCTAGGTTTCCTATCATTTTTAAAGGGTTCCTACTGATGTTAAAACAGCAGTTTCCTGGGTGATATGTGAGTAGAAGTCAAAACAGCAAGAGTCTTTTGGGATAGAAAGAAGGATTTTTTTTTTAGGCAAGAGGAGAAAGGAAGAAATAATAAGGGGTCTTGGTTTTCATGGTAAGTACATATTATTATTATTTATTATACTAAAAGTTCTCATGGCCAGTTAAATTAGCCATGAGAACTTTTGCCTGCTTTCCTGATCTCAAATTATATGACACTGAAGCCTCAAAGCTCCTCTTCATTATTTCTCTCTTAAGAACTTCTTGAAGACTGAAGGGTTCAGTCTATTGCACAGGCACAATCTGATGTGCATTTTACATATATCATCTTGCATTGAAAGAAAGAAGTAAACTATCTTTGGTGGGCAGCTGACTGCATAAATATTTGAAAAACAATGTTTTTCTCCTTTTCACACATTGTGTAAGTGCAGTTATCTTTCTAAAAACCCCCACATTTTTGTTCTCTGGGGTTTGATCATCATTCACTGTTATCAATGGTACTTTTGACTTAAATATGCCATTGCCCTCTGGAAACCAGCTTTTATTTTGTCATTCAGGTGTTCAGATTTATAATATAAATAATAATTTTAATCCTTCAAAAATTCAACTATTTTGTAAGGCATTTTGCTTATGAATTTCAACTGTTTTAAAAGTTGTAAGTTGATAAAGAGAAAGATGACACTCAGCACTTCAGCAACTTTAATTTTCATAAATATCTGTTTTATAGATTTGGACAAATCTTATAGCATTTAATGCAGGCCAATTTGCTAGCTTTTTAAAAATATTTTATGTTCTTAGTTCCAGATTAGACTGTAACTTATGACACTATACATTTCAAATAGTAAAAATAGTTTCCAACTTATTTAGATAACTATAGACACAACCCCATACAGGGTAATGGGCAATATCAGGATCTAATTTCAGGAGTTTCAGTTTTCTTCCCTTTTCAGATTGATCATCTGCCTAAAAGCATAGTTACGGAACACAGCTCCAGTGAGAAAACCAACGACCTATATGAGATCCTTGATCCTGAAAAATGCAACTCATTAATTTACAGATTGCTGTTGACAATTCAAAAACAAATGCTTTAATAAAGCAAGTTGTTTTTGAATGTTAACATAATAACCATGATAGGCAGCTTTTTATAATCAGAGGCTAATCATTATTAATTTCTTTGACATTCAGTGCAGTGACATTAATTATAATAAGCTCTTTCAGTAAACATTAAATGCATACCAGAGCTCTATGGCAAATGTGTTGCCATTTGGAATTCATTGTTGTACAGTTACTGTGAAGTGTCGCTGTATTATCTAGTTTTCAGCAGTTATTAATCAAAATAAATACCTGACTTTTCTGTAGATTTAAAAATTCCTGAAATCCCGTGTTTGAGATGTTTCATGAGTTAGATTTTAAAAGTTTGAAATTTTGTTTGACCTTAAGAAATTATCTATTTTCCATAGCTAGATTTTCTTCCCTTAAATCTCTACATATGGTTTTTGTTTTTGTTTTTATTTCCATATGTTATTGGGGAACAGGTGGTGTTTGGTTATATGAGTAAGTTCTTTAGCGGTTATTTGTGAGATTTTGGTGCACCCATCACCTGGGTAGTATACACTTTACCTTATTCATAGTATTTTCTCCCTCACCCCCTTGCCACCCTTTCCCCTTGAGTACGCAAAGTCCATTGTGTCATTATTATGTCTTTGCATCCTCATGCAAATGGACACCAAATGCGAGCAGGAGTAGCTATTCTTATATCAGACCAAACTTTAAAGCAACAGCAATTAAAAAAGACAGAGACATTATATAATGATAAAAGGCCTTGTCCAAAAGGAAAATATCACAATCCTAAACAAATAGCACCTAACACTGTAGCTTGCACCTAACACTGTAGCTTTCAAATTTATAAAACAATTAATAATACACCTAAGAAATGAGATAGACAGCAACATGATAATAGTGGGGGACTTCAGTACTCCACTGACAGCACTAGACAGGTCATTGAGACAGAAAGTCAACAAAGAAGCAATGGATTTAAACTATATCCTAGAACAAATGGACTTAGATATATACAGAACATTTCATCCAACAGCTGCAGAATATACATTCTATTCAACAGCTCATGGAACTTTTTCCAAGATAGACCATATGAGAGGCCACAAAATGAGCCTTAATAAATTTATGAAAATACAAATTATATCAAGCACTCTCTCAGACCACAGTGGAATAAAACTGGAAATCAACTCCAAAAGGAACCTTCAAAACCATGCAAATACATGGAAATTAAATTACCTGTTACTGATCATTGGTTCAAGAATAAAATCAAAATGGAAATTAAAAATTTATTTGAACTGAATGACAATAGTGACACAACTTATCAAAACCTCTGTTACACAGCAAAGGCAGTGCTAAGAGGAAAGTTCATAGCCCTAAATACCTACATCAGAAAGTATGAAAGAGCACAAACAGACAATCTAAGATCACACCTCAAGGAACTAGAGAAACAAGAGCAAACCAAACCCAAACCCAGCAGAAGAAAGGAAATAACCAAGATCAGAGCTGTATTATTCTGTTTTCATGCTGCTGATAAAGACATACCTGAGACTGGGCAATTGATAACAGAAAGAGATTCAATGGACTCACAGTTCCATGTGGCTGGGGAGGGCTCACAATCCAGGCGGAAGGTGAAAGTCACATATCACATGGTGGCAGACAAGAGAAGAGAGATTGTGCAGAGAGACTCCTGTTTTTAAAATCATCAGATCTTGTGGACTTATTCATTACGATGATAACAGCGTTGGAAAGACCTGCCCCCATGATTCAGTTACCTCCCACTGGGTCCCTTTCATGACACGTGGGAATTAAAGTTGAGATTTGGGTGGGGACACAGCCAAACAGCATCATTCTGCCCCTGACCCTTCCCAAATCTCATGTCCTCACATTTCAAAACCAATCATGCCTTCCCAACAGTCCCCAAAAGTCTTAACTCATTTAATCATTAACTCAAAAGTCCACAGTCCGAAGTCTCATCAGAGATAAGGCAAGTCTCTTCCACCTTATCAGCCTGTAAAATCAAAAGCTAGTTAGTTGCTTCCTAGATACAATGGGAATACAGGCATTGGGTAAATACAGCCATTCCAAATGGGAAAAATTGGCCAAAACAATTGGCCATGCAAGTCTGAAATCCAGCGGGGCAGTCAAATCTTAAAGCTCTAAAATGATCTCCTTTGACTCCAGTTCTCACACCCAGGTCACACTGATGCAAGAGGTGGGCTTTCACAGCCTTGGGCAGCTCCACCCCTGTGGCTTTGCAGGGTATAGCCCCCATCCTGGCTGCTTTTATGGGCTGGCAATGAGTGTCTGCAGCTTTTCCAGGCACACAGTGCAAGCTGTCAGTGGATCTACCATTCTGGGCTCTGGAGGATGATGGCCCTCTTCTCATAGCTCCACTAGGCAGTGCCCCAGTAAGGGCCCTGTGTGGGGGCTCCAACCACACATTTCCCTTCTGCACTGCCTTATCAGAGGTTCTCCATGAGGGCCCCACCCCTGCAGCAAATATCTGCCTGGGCATCCACGTGTTTCCATCCTCTGAAATCTAGGTGGAAGTACTTAAACTCCAATTCTTGACTTCTGTGCACTTGCAGGCTCAACACCACATGGAAGCTGCCAAGGCTTGGGGCTTGCACCCTCTGAAGCAACAGCCCAAGCTGTATGTTGGCCCCTTTCAGACCCGGCTAGAGTGGCTGGGACACAGGGCACCAAATCTCTAGGCTGCACAAAGCTCAGGGACCCTGGGCCCAGCCCACCAAACCATTTTTTCTTGCTAAACCTCCAGGCCTGTGATGGGAGGGGCTGCTGCAAAGGTCTCTGACATGCTCTGGAGACATTTTCCCGATTGTCTTGGTGGTTACCATTTGGCTCCTCCTTACTTATGTAAATTTCCTCAGCTAGCTGAATTTCTCCTCAGAAAAGGGGACTTTCTTTTCTATCGCATTTTCAGGCTGCAAATTTCCCAAACTTTTATGCTCTTTTTCCTTTTTAAAACAGAATGCCTTTAACAGCACCCATGTCACCTCTTGTATTCTTTGCTGCTTATAAATTTATTTCACCAGATACCCTAAGTCATCTCTCTCAAGTTCAAAGTTCCAAAAATCTCTACAGCAGGGGCAAAATGCTGCCATTTGCTAAAATGCCGTCTCTTTGCTAAAACACAACAAGAGTCACCTTTGTTCCAGTTCCCAACAAGTTCTTCATCTCCATCCGAGACCACGTCAACCTGGATTTCATTGTTCATATCATTATCAGAATTTTGGCCAAAGCCATTCAGCAAGTCTCTAGCAGGTTCCAAACATTCCCACATTTTCCTGACTTCTTCTGAGCCCTACAAACTGTTCCAACCTCTGCCTGTTACCCAGTTCCAAAGTCACTTCCACATTTTCTGGTATCTTTTCAGCAGTGCCCCATTCTACTGCTACCAATTTACTGTATTAGTCCATTTTCATGCTGCTGATAAAGACATCTCCAAGACTGGGCAAGGTGCAAAAGAAAGAGATTTCATAGAGTCACTGTTTCATGTGGCTGGGGAGGCCTCACAATCATAGTAGAAAGTGAAAGGCACGTCTCACATGGCAGCGGAGAAAATAAGAGAGCTTTTGCAGGGAGATTCCCATTTTTAAAACCATCAGATCTTGTGAGACTTATTCACTAACATGAGAACAGCACAGGAAAGACCTGCCCCCATGATTCAAGTACCTCCCACTGGGTCCCTCCCACAACACATGGAAATTCAAAATGAGATTTGTGTGGAGACACAGTCAAACCATATGAAGAGCAATACTAAAATTGGAGCAAAAAAAAAAAAAAAAAAAGATAAATGAAACAAAAAGCTGGTTCTTTGAAAAGATAAATAAAATTGATAGACCATTAACAAGATTAACCAAGAAAAGAGAGAAAATCCAAATAAGTTTAATAAAAACAAAACAGGAGATATTACAACTGACATCACAGAAATACAAAAGATCATTCAAGGCTAGTATGAACACCTTTACGTGCATAAACTAGAAAACCTAGAAGAGATGGATAAATTCCTAGAAAGATACAACCCTCCCAGCTTAAATCAGGAAAAGTTAGATATCCTGAACAGACCAATAACAAGCAGCAAGATTGAACTGGTAATTTTAAAATTACTAACAAAAAAAAAGTCAAGTACCAGACAGATTCATGGCAGAATTCTACCAGACATTCAAAGAAGAATTGGTACCATTCCTAATGACACTATTCCACAAGATAGACAAAGAGGCAACCCTCCCTGTAAATCATTGTATGAGGCCAGTATTACCCTAATACCAAAACCAGGAAAGGACATAACCAAAAAAAACTACAGACCAATATGCCTGATGAACACAGATGCTAAAATCTTTAACAAAATACTAGCTAACCAAATCCAGCAACATATCAAAAAGATAATCCACCATGATCAAGTGGGTTTCATACCAGGGACGCAGGAATGGTTTAACATAGGAAAGTCAATAAATGTGATACACCACATAAACAGGATTAAATACATAAATCACATGATCATCTCAATAGATGCAGAAAAAGCATTCAGTGAAATCCAGCATTCCTTTTTGATTAAAACTCAGCAAAATCAGTATAAGGGGACATACCTCAATATAATAAAAGCCATCTATGACAAATTCACAGCCAACATGAAATCTCTACATTTGATTTTTGCACATTCTCTCTGTTTCTCTTATTTCCTGATTCATAAAAACTTTTTAAAAAGAAATATTACATTCATAACCTGTGTTTAATAAACTGAGTGGAGAGCAACTATTATTTCATTACCTTTGAAGTTTAATTATAGAGAAAAATAATCATCCCATGAAAATCTGAATACTCTAAATTAGTGCTAATTTATTTTGTCTAAGGCATATAGATTTTGTTACCTCACTGTGCTTTTGTTATTTTTTTAACTAATTGTTAGTAGTGTCTTTTTATTCTATCTGATCAGTTTCATCATATAGTAGTGTCATATCTTGAGGACAGTGATAGAGAAGGTGTGAAGGCTTTGGAGTCAGAGAGCTCTATTTTTACTGCATGATTCTGAGAAAAGGACTGTGTTCAATCTAATGGGAGAATGAATTTTGTAAGGCTTAGCTGTAATGTAGCTCAAAGCACATGATAGATGTTCTATTCAAGATGAGTATTCAGAGCTAGCATTTAATGGCCAATTTGTGTTAAGCAATGTGCAGCTTACAAGTGTCATTTTACCTAATCATTAGAACAACTTAGCAAGGCAAATAAACTTATTATCCTCATTTTAAAGATAAAGCAACTAAGACTCACAGATGTTTAATATTTTGCCCTAGACTGTATAACTGATACCTGATGATATAATTAGTGAATTGAGGATTTGAACTCAGAAAGTCTGATCCTTCAGCCTGTGGTTTTAATCTGTTACCTTTTCTATATTTTGTTATCTAGCTATTACTCTTATTATTAGATAATTTTATGCAAGAAAACCTAGGCTTTAGATCACAAATTCTCTTTTAATAATTCTGAAACAGGATAAAAATATTGTTCTAGGCATGTTCTCTACCTCCCAGTTTTGAGTATATTTTTGCCAGCAATAAGTTCTCTTTTAAGAATTCTGAAACAGGATAAAAATATTGTTCTAAGAATGTTCCCTACCTCCAAGTTTTCAGTAATTTTTGGCCAGAATTCTTCCAAATCCTCTGCATAAATAATTTGTATTTTTCCCCTCTTCCCCCTCTTCTTCCTCCTCCTTTTCTCCTTCTTGTCCTTGTTCTTCCTCCTCCTTTTCTCCTTCTCATCCTTGTTCTTCCTCTTTCTCTCCATCTCTCTGACTGTGTCTCATTCTCCTTATACTCTCCCTCCTTCTTCCTCACTTTCCCATTCTTGTCAGAACTATATGCCTGTCTTTAGTGTATTTAGCCACAAGCTATGATTCTAGACTGTGCAGAGCTACCTGGAGTAGAGGCATTTGTTCTTGCTGAGCTCTAGATTATGTTCATAACTACCTCCATCACTCTGATACTTCCTATTCCCCAGCATAAACAGTAGAAATATGCACATTTAATACACACACACACACACACACAAACACACACACACACGCAAGCAGAATCATGAAAGAAACAGTTCTGAGGATGAATTAGAGCCACTGATTTAAACGTGGAATTACTGAAAACAGGAGACACCCTAAGTCAGCTACTTATACAAAGCAGGGGTATTTCTAACAGGACAGTCGGTAAAAGTTGCCTTCTCCCCTTGCTCCTTTTCTTTTTGCCTTCCTCAACTTCTCCAGGTGATTTTTTTTTTTCCCTTAAAGAAGCTCAATTCTTCCCTAGAGGTTACCACACTCTATGCCATTGGTTTCCCCAGCTGGTTGATTAAAATAATCCTTTTTCAATTTCCCCAACAAAAAGAGTTAGCTCTCCTCCACCTTACCCTTGAGGTCAAAGAATAGGTGGCCGGTGCAGTTTGAAAAAGTTTCATAGCGTTTCTAAGTAATTGCAGCTCTCAATGGCCGAGCGCGGTGGCTCACGCCTGTAATCCCAGTACTTTGGGAGGCCGAGGTGGGTGGATCACAAGGTCAGGAGATCGAGACCATTCTGGCTAACACAGTGAAACCTCGTCTCTACTAAAAATACAAAAAAATTAGCCAGGTGTGGTGGCGGGCACCTGTAGTCCCAGCTACTCAGGAGGCTGAGACAGGAGAATGGCGTGAACCCGGGAGGCGGAGCTTGCAGTGAGCGGAGATCGCGCCACTGCACTCCAGCCTGGGCGACAGAGAGAGACTCTGTCTCAAAAAAAAAGAAAAAGAAAAAGAAAAAGAAATTGCAACTCTCCTTCTTGCTGCCCCAGTCACTTGAATCACAGTTATACATTTTAAAAAAGAAAACTTTTTTTCACTTTATTTCTTGATAAAAGAATCTAACATGGCACTGTCTTGAATCAGCACCCTACTAGTGATTGTACAGAAATAAATGAAGGAAGAAAATCTGTAGGGCCTTGGGAACATTCTTTGGTTCTTGGACAAAATAATTCTTGTGCAAATGGTTACACTAAAGATTTCTTCTATTTAGGATCCTAGAAAGTTAAGAGTTAGAAAAAACATGATATCATTTAGCTCGATGAATCCATTTTAGAGATTAGCAAATGAAGTTCCAGCCAAAGGAAATAACTTGTTTTACCGTGTGCCAGATATGACTGGTGACTAAGACAGGGCAAGAGTCCAGTTTTTCTAGTTCAAAAACAATTTTGTACAGGTCAGAGGAGTCTTTCTGAGAAATATGCTGGTATATCAGCAAGTTGCTAGTATCTTTCCCTGCTCACTTCTCTTTTTGAAGTGTTGGGAAGACTTATTTTGGCACTAGGGCCTGAGAGCATCATCTTCTCATCCAATATTGCTCTGTTCACCTGTAACTCAGGTTTCAGAAAATATGATCCTCATGTTTTTCCTGTACTTGTATTAACTGCATCATACTTTATATCCTAAAGTAAAATAAGTCTTCACTTTGATAATTGGTTGACTACTTGAGATATTTAATCCCAAAAGTCTCCTAAAGGTTTTTGCCTGTTCTGAATAGCAACATGCAACACCTCCTTATAATAATCCTAAGGCAATAAGAGTCCGACCAAGTACAGGAAAGAAGAGGGTGCAGTCATAGAGAGTCTGAAGACAAATTATAAGATAAAATCTTGTGCATCTCACTGTTTAGTCTCAATGTTTAGACTCCATTAAATTAATATGCAGGAACATCGAAGGGGCATCAATTGTAGATGGAAAGTTAAAGGACCAGACAAATGACTGTGTGTATGCACATGAGAATATTACAGGTTTAGTTTTGAAGCCTGGCTTTGTCCTTGGGCTGCTGTAGGACCTTGGGCAAGGATCTTAAGCTCCCCAGGTAAGAAATAAATGTTAGCACTTATTACTATAATAATAATTATTAAATAATTTGTACTCAAGAAAGACAGATTGAGAGGTTTTCTGACTTCGGTTTAAATCCTAAATCTTTACTGTTTGATGTCATTGTAGTTAAGTAGATGGTTTCCAGGTGTGTGTGTGTGTGTGCATGTGTGTGTGTGTGCATGTGTGTGTGTGTTTTAACCAAAGCTTTGCTTTGTAATGAATGACAGCGTGCTCCTTGTTTACATTGTTTAGAATGGTGCTAATATTTATTTTAGTGCCTTTAATATTATTTTGTTCAATCATTTCCTGAATTAATATTTGTTTACAAGGACTGATAATTTTATACCTTTGTTCAGAACGACAGAAATCTCAAAAGTTTTACAACATCTATACCTACAGGATGTCAGATTATCCACCCTTAGATATAAATACATACACATACCTGGGTAGGTATTTCCAGGTGTGAAAGCACAAGTGGAGCATTTTGGAAATCTAGTTGACTTGGTCAGGCTATTAGGACTGCCATTCAACCCGGAACAAAGACTCAACAATTGGTATTTAGTACACATTAAAGAATGCATGAAAAATGATCACCTTTATCTTTGATTCTCCCTTTTCACCTAAATGACTACAATACCCAACTTTATCCAGTGCTATATGTCTCTCATACAGACAAGTCTAGCCATGATTTGACACTGGATTTGGACTACAGGACCTGTGACTTTCTAGGCATTGTACAAATACTGAACTAGATTTGTACATCTACAGATTGAAAGCCAGGATGTGATAAAGTTCTGGTTACAAATTTACAGAATGGCGAAGATACAAAGAATAGAAGAAGTCAAAACAAAACAAAACGAAATGAAAAAGACCATCTATCTCCTTCAGGGATTTCAGCCTTCAGATGTAGAAATTCAAGCTTTGAACGATGAACAGGGAATGCTGGAGAAGCCTGAAAGGGCTGAGTCTTCTATTGATAAGACGGATAACTAATAAGTATAACTTTACTTGGTGGTCCACATAAGACATTCATGAAACTCACTATTCCTTACTCCAGGTGATATCAACAGCACAGCAGAAATACATTCCTATTCTTGGAGCCATAGAGGGAGAGGATGCCTTCTTATTGCTCTTTTCTGCCTACTTAGAGGTTCTTGTAGTCTTCCTGAGAATCTGACACCTTTGAGATTCTAACAGAAGCAGCTTTCCAAGGCTGTTTCCAGAGGTCAACCATAATTCAGTGCCAGCCTTTTGCTTTGCAATTATATTAAGCCTCAAAAAATGAAAGTTGGGCTATTTTACCCTCCTGTCCAGTCTTTGCAAATTCTTCCAGTGGCTCCCCTATTGTCCAACTCCTTGTATGGCTGTCAAAGCCTTTCACATCTTTCTTTTGCTCATCTCTTATATATTTGGTGGCATTCTTTATTGACCCTGCACTCAACCACTCTCAGCCTCTTGCAGTTCTGTCAACTCATGATTTCATACCTGTTTTGTGCTGTTTCTCTCTCTCTTTTTTATTTTAAGTTCTAGGGTACATGTGCACAACGTGCAGGTTTGTTACATATGTATACATGTGCCATGTTGTATTGACCCTGCACTCAACCACTCTCAGCCTCTTGCAGTTCTGTCAACTCATGATTTCATACCTGTTTTGTGCTGTTTCTTTTTTTTTTTTTTAATTTTACTTTGAGTTCTAGGGTACACGTGTACAACGTGCAGGTTTGTTATATATGTATACATGTGCCATGTTGGTGTGCTGTACCCATTAACTCATCATTTACATTAGGTATATCTCCTAATGCTATCCCTCCCCCCTCCCCTCACCCCACAACAGAACCCGGTATGTGATGTTCCCCACCTTGTGTCCAAGTGTTCTCATTGTTCAATTCCCACCTATGAGTGACAACATGCGGTGTTTGGTTTTTTGTCCTTGCGATAGTTTGCTGAGAATAATGGTTTCCAGCTTCATCCATGTCCCTACATGAACTCATCCTTTTTTATGGCTTCATAGTATTCCATGGTGTATATGTGCCACATTTTCTTAATCCGGTCTATCATTGATGGACATTTTGGTTGGTTCCAAGTCTTTGCTATTGTGAATAGTGCCACAATAAACATACGTGTGCATGTGTCTTTATAGCAGCATGATTTATAATCCTTTGGGTATATACCCAGTAATGGGATTGCTGGGTCAAATGGTATTTCTAGTTCTAGATCCTTGAGGAATCGCCACACTGTCTTCCACAGTGGTTGAGCCAGTTTACGGTGCCACCAACAGTGTAAAAGTGTTCCTATTTCTCCACATCCTCTCCAGCACCTGTTGTTTCCTGACTTTTTAATGATTGCCATTCTAACTGGTGTGAAATGGTATCTCATTGTGGTTTTGATTTGCATTTCTCTGATGGCCAGTGATGATGAGCATTTTTAAATATGTCTGTTGGCTGCATAAGTGTCTTCTTTTGAGAAGTGTCTGTTCATATCCTTCGCCCACTTGTTGATGGGGTTGTTGTTTTCTTGTAAATTTGTTTGAGTTCTTTGTAGATTCTGGATTTTAGCCATTTGCTAAATGAGTAGATTGCAAAAATTTTCTCCGATTCTGAAGATTGCCTGTTGACTCTGATGATAGTTTCTTTTGCTGTGCAGAAGCTCTTTAGTTTAATTAGATCCCATTTGTCAATTTTGGCTTTTGTTGCCATTGCTTTTGGTGTTTTAGTCATGAAGTCCTTGCCCATGCCTATGTCCTGAATGGTATTGCCTAGGTTTTCTTCTAGGGTTTTTATGGTTTTAGGTCTAACATTTAAGTCTTTAATCCATCTTGAATTAATTTTGGTATAAGGTGTAAGGAAGGGATCCAGTTTCAGCTTTCTACATATGGCTAGCCAGTTTTCCCAGCACCATTTATCAAATAGGGAATCCTTTCCCCATTTCTTGTTTTTGTCAAGTTTGTCAAAGATCAGATGGTTGCAGATGTGTGGTATTATTTCTGAGGGCTCTGTTCTGTTCCATTGGTCTATCTTTCTGTTTTGATACCAGTACCATGCTGTTTTGGTTACTGTAGCCTTGTAGTATAGTTTGAAATCAGGTAGCATGATGCCTCCAGCTTTGTTCTTTTGGCTTAGGATTGACTTGGCAATGCGGGCTCTTTTTTGGTTCCATATGAACTTTAAAGTAGTTTTTTCCAATTCTGTGAAGAAAGTCATTGGTAGCTTGATGGGGATGGCATTGAATCTATAAATTACCTTGGGCAGTATGGCCATTTTCACGATATTTATTCTTCCTATCCATGAGCATGGAATGTTCTTCCATTTGTTTGTGTCCTCTTTTATTTCGTTGAGGAAGTTCTGGCCAGGGCAATCAGGCAGGAGAAAGAAATAAAGGGTATTCAATTAGGAAAAGAGGAAGTCAAATTGTCCCTGTTTGCAGATGACATGATTGCGTATTTGGAAAACCCCATTGTCTCAGCCCAAAATCTCCTTAAGCTGATAAGCAACTTCAGCAAAGTCTCAGAATACAAAATCAATGTGCAAAAATCACAAGCATTCTTATACACCAATAACAGACAAACAGAGAGCCAAATCATGAGTGAACTCCCATTCACAATTGCTTCAAAGAGAATAAAATACCTAGGAATCCAACTTACAAGGGATGTGAAGGACCTCTTCAAGGAGAACTACAAACCACTGTTTGTGCTGTTTCTCTTTAGAAATTCTTTCCCACCCATGTTCATCAACTTCTAGTCATTTCTTACTCTCAGTGTTAGTGTGATCTTCCCCAGTAAGTCCTTCCCGCAGAAGGAAATGAGTAGTCCCTCTTTTGGTTCTCTTATGGTCCCAAAACATAGAACCATCGCAGCCCCTACAATTGTTAACCATATCATCTTTGTTTATATGTTTGTCTTCCCTACTATGCTGTACCTTTCTTGAGTGAAAGACTAAATCTATATCCTTTTATAGTAGAGTCCGCAGACAACATGAATCAAATTTCTTCAGTTCCGCCCCAAACTTATTATAAATCAAGTTATGTGGAGAGGTTGAAGAAAATCTCAGAATCTGCGTTATAACAATTACCAGATAATTTTAATGCAAACGAGTTAGAGCAACACTGAACTATATTGTTTATTTCTCTACTCAGTTTGTCTAGCATAGTGCTTGCAATACTTGTTTGAATGAATGTTAAATGAAAGAGAAGATGAATGGATAAGACATCTCAAGTATATTCATATGTAATCCCTATGTGATGTGGAGGACTCCCTGTCCCTTTGTAAAATTCCCTAATTAAAATCAGATCTAACTACAGGTTTCCTGCTCCGTAGAAGTCTAAAGACCTTGCCTGTAGTAACAATTCTTGAGGGCCTCTGCTCTTACAGTCTCTAATGATTAATTTATGTGTCAACTTGACTAGATTAAGGGACTCTTTTAGATGGTAAAGCATTATTTCTGGATGTGGCTGTGAGCATGTTTCCAGAAAAGATTGGCACTAGAGTCAGTGGACTGAGTAAAGAAGATCTGTCCTCTCCCAATGTGGACAGGTACAGTAAAGTCAGCTGAAGGCCCACATAGAACAAAACAACAGAATGAAAGGCCAGTTCTTGTTTGTTTGCTTTCTTTCTCTCTTTCTCTCTCTCTTTCTTTTTCTTTCTTTCTTTCTTTTTCTTTCTTTCTTTTTTCTTTCTTTCTTTCCTTTCTTTTTCTTTTCTTTTCCTTTCTTTCTTTCTTTCTCTTTCTTTCTTTCTTTTTCTCTCTTTCTCTTTCTTTCTCTTTCCCTCTCTCTCTCTTTCTCTTTCTCCCTCTCCCCTCTCTCTCTCCCCTCTCCCCTCTCTCTCCTGGATTTGGGTCACTGATATTCTCCTGCTCTTGGGCATCGGAACTCCAGATTCTCAGGCCTTCAGCCTCAGACTGAAAGCTACACAGTTGCCTTCCCTGGTTCTGAGGCCGAGCCATGCTATTGGCTAGGCTGGTTCTCCAGCTTGCAGACTATCACAGGACTTCTCGGCCTCCATAATTATGTGAGCCAATTCCTCTAATGAATCCCTGCTCATATATCTACATCGATGTAATGTATATCTCTATATTTGTATCTGTATCTATAGCTGCATCTATATCTATATCTATCCATATCCTATTGGCTCTGTCTCTTTAGAGACATGGTCCCTGATGCTTCCCACTCTGTTGTTGGTACAAGTACATTCTGTTTTGCTCCACATCATCTCAGACACAAAAAATCAATTATTCTATCAGTTTCTATGAGAAATACATTTACATGTAGCATTTTGTGTTTAGTAGATTTGCTGAACATTATGGATGTTATGGGAAAGGAGTCACACCATGGAAATCTTTTAATTTCTTCTCTCCTGACAAGATTTTATCCTTATTAAGCATAGCTTTTATCCTTATTAAGCATAGCTTTTAATCTCTCTTCAGTACTCACCTTGAAACATACCCAGTTAAACTCACCTAACCAATGTCAACTCTAGTTGCTCAGTAAACAACATAGGCTGTTTCATTGATCCCCCATCCTAAGGTAATTGAAAGTTCATTTTTTGTTACAGACTTAATTCTTTCTTTCACACTTCTACACCCCCTGCAGGAATGATAGAGAGAACTTTCTTTGAATCACGTGGCTTAATTTTCCATGATGCCCTAGAGTAAACAGAAGGGGTGGTTCAGCAGGTAAAGAGTTAAACTTTGCAAGATTCACATATGGAGCAGCTTAGCCAAAAGTCCAAGCTTGGGTTCTTTGTTGGTAGGAAGAATGAGGGGGAAAAAGACAGGAACATAGCAAATCCATGTCTTGTCTAACAGGATGCTGAGCCTTCTGTTCTATTTCCAACTCTCATTTCTTGCACACTCCTCAATTGAATTCTTGTCAGGTTTTCCTTGCATTTGGCTGAACCCGGAAATCCAGATATGCACATCATAAGTTGATGAGTCCAGACGTTTAGTGGAAATTAGTTTACTCGTCGCTTTGACTGACTCTGTTTAATTCACAAGGCCAGTAAGCCCTGGAGTGCCCCAGACACAGAGGTAATTTGAAACACATAAAGGAAAGCTAGCCTTGGGTTGGATTGGTTGTCATGGTGATATTGTGGGCCACTGAGATACCTGCACTTGACCATACTATAGGGAAAAACTATTTTCAAAGCTTAAAGCTAAACTTTTTATCATTCTGTATTACTGTTATTATTGTTACTTTATTCAATGAGGCATAAGAAAACACATTAGGCAGTTATACAGACTGGAGTTTAAATCCATTTCTGCTACTCACTAATCTGTGACTCTGGCAAACTAACCTACCTATGCCTCAGTTTTTGCATTTTACAAAGATGATAACAATAACATCTAGATTATTAGATTTAACGAGGGTTTAATAAGATAAATGCATAAAAAGCACATGGCGGGTTGCTAATAAATAACTGACTCCTGTTCCTCTCCATTGTCCTTGTCCTCTTTAGTTCTGAGATTATTTTATCAATTAGGCCCATCATTCATCTATGAAAGTTTATGCTCAGGCATAGAGATATCTAAGGAGGAGGAGTACACATGTATGTGTGTGTGTGTATGTACATAAACATATATACAGGAAGCAGAGGGATTACCTTTTCCTTTGTTTCAAAACATATTTGAACACAATAGAATAATGGTGGTTAGGTGGTCAGTTTTATTTATTGTACTGTGTGTTGTTTATAGTTTTCAAAATGATTTCATGGCTAGTATTTCATTGATTTTACAATAACTCTCCAAATTAGGTAATGTAGTTGTTTCTGTTTTATAGAAGGAGAACAGAGGGTCTCAATGGCTTTCCCAAGTTCATTCTTCAAGGAAGGGATAGAAAGAACTCAATGTATTTCTAACCAGTGACACTTACTCACACTTGGATGCGAGTTGTGATATTTTTTATTTAGTTTAGATTAAACCTAGTTCAGTTCTCCTTCCACCAAGGTTGGCAGGCAGTACAGCAACAGTCATCTTTCAAGGTTGCTTTCCCTTTCTTTGGATAAAACAAAGACTCCTGAGATAGGGTCATGACATTTTGCCATAGTGGTCACTAATGCCATTGCCAGTTGCCCAGGCTTCGTGATCTTGAGGGCAGGAAGCTCCCTTGGTACACCATTCCCTCCTGCATTAGTTCAGACATGGGAACTGTTTGCCTGATCTCTCGAGGCCTTTCCTCAGTGGCCACTATCACAGACTTCCACATAGGTTATCTATTGCTGTCAAACAAACTACCCCAAAACTTGCTTCTGCTGAGATGACTCAAATGGCTGGAGTTGGAACAATGGGGGGCCTGGCTGGGCCTCTCTCTCTGTCCGTCTCTTTTTTCCTGTCTCTATCTGACTTCTTCCTTACATAGCTGTATTGGGCTTTCACACAGCAGAAGCAGCTTCCAGGTAATCAGGGCTCTGGGTTCCAAATATGTTCCAAGAACAGGTGGTAGAACATGTTTCTAAAGTATGAACCTAAAATTTGAGACATCACTTTCTGTTGGTCAAAGCAGCCCCACAACTTGCCCAGATTCAAGAGAAGAAGTCATAGATCATACCACTAGGTGGGAGGAGTGTCCAAAAATTTGCATCAGTCTTTAATTTGCTATACCATGTTTCTGAGATTCTCTGACCTATAGGAAATTACATTCCACTTTGCTTAGATGTCTACTCACCATAAATGAGGTATCTTTGAAGCACATTTATCTTTGAAGAATAATGCCTTCATTTTAACACCTCATCCTTTGTCTCATGGTGAATGAGATTTAACCTCTTATTAGGAAGTAGCTGATAATCACATAGCTAGGTGTCATTTCCTAAAACTGCAAAAGGTTCTCTCACTTCTCTGTGTTGGGGCTGTCAGCAGGAGATGTTTTTATGTGTTGTGATAAGTAAAATGATTCTTCTAAATTAGGCTCCCATGCCTCAGCCCAGCAAGACTTAATCATCTGAGTTTTTATATTGTGATAATTTTTGTTTTAAATCCTCTTGTTAGATGTAAGTATTATGAGTACTGACTGAATGAATGGGTAAATGAATGAATGAGAGTAAGCAGTGCTGAAGGGATGCACATCTGTCTTTTCTAACAAGAATAGCATTAATTTACAGTGTTAGGTACTAAGTCTCTTGTCTATGTCAACATGGACCTCACCCTGTCCTCAAGCTGCTTATATTTTCATAGTTTACTAATGTAAAACACGTAAAATCAGGTGTGAGGTTCTCAATGCAGACTTCCAAGAAATGGCAGCTGGCTTTGTTTTCTCTCCTGTAATAAGACTTTAACTGCCAACTCACTGTGATAATGAAGTCATTGTTAATTCTTAGATGGTAATCCCTCAGGCAAATCTGTTTAAAGCACTAATTTCTGAGATAGCTCAAAACAGACAACAAATTCTACTTTTCATAAAAATTCAATGGAACACTGAGCCAAAGGCAGGACAGATGTTGCCCTTATGAAATGATCAGTGGAAGACTTGCTAAAAGTTCATTTATAGGTACCTTATTTTGTGTAACATGCTTGTTAGTAATGCTCGGAATGTCTCACTAATGAGCTGTTTCAGTTGTTTCTAGATCTTGAGTGGAACCGTGAAATCTGCATTCTTAACAAGCTCCTTAGAGGATTCTGTTGCACACGAATGTTTGAGACAGTATATTGAACATGCACACTCATCCACATATATATTAAATTGGTGCAAAAGTAATTGCTGTTTTGCCATCACTTTCAATGGCATCACTTTCAGTCAGGCACCAACCTAATACATATATAGTTGCACAAATAAATAGATGCCAGTGTTTTCCAAAAACATAGAAAGGGGCCAAGGGAAGGTGAAGTGGGATAGTGAAAGGCTGATGGAGGAAAGAATAATATCTAACTAACCTGATCTTCTGACTTTAATTTTATCCTCTCTCTATTCCATTTTCCTTTATGCCAGGATACTTTTTTAAACTGCAAATCTAGTCACACACTTTTGCACAGAATCTTCAATAGTGACAGTTTCTTATTACATGTGGAAGGAAGTCTAAATAACCGATCATGTTTATTTATTGGGACACTTCCCACCTTCTGAGACCCATTTTTAAAATTTTTTATTTTAATTTTTGTGGGTACATAGTAGGTACATAGTACATACATATTTTAATTTATGTGGGTACATAGTATTAAAATAAAAATTATTTTAATTTTTGTGGGTACATATATATATATGGGGTCCATGAAATGTTTTGATACAGGCATGCAATGAACAATAATCACATAATAGAAAATGGGGTAGCCATCTCCTCAAGCACTTATCCTTTATATTACAAACAATCCAATTATACTATTTTAGTTAAATGTACAATTAAGTTACCATTGACTACAGTCACCCTATTGTGCTATATAATAGTAGGTCTTATTCTTTCTACGTTTTTCGTACCCATTAACCATCCCCATCCCCACCTCCCCAGCCCCCGACTACCCTTTCCAGCCTCTAGTAACCATCCTTCTGCTCTCTATGTTCAATTGTTTTGATTTTTAGATTCCACAAATAAATGAGAGCATGTGATATTTGTCATGGTGTATTTAACTTAATGTAATGATCTCCAGTTTCATCCATGTTGTTTGCAAATGACAGGATCTCATTCTTTTTTATGGCCGAATAGTACTTCATTGTGTATGTACCACATTTTCTTTATCCATTCATCTGGTGATGGATACTTAGGTTGCTTCTAAATCTTAGCTATTGTAAACAGTGCTTCAAAGGCAGGACAAAAATAGGAGAGCACATATGTCTCTGACATACTAATTTCCTTTTTTGGGGTACATACCCAGAAGTGGGATTGCTGGATTATATGGTAGCTCTATTTTTATTTTTTTGAGGAACCTTTAAACTGTTCTCCATAGTGGTTGTACTAGCAGCTTACATTCCCACCAACAATGTACAAGGCTTCCCTTTTCTCCACATCCTTGCTAACTTTTGTTATTGCCTATCTTTTGCATGTAAGCCATTTTAACTGAGGTGAGATGATATCTCACTGTAGTTCTGATTCACTCTGATGATCAATGATGTTGAGCACCTCTTAATATGTCTGTTTACCATTTGTATGTCTTCTTTTGAGAAGTGTTTATTCAGATCTTTTGCCCGTTTTAGATCAGATTATTGTATTTTTTCCTATAGAGTTATTTGAGCTCCTTATATATTCTGGCTATTAATCCCTTGTCAGATGGGTAGTTTCAAATATGTTCTCTCATTCTATGGATTGTCACTTCACTTTGTTGATTGTTTCCTTTGCTGTGCAGAAGTTTTGGATGTGATCCAATTTGTCCATTTTTACTTTGGTCACCTGTGCTTGTGGGGTATTACTCAGGACATTTTTGCCCAGAAAAATGTCCTGCAGATTTTGTCTAATGTTTTCTTGTAGTAGTTTCAGAGTCTGTGGTCTTAGACTTAGTTATTTAATCCATTTTTTGATTTTTGTATGTGGTGAGATAAAGGAGTCTATCTGCATATGGATATCCAGTTGTCCCAGCGCCATTTATTGAAGAGACCATCCTATCCCCAGTGTATATTCATGCTACCTTTGTCAAAAGTGAGTTCACTGTAGGTGTGTGGATTTGTTTCTGGGTTCTCTATTCTGTTCCATTGGTGTATGTGTCTGTTTTTATGCCAGTACCATACTGTTTTTGTTGCCATAGCCCTGTAGTATAATTTGAAGTCAGGTAATATGATTCCTCCAGGTTTGTTCTTTTTTCTTAGCACAGCTTTGGCTATTCTGGGTCTTTTGTGGTTCCATAGAAATTTTAGGATTGCTTTTTCTATTTCTGTGAAGAATTTCATTGGTATTTTGATAGAAACTGCATAGAATCTATAGATTGCTTTGTGTAATATGAACATTTTAACAACATTGATTCTTCTAATCAATATGGGATATTTTCATATTTTTTGGTGTCCTCTTCAATTTCTTTCATGAGTGTTTTATAGTTCACATTACAGAGATCTTTCACTTATTTGAATAAAATTATTTGATATTTAATTTAATTTGTGGCTATTACAAATTAGATTACTTTTTTATTACTTTTCCAGATTGTTTATATTTTTAATACAGAAATGCTACTGATTTTTGTATGTTGATTTTTTTTTTATTTTATTATTATTATACTTTAAGTTTTAGGGTACATGTACACAATGTGCAGGTTAGGTACATATGTATACATGTGCCATGCTGGTGTGCTGCACCCATTAACTCGTCATTTAGCATTAGGTATATCTCCTAATGCTATCCCCCCTCCCCCCACCCCACAACAGTCCCCAGAGTGTGATATTCCCCTTCCTGTGTCCATGTGTTCTCACTGTTCAATTCCCACCTATGAGTGAGAACATGCGGTGTTTGGTTTTTTGTCCTTGTGGTAGTTTACTGAGAATGATGATTTCCAATTTCATCCATGTCCCTACAAAGGACATGAACTCATCATTTTTTATGGCTGCATAGTATTCCATGGTGTATGTTGATTTTGTATCCTGCAACTTTACTGAATTTGTTTGAGTTCTAATAGTTCGTCTGTATAATCTTTAGGATTTTTCAAATATAAGATCATATCATCTGTACACAAGGATAATTTGACTTCTTTTATTCTAATATGGATGCCCTTTATATCTTTCTCTTGTCTGATTGCTCTAGCCAAGACTTTAAGTACTATTTTGAATAACAGTGGTAACAGTGGGCATGTTCCAGATCTTAGAGGAAAGGCTTTCATTTCCTCCCTATACAGTATGATACTAGCTGTAGGTCTGTCATATATGGCTTTTATTATATTGAGGTATGTTCCCTCTATAACCACTTTTTTAGTATTTTTATTAGGAAGGGATATTGAATTTTACCAAATGTTTTTTCTTCATTGATTGAAATGATCACATAGTTTCTGTCCTTCATTCTGTTGATGTAATGTATCACATTGATTGATTTGCATATGTTGAAGTATCCTTGCATCTCAGGGATAAATCCCACTTTGTCACGATAAATGAGCAAATGTATTGTTGGATTCACTATTGAGGATTTTTGCATCAATAGTCTTCAGAGATATTGGCCTGTAGTTTTCTTTTTTTCTTTTTTGTTTTGATGTGTCTTTGATTTTGGTATCAGGGTAATACTGGCCTCATATAATTAGTTTGGAAGTATTCCCTCCTTCTCTATTTTTTGGAATAGTTTGAGTAGGATTTGCATTAGTTCTTATTTAAATGTTTGGTAGAATTCAGGAATGAAGCCTCTGGATCCCAGGCTTTTTTTTACAGGAAAACTTTTTATTATGGCTTCAATCTCATTACTTGTTAATGGTCAGTTCAAGATGCATCATAAGATGGTTTACTTGATGGGCACTTATAGGTATTCATTTTTTTTCTTAATTATTTTATTTTATTTTATTAAACTTTAAGTTCTGGGATACATGTGCAGAACATGTAGGTTTGTTACATACGTATACATGTGCCATGGTGGTTTGCTGCACCCATTAACCCGTCATCTACATTAGGTAGTTCTCCTAATGCTATCGCTGCCCTAGCCCCCACCCCGTGACAGGCCCAGGTGTGTGATGTTTCCCTCCCTGTGTCCATGTGTTCTCATTGTTCAACTCCCACTTATGAGTGAGAACATGCAGTGTTTGGTTGTCTGTTCTTGTGTTAGTTTGCTGAGAATGATGGTTTCCGGTTTCATCCATGTCCCTGCAAAGGACATGCAAAAGGATGAACTCATCCTTTTTTATGGCTGCATAGTATTCCATGGTGTATATGTGCCACATTTTCTTTATCCAGTCTATCATTGATGGGCATTTGGGTTGATTCCAAGTCTTTGCTATTGTGAATAGTGCTGCAGTAAACATATGTGTGCATGTGTCTTTATAGTAGTATGATTTAGAATCCTTTGGGTATATACCTAGTAATGGGATTGCTGGGTCAAATGACATTTTTGGTTGTAGATCCTTAAGGAATCGCCACACTGTCTTCCACAATGGTTGAACTAATTTACACTCCCACCAACAGTGTAAAAACATTCCTATTTCTCCACATCTTCTCCAGCATCTGTTTCCTGACTTTTGTTTGTTTGTTTTTGGTTTTTGGTTTTTTTTTTTTTTTGAGACAGAGTCTCGCTCTGTCGCCCAGGCTGGAGTGCAGTGATGCAATCTCGGTTCACTGCAACCTCTGCCTCCTGGGGTTCACGCCATTCTCCTGCCTCAGCCTCCCAAGTAGCTGGGACTACAGGCACCTGCCACCATGCCTGGCTAATTTTTTTTTTTTTTTGTATTATTAGTACAGATGGGGTTTCACCGTGTTAACCAGGATGGTCTCGATCTCCTGACCTCATGATCTGCCTGCCTTGGCCTCCCAAAGTGCTGGGATTACAGGCTTGAGCCACTGCACCTGACCGTTTCCTGACTTTTTAATGATCGCCATTCTAACTGGTGTGAGATGGTATCTCATTGTGGTTTTGATTTGCATTTCTCTAACGACCAGTGATGATGAGCCTTTTTTGTCATGTTTGTTGGCCACATAAATGTCTTCTTTTGAGAGGTGTGTGTTCATATCCTTCACCCACTTTTTGATGGGCTTGTTTTTTTTCTTGTACATTTGTTTAAGTTCTTTGTAGGTTCTGGATAATAGCCCTTTGTCCGACGAATAGATTGCAAAAATTTTCTCCCATTCTGTAGGTTCCCTTTTCACTCTGATGATAGTTTCTTTTGCTGTACAGAAGCTCTTTACCTCTTTTGCTCTATCTCACAGGTTTTGGTATGTTGTGTTTCCATTATCATTTGTTTTAAGAAATTGTTCAATTTCTTTCTTAATTTCTTCATTGACTCACTGGTCATTCAGGAATGTATTGTTTAATTTCCATGTATTTACATAGTTTCCAAAATTCCTCTTATTACTGATTTTGAGTTTTATTCCACTGTGGTCAGAGAAGGTGCTTGATATTACTTCAGTTTTTTTCATTGTTTGAAGACTTGTTTTGTGACCTAACATATGGCCTATCCATGAGAATAACTCATGTGCTGAGGAAAAGAATGTGTATTCTGCAGTTGTTAGATGAAATGCTCTGTAAATATCTAGTAGATCCATTCGGTATACAGTGCAGATTAAATCTGATTTTTTTGTTGTTGTTGATCTTTTGTTGGGAAGATCTGTCCAGTGCTGAAAGTGAGGTGCTGAAGTCTCCAACTATTATTGTATTGGGGCCTATCTCTCCCTTTAGCTCTAATAATATTTGCTTTATATATTTGGGCACAACTGTTTTGGGTGCATATATATTTAAAATTATTATATCATCTTCATTAATTGACTCATTTTTCATTACATAGTGACCTTCTTTGTCTCTTCCTATAGTTTTTGTCTTGTAATCTATTTTGTCTGATATAAATGTAGCTACTCCTGCTCCTTTTTTGATTTCTGTTGCCATGGAATATATTTTTCCATTTCTTTGTTTTCAGTCTATGTGTGTACTTACATGTGAAGTGTGTTTCTTGTAGACAACAGATCAATGGGCCTTGTTTTTTAAATCCATTCACTCAGTCTGTTTCTTTTGATTGGAGAGATTAGTCCATTTATATTCAATGTTATTGTTGGTAAGTAAGGACTTACTCTTGCCATTTCAATATTTATTTTCTGGTTGTTTTGTGGTCCCCTCTTCCTTCTTCCTTTCTTTTCTGTCTTCCTTTAGTGAATGTAATTTTCTCTGGTGATACAATTTAGTTTGCTTTTTAGTTTTTGTGTTGTATGGTTTTTGATTTGAGGTTACTACGAACCTTGCAGGTATCATCTTATAATCCATTATTTTAAGTTGATAATAAATGAACACTGTATAAACAAACACACAAAAACAAACCCAATAAAAACTCTGTCTTAACTTTGTTCCCCTGCTTTTCAACTTTTTGTTGTTTCTATTTATATCTTATGGTACTGTCTGTGTCTTAAAAAGTTGTAGATATTATTTTTGGTCCGTTCATCATTTAGCTTTTCTATTTATAAGAAGAGTAGTTTACATACCACAGTTACAGGGCTATAGTATTTTGGGTTTTTCTGTGTATCCAGCACAGTACTGGGTCTCATCCAAGGCCTGATATAACCACTCCCTATTACCAGTGAGTGTTTTACCTTCAGGTGATTACTTATTGCTCTTTAGTGTCTTTTCTTTAGCATTTCTTGTAGCACAAGTCAAGTGTTGATGAAATTCCTCAGCTTTTATCTGGGAATGTCTTTATTTCTCCTTCATGTTTGAAGGATATACAGTTCTAGGGTAAAATATTTTTCCTTCAGCACCTTAAATACGTCATGCCTCTCTCTCGGCCTGTAAGGTTTCCACTGAAAAGTCTGCTGCCAGAAGTATTGGAGTTCCATTGTATGTTATTTGTTTCTTTTCTCTTGCTGCTTTTGGGATCCTTTCTTTATTCTTGACCTTTGGTAATTTGATTATTAAATGAGTTGAGGTAGTCTTCTTTGGGTTAAATCTGCTGGCCATTCTATAACCTTCTTGTATTTGGATATCAATATCTTTCTTTAGGTTTGAAAAATTCTTTGTTATTATCTCTTTCAATAAGCTTTCTACCCCCATCTCTTTTTCTATCTCCTCTTTAAGGCCAATAACTCTTAGATTTGCCCATCTGAGGCTATTTTCTAGATGTAGGCATGCTTCATTTTTTTTTTTTTTACTCTTTTTTCATTTGTCTCCTCTGACTGTGTATTTTCAAATAGTCTGTCTTCAGGCTCACTAATTCTTTCTTGTTTGATCAATTCTGCTATTAAAATATTTTGATGCTTTACTCAATATGCCAATTGCACTTTTCAGCTCCAGAATTTCTGCTGATTTTTTAAACTTATTTCAATCTCTTTGGTAAATTTATGTGATAGAATTGTGACTTATTTCTCTGTGCTATCTTGAATTCCTTTGAGTTTCCTGAACATTACTATTTTGGATTCCTGAACATTACTATATTTGGACAATTTATTAGGGCCCTAGGGCACTTTAGCCTACAGTGGTGAGGTTTGCACAAACTCAAGCTCCAACCACTGGGATCTCAGTTTCCTGTCTGGCTAGGGCTGGCTGAAATGCTCCCTCTGTGTGCAAGGTGGGTGGGGGGTGACAGCTGAGTTTGGTCCGGTTTTCCTTTCTGCTATGACAGGACAGCACTGAGTTTAATGCTTCACTATTGCTGTGTGCGCCCTCTGCCAGCCACAGAAATTCTCCCTGCACCATGTCACCACTCCGGGGGGTCATGAGGGGTGGCATAAGTGATTCAAGATTGTATTTTTCTGCCTCTTCAGTGCCTGTTTCAGTGATATGAAGTTAATACCAGAACTGTGAGTGCTCACCAGATTTTTATTTCTTATGAAGGTCCTTGTCTTGTGTAGATAGTCTTTAAATTGGTGTCCTTGGGCAGGAGGAGGGGGAACTATCTGTGGAGACTTCTATTCCACCATCTTGCTCTGTGTTTCCAGACCCATTTATTAATTTCTCCCTTCATCTTCTACTCTGGCCATACTTGTCTGCTTGCCATTTGCTAACCAACCCTCATATTTCTACATTTCTGTGCTTTGCTTTGAGCTTTCTTCCTGGAATGCTCTTCTTTCACTCTAGATTAAGAAATATTTATACTTCAGTACTAAGCTAAATTTTGTTATTTACTGACACTACCTAACATTTTAAGAGATAAACTTAAAAAAATCTACTCACAGGTCTATATGCAGTTTTGGGGGATAAATTTTGATGCTCACTCGTTATGCTAGGAGATTACTAGAAGACAATGTCATTGGAAACTATATGGCCTAGGAGAGTTGCACTGGGATTCCTTAGCCATCAAATTTGCTCATGGTTAATATCTATTTTAAGTAAATGTAAGACAGAGCTTTTTCATTTTTGCTTTATAATATAGACTTTAAGAGCCTCAGATTGTGCATTTAAATTTTAAACAGGTAAATCTTCAATTTTTTTTTTCTGGAAACAACGTTGCTTTTCATTCACACAAACCACTTCAATGCATTTTCATTGCATTGATAATCAGGAATTTCTATTATTTTTCCTCAATATATCATTATAAAAATTGTGGAACATCTTGAAAAGTTGAAATAATTATACAGTGGACACCCATACACTTACCATGTAAATGTTACAAATGTTAACATTTTGTTACATTTGCTTTGTCTCGTATTCATCCTTCTATCTTCCCATCTGCCCATCTACTGATCCATCGTAATTTTCAAGCATCTCAAAGCAAGTTACAAATATCAGTATGCTTTAGTTCCTTTTCCTTCTTTTAAAAATAATGTATTTTTAATTAACAAATAATAATTACATATATATATGCAGCACAATGTGATGTTTTGATCTATGTATACATTGTAGAAATATTCAGTCAAGCTAATTAGTATATCCATCACCTCAACAACTTCTCCACGTCCTCACCAGCACTTGTTATCGTTTGTTTTTTTTGATGATAACTGTTCTAACAGGTGTAAAATAATATTCTGTTGTGGTCTGTATTAGTCTGTTCTCATGCTGCTAATAAAGACATACCTTACACTGGGTAATTTGTAAAGGAAAGAATTTAATTGACTCACAGTTCCACATGGCTGAGGAGGCCTAATGATCATGGTGGAAGTACAAGAGATGTCTTACATGGCAGCAGGCCAGAAAGAGCTTGTGCAGGGGTACTATGCTTTATAAAGCCATCAAATCTCATGAGACTTATTCACTATCAAAAGAACAGCACGGGAACCACCTGCCCCCATGATTCAATTACCTCCCATTGGGTCCCGCCCACAACATGTAGGAATTGTGGGAGCTACAATTCAAGATGAGATTTGGGTGGGGACAGAGCCAAACCATATTATGGTCTTAAATTTGCATTTTTCTGATGATTGGAGATGTTGAATATCTCTTGGTCATTCATATCTCTTCTGTTGAGAAATGTCTTTTCAGACCATTTGCCCAGTATTAATCTTGGTTATTTGTTTTCTTGCTTTTGAGTTGTGTGAGTTTCTTATTTGTGATATTAATCCCTTATCAGATACATGGTTTGAAAATATTTTCTTCCAACCGGTGTTCTGTCTCTTTACCCTGTTATTTATTTCCTTTACTATGCAGACACTTTTTGGTTTGATACAATCCTATACGTATATTTTTGCTTTTGTTGCCTGTGCTTTTGGAGTTCTATGCAATAAATCACATGGTAGGCAACAAAAGACTTTCCTTTCTTAAAACAGAATGTTAAGCCTTCAATCTGAAAGCTTGGCCATTTAAGCACATACATTTCTTTTCAGTATTCAAGCATGTAATATCTAAACTATAATCTTAAAGTGCACATGGTTTGTTTCCTGTCAAAAGCATGGTTAAGCCGAATAACATTTGAGTGAGCTCACCTATTTCTCTGGTTTCTCACAAAATTCTCCTATCAGGTCACATCATCAGAAAGCAAAGCATTTTTAATATTGCTAGCTTAGGTATCATAGAAATTATACAAGAAAAGTGATTTGATACTATGCCATTACTATTTATATGAGGCCAATAGAAAAAACTTTCTGGGTAACCTGTGTTTTTCAGTTTTTGTATAACAATTAAAGACAGTTTCTTTAACATGACTTATTACCCTTAACCTAAGAGTCAAGAGATGCTGTCTGGCTTGAATGAATAAGTAACTGATGCTTGGAGAGATAATTTTTAGAGTTGGAGAGTTGCTCAGTGGAGGAGTGAGAATAGTGACACAGAAGTGGAGGAAAAGAAGGTGGGGGTAAAGTATGTAAGTTGATAATACATATTAGAATGTTATTTAGCACTTTGAAATGAACAACCAGAAGCAATCAATATAAAAATAGTTAAAACATATAGGAATTTCCTGGGAGCTAGACAGGACAGGAGAGGTTTGTGGCAGGAAACTTGATTTTTACTACAAGTCTTCCTTTAATAATAGTAGTAATCATCATTTTCATCATCATCATGACACTCATAGTGCTTATTACATGCCAAGCACTATTCTAAGCTCTTTATATTTGTATTACATTTTTTCTCAAATTTTGCGTTACATTCATTTAATTTCCATTTAATCTTTTTTTTTTTTTTTGATTTTTTGGAGATGGAGTCTCGCTTTGTCGCCCGGGCTGGAATACAGTGGTGCAATCTCAGCTCACTGCAACCTCTGCCTGCCAGATTCAAGCAATTCTCCTGCCTCAGCCTCCTGAGTAGCTGGGACTACAGGTGCGTGCCACCACGCCTGGCTAATTTTTTTATTTTTTTTAATTTTTATTAGTAACTGGGTTTCACCATGTTGGTCAGGCTGGTCTTGTGCTCCTGACCTGATGATCCACCAGCCTTGGCCTCCCAAAGTGCTGGGATTACAGGTGTGAGCCGCCACACCCGGCCTATTTTCCATTTAATCTTTATAGAGGCTCTATGTGGTAGATGTTTTTACCACCATATAACAGATGTGAAAACTGAGTCTCAGAGCAAGATTGGAGTCTTTTAACTCAAGAAGTGTATTCTGAAGCTCATGCTCTTCACTGTCACATCTTGATAATTCCTTGCTAAAGGAAAAATGTTTCCATAAGATAATTTAATTTTAGTCTTTAGTGCCAGCAAAACTTTCTTCTAAAGGTTTTATAAGCTTTCTTTTATCAGACAGGAAAACTTGTGTACATTATTATGTAAAGCCCCCTTTCCTGTTTTGCTTTGGGAACCTAGGCTTCAATATATTGCTCAAATATTATAATTTTTTTTTCCCCTGAGATGGAGTCTCGCTCTGTCACCCAGGCTGGAGTGCAGTGGTGCGATCTCAGTTCACTGCAATCTCCACCTTCCAGGTTCAAGTGATTCTCCTGCCTCAGCCTCCTGAGTAGCTGGGACTACAGGCGCGAACCACCATGCCTGGCTAATTTTTGTATTTTTAGTAGAGACAGGGTTTCACTATGTTGGCCAAGCTGGTCTTGAACTCCTGACCTCGTGATCCGCCCGCCTCAGCCTCCCAAAGTGCTGGGATTACAGGCGATAGCCACCACACCTGGCCTGTAATTATTTTTCTCTTGTTTTCATTTCTGATCTTAGTTTTAGCTTTACCTTTACCTCTGTTCATGTATTCAAAATATTCAAGGTAAATAAACAAGTAAACAGACAAATGTGACAATACATTATTCCTTTGCTCACTTGTTTGCTTCTACTCTGATGATTTTATTTTAAACTCTGTACCTGTCATAATTTCTGGCATTGTTATGACTTCTGTAAGAATGCTCCCTGAGTGTTCTTAATATTCCAAATAGCTATAAAGCTATTCACTAATAAAAATTCATGTGGTGTTGAGGATGCAAAGTGAAAATCTTTTTTTTATTATACTTTAAGTTCTAGGGTACACGTGCACAACGTGCAGGTTTGTTACATAGGTATACATGTGCCATGTTGGTTTGCTGCACCCATTAACTCGTCATTTACATTAGGTGTTTCTCCTAATGCTATCCATCCCCCTGCCCGTCACCCCATGACAGGCCCCTGTGTGTGATGTTCCCTGCCCTGTGTCCAAGTGTTCTCATTGTTCAATTCCCACCTATGAGCGAGAACATGTTTGGTTTTCTGTCCTTGTGATAGTTTGCTCAGAGTGATGGTTTCCAGCTTCATCCATGTCCTGCAAAGAATATGAACTCATCCATTTTTATGGCTTCATAGTATTCCATGGTGTATATGTGCCACATTTTCTTAATCCAGTCTAGCATTGATGGACATTTAGGTTGGTTCCAAGTTTTTGCTATTGTGAATAGTGCTGCAATAAACATACGTGTGCATGTGTCTTTATTGTAGCATGATTTATAATCCTTTGGGCATATACCCAGTAATGGGATTGCTAGGTCAAATGGTATTTCTAGTTCTAGATCCTTGAGGAATCACCACACTGTCTTCCACAATTGTTGAACTAGTTTACACTCCCACCAACAGTGTAAAAGCATTCTTATTTTTCCACATCCTCTCCAGCACCTGTTGTTTCCTGACTTTTTAATGATCACCATTCTACCTGGTGTGAGATGGTATCTCATTGTGGTTTTGATTTGCATTTCTCTGATGACCAGTGATGATGAGCATTTTTTCATGTTTCTGTTGGCTGCATAAATGTCTTCTTTTGAGAAGTGTCTGTTCATATCCTTTGCCCACTTTTTGATGGGGTTGTTTGCTTTTTACTTGTAAATTTGTTTGAGTTCTTTGTAGATTCTGGATATTAGCCCTTTGTTAAATGAGTAGATTGCAAAAATTTTCTCCCATTCTGTAGGTTGCCTGTTCACTCTGATAGTAGTTTCTTTTGCTGTGCAGAAGCTCTTTAGTTTAATTAGATCCCATTTGTCAATTTTGGCTTTTGTTGCCATTGCTTTTGGTGTTTTAGTCATGAAGTCCTTGCCTATGCGTATGTCCTGAATGGTATTACCTAGGTTTTCTTCTAGGGTTTTTATGGTTTTAGGTCTAACATTTAAGTCCTTAACCCATCTTGAATTAATTTTTGTATAAGGTAAAAGGAAGGGATCCAGTTTCAGCTTTCTGCATATGGCTAGCCAGTTTTCCCAGCACCATTTATCAAATAGAGAATCCTTTCCCCATTTCTTGTTTTTGTCAGGTTTGTCAAAGTTCAGATGGTTGTAGATGTGTCATGTTATTTCTGAGGCCTCTGTTCTGTTCAATTGGTCTATCTGTCTGTTTTGATACCAGTACCATGCTGTTTTGGTTACTGTAGCCTTGTCGTATAGTTTGAAGTCAGGTAGCGTGATGCCTCCAGTTTTGTTCTTTTGGCTTAGGATTGTCCTGGCAATGTCGTCTCTTTTTTGGTTCCATATGAACTTTAAAGTAGTTTTTTCCAATTCTGTGAAGAAAGTCATAGGTAGCTTGATGGGGATGGCATTGAATCTATAAATTACCTTGGGCAGTATGGCCATTTTCACGATATTAATTCTTCCTATCCATGAGCATGGAATGTTCTTCCATTTGTTTGTGTCCTCTTTTATTTCGTTGAGCAGCGGTTTGTAGTTCTTCTTGAAGAGGTCCTTCACATCCCTTGTAAGTTGGATTCTTAGGCATTTTATTCTCTTTGAGGCAATTGTGAATGGGAGTTCACTCATGATTTGGCTCTCTGTTTGTCTGTTATTGGTATATAGGAATGCTTGTGATTTTTGCACATTGATTTTGTATCCTGAGACTTTGCTGAAGTTGCTTATCAGCTTAAGGAGATTTTGGGCTGAGACGATGGGGTTTTCTAAATATACAATCATGTCATCTGCAAACAGGGACAATTTGACTTCCTCTTTTCCTAATTGAATACCCTTTATTTCTTTCTCCTGCCTGATTGCCCTGGCCAGAACTTCCAACACTATGTTGAATAGGAGTGGTGAGAGAGGGCGTCCCTGTCTTGTGCCACTTTTCAAAGGGAATGCTGCATAAATAACTCTTATTATTTTGAGATACGTTCCATCAATACCTAATTTATTGAGAGTTTTTAGCATGAAGCGCTGTTGAATTTTGTCCAAGGCCTTTTCTGCATCTATTGAGATATCATGTGGTTTTTGTCTTTGGTTCTGTTTAGGTCACAGATTACGTTTAGTGGTTTGTGTATGTTGAACCAGACTTGCATCCCAGGGATGAAGCCGACTTGATCCTGGTGGATAAGCTTTTTGATGTGCTGCTGGATTTGGTTTGCCAGTATTTTACCGAGGATTTTCTCATTGATATTCATCAGTGATATTGGTCTAAAATTCTCTTTTTTTGTTGTGTCTCTGCCAGGCTTTGGTATCAGGATTATGCTGGCCTCATAAAATGAGTTAGGGAGGATTCCCTCTTTTTCTATTTATTGGAATACTTTCAGAAGGAATGGTACCAGCTCCTCTTTGTACCTCTAGTAGAATTTGGCTGCGAATCTGTCTGGTCCTGGACTTTTTTGTTGTTGTTAGGCTATTAATTATTGCATCAATTTCAGAGCCTGTTATTCGTCTATTCAGAGATTCAACTTCTTCCTGGTTTAGTCTTGGGAGGGTGTATGTGTCCAGGAATTTATCCATTTCTTCTAGATTTTCTAGTTTATTTGTGTAGAGGTATTTATAGTATTCTCTGATGGTAGTTTGTATTTCTGTGAGATAGGTGGTGATATTCCCTTTATCATTTTTTATTGCATCTATTTGATTCTTCTCTCTTTTCTTCTTTATTAATCTTGCTAGCAGTCTATCAATTTTGTTGATCATTTCAAAAAATCGGCTCCTGGATTCATTGATTTTTTGAAGTGTTTTTTATGTCTCTATCTCCTTCAGTTCTGCTCTGGTTTAGTTATTTCTTGCCTTCCGCTAGGTTTTGAATTTGTTTGCTCTTGCTTCTCTAGTTCTTTTAATTGTGATGTTAGGTGTCAATTTTAGATCTTTCCTGCTTTCTCTTGTGGGCATTTAGTGCTATAAATTTCCCTCTACACACTGCTTTAAATGTGTCCCAGATATTGTGGTACAGTGTGTCTTTGCTCTCATTGGTTTCAAATAACATCTTTATTTCTGCCTTCATTTCGTTATTTACCCAGTAGTCATTCAGGAGCACGTTGTTTACTTTCCATGTAGTTGTGTGGTTTTGAGTGAGTTACTTAATCCTGAGTTCTAATTTGATTGCACTGTGGTCTGACAGACAGTTTGTTGTGATTTCTGTTCTTTTATATTTGCTGAGGAGTGCTTTACTTCCAACTACGTGGTCAATTTTGGAATAAGTGCAATGTGGTGCTGAGAAGACTGTATATTCTGTTGATTTGGGGTGGAGAGTTCTGTAGATGTCTATTAGGTCCGCTTGGTGCAGAGCTGAGTTCAAGTCCTGGATATCGTTTTTAACCTTCTGTCTCATTGATCTGTGTAATATTGACAGTGGGCTGTTAAAGTCTACCATTATTACTATGTGGGAGTCTAAGTCTCTTTGTAGGTCTCTAAGGACCTGCTTTATGAATCTGGGTGCTCCTGTATTGGGTGCCTATATATTTAGGATAGTTAGCTCTTCTTGTTGAATTGATCCCTTTACTATTATGTAATGGCCTTCTTTGTCCCTTTTGATCTTTGTTGGTTTAAAATCTGTTTTATCAGAGACGAGGATTGCAACCACTGCCTTTTTTACTTTCCATTTTCTTTGTAGATCTTCCTCTATCCCTTTATTTTGAGCCTATGTGTGTCTCTGCACGTGAGATGGGTTTCCTGAATACAGCACACTGATGGGTCTTGACTCTTTATCCAATTTGCCAGTCTGTGTCTTTTAATTGGGGCATTTAGCCCATTTACATTTAAGGTTAATATTGTTATGTGTGAATTTGATCCTGTCATTATGATGTTAGCTGGTTATTTTGCCCATTAGTTGATGGAGTTTCTTCCTAGCATCGATGGTCTTTACAATTTGGCATGTTTTTGCAGTGGCTGGTACCGGTTGTTCCTTTCCATGTTTAGTGCTTCCTTCAGGAGCTCTTGTAAGGCAGGCCTGGTGGTGACAAAATCTCTCAGCATTTGCTTGTCTGTAAAGTATTTTATTTCTCCTTCACTTATGAAGCCTAGTTTGGCTGGATATGAAATTCTGGATTGAAAATTATTTTCTTTAAGAATGCTGAATATTGGTCCCCACTCTCTTCTGGCTTGTAGTGTTTCTGCTGAGAGATCTGCTGTTAGTCTGATGGGCTTCCCTTCATGGGTAACCAGACCTTTCTCTCTGGCTGCCTTTAACATTTTTTCCTTCATTTCAACCTTGGTGAATCTGACAATTATGGGTCTTGGGGTTGTTCTTCTTGAGGAGTATCTTTGTGGTGTTCTCTGTATGTCCTGAATTTGAATGTTGGCCTGCCTTGCTAGGTTGGGGAAGTTCTCCTGGATAATATCCTGAAGTGTTTTCCAGCTTGGTTCCATTCTCCCTGTCACTTTCAGGTACACCAAACAAACATAGATTTGGTCTTTTCATACAGTCCCACATTTCTTGGCAGCTTTGCTCTTTCTTTTTACTCTTTTTTCTCTAAACTTCTCTTTTCACTTTATTTCATTAATTTGATCTTTAATCACTGATACCCTTTCTTCCACTTGACTGAGTTGGCTATTGAAGCTTGTACACGCGTCACGTAGTTCTTGTGCCATGGTTTTCAGCTCCATCAGGTCATTTAAGATCTTCTCTATGCTGTTTATTCTAGTTAGCCATTCTTCTAGTCTTTTTTCAAGGTTTTTAGCTTCCTTGCGATGGGTTCGAACATCCTCCTTTAGCTCAGAGAAGTTTGTTATTACCGACCTTCTGAAGCCTACTTCTGTCAGTTTGTCAAAGTCATTCTCCATCCAGCTTTGTTTCGTTGCTAGCGAGGAGCTGTGATCTTTTGGAGGAGAAGAAGCGCTCTGGTTTTCAGAGTTTTCAGCTTTTCTGCTCTGGTTTCTCCCCATCTTTGTGGTTTTTTCTACATTTGGTCTTTGATGCTGGTGACCTACCCATGGGGTTTTGGTGTGGATGTCCTTTTTGTTGAAGTTGATGCTATTCCTTTCTTTCTGTTTGTTAGTTTTCCTTCTAAGAGTCAGGTCCCTCAGCTGCAGGTCTGTTGGAGTTTGCTGGAGTTCCACTCCAGACCCTGTTTGCCTGGGTGTCACCAGCGGAGGCTGCAGAACAGCAAATATTGCAGAACAGCAAATATTGCTGCCTGATCCTTCCTCTGGAAGCTTCGTCCCGGAGGGGCACCCACCTGTATGAGGTGTCAGTCAGCTCCTCCTGGGAGGTGTCTCCTAGTTAGGCTACACAGGGGTCAGGGACCCACTTGAGGAGGCAGTCTGTCTGTCCTCAGAGCTCAAACACTGTGCTGGGAGAACCACTGCTCTCTTCAGAGCTGTCAGACAGGGACGTTTAAGTCTGCAGAAGTTTCTGCTGCCTTTTCTTCAGCTATGCCCTGCCCCCAGGGCGTGGGGTCTACAGAGGCAGCAGGCCTTGCAGAGCTTTACAAAAAAATACAGAAGTTATCCAGGAGTGGTGGTATATGCCTGTAGGCCAGCTACTTGGAAGGCTGAGGTGGGAGGATCACTTAAGCCCTAGAGGTCAAGGCTGCAGTGAGCCACGATCATGCCACTGTACTACACCCCAGGTGACACAGTAAAACCCTGTCTCAAAAATTAAAAAAAGAAATCATTTTATTAAAAAAGGTTTTACAAATTCTTCTTAAGGAGTATATTTTGCCTTAAAGTATGGTCTCTTCCCCCTGTCCCTGAGGATTGATGAATATTTTAGTCTCTGGACAAAGGCTATGAAAATGATTATATTCAAGCCAAGAAAACCAAAAGCTGCTGAACATATAGTGCAGCCACAATTTATCTCAAACAATCAAAAGAGAAGTCTCCTGTTCTTGCTGCAGTACCAGTTCCCAGTGGAGTTGAAATATGAGATGTGAGCAACTATGCCCGATGTCATAGGGTGTTTGTACCATAGCTAGTAATATCATGCTGCTGTCTCTAGCATATTAAAAGGAAAAAACCTCAGAACTGAAAATATAAAATAAAAAAAAGTTTAAGCTGAGATTATTGTTAAAGCAATTAGTTACTTTAAGAAAGCAATGCTGGTTGGTAAAATTAACCAATTGAGCATAATTTAGGCTATAAAATTAAATGGCCATGACTAAGCTATAGAAAAGTTTAGTTTTGGCTTGTGTGTTATAAGGAGAGGGGAATAAAAGGAACTGACTTTGGTTAAATTTCTACTCCAAGTTTCTCTTTTGCAATTTATTTCCTTTTAACTTAAACACACTTTTGTAAAATATATGTTGATTATTCCCACTTTATAGTTTAAGAGACCAACAAAGAGAAGTGAAATAACTAAGTATGTTCAGAAAGGGAGTGGTAGAACCAAGATTCTATCTGAAGTGTCATTCTGAAGCCAAACATCTTCCATCTATATTAAGCATATGAGTAGGACTAGTTTAGCCCTAAAATGATTATATATAAATCTTATATAATTGGCTTGCCCAGACTAGCAATTATAAAAATAAAATACTATAAACAACCTGGTGAACATGATGTAGACATGAGATTGAAAACATTTCTATTAACTTTATAAACTTAACCAGGGAAGAAGAGAGGTAAGAATTGAAAATAAATTGCCGATTCAGCACATTCAGCAATAATCATTAGGTCAGCTTGCTCTGATTCACTTTTTCATAGCTATTTGCTGCCAATTATGTAGACCTTGTCACAAGATTATAGTTCCCCTTAACTCCTCTGTAGACAACAGCATTATGAAATGTTATGCCTTCCATCTGAGATATTCGTTCAGGTCCTGTATACTAGCAAAACTACTGATGTCAGCTGGTCTGAAGTATCCAACAAGGAGCTGACTCACTAAAGAATGAAGTTTCTATATCCTGATGATTTAATCCCTTTTACCCTGACCAATAAATGACCCGTTGTCCAGCCCCTCATCCACATTCCCCCTAAAAACGTCAGCTCTGGACTCCTCAGGTCTAAGGATATGAGGGCCTTTTCCTGTCTCTCTGCTTGGTTACCCTGAGATCATTAAACTTATTCTCTGCTGCAAACCCTGCTGTCTCAGTGTATTGGTATGTCACTGTGCAGCAGGCATATGAACCTGTTGGTTCTATAACAAGCTGCTGATTGAAGTAGTGATTATGTTGGTTTAAGCACTTGGTTTACCAACTCCAACAATGGAGAAAATGGCTATCATGTACTAACCTATGTTTTGTAGATGAAGGGCCAAGAGGCATTAGTTTTTGTGGGTTCCTATAGAATAAGAAATTTAGATTTTATTCTAAAGTCAAAGGAATTTCAGAGCCTTGGAAATTAATCAATCAATGAATTTAAGTTTATTAAGTGTTAAAATATAGAATAAATAATATTTGAGTTATATTTAAAAGAATAAAAAAGGCTCAATTTGGCTATAGTGTAGAGAAGATATAGATACGGTGGGGCAAGAATAGAAGCAGAGTGATGAGTTATGTGGTTATTGCCATAGACCAAATTTCAGGTGGTAATGGGGTACATTATGGTAGAAGGAGTAAAACTGGAGAGAAATATGTATTTTTGGTATATATTGTGGACATGTAGAATGAAAAAATGAATTAATTATAGGGGTGATGGAATGATAGCAAAAGGAAAGAGTTAGAGATTAACTTTTCTATTTTTGTTTTGCAGTTCACTGAGATGGAAAACTTGGGATTGGAACAAATTTGGGGATATAAACTGGGACTTTAATTTTGGATGCAATGAATACACTATTGATTCCCAAGTGACATATAAAAAATAACTTGAGCTAGTTAAACAAATGTAAAGGACAATAAAATTTCATTGTCTCATACATGTACAAACATGTCCAAGCCAGTGCCAGAAAATTCATGAATTAAAGTTTCCACTGAAATGTCTATGAGCAGTTCTTATGTTTTAAGTTAAATATGATGCTCTGATTAACTTTGCAAGCATCAGAAAGTGGTTACTCCTTGGAAAACTTCATGTTTCACCTTACAGTTAAGAAGAAAGCATTTTTATTAAAGTAGATTTTTAAATTTTTCATTCATTTATTATTACTTCACCCCATGGGGTCTATAAAGTGGATTTTTTTAAACATAAATAATTTTATTTGCTCCTAAAAGAAAAAATAATTCAGGAATTTCTCAATGCATGGGATATAAATTGCATCTACAATGGAACTAATTTTTCTCCACCTGTATAAAACATTATTTATTGCAGTGGCTTAAATGTATTTGTTGAATGAATGGCCATTTGCATATCAGGTCTTTTCAATTAGGCTGTAAGCTTTTGATAATAGAAACAATTCATGTCTTATGCTTCTTGAAATCCACCCAGTTACTAGGAACATGGCATAATAAAAAGAATTGAGATTTGGGATTACAGAAGATATGGATGTGAATTACAGTACTACTGCTTATTTTTGTTTGAATTTGAGCAAGGTAACCTTGATACATTTATATTTTTTTCACCTGTAAACCATAATAATACCTATTTTCATACTGTTGCCATGAGGATTAAATCACGTTTAGAAAAAGCCTAACAGTTCTTGGCATATATTGGAGTCTCCAGTAAATGTTAGTCTCCCTTCCCTAAGCATGGTTTTATGGAAAGACTCAGTAAATATTTCTCAAGTAAATGAATGACATTTTCTTTGGAATATCATTTACCATTAATTCCTAATGAATTCTGCATTTTGGGTCAAAAGGACACTCTATCAACCCATTCCTATTTGGTGTTAACAGCCATAGAGTGTCACAGATCACAAAACCATACTTAATGTTTGTTGCTATTCTCAATCAGTACAGCTGAACCCACACCTACAGAACATAATTGAGTCAGATTAATTTTAATAACTGAAATGTGAACATTAGCATTCTTGGAAATGGGAATAAAATTCTTTCCATCACAAGTTAAATTACTACTGCGTTCATAAATTTTAAAACAGCTGACCCTGAATTTCCACCAGCATCTTTTAAAATGATGTTTCTATCTTCGCATTATTCATTTAATAAATGCTTAGGCAGACTTTCATGTAAGCGTGTACTTAGAAGAATGAAGTACAATTAGAAGTCAGCTGAGAGAAAATAGTAAATAGTTCTCATAGTACTATTTACACTAATAATACTTGAATTGGAAGTGAGAAATCAGAGGAGCTCAACATCTTGTTTGCCTTAAATACTGTCTTTGACACTATTTTGTATAATTATTCTCCCCTTGAAGTACTAATTTATAGGAACCTTTGTTACTAAGTACTATAACATAATGTTCATATCATTTAAACTCTAGACAATGAGCAAGAATTTGAGAATTTTCTGTTAATAAATACATAGATTTTAAAAATTTACAACTATTGTTGAGCATTTCAAGATCTTTCTCAGTAATAAAATAAGTAAAGTATTTTAAAAATAGAAGTTTTCAATAATCAACAATTCGATCTCGTTGATATCTATAGAATGCTCTAATTAATGGAGAATGTAATAATATACATTATTTTCAAGTACTAGTCAAACCCTGACCAAGACAGGCCACATTCAAGGCCATAAAACACATCTCAATAATTACAAAAAACAGAAATAATGCATACTATGTTCTTTGATCATAATATAGCTAAAATAAAAATGAATAGAAAATTATCTGCAAAAAAATCCCAAATATTTGAAAATTTAAACAACTTCCTTTTAAATAGGTCATAGGACAACACACACACATGCACACACACATGAAAATTTAGACAATGTTTTGAATTGATAAAAAATGATAACAATATATAAAAATCTGTGGGATCCAGCTAAAATAGTGTTTAGAGAACTGTTGTATAGCATCAAATGCTTATATTAGACAAGAAAAATGGTCTTGAATAAGTGACTGAACTAGGCTTCCAATTTAAGAAACTAGAAAAAAATAAGCAAAATGAAACAAATGGTAATAATAATAAATAACATAATTCAACAAAATAGAAACCAGAAAAAGAAAATCAATAGAATCAAATGTTGCTTCTTCGAAAAATATCAACATAATTGACAGAACTTCAGCTAGATTGATGAGGAACAGAAGACAGGTATTATTTAACTATATAAAAGACAAAGGACATAACTGCAGACTCTACAGACATTAAAATAATAAAGATTTATTATAAACTTTATGCCAATAAATCAACAACTTTGAGCAACTGTAGAAATTCTGTAAAAGACAAAAATTATCAAAATGCATTAAAGAAGAGTTAGATAACCTGAAGGGGCACATGTATTTGAGAAATTGATTTTGTAGTTAAAACTTTTCTACCAAGATAATTCCAGATACAGGTGGCTTTACTGGTGAATATTAGCAAGTATTTTAGGAAGAAGGGGTCCTAGTTTTGCATGAAAATCTTCCAGAGTATAGCAGAGGAACAAACTGTAACTAACTCATTTTGTGAGTCCAGACCAGGCAAAGAATTTACAACAAAAATCACCTCTACAGAGCCCTCTTGATGACAGGTGCAAAAATCCTCCACAGAATGTTAGCACTTCAAACTTAGCAATACATATTATATTGAAAAAGAATCATCATGACCATGTGAAGTTTATCTTGGGAATGCAAGACTAATTTAATGTTTTAAAATCATTCAATATAATTCACAATATTAACAGACTAAAGAAGAAACAATACATGGTCATCTCAATAGTTACAGAAAAACATTTGATAAAAGTTGATATACATTCATGACAAAAATTCTCAGTAAACTAGAAATAGGGAAAAGTTATTCAACCTAATAAAGGGCATCTAGGTCCTATACAGTGCAATAAGGCAATTTAAAAACTCAGGGTAAGAATATGCAGTATTGGCACAAAAATATATAGATGAATGGACATGGATAGAAAATCCATTAATGGACCCAAACTAATATGGCGAGTTGATTTTCAGAAAAAAACACTAAGGCAATTGAATGTGGAAAGGATGACAGTTCAATAAATTATGTGAGCTAAATTTTTAAAACGTCAGGTTTAGACAAAGGTATCTTAAGTAGGAAACAAAAAGTGTAAACATAAATACTCAATTTTTTATCATCAAAATTAAAATCTTTGCTCTTTAAAATATTGTTAAGGAAATGAAAATACAAGCTATAGCCTGGGAGAAAATAATTTTTGAAAGCTATATTTGATTAAGAGCTTGTATCCAGGACATATGAAGAACTCTCACAATTAAATAATGAGACAAAATCCCAAATGAGGGAAAGGGTTTGAATAGGTACTTCAAAAAGAAGATACATACATAGCAAATAAGACCATAAAAATATGGTGAACAACATTAGTCATTAGGAAGATAGAAATTGAAACCACTACACATTCCCTAGAATGACTAAAATTACCAACACTGACAATCCTGTGTCTTAGTAAAGATCGAAAGCAACTGTGACTTTCATTTATTGTTGATGATAAAAATGGTGAGATGCTTTTAGGAAACCATTTGGCAATTTCTTCTAAAGGTAATTATACACTTATCATATGACCCAGCAATCCTGCTCCTGGATATTTACTACAGAGATTTAAAAACATGGCTACACAGATGATTGTACAGGAATGTTCATAGACATTTTATGAATTATAGCTAAAAACTAGGATGAATGCAAATATCTATTAACTAATGAATAGATAAAAACTGGTGGTATATTCACAATGAAAAATAATGGAATAAACCAATGATATAGCAATATAATGGAATAAACTAATGATACATGTACAACAGAAAATTTTAAAAATATTATGTTGATAAATAAAAACTTATGTTCACACAAAAATTTATGCACAAATGTTTACAACAGCTTTATTTGTAGTAGCCCCAAACTAGAAACAACCAAATGCCCTTCAATGGGTAAATGGTTAAACAAACTGTGGTAGATTGATATATGGAATATTACTCAGCAATGAATGAACTATTGATCTGTAGGTCAACTTAAATGGATTTCAAAGAAGTCTTATTGAATTTTTTAAAAAAACCCTCAAAACATTTCATACTGTATGATTTACTGTGTGACATTCTTGAAATGACATTATAGAGATGTAGAAAGGAGCAGTGGGTGCCAGAAGTTGGAGGGGAGTGGCAGGAAGGTGGTAGCTCTGGCTGTAAAAGGGTAGCATGAAGGATCTGTGGTATGGAACTATTCTGTACCTTGATGTGGCAAAGGTCATTTGAATCTATACATGTGATAAAATGCATAGAACTAGACACACACACACACACACACACACACACAAATGCACATAAACCTAGTGAAAATTGAAAATGATGGATTTTAATGGATGTTTATTTCAAGGTCATGCTATTGTACTAGAGTTATGCAAGATAGGGGGAGGTGGGTAATGGGTATATGGAATCTCTATGATTTCCTAACAGCTGCATGTGAACCTAAAATTAGATCAAAATAAAAAGTAAAATAATATGTTGAATGGAAAAAAAGCCAGACACAAAACCTCATATACTGCATGATTCAGTTTATATGAAATTCTAATAAAGGCAAACTACAGTTATAGAAAACAAATAAGTGATTTCCAGCATCCAGAGAGTGGAGGAAGGGCATTGAACACTAAGTGACAAAAGCAAATGTTCCAGATGGTGATTGTTACATGACTTTTTACATTTATCAAAACTCACCAAATTGTATACTTATAACTGGCATATTTTGTTCTGTGTAATTATGCCTCAGTGCATATTACAGAATTTTAAAAGTGGATGTCAGTAATGTAGTAAGGTATAGTGTAAGTATATTGATATTATATTTCCAAAAAAATAAAATTATTGTTAAAAGATACCATTCAGGCCGGGCGTGGTGACTCACACCTGTAATCCCAGCACTTAGGGAGGCCAAGGCCAGTGGATCATGAGGTCAGGAGATCGAGACCATCCTGGCCAACATGGTGAAACCCATCTCTACTAAAAATACAAAAACTAGCCAGGCATGGTGGCATGCGCCTGTAGTCCCAGCTACTCAGGAGGCTGAGGCAGGAGAATCGCTTGAACCTGGGAGGCAGAGGTTGCAGTGAGCCAAGATCGCACCACTGCACTCCAGCCTGGGTGACAGAGTGAGACTCTGTCTCAAAAAAAAAAAAAAAATGCCCTTCAAAGCAGTAAGATTAGAAATTATAAAAGAATAAATTTAAGAATTGCATGGAGATTATAAAGCCATAAAGACACTGAAAGAACCAAAAAAATTTAAATATATGCCTAGACATATATGTAATTCAAGGAAAAAATTCAATATTCTAACTATGTAAATTCTTCCCCAATTTCTCAGTAAACGTAGTACTAGTTATCACAATAAGATTTATTTTTATATTACTCTCCATAAAATATGAAAAACATTCCAAAATATTTAGCCAGAAAAAGAGTGTATAACACAAAAAATAAAGTGTAAGAGAGGAGGACATATTCTTCAAAGTGTTAAAAGTATATTGTCAAACTGTAGTAATTAATATATTATGAGACTGATACCAGAATAGATTAGCAGCAGATCAAGGGAAAAGAATAAAACGTTCAGAAATGGCTTGAAACACATTTTAGAAATTTGGACATAATAATAAAGCATCAGATCAGTAGGGGTAACTAGTATGGAACAAATCACTAATTATTTGAATAACATTAAATTAGATTTCTATGTTACATCTCACAAAAATAAATTTCTGACAACATACTTTTTTATATTTAGCCACTTAAAATTTTCTAAAATTTGGTTGCTTTTGTAGGGTACATTGTAGCTTCTATTTTCTGTCCCTATTCCTATTTTCTACAATAAGCTCTATTCTATTGAGTTATCTACTCGATCCCCACCTCCAGGGTGACTATTAATTAGCTGGATCCAAAGAGTACAATTAAAATACAAAACCATTTCTATTTGTTAAATTGAAAAAAGGTCAAAATTGTTGATAACATTTATTGCTCTCAGGGTTATAGGGAAATTGGCAATCATACATTTCCAATGGGTATGCATGTTGATACATTTAAATTTATCTTGTTCTTAAAAACATACAAAACAATTGGTTTTAAGAAAACAGTACACGAGCATGTCACCAAATGTAAAATTACGTACTTTAAATTCCAAAATTCATCTTCTAGACATTTATCTTAAGGAAGGGCAAAAATTTACCTTAAGGAAGGGCAAAAATATTTATCACAGTATTGATTATATAGCAAAAATATAATGGTATCTTTAATAGGATGTAAAACTAATTTGATTTACTAAGCAAAAGCATACTATAACAACACAGAAATTCTAAAACTAATAACACTTATGTAGCACTTAACAAATGCAAGTCACTCTAGCCATTGAAATAATTGTGTAGCTCTGTACTTATTGATGTAGAAATAAGTAAGTCTATTTTATATAAAACTTACATAACTATGCATCATATTTCATTTTTTCTAAATAGGTAATGTATAGTGTGTATATTCATAGAATAAATTCTGGAAGGTTTCACATCAATTGACGTTAGAGTGACCACATCAGGATTCTCCTGGAACAGTCTATTTTCCCAAAGTAACTATTACACCGCTTTCACTCTGAAAAGGTCCCAGTTTGGACAACAAATTGTACCGACATGATAGTTATGTGTGATTGTTTTAACTTTCTTAATTATTTATATCAATATTCAATTATATCTTAAAATGCACATATATAACTTGGGCAAAGAAGAAACAATCATACAGCTATTTCAATGTGGAAGAACCAAAAAGTATGTTCCAGACAGTATGTGCTTTACAGCAGGCAGAAGATATACAGTGAATTACAATGCTAATGAAAATAATCCAAATTTTGGTATTTTCTCTCCACTATTTTATAGTCATTTCCTTGTTGAGAAGAGTTGCAGGGAGGAGGAAGATGAATTACCATCTTTTTCTCAGTTTTACCTATCTGACCCTGTGATGAAACAACTGTAAACTCATTTTTAAAAAAGGTTTCTAAACAGGAAATATTTTCAATGGGAGGAGGAAAAGAACCAGTTCCTATCAACAGAAAGTAAAATGCTAAAAATCTCGGAAAGTTGAAGAGGATTTGCAAAGAGCAGTTAAATATTTCATTAAGTAATGAATTTTCCAAGCAGAAGGAAGAGAATGGAGGGGTACAAGAGACAGAAGTAGTCTTCAACAGGGATTCTTGGTTAGAGAGCCTCTTGAGAGAATCTGCCTGTATTGGTAATAACATGTGCCTTTCTTTAAATGCATGAGTTTGTCATGAAAGAGAGATTTGTAGAAAATTGGAACAAAAATTGCTTAATGGAGTGATGGGAACGGCAGGTCTTGAGGCTCCAAAGTGGTGTAGAAAGCTTACATTAATTAAGATCTAACTGGAGAGTAAACATCAGCCTCTTGATGCAGTGGAGAGGGTTGGGGTGGAGAGAGAAATTGTCTTTACTGCTTTCAATAGATGTTTGCATCAGCATAACTCAGAAGATTTCTACCCTTGAGAGTCATGATGAAGTTAAGCCAAGCCCTTTGAGAATACCAGTTATATTTAGCAGGAACAGGCATTGTTGAATTTTAAATTATAGATTGTACCAGGACCTGCTCAGATCTGAACCGCAAATGTCAGCTTGGGTGAATTTATAATATCCTAAGTAAGACTAGCTAAACCCATTCTACGATTGGTGCAGTCTAAGGCTCTCCCTATGATGTCTGTAAATTCCCAGGAGGATTCTTTTCTCAAGTTCACCTTGATCTGAGTTTCTGCCACTGCTCACCGTCCTATGCATATGCCTTTTCTCACGGAGGTCCACATGTAGAATTCTGTTCTTTTGTTTATCATACATATGAATGCACTTACATACAACTCACACACCACTCATAGAAGGCATTTGTGGGTGTAGGATACTTTACTGAAAGTTTGGGAATAAGGAAAGGTTTACAACCACACAAACAGACTTCCAATGTTGTAGCCATTTGTACAAACCTTGATCCTAGTTCTTGCCATCCGCTTAGCCCATTTCTCTCTTTTTCGCTCTGTCTCTCCTCATCTTTCCTCCTAGGCCCCTTTCTTTGCAGACATAAAAACAAATATTTCTGTATTTTTATACACAGCATTAGCTTTTTCTATTCCTTTCCCATATAGGCTTAGTGAGGGGCTCCTTTTGTGAATCTAATTACTCTGGTCTAATTAAATTCTTAGACAATGTGTATTATTTCTCCATTACCCATCTAGGTAAAGTGATTTTATTTTACAGTTTAATTGTATTTCTCAATCTCACCACCAATTCACAGGTCTTTTTCATTTCTTATGATGGGCAATTAAATAATTCATACTCTATTTTATTAAATAGCCTATTATAATAAAGAGTTATTGAAGAGAGAAGAGCATTTTTATTTTATCTCTAGCAGTTATTCAAGTTTGAAATAAATCTAAGCTTTTTGATTATATTTAAGAATTCAAAGCAATATTGTTCATCTAGGAGTATTGAGACACATTTTAGGCACTGGAGAAAGTTTAGGTAGATAACATGTTGAATTCCAGAATACTGACTAGGTTTTTTACAATATCATGTTTGTCTTTTTATTTACATGTTAGTTGGACTCATAGAAAGTGGAAATAAGTTAAAAAAATTTAAACTACATATTCTCATGAGAAGTAAACAAGCTGAATCAATGGTACAAAAGGTTGAAAAATGTCATATTGAAGTTGTATTTTGTTTTTGCCACATTTACTCATTGGAACAATAAACACACAGATTTGGAAACAATGAATGCATAGAAATCTGTATTATGAGAACAAAAGTTAGAAAGAGTGACGCGAGCCACAGAATAAAACCACAGTATTAGTTCTTTTATCTTCTATCATCTCTGTCATAGATATTCTTGCATAGGGAGTCCTCTTCACATGCGGTGGTTCCAGCCTTACTACATCCTTTCGTCTTGGCAGCACTGTCAAATATCTCCCTGAGTGTGCTTTTTTCACTGTTAACAGTGATCTTTTCACCTCTTTCAATGGTTCTTCATCTGAACGCTTTCTTATGACATTAACTGAAGTTTCTCTAGATGGGAATTTATTTGAGTAAAACAGCGGCAACTATAAATCTGCAAAATAAAACAGGAACTCAGAGAGCACATAGCCTCAGAAGATGTGAGCGATACAGAGGAACTGGGAGGCAATGTTTCCCACAGTGGCCTCATATCCTTACCCAGAATGGTGTTGTCTGGGTCTCCTTCACCGCCAGTGGAACCCTGCAACTGGTCCATGACTTTGGTGTGCATTTTTATCTGACATCACTGTGTATGTATTTTAACTTATTTAAGATGTCATCTTTTAAAAAACAATTATTGCATGTAGTTTTTTTTTTACAAATTGGAAGGTGGGTACAGTTCATTTAATTCTTCCCACTGGTCTCAGAGGTAGGACTGCTATGTTTAAAACAAATTCTTTGACTTCTCTTCAATAGTTTCATTTCCCAGACTTTGATAATTGCCTGCTCTTATCTTTCTCCAACTTTTGTCACAAGTAGATATTCCAAATAGCGTCTCTAATTAAGCAGGCGAAGGCTGAAGCTAATGCTATATATGTGTATCCATGTAATATCATGCCAGTGTGCCTTTCAAACCTCCTGTTTTGCGAACTTGCAACTGGAAGACTGTTAGTTTCCATGTGTTAATGAATGCAGAACAGCCTGATTTTGGCATGTGGTACATTTTTCCTTTTTTTATCTGTCAGTCTTTTAGTCAGCTCACTCGTTTGGGCAATGACGCACTACAGCGCATCATATATTCACATGATCTGGCTTCACTTGGTGTTGTAAGTTGGTTTCTCAGGAGCAGACTCTGAGATGCACGTTAATTAGCAGGATGCTTAGTAGGGAGAGCTCTGGGAATTTAACAGTGAGGATGGAAAGGGAGCAGGATTGGGCAGAGGCAGCTGTGATGCTGTCCTAATGAGACTCAGCTCCCCATCAGAGGGTGTTCTGGAGACTGGGATCACTGTTCAAAGTTATGCTGAGTCGAAGTAAGAGAGCCAGGACTTTTTACACCCACATAGATCAGTCTTTGGGTAAGTGCTTTTCCTAGAAGGAAGCTGACCTTGGACCAGGCCGTTTTCTTCAACTGAAGCGATCTTCAAAGATGGTGGCAGCAGCTGAGGTTCATCTTCTGGTAGCACTCTCAACAGCTGGAAGAAAAATTTCCTCATTCCTGCGGATCTGTGTGGTCCATTACAGCACCTACCACACACTTTAAACATCATTCAGTTTACCAGGTTTCTCTGAATCAATAGAATATTAACTTTAAAAAATACTTTTTTCCCGATCAATATCTTACACAAAATCTGTAAATATACATAAAATATAAAAGAGATAAAACCATCTTATTTACCAGAGTACCAAATATATGACTCCACAGATATCTCCACAGATACTCACATACTTAGGGCTTCTTGGAACACATTTGAAAACCTGCTAGATGGAAAGTTGTAGAAATTCGCTGATCATCAGTATCAACTGAAGAGCAATAGCAACAACAAACAAGAACACATACACACACATTGTTAGGGTCCATACCAGGAGACTCTACTTCAAAAGGTCTGAGTTTGAGCATCAGGATATAAATATCCATACATATTTATACGCACATATACAAATGCACAGGCACACACATATTTGTATGTATGTGTGTGTGTCTCATATGATTCTAGATTTGTGCTGTTGAATAATAGCTTTTAAATGCCGATTTGTTTTAAATTATGAGAAAAAGGCAAATATGAGTTCCTATTTATTGCCTAAAAATAAAAATGTTTCTAAAGATCATGGCATACAGATTGGGAGGTAGTCAGGGATAGGAACCCTGATACGCTACAATTCTCTTCTGTTCTTAATCTTCTGCTTCTTTTATTAGTTACATGTCATTAATTTTATGGATTTCAGTTATTACTCAGAATAACTTGGTGACTCTTTTTCTTGGAGCCAACTTTATTGGCTCATCTGGTTAGGTGCTGGGGGAAAAAGTTCTGTGATGAACTTTGACCTCCATCTTCACATTGACTTCCTTGGTATGTGCATCTTCAAATGTAATTGACAATGCCACAGTCCTCTTCAAAATGACACTATCCACCAGAAGGTTATGAACGATCCTGCCACTGTATGTAGTAATTAGCACTTGGGAGTATTTATTTATTTATTAAATATTTATTGATTAAATACTGCAGGCTAAGCACTATTCTGGGTGTTTGTGATATTTCAGTAAACAAAAGACATTCTAGCAGACTGACAATAAACAATGGACATAATAAGTACATTTTGTTGAATGTTAGACTATGATAAGTGCTGTAGAATACTGAAAAAGGAGAGTAGAATCGAGGGATCAGAAATGTTATAGAAGGAGGAATGGAGGTTCTAATTTTAGGTAGAGGGGAACAATAGACACTGTGGGCTACGAGAGAATGGCAGGGGGAGGAGTGGTACCCCTGGTACCACTCACTATCAGGTATGATGCTCACTACCTGGGTAATGGGATCTGTACTCCAAACTCAGCATCATGCAATAATCCCATGTAAAAAAAATCTGCACATGTACTCCCTGTATCTAAAATAAAAACTGAAATTAAAAAATTTAAAAAATGCCATGAAGAAGAAATTTAAGTGAATGAAAGAAGAAGTAAATAAATGAGATTCAGATAAGTTGTATTTAGAAGGCAACATTTGAAAAGATCTGAAAAGGGATGTCAGATTTCTCCCAGATAACCACAACCCAGCCTTCTGGTTATCTGGGAGAAATCTGTTCTTGCTAGAGCTGGGTTTCTCAGTGATGACACTGTGACATTTGGGGCTGAATAATTCTCTGTTGGGAGGGGTAGGGTGGGGAGCTGCACTATGCTTCGTAGAACATTCAGCAACATTCCTGACCTGTATCCACTTGACACCAATAATATCTTTCCCTTCCAGTTGTTACTCCCAAAAATGACTCCAAACATTGCCACAGTGGGCCAAAATCATCCCAATTGAGAACCACTGGTATAAACTACATCAATAATTTTGTATTTTTTTCCGGTTGCATCCTGTCTCAGCACTACCTATTATGCAGTCCAACTTCCTGCTGAATTGTAAATTGCTACCTTTGTCAAACATAAATTCCTCATATTTGTGTCAGAATTGTTCTATTACATTTCAAAGGTCAATTTAACTACCTCTGAATAAATATTCTCCTAATTACTATAACTTTATAAGCCTGATAGGGAAAATTCCTCCTGCTCATTCTTTGAAATTAACCAGTCTTGGCTGTGCACTTTTCCATATGCATTTTCAGACTAGCTTGTCACAGTCTATAAAAAACTGTGATGGGATTATGATAGAAAGTCATTAAATTTATAGATTAATTTAGAGGGAATTGACACCTTTATGAAATTGATTCTTCCCATCCATGACCAAAAGTATCTCTCTTCATTTACTTAGGGGATTTTTATGCCTTCAATAAAGATATTATTGATTTTCTCCATATAGGTCTTGGACCTTTTTTGATAGATTTATTTCTGGCTACATGATAGGTTCTATTGCTAATGTGAATGATGTTTTTGAAAACAATTATATTTTCTTAATGGCTGTAGTGCATAGGGATGTAACTAATTTTTGTATCTTCAATGCAACAACTGCCTTGCTTATTATTTCTAGCATTTTTCCTATAGATTGTATTTAATAGTCGAGGAAGACAAATATGTAATTGGTAGATTATAAATTATTTTTTCTTCCCAATGCTTTCACTTCAAATTGCTTTTTATTGTCTTGTTGCTTTAGTTGGCAGTAATAGTAGAGATTTTTCATTCTGTTCCTGATCTTAAAGTGATTGATTCTATTATTTCACCTTAAGTCCAACACTTGCTATAGCCTTTTGGTAGGCAAGTGTTATCAGGTTAAGGATGATTCCTTCCATATTTAGTCTGCTATGAATTTTATCTCTCCTGGGTATTTTATTTAATATATTTTTGGATTTATTGAAATGATCTCAGAATTTTTCTCCTTTAATCAATAAATGGGGGTAAATTACATTAACAGATTTTTCTAAAGTTAACCTTTCTGATATTACTGGAACAAACACTACTTGTTCATACTCCTTAGGAAGGAGAATGACTCCCTTCTGCAAGTAAGGAGCTATCTGCTCCATTTCTGCAGACCTCGTTCCTAGAAGAAGTTGCCTATGCAGGAAAATTCAGGTTTATTCAGTTTGGAGTCTGTCTATAAAAATAAACTCATAGAATTATGAATACAAAATATGAAATTGAGGATATATTTAAAATTGAAAAGAAACCAGAATAAATTACAAAATTTTATAAGGCTGACAAATATAATAAATATCACAAAATCTAGAAAAATAACTCAACTTTTTTATTCATGAACAACTTGATCATATGTCACCATAATACTTTTAGTTTTGACAACTTTTGACCACATACTCTTTAATAAATCACCACTTTATGGGGCAAGAATTTAAAAAGATTTTCTATGTAGAGTCTGGACAAATTATTCAGTCCTTTAGTATAAATAAACAAAAGTAGTTTTTAAAAAATTACTCATATTGGGTATTCATAACACTTGAAAATTCTCAAACATGTATTGTCTCTGTTTCATATATCTGCTACAGGTCTGCTCTCTCTAAACACCAGAATTCTGATAAATTTTATTTTGCATGATTTCCATAGAGGTGCTTGGTACATTTATCATAATAATCTGCATTATCTCATATATTCATGACAAGAAAACTTCTGTTTTGAAGAGGCATCATTAAGAAACAAATCCTCTTCTTATAATTTTATGCATGTGATATTCGGAAGAAATTTCCAGAGACTAGCTTATGGCTCCATAAAATTCAAAGCTTATTTCTCTTCGATTTTTCACATACCGCCATTATAGAGATTTGAGGCATACCTGCAGACTATGATATCACTTTGAGCCTTGTAGTTTTTCAACATGGCATAGTGTATTAGTCTGTTCTCACACTGCTATAAAGAAATACCTGAGACTGGGTAGTTTATAAATGAAAAAGGTTTAACTGGCTCACTGTTCCACAGGTTATACAGGAAACATGATGCTGGCATCTACTTGGCTTCTGGGGAGGCCTCAGGGAATGTGCAATCATGGAGGAAGGTGAAGAGGGAGCACACACATCGCATAGCTGGAGTAGGAGTGAGAGAGAGTGGGGGAGATGCTATACACTTAAACAACCACCTCTCACAAAAACTCACTATCACGAGAACACCAACAGGGAAATCCATCCTCATGATCCAATCACCTCCCACAGGTCCCACCCCCAACATAGGGGATTACAATTTGACATGAGAATTGGGCAAGGACACAGAGCCAAACCATATCACATAGTAAATCTTCACAGTTAGCAGGAAGATATTTCTGGAAGTCATTTCAACACTGAGGTGTTTGGCAATAATGTAACTATACACAGAAGGGACTCTGAAGCTCATAACTATATTTCACTAAATGCAAAATAAATGTATCTCCCAACTCCTCTTCCCCTTAAGTGGATTTCAGAAATGGCCATGACTATATCACTATCAAATGGCACTAGGGAATACCAGTTTGGGTTGAGGAAACCTGATCTTAAAGAATGCAGCAAATATATCTTACTTAACCAATTTTACAGAAACATATGACCAGATGCCATTGCTAAGGCCCCTCTTGGGGCCTTGGGAAGAATCTGTGCAAGGTAGGGGCCATGAAACTTGCATTTTATTAGCTTTAGGGTTCACACATGCCTGGTCACATTTATGCAATTAAAAACAAAGCAAAATGATACTGAATATATAACATATGGCATTAGTAAGCTTGTGTGACATATTTCACAATGTGTTCCCCTTGCAACCTTGCAAAGTGAGGACACACACTCAACTTTTCACAGAACATTTACCTCCAGACTGCTAATTAATATAAGATGCCCATAAATCATGTCTCTGATAGAGAGCTTCTGCATCAGACAAAGGCAAGGAAAATTAACTTTAAGAAAATGTCTGATAATTAAACTTTAATTTTCCTTCCCATCCCAAAAATTTGCTTGCTTTTCCTACAGATTGAGGTCAGTTATTTTTTCTCCACACTCAGATAACTCCCACTAGTATTTGATATTAATGAAATGCATACTACTAAATATTCTTATATGTGATGATTCTCCACTTACTCATAGAGGGATGATAAACAACATTTTCTAAGTGCTTTGATCTCTAAACTATTAAGTTACTTTTGTTTTTATATGGAGGTCTTTGGAAATACTGAATATATGTTCTTGAACTTGCCCTCTGTTGGAAAAGAGATCCATATAAAAAAATTAATAAATTAGCTCCATGTTTTCTCTCCAGGAAATATTCAGATTTCTGAGAATTATTAAGGAACTCAATTAGGGAAACATTCTAAGAAACTATGAAACAGATAATGTTTATCTTTCCTTTCTCAAATCTTCCCTTTCTGTGCATGTTCCCGCTTCCTTTTGTGTTCATTCTGTTAAGATACACGTAGTATTTATAGTCTTTCCTGTTCTTTTTTTTTTTTTTTTTTTTTTTGAGACGGAGTCTTGCTCTGTCGCCCAGACTGGAGTGCAGTGGCATGATCTCGGCTCACTGCAAGCTCTGCCTCCCAGGTTCAAGCAATTCTCCTGCCTCAGCCTCCTGAGTTGCTGGGACTACAGGCATGTGCCACCATGCCCGGCTAATTTTTTTTTTTTTTTTGTAGTTTTAGTAGAGCTGGAGTTTCACCACGTTAGCCAGGATGGTCTCGATCTCCTGACCTCATGATCTGCCCGCCTCGGCCTCCCAAAGTGCTGGGATTACAGGCGTGAGCCACCGCGCCCGGCCTTTCCTGTTCTTTTTAATCCAATTTTAGGGAAGCTTCTGATAGACTCCTGTGCCTCAAGTATCAATTTTTAACCAATTCATTCCTGATAGTTTGTTTTTCACTGACATTTTTGCTGGATCTGTGAAGCTCAAAACACACAACAAAATAAACTAAGAATGATTATCTGAGAAAGTGCTAAGAACAAGGAAATAAATGTTGGTTCCAAATATAACCATAAAGCTTTTAAAATGAAATAGTTTTGACTTATTAAAGGAAAGATAAACAGCGAAGAGACATCTTCGAAGATGAGTAGAAAGTAGGAAAAACAAAAACTTGAGAAAATATTGAGGTAATCACAGCTTTTCAAAAGTCAAAGGAAATTTACAGTGGCAACAGATGAATCCACTCCAATTCCCAAATTTTCAGAATGGCTAGGGTAAATAAACCTTCTCAAATAAACTTTGAAATAGCAAATACCCGAGGAGGGAAATTAGCTTTGCTCATTTTGAACCAAGATACTATAAATTCTAGTGAATGAGAGGGCAGCTACCCTCTGTCCTAAGCATAAGGTTGTATAAAATACCAGACATTTTTATTAGGCATTTCAACATTTTGTCCTGGGGATAAAAATCACTGTACCTCAGCCAGGGAAAGGGAGCACATTGAAATGGGAATATTGTTGGTACTATGGGCCCCACATGTGCCTGAGCATCAATGTTACCTGTGGAGCTTGTTAAAACCCAAATGCCAGATGCACAACCTGTACTGGGAACTACTGGCCCATTAAATGTAGATCAGAAGCAAGAGGCTGCTCTTACGGAATTTTTTTTTAAATTAAGTTGTGGTAATTGTTAAATCATACTTCCTTACTAAATATAATCCAGCCAAGCCATCCAGACAGTCATAGAGCAGGCCCCTGGATCATTGCTAAAGAGTTTTCAACTCATCTTTTTCTCAGTAAAGACTGTTCCCCTTTTTTAAACCTGACATTTTAAAACCACCCTTCTTCATGGTGGCAGGCTCACCTAAACTATGACATACATGCAATAGATGCAAGAGGCAGATAAGGGGGAAGAGTCCCAGGAGAATCTCTGACTGGCCTGTATGCTGGATGGATGGCGTGGAGCCCCTGGGCGTTCCCAACTTTTGCAGAGGGGAGGAGCCTGGCCTCTTCAGTTCCTGTGTGGTAGCCTGGTATTCAATCTGTGAGTTGGAAGCTGGCTGGCAGGACCTCCTCTCGCTTTGCTGAGAGCTTTCCCCCCACTGTCCCCCTTTTTGCCCAATGACTTCCTTTCCCCTCACCCTTCAATGTGTCTGCATGCTTAACTTTTCCTGGTCATGACACAAGAACCTGGATTTAGCTGAACTAAGGAGCAAAAAATCTGCAACATATGTGTGTGCATAGGGACTAAAAGTATGGGCCTTAAACTTGCATCAGAACTTGAATACTGATTCTGCTACTTACCAGTCCTATGACTTGAGTATATTATTTAATCTCTGAGCTTCTTTTTTCCATCTTTTAAATGAAGAGAATGATACTTAATTTATAGGAAATTTTAAGAATTCACTGTAATGATTGTACTAGAAAGTTATTTACAAGGTACTAGGCACATTTTAAATTACAAATTGCAGCTGCTTCCTGGTGACATTTAGAATAAACACCAATCTCTGTATGTGAACTATTTACAGATCATGTTGTCAGGTACCTTAATATGCTGAAATCTTCATTAGAACCACCTGACTTTATTGACCAACATTATATTATTTTCTGAACTGTATTCACTTGTCACACCTATGAGTTCCAAAATACAATGTGTATTTAGGCTTTAGGCTTTTGTAGCATTGTGGATACATAGGATATATCTTTCCAGCTTTCCCTTCTGTAGGAAATACCCTACTTTAATGTCATAATAATCCTCTTCAGCCTCCATCACCTTACTTACCAGTTATGAGCATTTCAACACAAGGAATATCGCAATTATTTCAGGTATAGGTATGCTGTACAAGCCAGACCTAGCATTTTTCCTGTACTTTCGCAGGATTTTGTTGAGAAAGATGTTCCTTAATATCCTCTAGAATCACAGGCTGCAAAGGGACAATGCAAGCTGAAATTGTTAATTGTCTTTCCCGTCACGTGGAGACAGCCTCTGTGAAAATGAAGGCAATATAAATGGAAGTACAGGCAACAAGAAAGAAACCAGTGGTGCCTGAAGTGTGAGTGCCTGGTTTCAGTCATGCCTGAAGTGAACCGTGAACATTGTATACCCTCATAGATATTCTAGTTTTATAAGCCAATATGCTTTTTTTCCAAGCTGGTTTGTACTGGATATCTACTCTACTTTCATTCAGAAGCATTCTGTCCAGTAAACATATCATGTTTTCTTTTGCCTGGAATGCCTGTATGTTTCTGTGCATCTAGGAAGTGCTATTTTATTTTTGAATTCCTCAGTAGAACTTTCCTGAACCATTTCCTTTATTGCATCCCGGCTAACTTAGTGACTCCACCCTTTGTTCATGCCCCTGCCCAATCCCAACTATGTTAGCTGTCTTAAGTATGTGATTTCCTCACAGACTATTAACTCCCCCAGGATAGGGACTGTGTCTTACTCAACTTTATAATTTCAGAATCTTGCAGAGCACCTAACACCTAGTAGGAGACTAATGATATCTATTTTACAGTTTAACTAAAGGAAACATAAGTCACTTGCAGTTTTCAAACGCAGAGTCAAAATTTTATCTTCTCCTTGGCACACCCTATACGTGAGGACTATTTGATCACAACACTCATTCATTGAATGTGAATACTGGAATCTAAGAGACAGCAGACCACATCTTCCATGATGGAGAATGGTAAGCTAATATAGTTCAAGCACTTTGCTTTCTGATAATTTGGCAACTTGGAAAATCTAGAAGAATAGATTATTTACGTAGTCCATTGGATTCATTCTCTTCTAATATCAGCTGTCTCAAATAATCCTTTAGCAGACACTGGCTTCCCATCAATTTATGATTAAATTCTCTAGCAAATGCCTGTGGTGCAGTTGGTCTCTCAAGCAGGTTTCCCCACTGGGAAGAAAGTACACTGATTGGCTACTGTGGATAGCTGGAATCTTGGCAGTCAAGATTTCTTCTTGTAACTTATTAAAGTAGCTTTCTAATACCAATAAATCCTGTGTGACTTTGATTGGTGTGAGCCCGGTTTCCTGGGGCTAAATTACTACAAGTAAGCTGTTAAGGCTGTGTACCTGGGAGATCAGTGTATGGACTCATGCCCACAGGAGACCTGCCCTGTGATAGCTGTCAGTCTTCCATTGCAGCTCCACTCCTTTAAGCCCAGGCCTGTCCTGCTGAAGGTGCACACTGAGCATATCAATATTTCATCAGTTCATGCATACCATTTGCCTTTAAATGTGGCATTTGCTAAATCCTCAGATACAGTTTGGATTGTGTCTTATGGCCACTTTTGCTTTTGAGTCTCATCTCTGAAATTCAAATATAAGGCAACAAAGAAATATAATTTGATTTTTAAAAGCATTTAATTTATATCAATTTTAAGAATAAACATCATTAAAGATTGGAGAAACAATAGACTGTGTGGTGACCAGTGGACATGGAAATCTTTTCAATTCCAGAGGCTTTTCCCCACCTTCCTTAGCTGGATTCTAGGGTTCAGATATTTTATGTACAAAGACGTTCCTCAAAAAATTTTTCAACATCCTACCTAACACTCGTGTGCCACAGGCTTTGAGAGAAAGGGTGCCATTCTTCAGTCTCAGAGTTTCTGTAAGATAAAACAATGCACACCCTTTGGCACAATTAGTAAGCAGTTGCTCCCTATGGGTGTGGACCATAGTTCGTTTTGCAAACAATTGTTCCCAGTGACCTTGGCCCATAGTTTGTTTTGCAAACATTGGGTTAAGCTCCTTCAGAGGGACTTTCAAGGCACTATGAACTCAAATAGGAATTTACTGGAGAGGGGAAGATTTAGTTCCCCAAAGAGAGGCAAAATGGGAAACACATTTATTGAACACCTGCTATGAGGTTGGTGTATCAGATATGCTTTGTTAACAAAATTCACTTAAAACTATGAGGTGCCAGCAACTATAGCAAATAAGGATTCAAAAATTTGGGCTCAAATTATAATTCTGTCCTTTACTAACTGAATAACTCTGGGCAAGTTATGTAATCAATCTGAATCCCAATTTCTTCTTTTGTAAAACAGTACTAATGAGAGAGGCAGGAGGCAGAGAAATTTAGGGAGACAGAGGTGGGACCCTAGTGGAAACCTTACCTTCAAGCCAAAAGTAGCCTGAAACCGACGGCCCAAAGTGAGAACTTCTATTCCTGTTTGTCCACTCTCTCCAGATTGGTTCTTTTTGAATAATGTCTTTTTACCAACTGCATGTTGCCTTTTCCAAAACTACCTATGGCCTGGCCCGCCTCCCATCCTGTGCCTATAAAGACCCCAGACTCAGCTGGCAGAGAGGAGAAATGGCTGGATGTCAGGGAGAGGCAACTTGACTTTGGAGAAGTAACTGGAGTTGGGGGGACATCGGGGAGAGGCGACTTCAGAGACAATGGCTGGATGTCAGAGAGAGGCAACTTGACTTTGGCGGAGAGAGGCAGAGAGGTGACTTGACTTTAGGGAAGCACGACCTGCCCTTCCTGTCCCCTTTCAAGCTCCCTTCTCCACTGAGAGTTGCTTTCATCACTCAATACGATTCTCCACATTCACCATCCTTTAATTCATCTGCGTGACCTCATTCTTCCTGAGCACCAGACAAGAATTCAGGACCCACCAAACGGGGGTACCCAAAAAGGCTGTCACACTGGCCCTTTGCCCTCACTGGCGGAGGGCAGCTGCCCCATGCGATGAGGCAAAAGGCCCACTGAGCTGATAACATTATTGTCTGTGGATGGTGGAGCTAAAAGAGCACTGTAACATGCATGGCCTGCACAGAGTTTGCTCCTACTGGTGCCAAAGAGGCCAGCCACTTCCCACACTCACTTGCCTGTGTGCTCCCATTCGCAAGGGGTGGAATGCAGTGTGCCCAAGTAAATGGACTTTGCTCCTGTCAGTGCCAAAGCGGCCAGCCAATTCCCACACTTGTTTGCTCATGTGCTCCTTCCCAAGAGGGTTTGAGCATGGTGGGCTGAGTAAACAGAGCACCACTGCTATGAGTCCTGTGATGGGATCAAGAAAATATTCTGCATCACTACTAATAGTACATACATTTATAGTTTTTAAAAGTAAGAATTAAATGAGATGTCACCTTCAAACCCTATTAATATAATGGTTTTTATTGTAGATTTATGTATATTCACGATTTAATTAAATCAGATTTTTAATTAAATCACATTAGGAAACTCAGTATGCAACAAGTTGGCCGTTTATGAATGCAGGTTGACCCCTATAACCCTATTTTTTGGTTTTGGAGGTAGAGGTGATGGGAAGAGGAGAAAGAGGTATGCATTTAAGAGGTAGGGAAGTAGGGTTAAGATTTTTGCAGAGCCTTGCAAAGCTGGATGATGATAGCAGACTCACTATTCTTTAAGTATTAGATTATGCTTCAGCTGCTCAGTTTCTCATTATTTTTTTAGAGTCTATTTTAGAGCCTTTGCCATTTTTAGGCTTGCTTACCACATGTCTCAATTTTTCTGATGTCAGAAATGGCTTTGAAAAGTTATACAACACTGCAGCAACCTTGGTCATTCATCAGCTCTCAAGCATCAAAAGTGCTGCTGCTATTGTTCAGCAACATTGAAGGAAGGGAATTTGCCCCTCGGGATTCACTTTTGATTGCTATTAGATTTTTAGTCATAGCTATTGCCCTCATAAGAAACATCCGTACCACCTGGGCTGCCCTGCAGTTTTCCATTATAGCGCCCAAGCTGTTCACTGAGATACAGTGAGAGTTTAAGCAATGTCATCCATCCCAGCCTTATTTGACTTGAGAGTAAAACCCAGTGTCTGAAATCTCTGTCTCTTGCTATCCTAAAACTGTACTCATCAATCTTTCTTCTCATCAGTTCTAGGAAAAATGACAGAAACAGACATTTTCCCCCTCGCTTTCCAGTTAAGGCAACTGAACTTAATTTTAAGCGTGTCACCTACACTGCATTACACAGCTACAACAGAGTGTTAGCTAGCTCCATGATGAATGGCAGTGCCACTCTTAACCTTGTTTTGGAAGGGCAGTTTCCTGTTTTAACACAGTCCTTAGAAAATGAAAAAAAAAAAAAAAAACCCTGAAACATCAACCACTCAAATATTGTTTCTTAGAGCCCACTTTACTCGTTTGACACTAGAGAATCTCAGAATTCTGAAAAAAGCCAAGTATGGGTGTTTGATATTTTGGCTTCAGATCCAAACTGCTGCTATAGCAATAGTAGAAAAGAACTATTTGGCTGGGCATGGTGGCTCACGCCTGTAATCCTAGCACTTTGGGGGACCGAGGCGGGCGGATCACAAGGTCAGGAGATCGCACCATCCTGGCTAACACAGTGAAACTCCATCTCTACTAAAAATACAAAAACAAAATTAGCCGGGCGTGGTGGTGGGCGCCTGTAGTCCCAGCTACTCGGGAGGCTGAGGCAGAAGAATGGCGTGAACCCAGGAGGCGGAGCTTGCAGTGAGCCGAGATCACGCCACTGCACTCCAGCCTGGGCGACAGAGCAAGACTTCATCTCAAAAAAAAAAAAAAAAAAAAAACTATTTTCCAGTTTTTGAACTTTCAATAAATATTTTCTTGCAAAGTATAGTCATTTGTTTCACATAAGCTTCGAAGGTTTTAGAATAAATGTTCCTGGTGGAATTATGACTGAGAGTTGGTTCTATTGTGTCTTTTGAATACACCGCATTTTCTATTCCCACCATAGCCAGAAAATTTTAGCATCACTGGCCAGGTAGTCAATATTGTTAGGGGACTACAGTATTAAGAATTAAGGTAGGTATTCTCTCTCAAGGAAACTGGGATCTTGCTTGGATACAAAAAAATTATAATGCTGGGTAAGAGGCCTGTCTTGAAGATGCAAGATAGGGCTTTATGAGAATGTGGTGGTATAGGGCTGAAGACAGAACTAAGTTCTTAACCATCTTAGTTCTATGGAAGCTTTTAGGGATTATACAAAATTCTCCATTACTTATGGTCAATTATGTTAGGTTTTAGGACTATTAGGGGGGTTAAAATATGAAAATGAATAATATAAATTCTGTTATGTATTAAAATATGTGGGAAATTCTAGAATTACTGCATCAGGATTTTTCAAGGTAACACACAACCCTGAGCTGCAACAGGACATGGGATGTACTGTCTATCAAGTACTGTAGTGGAACAGGGATATTGCAGAGGCTAAATGGCATCACCACTTTTCACAACAGTGAGTCTGGAAAGCTCTTATACCCTTATTATCTTACTACAAAAGGACAAAATGAAGATTTTCAATTTTCTGAAAGTCAAGTTTTGGAACTTTTCAGAATCAACCTGAAAGTCACAGGTGGTGACTGCATTGAAGCCTCAGCTCATAAATACTTTTATTCCCAAAGAGCATGAGAGGACAAATGAATAAATGAAATGTAGTATATCCGGCAGGGTGCGGCAGCTCATGCCTGTAATCCCAACACTTTGGGAGGCCAAGGCAGGTGGATCACCTGAGGCCAGGAGTTCGGAACCAGCCTGGCCAGCATGGTGAAACCTTATATCTACTAAAAATACAAAAATTAGCCAAGCATGGTGGCGCACACCTGTAATCCCAGCTACTTGGGGGGATGAGGCAGGAGAATTGCTTGAACCCAGGAGGCGGAGGCTTCAGTAAGCCAAGATTGCACCACTGCACTCCAGCCTGGGTGACAAAGTGAGACTTGATCTCAAAAATGAAATATAGTATATCCATACAATGGAACACTGTTCAGCCACAAAAAGGAATGAAATACTGATGCAGGCCACAATATGTCTGAACTTCAAAAACATTCTGCTAAGTGAAAGCAGCCAGACACGAAAGACCACAGCTTGTGTGATTCCATTTATATGAAACGTCTAGAACAGGCAAATATTCAGAGACAGAAAGTAGATTAGCAGTTGCTGAGGGCTGGGGATAGGAACGGAGAGGGACTGCACGTGGGCACAGGGTTTCTTTTTTGGGGTGATGGAACTGTTCTAAAACGAGATTGTGATAATGGTTGCAGAACCCTGTAAATATACTGAAAAAATATACCGAGTTGTTCATGTAAATTGGGTGAATTTTTATGGTATATAAATTGTATCTCAAGAGAGCTGTTTAAAAATAAATAAAAGGGCAGTAGGGGCCTTTGCAGAGAAAGAAGAGACCTCATGCACTCTGAAAGACTCCAGCATGAGTCTCATTAAGGGGAGCACTTGTTCTTGACAAGGTACCTATGACTCAGGCATCAGATTATTTACACCATCTCACTTTCAGAGGAGAAAAAGGGATTCTCCAGGCTGAGTTCACGTCACAGCCTATGGGACACAGTTCAGTTGCCACTAGAGGGCACTACTATGCCATTGCCTTTGACAGCAACACTAGAACAAGTCTTTGGCACCACTCACTGCTGCTGCTGTGTTCAGGAACTTGGAGAACACTCCTATGGTCTTCCATGTAAATGACTTACCCTGGACTTGGGCCTCCCTGTACTGGCTATTGGTCCTTTAGATTGTGCTAGAGGGTGCTAGAAGGCAGAATGATCACTGAAAGCCTCAGACATTTATCTCCACTCATAGGGCTAAGTACATTCTAGATTACGACCAAGCAGCATATTCACCCAGGGCTGCAATATTCCAGTGAGCTCCGCAACTGAAATAAGTAGGAGCTCAACGAATCTCCAGGCTTCAGGTTAGTATTCATTGAATACTAACTATTGGCCTAGAATGGGTCTTGGTGGGCCTCAGGGATGCGGGTAATTGTGAGAGTGGTCCTCAGTGTCAGACACTGAGCAAAGGGGGCTCTAACCTACTTTGCAGAGTGGAGAGGTTCCAGTTCTGCAGCTATAGAGCTTGGGACAAAGGGGAACTGGTGTCACTGACCTGGGTGAAGGTAGATGGGAAAGAAATTACATCATGATGGCAGATGGGCAGGGCTGAGCACATTGCCTGGTGTTTGGTTGACAATTAATGTGCTAAATGAAGAAAAATGCAAATATTGTCACAAGGATCAGCAGCAGACTTTCAGAAAGACCGGAAGATTCATTTGGGGAGCTGCAGTAGAAATCATCCTAGTTAAGTCAGAAAAATCAGCGGGGAGGAGTTTGCTAAGGATATGAGTTTAAGCCGAAGGCTTGGGACAGCTTTCAGCTTGGAGTCTGTATAGGCTACCATCAAGTCTTAAACTGGGAGTCAAATTCCCTTTGAATGCAGTAGAGTGAAAAAAAAAAGATTCATTTTAGATAACCCAGGAAGAGAAATTAAAAGAAATTATTACTATGATTGAGTAACTAATATGGTATCATAAAGATTTATATCTTATGGGTTAGAGTTTTTTGAAGATTCCAAATTTATGGAAAAGTAAATACTTGCCATTAACTTCTACCTTAATTTTTTCATAAACAACTGGAATTAGAATAAAATATTTAGAAACAACAGCACCAGCTCCAAAATTAAACAGGTGTTGGCGTCATTGATCAGACTTACAGAGCTCAACCACAGAGATGTCTTCATAATGTCCTTACAGCAAGCTAGCAGGGAGGTGTGCATTTTAACGATGTTGACTTTTGGTGAGAAGGTACAGAAGGTTTATATTATTCACATATTCTATTGCGCTTATAAATTGAGGTCTAACAGGTGTTATCAGTTTTGTCATCACTGCTGTTTCTCCTCGCTTCTTTGTTGGTAATTGAATTCATTTTGTCGGAAATTCACACATGAATCCAAGTCAGATAGTCTTTCTGAGCTGTATCTGAGAATTTGTAGAGAAAAATAGGAAAGGCCACACACACTTGAATCATAAGATTTTTTTCTTTTTTTGTCTCACAATGTTTTTGATTTGGGAATCAGAGGAATGCTGTCCTCATAACATGAGTTGAGAAGTATTTTCTATTTTCTGGAAGGATCTGCATGAAATTAGTTTCTTTATTGCTCTTTGGGATTTAATTCATGGGTGCTCACTCAGTATTTACATCACTGTTACTGCAGAGGGAATTTGTTTTATGAAAGGGAGCAACTTTAAGATTAAGATGGAACCACTCACTTTTTTCACCATCTCCCACCTAAAGGAAGCTTACTCCCATATTGCTGAAGTTTGAGTGCCCTTTTGGCACCTTCCTGGAGTATTATTTCATATCAGATAGACGTGGGTTCAAATTCTAACTTTGCCTCTGATTTTTCTGTAATAGGCTTTATTTTAAAAAATTAGATTTACAGATAAAATTGTGCAAATTGTGCAGAAAGTAGAGAATTCCCATACATTCCTTTTTCACCCCCACAGTTTCTACTATTATTAACATTTTGCATTAATATGGTTCACTTGTCCATAGTTGATATTAGGGTTCCCTCTTCATGCTGTACAGTTGAGTTTCAACACATGTATAATGCCATGTATTGGACCATTACAGTATCATTAGGAGTTTTACTTCCCTAAGCTTATCCTGGGATCTATCTATTCATCCAGCCCTTTCTCCCCCCGAACTCTGGTGACCATTGATCTTTTTACTGTCTCTATAGTTTTGCCTTTTGCAGAATGTCGTATAGTTGGAATCAGTATGTGGCTCTTTCAGACTGGCTTCTTTCATATGGTAATGGATGTTTAAGTTTCTTTCATGTCTTCCCATGGCTTGATAGCTCATTTATTTTTGTTGCTGAATAATATTCCCTTGCCTGGGTGTACCAAAGTTCATTCCTTTACCTACTATAGAATATTTTGGTTGCTTCTAAGTTTTGGGAATTATAAATAAACCTTTTATAAACATCTGTATGAATGTAAGTTTTTTTGTGTGTGCACATAAGTATTCAACTCACTGGGGTAAATACCTAGGAGCATGATTGCTAGACTATATGATAGGACTATGTTTACTTTTGCAGAGACTGTGTTTTCTAACACGGCATACCATTATTCGTTATTCATTCTCATCAGCAATAAATGAGAGTTTCTGTTGCTACACATCCTCTTCAGTACTTGGTGTTATTGTATTCTGGGTTTTGGCCATTCGATTAGGTGTGTAATGCTGGCTCATTTTTGTTTTAATTTGCAATTCCTTAATGAAATATCATGCTGAGCATCTTTTTATGTGTTATTTGTTGGGTTTACCTTGTTTGTTGATCTTTGGCCCAGTTTTCTGTTTTCTTTTTTTTTTTTTTTTTTTTTTTTTAGAAAGACTCTGGCTCTGTCACCCAGGCTCTAGTGCAGTGGTGGCATATCTCAGGGCTCACTGCAATGTCCACCTCTTGGGTTCGAGCGACTTTCCTGCCTCAGCTTCCCAAGTAGCTGGGATTACAGGCATGTACTACCATGTCCTGCTAATTTTTGTATTTTTAGTAAACACGGGGTTTCACCATGTTGGCCATGGTTGGTCAGACTGGTCTCGAACTTCTGACCTCAGGTGCTTCACCCACCTTGGTCTCCCAAAGTGCTGGGATTACAGGCGTGAGCCACCAAGCCTGGCCCCATTTTTTGATTAGGTGGTTTGTTTTGTTTTCTTGTTGTTGAGTTTTAAGTTTCTTTGTATATTTTAGATACACATTCTTTACTGGATATGTGTTTTACAAATATGTTTCCCTAGTCTGTGGCTCTCCTTTTTATTAACTGTGTAACCTAGGCCAAAACTCTGAATCTTTTTCAGCCTCAGTCTTCTCCTCTCAAAAATGAGAAAAATGATATCTCTTTAATAACATATTCACTTGTGGGGTTAAGAGATAGATGTGTGAGTTATGTGAAAGATTCTAGTATACTGCCTGGCTCAGTCAAAGTTAGCCTTTTGGCTTTGCCTCTTTTTCTTTCATTTCTGCAAACATATGTCCATTTAATACTTATCGTGTTTTGCATGTGGTTCTTTTCACCAGTGTTTTTCACACTTTAATGAGCACATGAAAATAACTTGTTAAATTGCAAACTCTGATTTAGTAAGTCTGGAGTGGAACCTGAGATTCTGCATTTCTAACAAACTCCCAAATTAGTTAGTGCTTCTGATTCACAGAGCACATACTGAATAGCAGAATAAATTCCTAAGCAGCAAAGCATTCAAGAAATGGTGTGGCTGCTTCTAACAACCTATGCGCAGAATTAGACCCAGAAACCTTGGGGGAAAGAATGGTTTAGGGGGCCAGGTCCAGGACCCTACTTTCCTGGGCACCCTCAGGACACTGTTCCCTGCATCCTGGCTGCTCTGGCTCCAGCCTTGGCTCAAAGCAGACAAGGTACAGCTCAGGCCACAGCCTTGCGGGGGCAGAAGCCATAAGCGTTGGTAACTTCCATGTGTTAAGTCGGCAGATACTCAGAATGCAAACATGAAGGAGGCTTGGCGGCTTCTACCTAAATTTCAGAGGATGTATGGAAAACCCTGGGTGCCCAGGCAGAAGCCTGCCACAGGGACAGAGCCCCCACGGAGATACTCTACTAGGGCAGTGCTGACAAGAAATGTGGGGCTGGAGCCCCCACACAGAGTCTCCACCAGGACACTGCCTCATGGAGCTCTGGGAAGGAGCAACAGCCCTCCAGACCCCAGAATGATAACTCCATCAGCAGCTTGCACCCTGAACCTGGAAAAACTGCAGGCACTGAAAACTGCAAACAGTGAGAGCAGCTGTGTAAGCTGTACCCAGGGAAGCCATAGGGGAGGAGCTGTCCAAGGCTTTGGGAGCCTACCCTTAGCATCAGCATGAGACATGGAGTCACACAAGATTATGTTTAAGCATTAAGATTTAATGACTTCCTCGCTGGATTTCAGACTTGCATGGTGCCTGTAGCCCATTTTTGGCCAATTTTCCCTTTTGGAATAGTAATGTTTACCCAATATATGTGTAACCATTGTATCTTGGGTGCAAATAACATGTATTTGATTTCACGGGCTCATAGGTGGAAAGAACTCATCTGCAGATGAGTCTTTGCACTTGGGACTTAGGGCTTTTGATTGAGTTGATGCTGGAATGAATTAAGACTTTGGAGAACTATTGAGTAGGGATGATTGTATTTTGCAATATGAGAAGGACATGCGATTTGGGAGTGGGGGGCCAGGGGTGGAATGATATAGTTTGGATGTTTGTCCCCTGAAAATCTCATGTTGAAATGTGATTCCCAGTGTTGGAAGTGGGGCCTGGTGGGAGGTGATTGGAACATGAGGGTGGATCCCTCATTAATGGGTTAGCACCATTCCATCGGTGATGAGTGAGTTCTCGCTCTGAGTTCGTGTGACATCTGGTTCTTTAAAAGACCATGGCATCTTCCTCCCCCTTGCTCCCACTTCACTTTCTGCTGTGATTATAAGCTTCTTGAGGCCTTCACCAGAAGCTGAGGAGATGTTGGTACCATACTTGTACAGCCTGCAGCACTGGGAGCCAATTAAACCTCTTTTCTTTATAAATTACCAGTCTCAGATATTCCTTTATGGTAATGCAAGAACGGCCTAAAAGAGTTGACAGTCATCAGTTTTCCATACATAGAACACAATAGGAAGAATATAACAGAAAATACCATAGAGAGCTAAGTATTATTGAGGTCAAGGTAAAGGAATTTAAAGTTTACTGTATCACACTGAAGGAGGGCTAAGAACCTTGCTTTTTCACACACATACTGTGAGTTTCTTTAATACACATGATGAGTAAATTAATATTTGCTTATTTCAATTATTTGTGGGAAAAAGATGAATAAAATAGTCTGAATAATCCCCAATGATGAAGCAGAGACACAGGCTGGACTTTGAGGACTGGATAGGATGATAGTTGACAGAAAACGGGGAGGAGGTGGGAATGACCCTTGAGCTTTAAACAGAAGGTGTACAGTGAAGGGAGTGTCTAGTGAGGAGCTAAAGGAGAATGTCTGGGCCAGGTATGAGAGGAAACTGGGAGCCAGTGAAGCACTTTATTTGTGTGTTTAGAATTAGAAGACAAAAGCAGAAACACACTGTGGGTTAGAAAGAGTAGAACCATAGAAGGAACTTAGATTGGAAGACTAGTTAACTTTCTTCTCTGTTGTAGTAATCAAGGAATGCATTGACAAGAGCTTGTGCTAAGTTAATAGTAGAAAGATGAAGAGAAAAGGAGGGATTCATTGCAAAGGATAATTCAATGGCCTAAGCTCTCCCGCTGTGCATACCGTGGAGTTCCTCCGTTAAGTAAAGGAAGGGGACCCTTATGACTCCCTGCCTGCATTGTCAGATGTCATGTGATGATGGTCATGACTCCTATCCCTAGGATAGAACAAATGCGTCAGTGATGGAGGACCCTGAGAAAATAAAGTAGGAGAAGGGAGGGATAGGGTATGAGTGCAAAACTAAATTTGTCTGCCTCTTTATCTCTATGGAATTCTTTCAAACCTTTCCTCCCTTGCTTCTCATACCACCAAATAAAGACGCCCATCTAAACCTGCAACTTCACATCAACTTTTACCATTTTCAAGAGCTTCCAAGCCAGGAATGTTAGAGCTGGAAGGAACATGATAAAAAGAAGGAAAGTGAAAGTGAACAGTTTACACAGCCAGCAGCACAGTAACCGGCAAGGGGCAAACAAACCCATAGATGCTTCCTGAATGAAACAAATGAGATACAGGGAAAAGATTAAAACCAAGAACCTCTGACTTCCAGACCACTTGACTCTGCTGCCTGACCCTCTTCTTAAATCCATGCTGCCTGAGTAAACGTCCAGGCTCCACATATTTAGACCACATCGGGAAACTAGACTTCATACTGAGACTTACGGTGAGCACTGCCTTTTAGTTAAGGGGAGGGGATAGGAGAAAAGTATCTGGAGAAGCCATAAAATTAGATTCATTAAGTTATCAGAGCCCTAAAAAGAAATCTGGCCCCACTGGTGATACACTGAAAAAAAAATAATTGGTTGGGCTGGCCATAGGGGCCTAAAGGTTCACAGAGAGGAATCAGTGCTAAAGGTAGTAAGAAAAACAGCTCAAGGAAACCCTCTGAGCTAGCAGTACTTTCTTTCCTACAACTTCATTTTAGCTTGGCTTTGTTTTTTATATTGTTTGGGGGCTATTTTATTAAGCCCATGGATCCCTCAGACAGGTATACAGCAATAGGGTGAAATAAAAGAGAAGAAATATTTGCTACAGAATGGAGCGAGTAAAGAAAAAGATTATCTTTTGTGGGGAGGCTCTGAAATCCTTGGGTCTCTAGATCAATGCCTTCTCCTCAATTTTCCTTTCAGTTCCCACATATATGGATTGTGGGCAATCAGAAGCTCAAAGTGGAAGCTCTGAAGATGGGATCCTTTCTGGTGTGTTGAAAAATCCCTGGGCTTGTGGGTCAGCAGGATGGGTGTGGTGTCTCTCAGCTATGGGAATGTAAGATTTACATTTTGGGGCCATGGAATTAAACAGATGAGGGTGGACTCTTAGCTCTGTGACTTGGTCAAGTTCTTAACCTCCTAATTCAGTTTTCATTTCTAAAATGAAGATAATAATCATATCTACTTCATTCACTGTTTTTAAGGATTAAATGGGATAATTTAAGTAAAGTGCTGAGCACTCGGCCCAGTCCACAGGAAGCACATAGTAAATAATGCAGATGATCATTATTAATAGAAATTATTATTATTATTACTAGGGAGCTTCCTGTAGTGCCCACTGGGAAACAACATGGTTGTGTGGCTACAGCCTGGGCAGCAGAAGTAGGTGACAAAGGAGAATAAACCAACAGCTTGGCCTCCGGAGCTTTGGGTTTCTGTCTTTGCCCTAATAGTTTCCAGTTTAACTCAGAAAAATCTCCAAACCTCTCTAGATTTTGGTTTGTGTCAGAAGTGTTAAAAAAGTATAATAAAAGCCCCAGGGAGATGATGGACCAGAGAGAAAACTTTATACACTGAACTGTTACGTTATACATGTGAACTATTTTTTGTTATTTGTAACAAATCTGGACAGCCCCTTCCTTTGTACCTCCAGCTCCTGCCTTTTTAATCTCTGATGCCAATCTCTGAACACTGCTAGGGCAAGCCCAAAGGGGAAAGTTGACTATAACTTGGTGATCTATGCTATGGTGATCTGCGTGGAGACTTTTTGTCAAGTTTATTGTCACATCACACTTTCCCCAGAGCAGCTGTGGGTCACTCCCCTTCCTAACACCCCTACCCTTTTAAATCCTTCTACCTGCAGCATCTGAATGGCATGAAAACATGGCCTCACTGCCTATGAAACAGACTCGTGTCACATGGGAGGGGTCTCAGTCAATCAGAAAACGAGGGTCAAGGGAAGTTCTGCTGCAACTGCAGAGGTGTGGCCTCAGTTCTCTTTGGCCGGTTTCTGCAATCTCCTCAAAAAGACAGAAATATGTCTGAGTCCCGCGAAGGAGAATAAAAACAAAGAGATCCTTTTAGCCTGGAGGAAGAACCAAGCTTGCAAATAGAGAGTCTTGTGCTCAGGCAACATTCTGCCAGCCAAGTTGTAGCTATCTACAGAGATCCTCAGAGGCAGGTCTGCATGGAATTTACCTGTCGTTGAGCCTGCATCTGGGAGCTTGGAGTGACTATGAAGCACAGAGATGGCTCTTTAAACAAGTATTCCTGCAGCTTGGCATCCAAAATAATGGTGCCCTTTAAAACAGATGCTACTGGAGGCTATTTCCTTGCAAATGCACTTACTGTATTAATTCCCACTAGGCAAAATATTGGGAATTTTTCTCTTCACGTGGTTTCAGAGGCAGTTACAAATTACAAATAAAAAAGGCATCTAACATTTGGTTGCCAAATTATATTGCCCAACTTTATCAATGATGTAAGTTATTTTTTCATGAAAACAATAATAATAGAATTTGTTAAGTATGTTAAGTCCCTGAGCTCTGCATTTTTCAACGACATTCAAGGTGGGAACAGTCATCCTGGGGATAATCCCTACATTTTAGTTGTCACTCCAGTGAGCTTCTCAGTGTAAATTCACACTCAGAATTGTTTAATTCCAAAGTCAATACAATTTCCATTATGGTAAAGTGATTGTTTTCCAAGTTTCAATCCATCTTTAAATGACCAAAAATGGCGAGAGAATGTGCTATGAGGAATTCTAAAAGTGATTTTATAAAAGCAGAATCAAGTTTTATATTTAAAACTTGAGCTGGCTCTGGCCAGGCACAGTGGCTCATGCCTGTAATCCCAGCACTTTGGGAGGCCAAGGCAGGCGGATCATGAGGTCAGGAGATCGAGACCATCTTGGCTAACATGGTGAAACCCCGTCTCTACTAAAAAAACAAAAAATTAGCCGGGAGTGGTGGCCGGCGGCTGTAGTCCCAACTACTCAGGAGGCTGAGGCAGGAGAATGGCGTGAACCCGGGAGGCAGAGCTTGCAGTGAGCCGAGATCGCACCACTGCCCTCCAGCCTAGGTAACAGAGCGAGACTCCATCTCAAAAACAAAAACAAACAAACAAACAAAAAGACAAAACTTGAGCTGGCTCTATTGAAGTAAGTGTATGTACACACGTAATATATAACTACTTTAAAGGGGAGGTTTTCTCATTTCCTATCACACATTACATATGTTTATTTGGAAAAAATATTTTCTTCCTAAACTGTAACCTATGAGTTTTTTTCTCTGATGCTCTTTGGTTTTTTATTTTTAGCTTGAAAGATATTTCTAGATATGTTTGTTGGAAGTTAATTCATTAATTCAGCAGACCAGCATGCGCAGGTGCATAGTGTGGCCCGCAGTCTGATCCAAGGCAACTGTTCATATCTCCAAGCATTCTTTCTGTCTTTCTTTATCTGATGCTTGGGTATCCTTCCACCTCAGCCTGCTCACCATTTACAATAGAAAGCAAAACTTAATAAAATTCTTAAAGGTGGTGTAAATTGCACTAAAGAGCAGAGCTTCGAGTTCTCATCAGGAAGGATGACCCAAACTTAAACGAAGAAGTGGGTGTGAAGGAACCTGTACAGTGCTTGGCACAGAGAAAACACTCTAAAGTATTGACTTCGTTTTTTTTCTTCCATAAATCATCTGCTTTACATCTCATGTGTGTACATGGGGTAAAATAAGTCTTACTTCAGGAAAAATTCTTTAAAAGGACAAGTTGTGAGTCTACTTCTCTAGATATTCCCAGCTCTTTCTCAGAATCACTCAGATGGATTACAAAGTGAATATGCAGAGCCTCTTGACCAGTGATTACCCACTCTCCTCCATGAAACTTAGGGCTTTACGAGCTATCTTTCAGAGTTTCTCAAAGGACTTAGTGGTTTTAAAAGCTATAGTTCCTTAATCTAGCCAAAGACATTGGGAAAAAAAAGCATAAATGTTTTTAATCAATCTGTTACACTTGGAAAGACAATGAAGCAGGAACCTCCAGCTCACCTTGGTTCAAATTTCAATTTGACTGCCTACCAGCTGCATGATCTTAGGAAAGGCATTGTACTTTGTTATATATAGTTACACAAATATGCATGTATATATACACATACATCATATATACACATTTCTATATATAGCTATACGGTATCTGTATATACACACGCATATATATGTGCGTGTGTGTGTGTGTGTGTGTGTGTGTGTGTGTGTATAGAGAGATTAGATACAGTGAAGAGATAATTGAGCTTATGACACAGGAGAGACTACCTAAAAATACCTGTTTCCCTGTTTTTCCTATTCGCTTTTCAACTAGGTAGGTCTCTAGAGAGTGGGAAGGAAATGCTCTGAACATGTCCCATTGAGACAGATTATGAGAAGAGACAATTCAACTGTGGTCCCACAGCCAAGAAAAAATGTACATTCAGTCCTAGGCCATCTCCCATCCTCCAAAACCAAACCACCAATCCAGAGCCCAAATCCTGCCCTCTCTATGGAATTATTCCTTCTGTTCATCTCCCATGTGGCAAAAGAAAAGGAAGCTCCAGATTTCCTGATTATCTGTTGAACATTCAAGGAAGACAATCAGCATAAATCATAGTTTTGCTTAGAAACCCCAATCTCCATCCAACAACAACAATGCAATTATAATTTCCATTTTAGAATTCTTTTTTATGTATTTCCCTCTTTTGTGAGTATGTATAATGCAATCATGAAAATAAGACCAACTTTAAAATAATATTTAAAGTTCAGAATCTGTCAGTGGAATGGCCAGATTCTATTGTGGTGAACTCCCTTAGGAGAATCACATCCTATGGGGTCAGATTTTTCTCCTGCTTCACCCCCTTTTTTATTAGACACGCTACTCTGACAGTCAAGTTCATGAATCCTGCATCATAATACCTGTCTCTATATTCCTTTTGAGGGCAGACTCTTCAGAAATGCAATAACAAAATTATCAGATGATTAAGATGACAAATGCAAGAAGCCCTTTGACGCCAATAGTGTGAAGCAAAGATGGTTACCAGGCAGAGAGCATTGGCTATTAAGGAGGAAAATCAAAGGATGAGAAGGGAAGCTCAAAAAAGATACTGAAGGGGCACATGGTAATAAAAATGGTCTCTGGTGCTGAAGGAATTCTGGGATACAATAACTTAACAAACAACCAAGACCTTTGGATTGTAGAGTTTAGTACCATAAAGTCTTGCTACATTCTTGCTTGCTGTTTTCTTTTTCTTTATTATTTTTAACATCCCATAATGTGCTGGCCTGAGGAATTAGCATTGCTTTAATAGATGTAATTTTGTTACCCATGGACACTTAAAAATGGTCAGGCCATGTGGGCCCAGGTCATGATTTATGATGGCTTCCAATTCTTTCTGAACATTGTTTTTTGTGATAACCAGCTTTAAAAGTCTAAATGGTCTTTTTCAGGGGATAATGCAGAATGTATAAAAGGTATCTATTCTTTCTGCCTACACCTGGATATGATAATAGTAGTATTTAACAAAAGGCTTTAATATATACATGTAGAAGAACACATTCACAGCCCCAATTCTTCACTTCTCCACATAACTGCTTCTTTTGCTATGTGACTTTTCAGTTCTGCCCATCAAAGAGATAGAGTATGGACTGTAGGTGACTTTGGCTACAGCTTCATGACTTGCTGTGGCCAGTTGGATGTTAATGTGAGTGATGTGACCAACACATTGAAAAGCACTTGTACAGTTGGTGTTGGTCTTTTCTTTTTGCCAGTTATTGTTGTGAGAAGGGCATCAGTGGGCTTGTCTGACATCCTGGAGAAGGATGAAAGACACAAGAAACAGAACTGTTCTGATTAAGCCCAGCCTCAGGCACTGACTCCCGGGCAGTGCACAGGCATGCGAGCCAAAGAGATTCTTATCATCGTGTTGCTGTTATACACTACTGAGCTTTTGTGGTCATTTGTTTCACACCATTGTTGTCAGAAATAGATGTTACCTATAACCTAAGACCTACCTGACCTGTGAAAGACAGACACATTTGTCACATTTTTAAAGTAGCATTGACACTTGAGTTGCTTTTCTGTTGAGCTTCTCCATGTGTTTTTTTGTTGCTTATAATCTAGTTGCCTTCCCCACTCTCACCAGCCTTCCCTGGTCTTGTCTCCTCTGCTTTTATTTCTAGGGGACTGACATCTCTAAACTGTATTTCTTGTATTCTCTTGTACTCTGGCTTATGTTTGCGTTTGGCCAATGGTTGATATTAGAAGGTAGGAGGAGAGATCAGTCTTTAACTTCTTCATTTTCTTCCTGCCTTGCTGCAGTTCTAAGAGTGGTTGTATTCCTTTATAGTTACAGCTCCTGTTGAACAGCACCCTGTCCATGTCCATGGTCTAAGCTTACGCTGGGCTCCAATAACTGTGTTCCCTCCTCTTACCTGCAGGCTGGGGTGAAGACAGGGTATGAGGTGTGTGTATGTGTGTGTTTGTGGGTGACAATTTTCCTTGTTGCTTATTTCTAGGGATCTCATAATCCCTTGGTGAATTCTCTTGACTCTGTGTATAACTCAATGCCCAGTTTCTTTATTACAAATTACTTAGGGTGTGATTTTTTTTTTTTACAGTACCACCTATTTCCTGTTGAGACCCACCTTCTACATAGTTTAAATTGTACCTATTCCAAACTTCCAACAAGTATTTCGTAGAGATTCCTTAAAACAATTACAAAATCTCTGTAATTACTAATTACTAGCTCCTGTGCTTTGTAAAAAAATGAATATTATATATTATTTTCAAATTACACTGAAACAAATCAGTTTATTTGACACTCACAATATAACCTGATTGACCTCACTCAGTGAGCTGGTCAAGGCAAGAACTTTTCTCTATGGAGATGTGGAACTGAGGCATAGAATTTATTTCTAATTACTATTATTTTTATTATTTGATATAAGAATGAGATCACAAAGCTTGGCTTATGGTACTTTTTAAAAAACTGTGGTAAGAAACACATATTATAAAACTTACCATCTTAATTATTTGTAAGTGTACAGACAGTTATGTTGAGTATATTTACATTGTTGTGAAGCCAATCTCCAGAGCTTTTTTTCTTGCAGAAGTGAAGATCTGTATCTATTAAACAACTCCCCCTTCTTTTCCTCTCTCCATCCATGAGTAACAACCATTTTATTTTGTGTTTCTATGAATTTTGACTACATTAGGTACCTCATATAAGTGAAATCATATAGTATTTGGCTTTTTGTGACTGGCTTATTTAACTTAGAATAAATGTCCTCAAGGTTCCCCTCACGTTGCTGTATATGACAAGATCTCCTTCTGTTTACAATGCTTACTAATAACCCATTATATGTATATGGTACATTTTATTTGTCCATTTATCCACTGATGAACATTTAGGTTGTTTTCACATCTTGGCTACTTTGAATAATAGTCCAATGATCCTGGGAGTGCCAATATCTCTTTGAGATTCTAATTTTAATTATTTTGGCTAAATACCCAGAAGTGGAATTTCTGGGGCATATGACAGTTCTACTTTTAGATTTTTTTGAATCTGTATTGAATCTGGAGATCACTTTGGATAGTATGAACATCTTAACATTATTGTCTCCCAATTTATAAACCTGGGATGTCTTTTCATGTATTTGTGTATTTTTAAAAAATTTGTTTCAACAATGTCATATGGTTTTCAGTGTACAAGTCTCTTTGGTCTCCTGGGCTGTTTATTCATAAGTATTTTATTATTTTTGGTGTTACTATAGGATTGGTTTTTTAATTTAATTTTTAAAGTTTAGTTTTTAGTGTATAAAATCAAACTGATTTTTGCATATTAATTTTGTATTCTGAAACTTTAATTTATTAGTTCTAAGTTTGTGTGTGTGTGTGTGTGAGTGTGTGTGTAGTTTTTACTATTTTCTACATATAAGATCATGTAATCTGCTAACAGAGTTAATTTTACTTCTTCCATTTTGATTTGAATACCTTTTATTTCTTACTATTGCCTGCTTGCTCTTGCTAGGAATTACAGTACTATGTTGAATAGAAGTGGTGAGAATAGGCATCCTTGCTTTGTTCCTTATCACAGAGGAAAAGCTTTCAGTTTTTGAATACTGACTATGATGGTAGTTGTGAGCTTTTCATATATGACCTTTATTTTGTTGAAGTAAATTTTTTGATAAGAAGTTTGTTGAAAGTTTTTATCATCAAAGGGTATTGAATTTTGTCAAATGCATTTTCTGCATCTATTCAGATAACCATGTGGTTTTCATTCTTTGTTTTGTTAATATGGTGTACTACATTGGTTGATTTTAGAATGTTGAACCACCCTTGCATCCCAGGGATAAATCCCACTTGGCCATTTTTAAATTGGGTTAAATTTCTCAGTTTGCTATTTTTGTTGTTGAGTTGTTGTTCTTTGTTTATCCCAGATGTTAATTTCTTATAGATATATGATTTGCAAATATTTTTCCCATTCCATAGGTTGCTTTTTTACTCTGTTGATTGTGCCCTTTTATGCACAAAAGTTTGCAAGTTTTATGTTGTTCCATTTGTTTGCTTGCTTCTTTTCTGTGTTCTTCATGTTATAGCTAAGAAATCATTACCATGTCTAATGTCATAAAGCTTTTCCCCTATGTTTTCTTTTAGAAGTTTTAAAGTTTGAGGTCATACATTTAGTTCTTTCATCAATTTTGAGTTAATTTTTGTATATGATGTAAGGTAAGGGTCTAACTTCTTTTTTTCTTTGCATATGTATATTCAATTTTCCCAATATCAAGGCATATATACATATTTTTAGTTAGCAACAGAACTAATAATCTAATATCTAATATCAATCTAATAATTAATATCAATCTCATATTGTGCATGCATATTTGACATTTTTGATAAACAATTCTAATATTAGGTGGATTTGGGATAAAAACTGCTGTATCTATTTGGACAGCTATAGAGTGAACTCTTCCTCTAGTTTCCTCTAGCCCCCTGAATTTAGATAAGCTGTAGAACATTGTACCTCTAACCTTATAGCATCATCTTAACCCTATTATTTTCCTTTTTTGAACCTTAATATTGTATTTCTACCCAGTTTTACTTTTTACTGATTCCTTCTTATATGGATTTATATTTGTAGGTGACTTATTTGATTGACATCCTGAAACCTCCCACCTTTCCCTACTTCCTTACAGTTACTATGTACCACTCAACTGGGATAACTCCTTTTGACTTTCTCACATCTTCAATTTCTCAAAGATGAAATCATGGAGTCCTTAAAATAAGATAGAACATAACTACTCAAAAGAAGATAGAGATCTAATATTAATATAGTTAGAAATAATTAGAAAAACCAAGCATTTTGGGAAAAAAAAGAAAAAGGAAAAGAAACTAGCATTTATCCTATAAAAATCCCAGAAGAAAATCTAGAAAAAACTCTTCCAGACATCAGCCTAAGACAAGAATTTATGACAAAGACCCCAAAAGCAAATTTAACAAGCCAAAAATAGACAAATGGGACTTAATTAAATGAAAAAGGTTCTGCACGTCAAAAGAAATAATCAATAGAATAAACAGGTAACCTACAGCATGGGAGAAAATATGTGCAAATTATGCCTCCAACAAAGGATTAATATCCAGAATCTCCAAAGAACTTAAACAGCTCAATAAGAAAAAAAGCAACCAATCTCATTAAAAACTGGGCAAAGGACATGAACAGGCATTTTTCAAAAGAAGAAATACAAGTAGCCAAAAAACACATGAAAAAATGCTCAACATCACTTATCAGAGAAATGTGAATTAAAACTACACTGAGATATTACGTTAAACCAATCAGAATGGCTACTATTAAAAAGTCAAGAACAACAAATGTTGGCATGGATGCAGAAAAGGGAACACTTATATGCAATTGGTAGGAATACAAATTAGTTTAACCTCTGTGGAAAACAGTATGGATCTATCTTAAATAACTAAAAGTAGAATTACCATTCAACTCAGTATTCCCACTACTAGATATCTATCCAAAGGAAATGATATCATTACATAAAAAATACACTTGCACTCGTATGTTTATTGCAGCACTACTGACAAAAGCAAAGCCATAGGAACCAACTTAGGTGTCCACCAATGGTTGACTGGCTAAAGAAAATGTGATGCATATATACCACAGAATACTATGCAGCCATAAAAAGAACGAAATCATGTGTTTTGCAGCAATATGAATAGAGCTGAAAACATTGTCCTCAGTGAACTAACTCAGAAGCAGAAAAATATTGCATGTTGTCACTCATAAGTGGGAGCTAAACAATAGGAACACATGGACCTAAAGATGGAGATAATAGACACTGGAGACTCCAAAAAGTGGGGAGGATGAGAAGGAGGTAAGGGTTGAAAAATTACTTATTGGGTACAATATTTGGACAATAGGTACACTAGAGACCCAAGTCCCACCACAATGCAATATACCCATGTAACAAACAAATACATATACCCCCTGAATCTAAAATAAAAATAATTTTAAAAGATAAATTATAAAAGAATAACACATTCATTCTACAAACTGATGTGATATCACCACTTTAGATCCCGGGTAACTAGTTTCTACTCAACGTGAGCACTTATCCAAAAGAGTACTTACTTTACCAGTTGAACAACACTTTATAAAACTGGTATTATTTGATCTTACCATTTTGCTTTCTTTTGTATATGAATCCTGGCTTCTCTTATCCCTTGAACCAGTGTATCTCTAAATAGAATCCATGGACCCATCAAACGTGAATCCTCTGGGTTACTTACAAAATACTTATCCTGTGTCTGTCTCATTGCAGACTTCTTGGTTTAAAATAAGCAAATATTAAGAAAGTTTGAGAATAATTTTCTGAAATGTTGTTTTACTAGTAGTACTACTCTCATCCCTGTGCCCAATTTTCTTTTTTCTGAGTTGGAGGTCCCACTGTATCTCCCAGGCTATAGTGCAGTGGCACAATCATGGCTTACTGCAGCCTCCAACTCCTCCATGCCTGGCTAAGTTTAAAAAAATTTAGAGATGGGGTCTCCCTATCTCTACATAAAAAATTTTTTATTACATAAAAAATACACTTGCACTCATATGTTTATTGCAGCACTACTGACAAAAGCAAACCCATAGGAACCAACTTAGGTGTCCACCAATGGTTGACTGGCTAAAGAAAATGTGATGTATATATACCACAGAATACTATGCAGCCATAAAAAGAATGAAATCATGTGTTTTGCAGCAATATGAATAGAGCTGAAAGCATTGTCCTCAGTGAACTAACTCAGAAGCAGAAAAATATTGCATGTTGTCACTCATAAGTGGGAGCTAAACAATAGGAACACATGGACGTAAAGATGGAGCAATGTGGGCAACAGCCCACATTGGTCTCGAACTCCTGGCCACAATCCTTGTGCCACAGCCTTCCAAATTACTGGGATTACAGGTATGAGCCACTGTGTCTGGCCATTTTTTTAAAAAATGTGTTTCCTAACTTGACTTAGAGGTTCATCTGAAATTCCAACTATTATTTTATGTGCTGATCTTGTTGACTAATTCCTGGTAACTTTATCCTCTTTTCCTGCAATAGCAAAATTCCCTACATCTGAGGGCAAACTTCTTCTTGTATTTACTTGTTCCACACAGTGCATGCATTCAACAGGTCTCTGTCATTTCATCCTGGCTACCATCCTCTTTACTGGACTTGCATTAATTGTCAATGTGGCATAAACGTTTATTGCTTATCGAACAGCCATGCACTCCTGCATATTTCTCAGCAACCTTGCAGTGAGGCATGCCATAAAACTGCTTTGGCCAGGGGAATATAAAGGGGAAAATGTATCATTTTCAGAATAAAATATTTAAAAGTTGGTGTTCAACCCGTCATATCTCCTTTCCCCATAAAGAACCACCTAACAAGTTCACAACAGCCTGAATTACAGTCACTTAGAGCAGCACAGCTTCTCTAGAGATCTCTTCTTCCAACTCACATCAGAATTTGCATGAACATGCAATACATCTTTATTGTGTTACACCACAGAGATTACAGGGCCAATGTTACCACAGCTCAGCTTAGTCTATACCCACTAACATAGTTAATGTAACATATTAACCTCTTGGTTTGCCATATTAGGCTTTGCAGTTCTAGTGAGTTTGTTATGCAAATGAGTCTTTTCCTATCTTTGTTGACTGTTTAGCTTTGAACAGATTAATATAAGACATATACAATCTGCAAGGCGTTTCCAGTAACTTAGGCTTGTAGTCATTGATACTTATAATAGACCTTACTAAGTCTCATGCAGAGCATTGATTACAACATTTACTTCTTTTTGTTTACCTGAGTCCCTCCATGTCTTTAATGAGTTCTGGCTTCTATGACTCTACCTTCCAATTCTAAGTAAAACTCTTCTCCTGGGTACCTTAAATAAGACCGTTATAGATTAAGGAGTCAATGCTACCCCAGGGAACATATAGTACATTTTAGAACTTAGGTATTCTTCCAGTCAGAGCAATATAGTCAGTAACTGGATCATTTTTACCTCTCTGATGTGGATACTAGACCAATGCCTTAGAAATAATAGGTGCTTAATGCATGATCGTTAGAATATATTTGTAAACGTATTCATCTCTTTATTTTGGGGGGATTACTTGCCACTTGAGGGAAGGGACTATATCTTATGTTTAAGTTCCTCACGATGTCTTGTTCATATTAGGCACTTGGTAAACATTTAATTTCAATTTAGCAAGTAAGTCTATGTTCAAATTGAAGAGGGTTAGCACCTGGGGATGAGATGTGACTAGTGAGCCTCCATCTGCTTTTGATTCTGATGAATTAGTGCCAATGAAATGTCCAGAAGCAACATCTCAGTGAACGATTTATTTACTGTATTTCCTGCTCCTCCCACATTCAATATTTAGCCACAACATTTATTGGACAATAAGAATAGCAAACAAATATTTAAAGCCTCTAATTTCAGTTTGGCTTACTTTTGAAAATTAACACTCTGGCTTTTAAATGTCAGTCAAATCAATACAGACTCAAGACTCACAATTACCTTTCATAAAATAAATTTAATTTTTGAGTAAACACATATATACACTTGTTTATATATGAGTATATATATATTCATTTTTGAAAATAAGCTAATTCTGCTTTAATGTTTACCTTTACTACAGGAAAGTTTCCACATAAAAATGTTGTTACTCTTGGAAAAAAAAATCACTGCACCTTTGGTATTTAAAATGATTTGCAAATTATTGTGATTTATTGCTGGTATAGCTGGAATTTCTCTGATCATATTTTCTCATGTAACTAAATAGATATTTTCCCATTCATTTATCTACTGAATGGCCCTTGCTCTGATGACATGAACATAATAATTAACAATTCAATATGTCTTCTTCATCTAGAATCAATTAATTATTGTATTTAGTAATGTGCTTTACTCCACTATGAGGCATTCTTTCTGCTTGATGAATAGTGTTGTAAACATTATAAAACAACTTGTAGCTTTTTCTATAATTTCTACTTACATATGGAGTTGTAAGCAATTTTAATATGAATGTTAAAAATCTGAATATACATCATTATTTAAAAAAATACAAGTTTAAAAGTATTTTTGGTTGAGTTTTTAATATTCTTCAAGTTCAAACATTACATTTTTGACTGTTTAAATGTACCTAGTGTGTAGTAAGTGCCTACTAGGTACCCAACAGAGTGATAGACTTAAGAAATGAGGAAAAGGATCCAGAGAGAAATCCCTGCTTTGATGGAACTCATGATACAGTCAATACGATGTGCATAAACTCAAAATACCATGGTAAATACTCTTATAAGGTTACTTAGGAGGAGAGCAGAGGGGTTGGACCTAACATCACTTGAGGGTGGGTTGAGGTAGAAGGGAGTGAACAAGGAGAAAGTGTGGGGTCAGGGACAAGCTGAAAACTGTTATTTCTTTCTTTTTTTTTTTTTTTTTTATAACTTAACAGTTTTCTTTTTCACATTTATTACTTTTTTTTTTAAGTAGAGAAATACAGAGTAAAGTCAGGATGGAAAGGAAGCCATTATTACACTTCTTACCTAACGGTCACCAATGTGGTAACTGAAATTTAATGCTAGTAAGAAGCTTTGGATACAATGAAGGTGTGTGCATCATCTGTTTTTTTTTTGTTGTTTTTGTTTTTCATTTTTTATTTATTATTATTTTTTTCTTTTTTTTAAATATACTTTTAAGTTTTAGGGTACATGTGCACATTCTGCAGGTTAGTTACATATGTATACATGTGCCATGCTGGTACACTGCACCCACTAACTCGTCATCTAGCATTAGGTATATCTCCCAATGCTATCCCTCCGCCCTGCCCCCACCCCACAACAGTCCCCAGAGTGTGATATTCCCCTTCCTGTGTCCATGTGATCTCATTGTTCAATTCCCACCTATGAGTGAGAATATGCGGTGTTTGGTTTTTTGTTCTTGTGATAGTTTACTGAGAATGATGATTTCCAATTTCATCCATGTCCCTACAAAGGACATGAACTCATCATTTTTTATGGCTGCACAGTATTCCATGGTGTATATGTGCCACATTTTCTTAATCCAGTCTATCATTGTTGGACATTTGGGTTGGTTCCAAGTCTTTGCTATTGTGAATAATGCCGCAATAAACATACGTGTGCATGTGTCTTTATAGTAGCATGATTTATAGTCCTTTGGGTATATACCCAGTAATGGGATGGCTGGATCAAATGGTATTTCCAGTTCTAGATCCCTGAGGAATTGCCACACTGACTTCCACAATGGTTGAACTAGTTTACACTCCCACCAACAGTGTAAAAGTGTTCCTATTTCTCCACATCCTCTCCAGCACCTGTTGTTTCCTGACTTTTTAATGATTGCCATTCTAACTGGTGTGAGATGGTATCTCATTGTGGTTTTGAATTGCATTTCTCTGATGGCCAGTGATGATGAGCATTTTTTCATGTGTTTTTTGGCTGTATAAATGTCTTCTTTTGAGAAGTGTCTGTTCATGTCCTTCGCTCACTTTTTGATGGGGTTGTTTTTTTCTTGTAAATTTGTTTGAGTTCATTTTAGATTCTGGATATTAGCCCTTTGTCAGATGAGTAGGTTGCGAAAATTTTCTCCCATTTTCTAGGTTGCCTGATCACTCTGATGGTAGTTTCTTTTGCTGTGCAGAAGCTCTTTAGTTTAATTAGATCCCATTTGTCAATTTTGTCTTTTGTTGCCATTGCTTTTGGTGTTTTAGACATGAAGTCCTTGCCCATGCCTATGTCCTGAATGGTAATGCCTAGGTTTTCTTCTAGGGTTTTTATGGTTTTAGGTCTAACATTTAAGTCTTTAATCCATCTTGAATTGATTTTTGTATAAGGTGTAAGGAAGGGATCCAGTTTCAGCTTTCTACATGGCTAGCCAGTTTTCCCAGCACCATTTATTAAATAGGGAATCCTTTCCCCATTGCTTGTTTTTCTCAGATTTGTCAAAGATCAGATAGTTGTAGATATGAGGCATTATTTCTGAGGGCTCTGTTCTGTTCCATTGATCTATATCTCTGTTTTGGTATGAGTACCATGCTGTTTTGGTTACTGTAGCCTTGTAGTATAGTTTGAAGTCAGGTAGTGTGATGCCTCCAGCTTTGTTCTTTTGGCTTAGGATTGACTTGGTGATGCGGGCTCTTTTTTGGTTCCATATGAACTTTAGTTTTTTCCAATTCTGTGAAGAAAGTCATTGGGAGCTTGATGGGGATGGCATTGAATCTATAAATTACTTTGGGCAGTATGGCCATTTTCACGATATTGATTCTTCCTACCCATGAGCATGGAATGTTCTTCCATTTGTTTGTATCCTCTTTTATTTCCTTGAGCAGTGGTTTGTAGTTCTCCTTGAAGAGGTCCTTCACATCCCTTGTAAGTTGGATTCCTAGGTATTTTATTCTCTTTGAAGCAATTGTGAATGGGAGTTCACTCATGATTTGGCTCTCTGTTTGTCTGTTATTGGTGTATAAGAATGCTTGTGATTTTTGTACATTGATTTTGTATCCTGAGACTTTGCTGAAGTTGCTTATCAGCTTAAGGAGATTTTGGGCTGAGACAATGGGGTTTTCTAGATATACAATCATGTCGTCTGCAAACAGGGACAATTTGACTTCCTCTTTTCCTAATTGAATACCCTTTATTTCCTTCTCCTGCCTAATTGCCCTGGCCAGAACTTCTAACACTATGTTGAATAGGAGTGGTGAGAGAGGGCATCCCTGTCTTGTGCCAGTTTTCAAAGGGAATGCTTCCAGTTTTTGCCCATTCAGTATGATATTGGCTGTGGGTTTGTCATAGATAGCTCTTATTATTTTGAAATACGTCCCATCAATACCTAATTTATTGAGAGTTTTTAGCATGAAGCGTTGAATTTTGTCAAAGGCTTTTTCTGCATCTATTGAGATAATCATGTGGTTTTTGTCTTTGGCTCTGTTTATATGCTGGATTACATTTATTGATTTGCGTATATTGAACCAGCCTTGCATCCCAGAGATGAAGCCCACTTGATCATGGTGGATAAGCTTTTTGATGTGCTGCTGGATTCGTTTTGCCAGTATTTTATTGAGAATTTTTGCATCAATGTTCATCAAGCATATTTGTCTAAAATTCTCTTTTTTGGTTGTGTCTCTGCCAGGCTTTGGAATCAGAATGATGCTGGCCTCATAAAATGAGTTAGGGAGGATTCCCTCTTTTTCTACTGATTGGAATAGTTTCAGAAGGAATGGTACCAGTTCCTCCTTGTACCTCTGGTAGAATTCGGCTGTGAATCCATCTGGTCCTGGACTCTTTTTGGTTGGTAAGCTGTTGATTATTGCCACAATTTCAGATCCTGTTATTGGTCTATTGAGAGATTCAACTTCTTCCTGGTTTAGTCTTGGGAGAGTGTATATGTCAAGGAAGTTATCCATTTCTTCTAGATTTTCTAGTTTATTTGCATAGAGGTGTTTGTAGTATTCTCTGATGGTAGTTTGTATTTGTGTGGGATCGGTGGTGATATCCCCTTTATCATTTTTTATTGCGTCTATTTGATTCTTCTCTCTTTTTTTCTTTATTAGTCTTGCTAGCAGTCTATCAATTTTGTTGATCCTTTCAAAAAACCAGCTCCTGGTTTCATTAATTTTTTGAAGGGTTTTTTGTGTCTCTATTTCCTTCAGTTCTGCTCTGATTTTAGTTATTTCTTGCCTTCTGCTAGCTTTTGAATGCGTTTGCTCTTGCTTTTCTAGTTCTTTTAATTGTGATGTTAGGGTGTCAATTTTGGATCTTTCCTGCTTTCTCTTGTGGGCATTTAGTGCTATAAATTTCCCTCTACACACTGCTTTGAATGTGTCCCAGAGATTCTGGTATGTTGTGTCTTTGTTCTCATTGGTTTCAAAGAACATCTTTATTTCTGCCTTCATTTCGTTATGTACCCAGTAGTCATTCAGGAGCAGGTTGTTCAGTTTCCATGTAGTTGAGCGGTGTTGAGTGAGATTCTTAATCTTGAGTTCTAGTTTGATTGCACTGTGGTCTGAGAGATAGTTTGTTATAATTTCTGTTCTTTTACATTTGCTGAGGAGAGCTTTACTTCCAAATGTGTGGTCAATTTTGGAATAGATGTGGTGTGGTGCTGAAAAAAATGTATATTCTGTTGCTTTGGGGTGGAGAGTTCTGTAGATGTCTATTAGGTCCTCTTGGTGCAGAGCTGAGTTCAATTCCTGGGTATCCTTGTTGACTTTCTGTCTCGTTGATCTGTCTAATGTTGACAGTGGGGTGTTAAAGTCTCCCATTATTAATGTGTGGGAGTCTAAGTCTCTTTGTAGGTCACTCAGGACTTGCTTTATGAATCTTGGTGCTCCTGTATTGGGTGCATATATATTTAGGATAGTTAGCTCTTCTTGTTGAATTGATGCTTTTACCATTATGTAATGGCCTTCTTTGTCTCTTTTGATCTTTGTTGGTTTAAAGTCTGTTTAACAGAGACTAGGATTGCGACCCCTGCCTTTTTTTGTTTTCCATTTGCTTGGTAGATCTTCCTCCATCCTTTTATTTTGAGCCTATGTGTGTCTCTGCACATGAGATGGGTTTCCTGAATACAGCACACTGTTGGGTCTTGACTCTTTATCCAATTTGCCAGTCTGTGTCTTTTAATTGGAGCATTTAGTCCATTTACATTTAAAGTTAATATTGTTATGTGTGAATTTGATCCTGTCATTATGATGTTAGCTGGTTATTTTGCTCATTAGTTGATGCAGTTTCTTCCTAGTCTTGATGGTCTTTACATTTTGGCATGATTTTGCAGCGGCTGGTACCGGTTGTTCCTTTCCATGTTTAGTGCTTCCTTCAGGAGCTCTTTTAGAGCAGGCCTGGTGGTGACAAAAATCTCTCAGCATTTGCTTGTCTGTAAAGTATTTTATTTCTCCTTCACTTATGAAGCTTAGTTTGGCTGGATATGAAATTCTGGGTTGAAAATTCTTTTCTTTAAGAATGTTGAATATTGGCCCCCACTCTCTTCTGGTTTGTAGGGTTTCTGCCGAGAGATCCGCTGTTAGTCTGATGGGCTTCCCTTTGAGGGTAACCCGACCTTTCTCTCTGGCTGCCCTTAACATTTTTTCCTTCATTTCAACTTTGGTGAATCTGACAATTATGTGTCTTGGAGTTGCTCTTCTCGAGGAGTATCTTTGTGGCATTCTCTGTATTTCCTGAATCTGAACGTTGGCCTGCCTTGCTAGATTGGGGAAGTTCTCCTGGATAATATCCTGCAGAGTGTTTTCCAACTTGGTTCCATTCTCCCCATCACTTTCAGGTACACCAATCAGACGTAGATTTGGTCTTTTCACATAGTCCCATATGTCTTGGAGGCTTTGCTCATTTCTTTTTATTCTTTTTTCTCTAAACTTCCCTTCTCGCTTCATTTCATTCATTTCATCTTCCATCGCTGATACCCTTTCTTCCAGTTGATTGCATCGGCTCCTGAGGCTTCTGCATTCTTCACGTAGTTCTCGAGCCTTGGTTTTCAGCTCCATCAGCTCCTTTAAGCACTTCTCTGTATTGGTTATTCTAGTTATACATTCCTCTAAATGTTTTTCAAAGTTTTCAACTTCTTTGCCTTTGGTTTGCATGTCCTCCCGTAGCTCAGAGTAATTTGATCATCTGAAGCCTTCTTCTCTCAGCTCGTCAAAGTCATTCTCCATCCAGCTTTGTTCCGTTTCTGGTGAGGAACTGCATTCCTTTGGAGGAGGAGAGGTGCTCTGCTGTTTAGAGTTTCCAGTTTTTCTGTTCTGTTTTTTCCCCATCTTTGTGGTTTTATCTACTTTTGGTCTTTGATGATGGTGATGTACAGATGGGTTTTTGGTGTGGATGTCCTTTCTGTTTGTTAGTTTTCCTTCTAACAGACAGGACCCTCAGCTGCAGGTCTGTTGGAATACCCTGCCGTGTGAGGTGTCAGTGTGCCCCTGCTGGGGGGTGCCTCCCAGTTAGGCTGTTGGGGGTCAGGGGTCAGGGACCCACTTGAGGAGGCAGTCTGCCCGTTTTCAGATCTCCAGCTGCATGCTGGGAGAGCCACTGCTCTCTTCAAAGCTGTCAGACAGGGACATTTAAGTCTGCAGAGGTTACTGCTGTCTTTTTGTTTGTCTGTGCCCTGCCCCCAGAGGTGGAGCGTACAGAGGCAGGCAGACCTCCTTGAGCTGTGGTAGGCTCCACCCAGTTCGAGCTTCCCGGCTGCTTTGTTTACCTAATGAAGCCTGGGCAATCGCAGGCGCCCCTCCCCCAGCCTCGCTGCTGCCTTGCAGTTTGATCTCAGACTGCTGTGCTAGCAATCAGCGAGACTCCTTGGGCATAGGACCCTCCAAGCCAGGTGCGGGATATAATCTCGTGGTGCGCCGTTTTTTAAGCCCGTCGGAAAAGTGCAGTATTCGGGTGGGAGTGACCCAATTTTCCAGGTGCCATCCGTCACCCCTTTCTTTGACTCAGAAAGGGAACTCCCTGACCCCTTGCGCTTCCCAAGTGAGGCAATGCCTCGCCCTGCTTCGGCTCGCACACGGTGCGTGCACCCACTGACCTGAGCCCACTGTCTGGCACTCCCTAGTGAGATGAACCCGGTACCTCAGATGGAAATGCAGAAATCACCGTCTTCTGCGTCGCTCATGCTGGGAGCTGTAGACCGGAGCTGTTCCTATTCGGCCATCTTGGCTCCTTCCCCCAAACTGTTATTTCTTAAAGAATGAGAAAGTTGTTGCCAAATGGAGAGGATACAGCCATGTGAAGAATCCCAGGGAGAAGGAACAGCATATTCAAAAGCATCAGAACATATATACCATGTGTTCCTTGACACAGATTCAGGCCGACATGACCATATTTCAGGATATATAGGAGACAGAAGAAGGAGATAAGACTAGAGAAAGTTGCAGGAGTCATACCACAAGGGTATCACACCAAGACAGAGTCATGCCAAGACAGGTTAGACGGAGCTCTTGTCTAACAGGAAACAAGCAACTAATGAAGGGTTTTTAATAAGGAATTGCCTAATCAGGAGAATTTGTATCATCAGATTTCATGACTGGAAAACAGAATCATATAGGAAATCACTCGATTACTTTCACCATCTTTATACCTTGTTAATAATAGTTGATTTTAACTTAAATATCACAGGCTCCACTAGCTGGTAATTAAAACTGTGGTCACATTTTACAGTAAGGAACAGCATTTAGGTGTTCTGAGTCCTTACACACTGACTATCAGGAAGGTCCTTGCTTTCTAGGAAGTTTCCTGTATTAATATTGTAGAGAACCCCAAAGGCTTTTTAGATATTCTTTCCCTGTTTGGTGACTAGTTAAGGCTGCTTTCTTCTATTGAGTCTTCTGGTGTTTGGTGGGGCATAGGGTATCTTACTACCCAGTGTTCTGTGATTCCTCTGCTTATGTGCCCAGCGTTGGTCTGCTGTCTCAGGCCACTTTCCTCATTACTGCTCTTGCCCTGGACTTCTGATTCCCCAAGCAGTCCCTAGGAAGCCTATGTTACTGCAGGTCTCTTCTATATCACCAAAATCTGCCATTTCTGTTTAATTTTTAATTGAGGGGTTCAACAGAAAAGCTGCTTGGGGTCCTAGAAGCAATTATGTTTTTATGCAAAAGTTGTTTTCTTCTGAGAGAAAACAATCACTTAGGACAATAGGGCTGCTGAGAGAATAAGCATGTGTTTATATAGTAACACATAGGTCAGGGAAGGGAATCTGCCCTAATAGGACGGGTGAGAGAATAAGCATGTGTTTATACAGTAACACATAGGTCAGGGAAGGGAATCTGCCCTACACTGATAGTCTCTTCAGTTCATAATGGTGAGTGTTTGTTTTCTGAGTCATCTGTGTCTCCAGTTGTGCAGGGAAAAGGAAACACAGTTTAGCAGAGGTAGTTATAATTACAGATAAGTTTTGCCTTTTTGGTTCCTAGGTTACAGTCAAAGCAATGGATATTTCTGGGTACCTACTTCACTATCTCCCTCACTTCTTGAAAGTTAAGATATTCTAAGATGTCTTAGGAGGAGGTGTCACCATAGTCTATATATTGGCTAATTTAGCTCCGGTTCAGCTAATGAAGTATACAAATATTAATATAAGGCATCTGATAAAACTGAGATGGCCACTGGTCATGCTATTTTAAGAAATATTTATTGAACTTCCACAATGTGTTGGGTGGTGCTTCTATTGGGTAAGATTATTGTTACAGATCTTCACATTCTCCAGTAGATCACTCCTCGGTGGAGAGAGCCCTAAAGGCAAGAAGAGAAGTCTCGTTCTTCTCTCCATCCTTCCCCTGTTTTCTAAAGATAGTAACTACAAGCAGGTCCCTGGGACATGGGCATTTGAAATGACATGGGAAACTATATTTTCATCCTCCCAAAGGGGCAGGTTTTACTTTTTGTGACCAAAAGCCAAATACTTTTTAAATGTGATAGATGCTAGCTGCTTTTTGATCTGTTCTTTATGCTTTCCTTTTTGGACTTTCCTTACTCCAGATGATCCTAGTGGAGGTGTCATTCATGAAATGCATTAGTTTGTAAGATGAGGATGAGGAACATATGACACTAACAGTCAAAGACATGCTAATAACCTGCCTCTCCAAACAAGGAGCTCCTGATTTGTAGCACTAGCATTTGTAGTGTCTCTGTGGTATAAACACCCCCACTCTCCCACCATGACTGACTTCAAGCTAATAACATGACATCACTAGATGTGGACATGGGAGAGGGGCATGAAATTGGCTGTGCCAAATTTATACAAGCCTGCTTCATTAAGCCACCACCAACACACCAATCACGATACCTTCTATCCTTCTGGACATAGTGATTGGTTCAGAATCAGGTACATAAGTCCAGACAAGACTGATTAACAACTTTCTGAGGAATCTGTATGGATGTTTGTGGGCAAAGGGCCATTCACTTTCTTCTGGAATTAAGGCTGTGCAGACAATGTAAATGAACAACAGCTAATCACCACATCTGCTACCCTAGGAAGAGAGTGTATGTAAAACTAAGGCAGAGAGGATAGTACAGCCATGAAGTGAAGAGAGTCCTGTTGACAATTTGAAACCCTGTGTCTAGTTTTACCTGACCGGAATCAGCCCTCTGAGACTTTCTGATTACATAAGCAAATGAATTCACTTTTTTACATACGCTAATTTAAGTTGGGTTTCTGTCACTTGCAAGCAAAATAATCTTCATCCTAACGAATAAAGAATGTCTTAGAATAGGGGATTTATATTTTTGCATTCTGAAAATAGAAAGTTTAGAAATCTTTGGGGACCCAGCTATAGATGATTAGGCGTTCTCTAAATAGAGGGGATGTATAAGAAAAAATTGAAATTTCCTTGGGAAGCAAAACAAGTCAGGAGACCACAAAGCAAGGGGGAGAGTGTCTCAGGCCTAGAGCCTCCAGGAACAGTATCAGCCAGGGGACTGGGCCAGGGACTTTGAGCTTCTTGAGCCAGAGGGCTGCTCTATGGCTTTTAAAATCAATTACATATGAAAAGCTGATATGATTTCATATGTAATTGATTTCAATTACATATGAAAGAAGTGATAACAGTCTCCTGGATGATAAATGCAATCTTCTCCAAAAATTCTACCCTTTACATTATCGCCAGAGTTATCTTTATAACTGAACATCTGATCGTTCCACTTAGATGTAAACTGCTTTCATAACTTCCCTTTATTTTGGTAGAAAAAAAATCAAAACTCTATTTCATGGCATGTCAGACCCTTTGTAATTTGGCTTTTTATAGTACTTTATTTCTATTTCCTTTTGCTTTCCTCTAAACACCTACACACTTATCCTTTTGCACTTCCTGGACCCCTGAATAGACCACATGCACATGGACTGCACATTTGTGTACCTAAAAGATACTTACCCTGCTGTCGACCTCGTTAAGACCTACTCACTGTCTATGTCCTAGCACAATTATTGTTTCCTAAAAGAAGCATTTCCAGACTCCTTCAGGTGCGTATAACTTTCTCCTCCATTCTCTGTTACCACTGTACCTGCCTCATTATTGTCACAAGTATAACTGTTTTACTTAGTTCTGGCTGCTATAACAAAATACCATAGACTGGGTGGTTTTAACAACAAACTGTTTTTTTTTTTTTTTTTTTTTTTTTTACGGTTCTGGAAGCTGGAAACTCCAAGTTTAAGACACTGGAAAATTCAGTGTCTGTTGGAGTCCCACATCCTGGTTCATAGAGAGCCATTTTCTCTGTGTGTCCTCATGAGGCAGAAAAAGAGCTAGAAAGCTCTCTGGGGCCTCTTTTATAAGGGCTGCAACCGCATCCATGATACCTCCACCCTCATGACTTAATTCCCTCCCAAAGGTCCCAGCTACTAATACTACTGCGTTGGAGGTTAAAATTTCAACATATCAGTTTGGCAGGGAGAGGGGGCATTAACATTCAGTTCATAACAATAAGTTTGTTTTCTTCTTTGTTTATTTATTTTTATGATTGTTTCTTACTAGACTGGGAGACTCTTGATGATGCGTAATTATTGAGTAAATCACTTAAAAATGTAGCCTAAAGGTTATTTACAAATACAACCCCTTTAGATCATCCAATTGGTGTTTCTTTCTGGCTTTAGAGTAGCAGGCAAATTTGGTTTCATAATATTTATAAATGTCAGATGTTCTGCAAGGAAGTAGAAAAATTATGAAGACATGGCTCAAGAGTCCTTGAGGCTATTACATGCAAGAGCAAAAGACCAGGAAAGAAGTAGATGGATGGAATAGCTAGACAGATAGACATTCACGGTATAAAGGAGGTACATACAAACTTCAGTGATAGCTCAAGAGGCACTGTGGCTAGATGAGCTGCATGAGGTTTCATAGAGAAAGTGACTAAACTAAAGAGCTTCTGCGCAGCAAAAGAAACTACCATCAGAGTGAACAGGCAACCTACAAAACAGGAGAAAATTTTCGCAACCTACTCATCTGACAAAGGGCTAATATCCAGAATCTAAAATGAACTCAAACAAACTTACAAGAAAAAAACAACCCCAGCAAAAAGTGGGCAAAGGACATGAACAGACACTTCTCAAAAGAAGACATTTATGCAGCCAAAAAACACATGAAAAAATGCTCACCATCACTGGCCATCAGAGAAATGCAAATCAAAACCATAATGAGATACCATCTCACACCAGTTAGAATGGCAATCATTAAAAAGTCAGGAAACAACAGGTGCGGGAGAGGATGTGGAGAAATGGGAACACTTTTACACTGTTGGTGGGAGTGTAAACTAGTTCAACCATTGTGGAAGTCAGTGTGGCAATTCCTCAGGGATCTAGAACTAGAAATACCATTTGACCCAGCAATCCCATTACTGGGTATATACCCAAAGGATTATAAATCATGCTGCTATAAAGACACATGCACACGTATGTTTATTGCGGCACTATTCACAATAGCAAAGACTTGGAACCAACCCAAATGTCCAACAATGATAGACTGGATTAAGAAAATGTGGCACACATACACCATGGAATACTATGCAGCCATAACAAAGGATGAGTTCATGTCCTTTGTAGGGACATGGATGAAATTGGAAATCATCATTCTCAGTAAACTATCGCAAGAACAAAAAACCAAACACCGCATATTCTCACTCATAGGTGGGAACTGAACAATGAGAACACATGGACACAGGAAGGGGAATATCACACTCTGGGGACTGTTGTGGGGTGGGGGGAGGGGGGGGATAGCATTAGGAGATATACCTAATGCTAAATGATGAGTTAATGGGTGCAGCACACCAGCATGGCACATGTATACATATGTAACTAACCTGCACATTGTGCACATGTACCCTAAAACTTAAAGTATAATAATAATTTTAAAAAAAGAAAAAAAAAAAGAAAGTGACTTTTGAATGGGGTCTTGAAGGGTATACAGAAACTTTTCCAAAAAGAAAAGGAAGGAGGGAAATCTTATTGCAGAAAGAAGGGATGGTACTTGTAAAATCACAGGTATATGCAGGATGATCATGGTGTATACTATACCCAGTGCTATGGTCAGAATGTTTGTGTCCCTCCAAAATCCATATATTGAACTCCTAACCCTTAGAGTGATGGTATTAAGGAAGTAGGATCTTTAAGAGGTGATTAGATCATGAGGGGCAAGTCATCATGAATGGGATTAGTATCTTTTAAAAAGAGGTACCAGGAAGCTACCTTGCCCTTTTTCCATAGGAGATGACAGGCTCTCACCAGATACTGATTCATCCTTGATCTTGAACATCCCAGACTCCAGAACTGTGAGAAATCATTTTCTATTGTTTATAAGATACTCAGTTTATGGCATTTTTTTATATCAGCCTGAACAGACTAAGACAGTCAGATTAGTGTGGCCACTGTGTGATATTTAGCTCAGTTCCTAGAATACAGTAGGTGTTCAGTAAATGTTCAATGAATGAATGAATGTAGGCTGCATGAATAAGAATGATAGGACAAATATGCGGAAAGTAATTTGGGACCTACATTGGAAGGATCTTAATTTGTCAAGGTAAGACCTTAGTAATTCATCCAGGCTTAAAATAAGTCATTATTTCTTGGTGGTTAAGCCTGAGCACTATTTGGACTGCCCAGGCTGAATGCTGGTTCCATCACTTACCATTTTTGTATCTGTAGGAAAGCCTAAATCTCAGTTTATTCACCCATAAAATGGGGAAAATAATTACATACATTTTGTAGGTTGCTGTGAGGATTAAAGAGTTTAGAACAGAGATTCATTCAATGTGAATCCCTGATAAAGGCTAATTACTATTGTTATTAACACTTTATGCCCTAGAGAGCATTTGAAGAATTTTAAAGGAAAGAATGACAAGAGTAGATTTTATTACTTTAAGATGCTGCAGGGCTGTTGGCATGCTCAGGTACACAGAATGCCACCTTGAAAATTTTTTTTTCAGACTCTCTTGATTTGGGATAAAAAATTTCTTACAACCCCATGAAAAACATTGCTGATTTCAAAAAGAGTCCAGTAGCAAAAAGAGTCCAGAGTATGAAAAAGAACCAGTCAAATCCTGGGACTAGATAATGATATATATCACTGGTTGCAAAAACTCTTAGCCCTGGAGAAAGAAAACAGTAGCTTGGAAATAGGACTGAAATAGGACTCTTAGGAATGAGAGTAAGAAAGGCTAGTATTAAATTTCAAGTTTAACCAGGCATAGAAGAACAGGCAAAGGGAATTAGAGAAAATGGAAACATGGCTAAATGTCCAACAACAGTTACCAAAAGAGGAAAATGCATCGAAATATGTAACTATCTCAGTGCTCCTAATTCTACCTTTTACCCTTGAAGGACAGCTCCAGATTCTATCATTTGGGATAAGTGCAGCTCTGGGTGGTATGACTTTTGCATGAAGCCTGATGCAAAATGCAGTAACAAGAAAGAGTGAGTGACCATGGAGGTTCCCAACAACTTTCTGTAACTTTGACCTGAGTCCTTTAACTATGGCTGGAGTTTTAACAGCTACATATTAGTGAATGACACTAAGAAAAAGCATAATTTCTAGCACCTATGCTTCCATACCTAACAATGCCTTAGGCATTAATGTAACCTGATTGTAGGGATTGACAGCTCTGGTATATCATGTAATTTGGGAGACAAAGAGGAAGATAGTACTCGGAGTAGTGGTGTCTAGATTATTCCTTGGGGGTTTTGTGAGATTAACACCTGGGGTGTAAAAAAAAGTGATTTTGTAGTCATATTAGTTTGGAAATAGTGGCTCAAACAGAATTAAGCTAGTTTATTTATGTGTAGGTCTTCTCAGATGCTTACTATGCCAATGTTTATGATTAGTTTTCTGAAGGGAAGATCTAGGCAATAGGAAAGACAGCAAGGCATGGAGTATAAAGTTTTGCTCTCAATATGGCCAATCTAATGAGAGAGACAGAAAAGTAATCCAACTATAGCAATAGTTTGTGAATACTTCTGCTGAGTGGAATATCTTGCTTACCACTTACCTCTTCACTAATGGTTTTGAATGCCAAAACCAAACCAATTGTCTTACTGGCATTTGCCTCTTGTCTGCACAGTGACATCAGAATTCAGTTAAATAATTAAAGACTGTTAGGCACGCTGGGGACAGCTCAGTCTTACATCTGGCCCTTGTTTTACAATCAGTTCTTTCTCAGGGATCCTAGTCTAAATTCTGTCTTCTAGATTCAATGCTGTATACAAGACAAAATCATGAGATTTCTCATGATTTCTTTCAAATGTGTAGAATTCCTAGAATCAGAGACATTAGAATAGGAGGAAATGTAAGTTACCATCATATTGAATCCCTTCATTAGATATCATCGTGTTCACTGTTGGTGGGACTGTAAACTAGTTCAACCATTGTGGAAGTCAGTGTGGCGATTCCTCAGGGATCTAGAACTAGAAATACCATTTGACCCAGCCATCCCATTACTGGGTATATACCCAAAGGACTATAAATCATGCTGCTATAAAGACATATGCACACGTATGTTTATTGCGGCACTATTCACAATAGCAAAGACTTGGAACCAACCCAAATGTCCAACAATGATAGACTGGATTAAGAAAATGTGGCACATATACACCATGGAATACTGTGCAGCCATAAAAAATGATGAGTTCATGTCCTTTGTAGGGACATGGATGAAATTGGAAATCTTCATTCTCAATAAACTATCGCAAGGACAAAAAACCAAACACCGCATGTTCTCACTCATAGATGGGAATTGAACAATGAGAACACATGGACACAGGAAGGGGAACATCACATTCTGGGGACTGTTGTGGAGTGGCGGGGAGGGGGGAGGGATGGCATTAGGAGATATACCTAATGCTAAATGATGAGTTGATGGGTGCAGCACACCAGCATGGCACATGTATACATATGTAACTAACCTGCACATTGTGCACATGTACCCTAAAACTTAAAGTATAATAATAATAATAAAAAGATATCATTGTGTTCAATTCCTTAATTTTATACAAGAGTTTCCTAAATATGTAGGTCTAGACATGACTGGCATGTATAGCTGCCTGAGTTGTACACTGCACAACTGCAAGGTGCCTTTCACTAGACCATAATGTGAATTTCACCTCTTGAAGTAATCTGTGTAACCATAGGTAGTGACCTTGGCTTAGACATACAGTTTTGTTTTCTCCTAGAAGAGATAGCTATGGTTTTAAAATGCCTAAGAATAGTGATTAAAGTGCAATAATCAAAGAAGCATAAATCCCAACATCTGAAAGGTATATTATGCTTCTAAAACACAATGTTCTATTATAAAATAAATAAATTGGGTGAACATGTGGCAGTTATTCAGTAAAAAAAAACTTGTATAATATTAGTAGTTTCAAATTTTTACTTCCTATATTTAGTAAGTGATTAAAAAAGTAATAAAGAAGGTGGGCAGGAAGAGTGGAGCCGCAGAGAGTGACACTGAGTGTTCAGGAAGAGTATAGAAGCAAAAAAAAAAAAAAAACTACTCAGTGAACATCTAATGGAAAACCAGATGTCAAAATAACAATGAAATATATAAATATAATCTCAGTTTTATATAATTATCCTTGGTGAGTCATCTCATGTGGCTTGCAAGTTACAAATAGAGTAAGCCAAATTTCTCTTCTTAAATAAGAAAATTTAGGAAACGAAAGTTTTAATGTGTTTTCTGACACCTCTTGGAAGTTAATTTCCAGAATGCCTAACACAGATAGCATCACCAATAAATCTCAGTCTTATGCCTGCTGCAGCTTTATGATCTGTCTCCACTAGGCTTGTCAAGGTGCTCAAAACATAAATAGCCATCAGGAACAGAAGCTGTCTTCTCTACACCACTGTGAGGTTTACCTTGTCAGAGAGGACTTAGATCTCTCAGGCATTGGAGGGGACTGCACAGCATTGGTAGGATGGCTCTACTTCCTTCACTTGCTTTACTTATTTCTCACTGGGCTGTGATGACATTGAGTACAGGGACTCTATTCCATCCTGGGCCACACAGCAGACACTCAATAAATAATTGTCGTGAGAGAGAAAGTTGTAGCCTCTTTCACCTATCATTTGAGAATCTCAGCTCCAGTCCCTGGAAGCTGTTTGTTCATGCCTATTAAGCCCCAAGCCTACTGGCATTCTACAAGGTCCAAAAGGCTATTTTAGCCAAGATAGATGTTTGCACAGCTTCGTCACTTTTCTGGCAAGAGTAGAAGTGGACAACGCTAATATTCATTCTGGATCAGAATCAGGAATTCCTGTTTGCTTAGTTTCCAGAGATAAATCTTCCTGTACATAGAAATGTATCATGTTGATGCTTCTGATGGGCAGGATGCCCAGAGCTTCATTGAGTTATCAATGTTTCCACTTGATCTATTGACAATGGAGGCTTGAAAGTAAACAGCTTTGCCGATTCCAAATAGCTGGTTTGAGGCTGGGCAAACAGGAAAGCTTTGCACAAAGCTAAAAGCTGGCACAGGGCTTGGGGTTTTCAGTAAGTTTCTGCAGTTGGTTTTAAGAAGAGAAAAAGAACTCTGGATTATAAAATTAGGGCAGCAGATTGGACCTTGAATTTAATTAGTGTGTTTAGAGATAACTAACCCATTCAAGAAATGAGGTAGTGCTGTACAATAGTGAGAGAAAAATGGATTTTAAGTCTAAGGCTACCATTCAGGGAAATCATCTATCCCTTCTGGTATCAAATTTCTATATTTCTAAGAAAAATATAGTGACAGCAAAGATGACTTGATAGAAAGGGTGGGGATGAGTACTGCCATGAGAATTCAGTAACCTGGATTCTGTTTATGGATATATAAAACTTGATATGGTTTAGCTTTGCATTCCCACTCAAACCTAATCTCAAATTGTAATCCCCATGTGTCTAGGGAGGGAGGGGAATGGATCATGGGGGTAGTTTCCCCCATGCTGTTCTTATGATACAGAGTGAGTTCTCAGGAGATCTAGTGTTTGACAGTTCCTCCACACTCAGTCACACTCACTGTCTCTGCTGCCTTGTGAAGAAGGTGCCTGCTTCTTCTGCCATGATTGTAAGTTTCCCGTGGTCTCCCCAGCCACTGTGAGTTAAAACTCTTTCCTTTGTAAATTACCTAGTCTCAGGCATTTCTTTATAGCAGTATGAAAATGAACTAATACAAAACTCAAGACACTACTCAGCCTCATGGAGCTTTGTTTTTCTCGTATGTAAAGTGGTAATAATAACCCCAGCAGATTACCTGGAAATAATGAACTTGATATTCAACAGCAACATAGACAGATGTTAGAAATTTTATACTGCATAAGGGAAGCAAGAATCAGAATACACACAAAATATTGTATGTGTGTGTAAAGTTGACATATGTAATGAAAAATGGACAGAGACCCTATAAATGGATTAGAATTAGAAACTAATGTGAAGAGGGAGAAATGAGTGCTAAAATTAATGGAAGATAAAAGTAAAACATAAAAATTGTCTGACATGGACCTTAGATAATTGTACTCCTGAATTGACTCATATGATTAACTCAATTCTGTGGTCCACAAAGGGGAAAAATAATTTTGCAAATAAATCTATAATTAGAAACTATAATAGCCGGTATGAATCAAATAAAAAAGATGCTATGATTAGGAATAGGCAGGGGTAGGGAAAGCTCTAACATAGATGTTAAAGTGAGTCAGAGGAAGAGTATAGGAAAGGACATTCCAGAGAGCATGAATAGCCTTTGCAAAGTTTATGATGTTGCAAACAGATTGATGCATTCAAGAAACCAAGAGAACCATGAGGCTGGTGAGTGAAGACCAGAATGGTTAGAGGTGAGCCTGAAGTGGTCTGAGAGGGCAAGTTATGCAAGACCTTGTAGACCACGTAAAGAAGTTGCATTTTAACCTAAATGCAAGGAAAAGCCATTAGGGGTTTTAAATGCAAGGGCTGGTGGATAATAATGAAGACGGTGGGAAGAGAATGTATGTGGCGGGGTCAGATTTTTGTTGAAAAACTGTGCTCAGGGAGCCAAAGTGGATGCAGACAGATCTATTAAGAGCTTTTTTGGAGCAATCCAGATGGACTATGAGTGATTTGGTCAACAGTGTGGGCAATGGGAATGTAGATAAATGATTGATTAGAGAGACACTTGGAGGTAATATCAACATGTCATATAAGTCTAATATGTCTTTGTTATAGACTATATATGTGTTCAAATTATTTGCTCCTCATTTTCACTGGAGGATTATACATCCCTTTCTGACTGACATCAGAAATAGTCATGTTACTTTTTTTGCTGATGAAGTGTGGATGAATATATTATATGTCATGTCTAGGTAGAATCTGTAATAGCCAGTGGATGTTTTGCTCTACTTCGCATTTCCTTTGACATGACACAAACAATGCATCAGAAAGGGGCTTCCTTACCAAAGTGGGTCTCAGAATGATTGTGATGCGTGACAGAGCCTTAACTGACCAGTGAAAAAAATGAGTGAGAACTTAACTTTCTTGCTCAAGTGCACATCAAATGTTTGGTAAGATTATATTATATGCTGGGCTATAAAACAAATCTTAATATGTTTTAAAAGAGTAAAATCAAATAGAGATTGTCCTTTTACCAAAGTGGCATTAAAATTTGAATCAATAACTGGACAATGTCTGAAAAATCCTCAAATAATTCAAAATTAAATGACTTACCAGGGGATAACCCATGGATTAAGTAGGAAACAAGGAAAATTGTGAAATATTTTGAGTAAATAAAAATGAAAACAATATGGGAAAATCTGTAGGAAGCAGCTGAGAAAAATATAAAATTTAAATGACTATATTGGAGTGAAGAAAAAAAATCAATGATGTGTGATTTCACCTTAAAAAGGTAGTGGTGATCATTTAAAAGTCAGGAAACAACAGGTGCTGGAGTGGATGTGGAGAAATAGGAACACTTTTACACTGCTGGTGGGACTGTAAACTAGTTCAACCATTGTGGAAGACAGTGTGGTGATTACTCAGGGATCTAGAGCTAGAAATACCATTTGACCCAGCCATTCCATTACTGGGTATATACCCAAAGGAATATAAATCATGCTGCTATAAAGACACATGCACATGTATGTTTATTGTGGCACTACTCACAATAGCAAAGACTTGGAACCAACCCAAATGTTCAACAATGATAGACCAGATTAAGAAAATGTGGCACATATACACCATGGAATACTATGCAGCCATAAAAAATGATGAGTTCATGTCCTTTGTAGGGACATGGATGAAGCTGGAAACCATCATTCTGAGCAAACTATCACAAGGACAAAAAAACAAACACCGTATGTCCTCACTCATAGGTGGGAATTGGACAATGAGAACACTTGGACACAGTAAGGGGAACATCACACACCGGGGCCTGTTGTGGGGTAGGGGGAGGGGGAAGGGATAGAATTAGGAGATATACCTATGTAAATGACGAGTTAATGGGTGCAGCACACCAACATGGCACATGTATACATATGTAACAAACCTGCACATTGTGCACATGTACCCTAGAACTTAAAGTGTAATAAAAATATATATATATAAAAGAAAAGCTAAATTAAACCCAAAAGAAGTAGAAAAAAAGTATTTAGTAAAATATGTGTGGAAATAAAAAATAGAAAATGGGCAAAAATATAGAAAATTGAAAAAATCAAAATTTTTCTTTGAAATGTTTCATAGATTGATAAAACCTAGTAAGACTGATTAAGAAAAAAACAAACTACCAATCTCAGGAATGAAAGACAGGACATCATCACAGTTTCCACAAACATTACAAGAATAATAAGGGGAAGGGTTACTATATGAAAAATTTTGTGTGAGTAAGTTTAGCAACTTAGATGAAATGAATAAAAATTCCCTGGGTAATACAACTTTGCCAAAACTAACATTAGAAGAAAAATTTAAAAATCTGAATGACATATCTATTTAAGAAACTGAATTAAAACTTTAACATTTTCACAAAGAAAATGTCAAAGATTTGTTCTTTGTGCTTAGGATTGTCTTGGCTATACAGGCTCTTTTTGCTTCCATATAAAATTTAAAATATTTTTTTCTAATTCTGTGAAGAAACTCAGTGGTAGCTTGATGGGAATAGCATGGAATCTACAAATTACTTTGAGCAGTATGGTGATTTTCATTATATTGATACTTCCTATCCATGAGCATGGAAGGTTTTTCCATTTGTTTGTGTCCTCTCTTATTTCCTTGAGCAGTGGTTTGTAGTTCTCCATGAAAAGGTCCTGCACATCCCTTGTAAGTTGGATTCCTAGGTATTTTATTCTCTCTGTAGCAATTGTGAATGGGACTTTGCTCATGATTTGGCTGTTTGTCTATTAATGGTGTATAGGAATGCTTGTGATTTTTGCATATTGATTTTGTATCCTGAGACTTTGCTGAAGTTGCTTATCAGTTTAAGGAGTTTTTGGGCTGAGATGATGGAGTTTTCTAAATATACAATCATGTCATCTGCAAACAGAGGTAATTTGACTTCCTCTCTTCCTATTTGAATACCTTTATTTCTTTCTCTTGCCCGATTGCTCTGGCCAGAACTTCCAATACTATGTTGAATAGGAGTGATGAGAGAGGGCATCCTTGTCTTGTTCTGGTTTTCAGTGGAATGCTTCCAGCTTTTGTTTATTCAGTATGATATTGGCTGTGGGTTTGTCATAAATAGGTCTTATTATTTTGAGATATGTTCTATCAATACGTAGCTTATTGAGTGTTCTTCAGCATGAAGTGGTGTTGAATTTTATTAAAGGCCTTTTCTGCATCTATTGAGATAATCATGGGGTTTTTGTCATTGGTTCTGTTTATGTGATGGATTACATTTATCAATTTGCATATGTTGAACCAGCCTTGCATCCCAGGGATGAAGCAGATTTGATCATGGTGGATAAGCTTTTTGATGTGCTGCTGGATTCGGTTTGCCAGTATTTTATTGAGGATTTTTGCATCGACGTTCATCAGGGATATTGGCCTGAAATTTTCTTTTTTGTTGTGTCTCTGCCAGGTTTGGTATCAGGATGATGATAGCCACATAAAATGGGTTAGGGAGGAGTCTCTCTTTTTCTATTGTTTGGAATTGTTTCAGAAGGAATGGTAAAAGCTTCTCTTTGTACTTCTGATAGAATTCGGCTGTGAATCCATCGAGTCCTGAGCTTTTTTTGGTTGGTAGGCTATTAATTACTGCCTCAATTTCAGAACTTGTTATTGGTCTATTCAGGGATTTGACTTCTTCCTGGTGTAGTTTTGGGAGGGTATATGTGTCCAGGAATTTATCTATTTCTTCTAGATTTTCTAGTTTATCTGCATAGAGATGTTTATAGTATTCTCTGATGGTAGTGAGTATTTCTATGGGATCAGTTTTTATTTTTCATTTTTTATCATTTTTTATCACTTATCATTTTTTATTGTGTCTATTTGATTCTTCTCTCTTTTCTTTTTTATTAGTTTGGCTAGCAGTCTATCTAGTTGTTAACTTTTTTAAAAAAAAAACAGCTCCTGGATTCATTGATTTTTGAAGGGTTTTTCGTGTCTCTATCTCTTTCAGTTCTGCTCTGATCTTATGCTACCTGACTTCAAACTATACTACAAGACTACAGTAACCAAAACAGCATGGTAATGGTACCAAAACACATATGTAGACCAATGGAACAGAACAGAGGCCTCAGAAATAACAACACACATCTACAACCATCTGATCTTTGACAAACCTGACAAAAACAAGCAATGAGGAATGGATTCCCTATTTAATAAATGGTGTTGAGAAAACTGTGAAGCCATATGCAGAAAACTGAAACTGGGCCTCTTCCTTACACCTTATACAAAAATTAACTCAAGATGGATTAAAGATTTAAATGTAAGACCTAAAATTATAAAAATCCTAGAAGAAAACCTTGGCAATACCATTCAGGACATAGGCATGGGCAAAGACTTCATGTCTAAAAACCAAAAGCAATAGCAACAAAAGCCAAAATTGACAAATGGGATCTAATTAAACTAAGGAGTTCTGCACAGCAAAAGAAACTATCATCAGCCTGAACAGGCAACCTACAGAATAGGAGAAAATTTTTCACAGTCTAGCCATCTGACAAAGGGCTAATATCCAGAATCTACAAGAAAACAAGAAACTTAAACAAATTTACAAGAAAAAAACATAACCCCATCAAAAAGTAGGCAAAGAATAAGAACAGACACTTTTCAAAAGAAGACATTTATGTGGCCAAAAAACATATGAAAAGAAGCTCATCACAGGTCATTAGAGAAATGCCAATCAAAACCACAATGAGATACCATCTCATGCCAGTTAGAATGGCGATATTAAAAAGTCAGGAAACAACAGATGCAGGAGAGGATGTGGAGAAATAGGAATGCTTTAAGACTGTTGGTGAGAGTGTAAATTAGTCCAACCATTGTGGAAGACAGTATGGTGATTCCTCAAGGATCTAGAACCAGAAATGTCATTTGACCCAGCAATCCCATTACTGGACATATACCCAAAGGATTATAAATCATTCTATAATAAAGACACATGCACACATGTTTATTGCAGCACTTTTCACAGTAGCAAAGACTTGGAATCAACCCAAATGCCCATCAATGTTAGACTGAATAAAGAAAATGTAGCAAATATACACCATTGAATACTATGCAGCCATAAAAAAGGATGAGTTCCTGTCCTTTATAGGGACATGGATGAAGCTGGAAACCATCATCCTCAGCAAACTAACACAGGGACAGAATACCAGACACCACATGTTCTCACTCATAAGTGGGAGTTGAACAATGAGAACATATGGGCACAGGGAGGGGAACATCACACACTGGGGCCTGTTAGGGGGTGGGGAGCAAGGGGAGGGATAGCATTAGGAGACATACCTAATGTAGATGATGGGTTGATGGGTGAAGCAAACCACCATGGCAAGTGTATACCTATGTAAAAAACCTGCACATTATGCACATATAACCCATAACTTAAAGTGTAATAAAAAAAGAAAATGTTAAAGATTTGTTTTCAAAGTTTATATGTTAATGCAAGACCCTAAAATAGACCTCTTTTCCACCACCAACAAAAAACTTAAAAAAAAATTGTATTTTTTATACTATCTGATTTCGAGATTCTCTATAACAGTAATCAAGGCCATTTGGATTGTCAAAACCATACACATTTAAATCAAAAGAATAGAGTGGAAGGTCTAAAAATGAACTCACACATATATGTAAAAATAGAAATGTGCCATAGCAATTCAATGTGTAATGCAAAGTGTTCTTAACAAATGGTTGAGGTGGACACAGAGTAATCAGATACAAAGGAACAAATGGATATCTCCAAAGATAAAATGAAACTCAAAACCTACTTTATGCTATATAATAAAATTTATTTTAGGTGTAATGCATACATACTCATGAAAGCATAATCTATCAAACTTTTCAAATAACACATGAAAGAATATCTTCACAACCTTGAAAGGCCCATTTTTCTTTTTTTTGGAAAAGATACAGAAAAGACAGAACATGAAAATATTGATGAACTGAACTTCAAAATTAAAAACCTCTGCACATCAGGAAAACAAGTAAGGAAACAACTGGATGAAAATATTCACAACTTATATATTTGACTAAGGACTTCAAGCCATGATATATAAAGAAGTACTATAACTCATTCATAAAAAAAACTTGATTAAAAATAGCAAGATTTGAAAGAACACTTCACAAAGAAAGATGTTCCAGTGTTTAATGGGCACCTGAAAAAGTGCTCAACACCAGTAATCAGGTAAATGTAAACTGAAACCAATAATATCCCACTATATACTCACTATATATCCACATTGTTGGTGCAGCTGTAAAATGGCACAACTGCCTCAGAAAACTGCTATACTGCTTAGCTGTTTTTAAAACATTTATTCTATGATTCAGCAATTCCATTCCAAGGAAGATAAAATCATATGTCTGCTAAAGACTTGTGCACACATATTCACAGCATCTTTATTCACAGTCGTCAAAGACTGCAAACAACGCAAATGTCCAACAGTAAGAGACATCAACAGGAATATGTCATTTCCTGCATCAACAATACCTTCACTCAGAATTCCAAAATGGGTTTCCAAAGTTGGGCATTTCTGATAAGTTTCCAGGTGATACTGATGCTATTAGTACATAGACCACAGCAGAGAACCACTGATGTAGATTGTAAGCACCAGGCTGCAGGGATCCCATCTGTCTTACCTACTGCTGATTCCCATCAGCTATACAAGGCACAGAGTGGCCACCACTCAGGATAAACAAAAAAGCAAGCTGGTATATTTATGTATTTCCATATTACTTAGCAATAAAAATAAAGTAACTACTAATACATTATACAAACAAACCTTTTCATATGGCCTTTTAAAACCCAGTTCTACATTGCTTATCTTTACCTCTGGTTTTAGCCTTCTTATGCCTGCCTCCTCTTTAGTCACTAAGCCCCGGCACCAACATCTTCCTTTTGGTTACTCATAAGACTCATGATATTCAGAGAAATGTGAATTAAAATCACAAGGAAATATCATCTTACACCAGTCAAAATGGTTATTATTAAAACATCAAAAAATAATAGATATTGGCGAGGATGCAGAGAGAAGGGGAAGCTTATATACTATTAGTAGGAATGTAAATTAGTACAATCTCTATGGAATACAGTATTGAAATTTCTCAAAGAACCAGATTTCTCAAAGAATTACCATTTGATCCGATAATTCTGCTACTGGATACCTAGCTGAAGGAAAATAAATCACTATTAAAAAAAGACACCTGCGGCTGGGCACGGTGGCTCACACCTGTAATCCCAGCACTTTGGGAGGCCAACGTGGGTGGATCACCTGAGGTCCGAGTTTGATGCCAGCCTGGCTAACATGGTGAAACCCCGTCTCTACTAAAAATACAAAATTGGCTGGGCGTGGTGGCGCATGCCTGTAATCCCAGCTACTTGGGAGGCTGAGGCAGAAGAATCGCTTGGACCCAGGAGGCAGAGGTTGCAGTGAGCCGAGATTGTGCCATTGCATTCCAGCCTGGGCGACAGAATGAGACTCCATCTCAAAAAAACAAAAAACAAAACACACACACACACACACACACACACACACACACACACCAAAACCAAAACCAAAACCAAAACCAAAAAACAAACAAAAAACACCTGCACTCCTATGTTTATTGCAGCACTATTCACAGTAGAAAAGTCATGGAACCAATCTAAGTGTTCACCAACCACTTACTGGATAAAGAATATGTAATGTATATATACACATACATACACACATACAATAAAATAAACACAATAAAATACTACTCAGCCATAAAAAATGAGATCATGTGTTTTGTAGCAACATGGATGGAACTGGAGAACATTATTTTAAGTGAAATAATTTAGAAAAATAAAGTCAAATACTGCATGTTTTCACTTATAAGTGGGAGCTAAATAATGTGTACACATGGTGATCATAGAGAGGATAATAGACATTGGAGCCTCAGAAGGGTGGGAGGGTGGGAGGGGGTTGAATGATGAGAAATTACTCAGTGGGCACAATGTACACTATTCAGGTGATGGCTACACTAAATGCCCAGACTTCACCACTGCTCAATATATTTGTGGAACAAAAGTACACTAGTATCCCCTAAGTCTGTATTTAAAGAAAAAAAAACTTGATCGAAAGATGAATGAGAATTTTTGTAGCATGGAACATGTTCTTCCCTATATCAAGAATGCTGGCTGGGTACAGTGGCTCAAGTCTGTAATCCCAGCACTTTGGGAGGCCGAGGTGGGAGTATACTCAAGCTCAGGAGTTCAAGACCAGCCTGTGCAACAAAGCAAGACCCGACCCTGTCTCCACAAAAATAAATAAATAAATAAACAAATAAATAAATAAATATTCAGCCAGGTGTGGTGGCACACACCTGTAATCCCAGCTACTTAGGAGGCTAAAGTGGGAGGATTGCTTGAGCCCGGCAGGTCAAGGCTACAGTGAGCTGTGATCGTGCCACTGCGCTCTAGCCTTCACAACAGAGTGAAACTTGTCTCGAAACAAACAAACGAAACAAAAACACACACACAAAGAATGCCTTCACTCTTCCTCATTCACTCACCCTTCTACCACTTCTAATCTTCCTCAAAGCCTACTCTATTTTCCTTGATATATTATTATCATAATTTCCAAAGGATGAAATATTGTATCAGTAAAATCTTCTTATATGTATACCTACCACATAGATCCTACCATTAACACTTTATTATGCTTGCTTTATTACATATATATTATTATCCATTCTTCTATTTAATGGCCCACTTTTATTCTAACAGTTCTTCAGGGGCACTTGCTCTGAATCCCCAGAGAGGCAAAGACTTCACATCCTGTCCTCATACTCTCTCTTACAATTTCTCAACTTTCTGTTACACCACTTGATGTAATTATCATAAACAACTTTGTTTAATATTTGTCTTCTCTGGTAGAGCAGTGTGATTCTCAAAATTGAGCTTGCTTTAAAATCATGGGAAGGCTGGCTAAAACATAGATTACTCAACCCCACCTTCAAAATTTCTGATATAGCAGATCTTGGATGGGGTCCAAAATTTTGCACATCTGACAAGGTCTCAGATGATGCTGATGCTTCTGGTCCATGAGCACCATGCTGCAGGGGTCATGTCTGTTGGTCTTACTACTGAGTCCTATCAGCTGTCGTAAACACAGAGAAGGCACTCAGGATATAATATAGATTTATTGAATGAATGAACCAATGTTTATGTGTGTGTGTGCATGTTTGTGTGTGTATCCTTTTCATGTAATATAACATAGGTATTCCTTATAGCTATCGCTGTCAATGAATAGGTTCATCAATCTGTGTATCTTGTTTATGTATCTTCCTCTATTGTTATATACTTAAATTGTTCCCAGTTAATCCCGTTATATTTGATACTGTTTCCAAACAGGCCTTGATTTTTCACGGGAATTTCTTCACATCATAATTAACAAAGGATAGGTACACGATCTTATTTTTTTTTTATTTTCCTTATGGTCCCAGATTATAAAACTCAGCATGTTATTTTCAGCTTAAATGAAGTAGGAATTATGATTTGCAAAGGCTCCTTTCTTAAGGGAGTGGAGAAAAAAAATCAGCATACTTTAATTGTGAGATAATATTTGTGTGAAGTTTTCCGTGCAGGTGTGAAGGTGGGAGGTAATGCAACAGAACTGGCCTGGAGCTGTCAATATGCCATTATCATAACCGTGAAGCACCTGGTTCTAAATGACCAATGTCCAAAAGGGTTCTACAGTAAACAAGGAGTTGCCTGGCCCCACCCATGAATTCTTCAGATAAAGGATTCCAAAGCAGTCCTGGAGGTGAACAGGACTTTTAAAATCTGCTTATGTTATGGTTCCTTGGCTTCAGTATGAAAATTAAAAGGCAACCTTTTAATAACTTCTTTGACTTTCTATAGTTATTTATACCATATTCAAATGATGGAAATTTTCCCAAATGATTTTTATTTCCTCTGCATTGGAACCAGGGAACAAAATCAGCACAGGTGCCATTCTGATGTCCTATTGGATATTGGAAGCTGTGTTCCTCATTGTAAAGCACTTATGAACCTATTTACAATGTTCTGTATTCAACACAAGATAAAGTTAAGTAGATGGCAAAACATTCATCTAGTCTTAAATTTATCCAACCTCCTTTTACTGAATGTCTACCTTGTTCCAGGTATTGTGAGAACACAAGTTACAGGAAGCACTATCTTTCCTCAAGGAACTTAAGAGTCTAACAGGGAATGGAGTTATTAATCTCAGTGCAATGTGATGTAGTCTTTAGGTAAAATAGGCATTGGTCTTGCTGGGGAAAGACAAGCATTTAAATGAGACTGAAACATCAGGGGAGGCACTTAACTGAGTTTTGAAGGGAAAGTAGTTTTAGTATGAGAAGGGTGGTGAAAGCCATTGCAAGTGAAGAATAGCATCTAGGTCCAAAACGGAATAAAGCATTCCAAAGATTAAGAATGTTTCAATGGAGTTAACATGAGATTGCTTGTACAAGACAGTTCAGAAATTATTAAACAGATTGGCCAAGGTCAGATCAGGAATGGCGGAGAAACTTACCAGCCAGGTCTGGCCTCTGCCTCTTCAGCCTCATTTCATTACTTCCTCTTTGTTCTCTGTGTTACAGGCCCTCTGGCCTTCAATTATTCCTCCCAAATCTCAAGTTTCCCTCTCCCTCTGGACCTTTACACATTGCCTGGGATGTTCTTTCATGCATTGCTCTTCATCGCTCTTCCTCCTTCTCCATCAGATCTGGGTTTCAATTGTACTTTCTCAGGAAAGACCTCTCTGATCCTACAGAAGAAGTCAGTCTCTAGCTTGCATCCCTTCTGTTCGCTATATTCTTCTGGCATAGCCTGTATCATGTTTGATATCTAGGAACATGATCATTTTCACACTATTCCATAAGCTCAAGCAGGGAAGAGAACATATCTGTTTTCCTCAATATTGGTTCCTGTTTTAAGCAGAATTTCTTGCATATAGCGGGTGCTTAGCAAATATGAGAGGAAACAATATTTGTTCCATATTGATAAGCCATGCTATATGCATGTGTGTGGGTGTATACACAATTTTTTTACTTAATCCTTCCCCAAACTCTTTGAGGTAGGTAATATATATTTTTCTGTTTTACAGCTAAAATAACTTGGGTTAATGGAAGTTAATTTTCTTAAAGTTGCAGCATGACCTCATGCCATTATATGTTGTATGTGTTTCTCTTTCTGTCAATCCCATGACCACTAAATGCTACCCAGAAGTAAAGCAGTAATTTTTGTCATCTGAGTTCTCAATTCCTCTGTGAGTTTTTAAAATTTCTACTTGCAAGCAAGAAAGTCTAGGCCATTTTATTGTCGGTTTCCATTTAGCTATGTAGATTCTTCTAATACATCACTAACATTGTTGACTTCTCTATTTCCCCTGTCTGTGTATACTGTGAGGTTCTGGAAAACGAGACTTTTTTCCTGTTCACTGTATTACTACTCTCAAGTACCTGGTGTGCAATGGGTACTTAAGTTAGTGCTGAAGTGGCTTGTATGAGATAGTTTAGAAATTATCACACGGTTGTCCAAGATCAGATTGTGAACTGCAGAGAAACTCATTCACTTAGTGTGTCACCTACCCACCTTTACATTTAAGTTAAATAGCTAAGTTATATTGTTCAGTCCCAAGTGTATGTATTGAGTACTTGCTATGTGGTAGGCACTATTCTAGACTCCAGGGATACAGCAGTGAGTAATACCAGTGAAGTCCAAGATGCTATTACCATGGAGCTTATGCTCTACTGGGAGTTCTAGTAGAGCCAGCCTTTCGATTTAGCAAGTCTTTTACAGACTGTTGCTCTATGCCACCTCTCTAATACAGCCTATAAAAAAAATACATATTTTTTCTCTAATGATCACATTTAGCCTTATTCAAGCCTCAGGCATTGCTCTTTCCCTGAGAGAATTCTTACCAGTTTGTAACATGACCCAAATTTTCTTGCCATTTTCAAAAGAAACTATTGCTTTCATTTTCATCCCCTCCATCATTGCATTACTATTTTTAAAAGTTTTGTCTCTTCCAACAGCAATTAGCATATCCCCCTGTAGTTCAACCAAACATCTCAGCTTTGGAGGAATTAAGTACTGAGTTTTTCAAGAAACCCAGGAAAGAAGGAAGGGAGAGTGAGAGACAGTGACTTTGGAGAGAACAGGGTTGAGGAAATGTTTTATTTTGAATTTTTTAAGGTAGTAGATATTTCAACATGTTTGTAGGATCAAGGGAAGAAGCCAATGAAGGAGGCTTGAAATATCCAACAGACAGAATAATTGATGGAGCAATGCTTTAGAGGAGAAAAAGTTGCAAACATAGGTGGGGGTACCATTGAGATTTTAGAAAGAAAATGTCAATATCTTCTTTCGGAGAGGCAAAAAAGAAAAAGAAAACAAAAGTTAAAAGAATGCACACATTTCAGACCAGAGGGAATGTGATTCAGAAACTATGTTCTATAGTTATTCTCCCAAAGAAATTGTAGGCAAGGTCTTCTGATGAGGGGATGGGGGAGGGGTGAGAGGAGAATTGATAACTGAATAAAATGAAAAATATTTAGAAGAATCATAGTGAAAAGCCGAAGGAGGAAACCAAGGTTTTGTAAAAGAGTTTCCAGACATAATTAAAGACCCAACCAGGACAGAAGTTATATGATGTTATGTATCTTGAGAACAAATCCTGTGGGTAAGACTATACCCTTCAGCTTCCACCCTCCTCAAAACTGTTTTTATTTTATTCATTTATTTATTTTGTATGATTTCCTTCAGTCTACCACTCTTCATGGAATCCTTTTGGAAATAAAATTTGTTTACCACAACGCACCTTAACACCTACATAGCTGGGATCAGGAAGGAACTAGCAAGGGGGTAAAACTGGGACTAAGAGGACTAATTTTGATTGCCCTTAGCTTGGCCCTTAGGAGGATGTGAAATTCAGACATTTACCCCATCCTAACAGAACCATAGTCTCAGACATAGTTCAGATAATCCCCAAATTTGTTTATCACAATTTAATAAAGAATTAAATTTTATATGCCCAGTAGGCAAATAGACAAAATCTTGGCCATTTCTTTGTTTTCTTTCTTCTTCAAAATGCTTATTTGCAGATAAATATTACATCTTAACTTAGGAGGAAGAAATTCAGGCCTTTGTTACTCAAATTCCATAGTTTAGCTGATTTTTCTAAATATTCTCTTAATAATAAATTAGAGACTACATCTTTGCAGGTAGCACATTTACAAGTCATTGTCTTCATGATCTTGACCAGCTCCAAGTAATGTCAAGAACAATGCACCTTATCACCCAGGCAACTGGGATCAGGAAGAAACTTGCAAGGGGATAAAATTGGGACTATGAGGACTAATTTTGATTATCCTTAGCTTGGCCCTTAGGAGGATGTGGAATTCAGACATTTACCCCATCCTAACAGAACCATAGTCTCAGACTTAGTTCAGATAATTCCCAGTGCCAACAGAGTCCAAGACAGCTGTCTTAGTCTGCACAGGCTGTACCGTAGTTCAAATATTTGTGTCCCTCCAAATTCATGTTGAAACCTAATCATCATTGTGGTAGTGTTACGAGGTAAAGTCTTTAGGAAGTGGTTAGTCCATGAGGGTGGAGCTCTCACGGATGTGATTTGTGCCCTCATAGAAGAGGCTTGAGGGAGCCTTCTGCCCTTTCCACCATATGAAGCTGTAATGGCAAAGTGCCATCTTTAAAGCAGAGAGCAGGCTTTCACCAGATACTGAAGCTGCTGGCACCTTGATTTGTACCTCCAGCCTCCAGAGCTATAAGCAAGAAATTTCTGTTGCTATAAGTTGCCCAGCCTAAGATATTTTGTTATAGAAGCCCCAACAGATTAAGATAGGCTGCCATAACAAAATACCATGGACTAAGTGGTTTAAACAACATAAATTTATTTCCTCTTAGTTCTAGGGACTGAAAGCCCAAGATCAAGTTGCGTGCATGAAAAGAGAGAGAGGGAGGAAGGGAGAGAGAGAGAGAGAGAGAGAGAGAGAGAGAGAAAGCGAGAAAGCGAGAAAGCAAGGGAGAGAGAGGGCTAGGCCTCTGGTTTCTTTTCTTATAAGGATATTAATCCTGTGGAACCAGGGTCCCATCCTTATGACCTCAATTTACCTTCACTACTTATTTAGCAGTTTCATGTCCAAATACAGCCACACTGGAGGGTAGGGCTACAACATATGTATTTAATATGGACATAAACATTTAGGCCATAATACTAGCCAAGAGGGCAAAGCAAGAATTCCCACCCAAAACAGTCATAAGCATAAATAACATATTATCACTGTGATTTAAGGCCATTAATAAATCCACTGCTAACTAGATTCTAGTTGGTCCTGAGGTCTATGTGGAAATTGTTAAGATGTACAGAGAATATCATGACCTATGTCAGAGTTGTGACTCTTCCAACAGAAAATAACACGTGTCAGTAGAAGATCATGAGAATTTCATCAGACACAACTAACTCCATGCTGGTGAGACAGGGATTACTGAAACAGCACTCCTGGGATTAGGATTGACTGTGGACCTGGATAGGTTTCACCCACAGGTGTATTTCATTAATCACTTTAACTGGAAGGAGGGTCTAGATACTATCTATAGCTATTCACTCATTGTGGCTTTGTTGCTTTCTTTAGTGTAAGAAAATGTGTAAGAAAACGTGGGGGAAAAGGTGGGAAGATTAGGAATTGAGTCAGTAGGCGTAAAATCATACAACCAGCTAATGATAGAAGTGAGACTAAGACGAAAGTCTCTAGACTTCCAAGTTTCATACTTCTTCTGCTCTATTCCACTTTTACTTTGAAGAGGGGTTGCCATTGTCTGGACAAAAATCCTAACTCTCCTTTATGTCTCTAAAATACTTTTGGGGGCTTAGAGTGTGAAAGTTCTGCAATGATAATAATAGGAGCACACCGTCTTGAGAACTTATTATGTGCCACGCACTTCCAATGTATGATATCATTTAATTCTCTAAACAACTCTGGGTAGTGGGCACTATTAATATTTTCATTTTCTAGATGAAAAACAAAAAGGTTTGGAGGAGAATTAGATGTCACACCTGAGAAGTCGTAAATCCAAGGTTCAAATCTAGCTTGACTGAGTACAGAGTCAAAGATTATAACTAGGAAACTATAGACTATGGGTTTGTTAGAAACCATTTGCCCTTATGTAGCAGAAATGGTGTTTTATTTAGATCTTTTTGGTATTTTCATATTAATCATGTATCAATATGTCATTTGACCTCTACTATCTAAAGGACATGCTGATTTTCCCCAAATGATAAATAAAACAATAACAAAAGTAGTTTATTCTCCCTCCTGCTCACAGATAGAATTCCAAAAACACATACTTCTCAGAAGCAAAATGAGGCATTATTCCCTGAAAGAATGAACAATTCAGTATCCTACATTTTCCAGAAACAATCTCCCAATCAAAAAAAAAAAAAAGTGACTGACAGCTTAAGGAGAAAGAGAGGTTGAGAGACATATCTCAAAATTACCCATTACCCAAGTGCGTTAATAGTAATAGTAAGACATCAAATGTATAGTTGGTCTCTTTACCTCCCCAGTTTAGGGAGTTTCAATGATCCCTGGAGGCACATGAACCTACTGTGCTAAGTAATAGTCTCAAAATTCAGAGACTCCCTTTCACAGCCCATCTTCACTACTGACTCACTGCATTATTTGCTAAAACCAAGTTGTTCACTCACTGAGATGGATTAAGAGAAATAACATTCCTAATTTTTAAAGCTGTGAGAAGACAACCATGCTATCTGGGCAAAACAGACAAAAAATGCTTTACAGACATAAGCAGTTTAGTTTTGTAACGAAATAAAACTTGCAACAACAAATCATCTGACACATAGCTAATGGTATGCTTCGTCATTATTTGTCTGTGCTGTAATTTGACCTAAATTGTGAGCAGTTTGTGTAAATCGCTTTATTTCTTAGTGATGACTATCTCTTAACATTTGTATAACACTTTAAAGTTTATAATGTACTTTACCATAGATTATCTTATTATCTCACGTGAGAAGGTCTAATGAGCTCAGTAAATGTTAGTGTAATTTAAATCACTCAAAGCCACGTTAGAAAGGCTAGGTAGATATCACTAATTCCTTCTTTGAATGAGGAAGCTGAGACATACAGCTTCTTTGTGACTGGGCCAAACTAAAGCCAAAGTCATTTGACATCTGGTGATGACTGTTCTTTCTTATACCATGTCACCTTTCACATAGTCAGATATAGCAAACAGTGCCTTGTGGAGAGGAAGAATGGGTAAAATTAAATTTAAAAAGAGCGTTTGAGATGTCCCTCTGTGGTTTAGTTTCCTTTGTATGCTTCAAGTGGTTTATCCTTCAATTCCTTAAGGCAGATCTCTTTTTTTGTGTTGTTTGAGATTTCAAAGAGAGAGAGAGAAAGAGAGATACAAACATGTACCTCTCAGAAGACTACTGCTAGCTGTTAATAGTAAAAACAGAGCATTTCCTTTTTGTAGAGTGCTTTGTAAATCTCAGAGCTTTTCTCTTAGGTGAATGGCAAAAGTTCAAAGATCTTTGCTGTCACAGGACACTATTCATTATCTGGTTCTTCCCCACCTCCCTGGTATCAACCCCCTTGCTCCTCCAGACATACTCTGTCCTAGCTACACAAAACAAAACTTATAGTATGTTCTTGAAAGTATTAAGCTATCTTATACTTCCATAATCTCACACATACTGTCCTGTTTGCCTTGGCTGCCTCTCCTCTGCTTTATCCAAAGTTTCCAAGGCTTCCATTCTTCTTCTTCATCCTCAATTATTATAGTACCCTGGAGATGGTTTTAAGAAACACTGTCCCTAGATTCCATCCTAGGCCAGTTGTATCTGACATCTATATTTATAAAAACTTTCCTATTTGATTCTGGTGCCTGTGAGGGTTGAGTATCATTATTCACATCTCTATCCCACTGATCCTTCAACTCCTCAAGGGGATGGAGTATGTTATTCAATTTTGTATTCCCAGAACCTAGCACGGAGTCAGACTCATTTATTAGACTTTCTTTGTCTCAGAAACAGGGCTATTTGGACATGCCAAAGGATGCTGGAGTTTCACATTCTTCTCTTTTTTTTCAATGCTATTTGTAGTCATTTATTAAAAAATGAGGCAGCTTTATATGAACCCATAGACATGAAACATTCCTTGCCTCTGTTATCTGTGTCCACCAGAATGCCATGTTACACATTATCCAAAATTTAGTGTCTTAACACAATAAATATGTATTTATCTTAATCATCTGTAGGTTGATGATTTAGGCTGTGCAGTTCTCATTTTAGCTGGGCTTGCTTGCATATCAGTGGATCAGCTGGATGTTGGCCAAAGTGATCAGAGGGGAATCATTTTCCCTTCTATCACCAAATGTGCCATCATACCTGCATTGGTGCCCATACATTGTGCCTTCTCTTGGGTCACAGCAGGTGTGTTGTCCTGGTTCCTGCCTAAAGATCACCGCTCTATGAGGTTATCTATTTAATGACTTGAATCTGTAATTGTCCCCTCTCTTGCATCATCTATTTACCCTTCTTTGATATCATTCCTTTGAAAACATGCTGCATTGTTTTACATCTAAACAAAATACATTCCTTTTAACCCACTGACCCATATCTCTTTCAGCAAAATTTCAGAGTTATCTATACCAACTTTCTTCACTTCCTCACCTGCCATTCTTTCTTGAACCCCTTATGTCAAGTTGTTGTTCCCACAGATCCACTGATGCTGCTTTTGCCAGTGTCCTCAGTGATTTCCATGTTGCCACATCAAATGTTTCCTTCTTTGCCCTCATATTATTCAGCTTCTTGGAAGCAGTTGGCATAGTTGATTACTCCATCCTCCTTGAAATTCTTTCTTCACTTGGCTTCAGGGAAACCACCCTCCTTGTTTTCCACCTATCTCACTGGTAACTACTACACATCTTTGTGGGCTGAACCTTCTTTATCTTACTGACCCTTAAATGTTGAAGTGTTCTCAGGCTCAGTCCTCAAATTTCTTCTCTTTTCAATTTTTTCTAGCTTTTATTATAGGTTCAGGGGTAAATGTGCAGATTGGTATATAAGTAAACTGTGTGTCACAGGGGTTTGGTGTGCCCAGGTAATAAGCATAGTACATAATAGTTAGTTTTCCTGTCTTCTCCCTCCTCCTACCTTCCATGCTCAGGTAGGTCCTGGTATCTGTTGTTCCTTCTTTGTGTTCATGTGTACTCAATGATTTGCTGCCTCTCATAAGTGAGAACATGCAGTATTTGGTTTTCTGTTCCTGCGTTAGTTTGCTTAGAATAATGGCCTCTAGCTCCGTGCATATTGTTACAAAGGACATGCTTTCATTCTTTTTTATGGCTGTGTAATATTCCATAGTATATACATACCACATTTTCTTTATCCAGTCTACTGTTGATGGGCATGTAGATTGATTCCATGTCTTTGCTACTGGGAATAGTATGGCCATGGACACACACGTGCATGCATCCTTATGGTAGAAGGATTTATATTATTTTGAGTGCATACCTGATAATGGGATTGTTTGGTTGAATGGTAATTCTGCTTTGGATTCTTTGAGAAATCACCCCAGTGCTTTCCACAACAGATGAACTAATTTACATTCCCACCAGAAGCGTATAAGCATTCTCTTTTGTCTGTAATCATGGCAGCATCTGTTATTTTTTGACTTTTTAATAATGCCCATTCTGACTGGTGAAATGGTATTTCAATGTGGGTTTGAATTTCATGTCTCTAATGATTACTGATGTTGAACATTCTTTCACATGCTTGTTGCCACATGTATGTCTTCTTTTAAAAAGTGTCTGTTAATGTCCTTTGCCCACTTTTTAATGGTTTGGGTTTTTTTTTTTTTGGTGTTAATTTGATTACACTCCTTATAAATTCTGCATATTAGACCTTTTTCAGATGCATAGTTTGCAAATATTTTCTCCCATTCTGTAGGTTGTCTGTTTATTCTGTTGTCAGTTTGTTTTGCTGTGCAGAAGCTATTTAGTTTAACTAGGTCTTATTTGTCAATTTTTGTGTTGTAATTGCTTTTGGTGTCTTTGTCATAAAATCTTTTCCAGGTCCTACCTTCAGAATGGTATTTCCTAGGTTATCTTCCAGAGTCTTTATATTTTTAGCCTTTATATTTAAGTCTTTAATCCATCTGAAGTTGATTTTTGTATATGGTATAAGGAAGGGGTCCAGTCTCCATCTTCTGCACATGGTTAGTCAGTCATTCCAGCACCATTTATTGAATAACAATTCCATTCACCATTGCTTGTTTTTTCCAACTTTATTGAAGATCAGATGGTTGTAAGTGTGTGACATTATTGAAACAGGAATAAATTGAATCCCTGAGCAGACCATTAAGAGCTGTAAAATTGAATCAGTAATAAAAAGCCTACCTGCACACCTTGCACATGTACTTCAGAACTAAAATATACAATACAATGCAATACAATGCCTACCAAACAGAAAAATCCCAGGACCAGATAGATTCACAGCTGAATTCTACCAGATATATAAATAAGAACTGGTATTATTCCTTCTGAAACTATTCCAAAAAAGCTAAGAAGGAGAGATTCATTCCTAACTCATTCAATGAGGCCAGCATCATCCTGATACCAAAACCTGATAGAAACAAAACAACAACAACAACAAAAATCTTCAGGCCAATTGTTGATGAGCATCAGTGCAAAAATCCTCAACAAATACTAGCAAACAAAATCCAGCAGCACATAAAAAAGACAATTCACCACAATCAAGTAGGCTTTATCCCTAGGATGCAAGTTTGGTTCAACATATGCAAATCAATAAATGTGATTCATCACATAAACAGAACTAAAAAGAAAACCTACACGATCATCTTGATAGATGCAGAAAAGGCTTTCGATAAAATTCAACATTCCTTCATGCTAAAAACCCTCAACAAACTAGGCACTGAAAGAACATTCTTCAAAATAAGAGACATCTATGACAAACCCATAGACAACATCATACTGAATGGGCAAAAGCTGGAAGTATTATTTTTGAAAACTGGAACAGGACAAGGATGCCCCCTGTCACCACTCCTATTCAACATAGTACTGGAAGTCCTAGTCAGAGCAATCAGGCAAGAGAAAGAAATAAAAGGTGTCTAAATAGGAAGAAAGGAAGTCAAACTCTCTTTGTTTATAGAAAACATGATTCTATACCTAGAAAACCCTGTAGTCTCTGCCCCAAGGCTCTTAGATCTGATAAACATCTTCAGCAAAATTTCAGGATACAAAATCAATGTATGAAAATCAGTAGCATTTCTATACACCAATGACATCCAAGCTGAGGGCCAAATCAAGAATGTAATTGCATTTACAATAGTCACAAAAAGAAAAAAGATAGCTAAGAATATAGCTAATCTGGGATGGGAAAGATCTCTACAACTAGAATTAAAAAACACTGCTCAAAGAAATCTGAGATAACACAAATGAAAGGAATTCTATGCTCATGGATAGGAAGAATCAATATTGTTAAAATGGCCATACTGCCCAAAGCAACCTACAAATTCAATTCTACGACTATCAAACAATGACAGTCTTCACAGAATTAGAAAAAAATAAAATTCATATGGAACTAAAAAAAAGCCCAGATAGCCAAGGCAATCCCAAGCAAAAAGAACAATACTGGAGACATATGTTACCTGACTTTAAACTACACTACAAGAGTATAGTAACCAGAACAGCATGGCTCTGCTACAAAAATCACACTCTTTTAAACCAAGACTCCTCAGTACTACTGGATCTTCATGTAGAGCTATAATATGTGTCAGTGCTCCACATCGTTCAATGTTGGATGATATTTTCTGTTTCACCTATGCTGATCTGATTCGCTTCAGTCTCTTATTCAGGTTTTCTAAAATGTAGTATTTCCATTTTGGTCTGCCCTCTGTCTAGGCCACATCACCCTTCTACACAACTGCTATCTGTAACTGATGATGGCTCCATTTTTCACTTAGCCTGAACATAGCCTCAGAATTCTTCTCAACCCAGAAATCCAAGAAGCCATTTCAAGTAAGTTAGAGTAGGTATATGAATCAAAATCTATTTGTGATCCCTGACCTGAATCCTTGAATTGATGACATAAATTTGTGTTTGGCTCTTTTGGCTGGTCAATTTCCTCGGCTATAGAACTTCCAATATTACCCGGCTTTCACACTACATTTATATAAATGAAACACAACTACCTGGTTCCCCATTTCAAGCCTTGGTTCAGCTTTCAACAAGGAAAAGGAAATGAGTGTTGATTGCATTTCATGAGGGCATCCTATACTCCAATGCCACATTTGAAGCTTATAGAAATAGGCTTGAGTAGGAAATGAAATCCAATTATATGTATTCTCATTTCACTGATATTCACAGGTATCATTGTCCTGTTCAGATTAAGGCACTATGGTCGGGTGACTATCTCAGGCCTATACCTAGATATCTTTGGGCTATGAAAACGGTTGGGCTTGATCTTACAGTTCAGCATCACCATAATGCAAAGAGGCCCTGTGTAGATGGCTGACTCAAAGGCATGCAAGACAAGTAAAGCAGAACTATATTCAAACTGTGGCTTGGAGGTGAGCCCAGTGACACCCATTACCTTCTAATTTTTAATATGCTATTGTAGTAATGTGAATTTGGGTAAGCGAACTCAGATCTTTGTACCCCTTGTTCCCAGTTTGTAGAATGAAGCTATTGAGCCAGAGGATTCTAAAGTCCATTCTGGCCCCAAAACTGATTGTGAAACATTTGTGGAATGACAAGAAGGCAGAGACTAATGTTTCTGTCATATAAGTGAGTGATCTGGGGCTTTTTGATTTCAAAGATATTGACAAGAATTATTCAGCTAATAAGTGGTGAGGTCAGGATTAAACCGAGAACTTCTGACCAGAATACCACAAAATGTTTTACCAGACCACATGGATTCTAGTTAAATTTTAGTTTTCAGGTTAGAAAAGAAAGGTGAGTAAATTTATCAATCTTAGAAAATCTGGAGAATAATGTAGTAGGAGAATTGATTGAAAGTTCATTTTAAAATCCCTGAAAAGCTTTAGGGCAACCTGGAAGAGGGCCAAGTTCAGTGGTGACTTCAAACACAATATACTACTTTTGCCCGTTTTTAACATTTATATAAATAGAATATAGTTTATTTAACTTAATGTTACATTTATGAGTTTCAACTATGTTGTTTTTTGTTGCAAATTTCATTCTCATTTTGTATAAATCCTATTGTATAAATATAATTAATTGCTTTGTGGATGACATATATTTGTCTTTCTTTCAATTATTTGGCTTTTAATAATGGTGCTGAGATATACATTTTTATGCATGTATTTTGGTTAATTCATACATTTCTGTTGAATATAGTCCTAGATTTTTGTTGAGCTTTTAGTGCATTCTGACATATCCAATTTTTCAGAGTCATTCTAAATATTGACATAACTACTCCAGTTTCAGTTAAACCACATCCTTGCTGACATGTAGTATTGTTAGACTATTTAATTCTTAATTTTAAAACACTACAAATAAGCTTTATTTTCATATTCTAGGAAATGAAGATGCTCTAGCATATTTTATTTAGAAGCTGTATTATTTTAACTGTCTCATTTTTCTCTCCAGTCGATCTGGAGGAGTAAGGGTAAATATTTATTTGATGCACATACAATTGACCCATCTTTGTATTGAAGAGACTATCATATTGCCACAGTGCTGCACTGTTATTTTTGTCATATATTGGTACACTTTTATAGGCCTATTTCTGGACTCTCTCTTTTGCTACATGATATGTTTTGGCGTGTCCCCACCCAAAACTCAACTTGTATTGTAACTCCCACAATTCCTGTGTGTCGTGGGAGGAACCTGGTGGGAAGTAATTGAATCATGAGGTCAGGTCTTTCCCATCCTGTTCTCATGCTAGTGGATAAGTCTCACGAGATCTGATGGTTTCAAAAATGGAAGTCTCCCTGCACAAGCTCTCTTTTTTTGCCTGCTGCCATCCATGTAAGACATGACTTGCCCCTTCTTGCCTTCTGCTATGATTGTGAGGCTTTCACAGCCACATGGAACTGTAAGTCTAATTAAACCTCTTTTTTTGGTAAACTGCCCAGTCTCAGGTATGTCTTTATCAGAAGTGTGAAAATGGACTAATACGCTACATTTGTCTGTTTGCCTTTGTACTATCTGAAATACTGTAGCATTATGAAAATTCAATATCCAATAGAGTAAGTCCTCCAGTTTTAGTCCTTTCTATGTTTGCATATATCTTATTATCCACTTATTTATTTCCACCATAAAAACTGAGTTTGGGATTGCATTAAATATATAAATCTATGAAGTAAAAATTAAAATCTTTACAAGAGTTATAATTGAAGAGCATGGCAAATCACAATTAAGTTAGGTCTTCTTTAATTTCTCTTAATCATGCATGTTTTTAGTGTTCTACATAAGTCTTGCACATAATTCACAGATTTATTCCTAGATTTTTGATACTATTATACATATAATAATATGTATCTTTAAAATACTCATGTTCTATATTTGTTGTTAGTATTTAAAAATACAGTTGATTTTTAAAAATATTGCCCTTTTGTCCAAACACCTCATCAAATGTACTTTTATTTGTAATAGTTTTACTCTGTACATTCTTTTGAATTTTCTATGTATATAATAATATCATCTGTGAATAGGACAGTTTTATTTCATCAGGTCCTTTTAAATAATATTTACTAGAAGTGAATGTAAACAAGCATTTTATCTCCTCACAATTTCAGAAGGAAAGTGATCTTTATTTCACCATTCAGAATGAAGTTTGTTTTTTTTATATTTTGTTAATAACATGCTTCTATTCTCAGTTTTAGAGAGTGCATCATGAATGATTGTTGGTTTTATTAAATGACTTTTTCTGTGTCTATTGAGATTATTATATGTTTTTCTTCCTTAGTTGTTCATATGGTGAGTTGCTTGATTTTGAATCTTAAAAAGCAATAAAGTTAACTTAGTCATAGTATATTACTTCTCCTATGTTATGATATCACTGTATTTGATTTTTCTCTTCTTCCTCCCTTCTGTCTTCTTTCCTTTTCTCTTCCTTCTTTCAGAAGTTTGGCACATAATTTCATTAGAGAAGAAGTCTATACTTTTCATTTAACGTCCTTATCTTTTGTTATCAGGATTAGGCAGACTTCATAAGAAAAGTTGGTGTGTGAAAATATCAATGTATTTTTTAAGATACATTGAATCATAAGGCATATTCAATGTGTAAAAGTATTACAATATATTAATAAAAGCAGAGGTATTTTAAAGAACATTAGAGGCATACTTTTTAAAGGGTCATGGCATTTGCTCAGGGAGTATACAATGAAGTTAGTCTGTAATCTGAGAAGGGCTACCTGGAATCCAGGTATGTTCAGCATGGAGGCTCCATCTTCCCTTTTCTTTGTCACCATGTGTACAGTAAAGAAACAGGCAACATGGCACTGGCCAGGTAGAGAACCCATCTGCATAATCAAATGTTAGGGTGCGGTGGCCAAATTCTTTGGATGCTATGCAAATGGCACACCTGGTTAGACCAATCTTTTGTGCCCTAGGTAAATCTGATATCACCCCCTCAAGCTCATCTACAAAACCTTCTGCATTTCACTGTGGAAGCAGTGACCCGTTTTCTCCAGGACCCTTCTCTGCTCAGAGAGCTCTTTCTTTCTTTCTCCTATTAAACTTCTGCTCTTAACCTCCCTCTGGTGTGTCTGTGTCCTAGTTTTCCATGGCTGTGAGACAATGAACCTCGCGTATTACCCCAGACAGTGACGCCGCTTCAATAGTGAGTAAGTTCTTGTGAGATCTGGTTGTTTAAAAGTGTATAGCATCCCCTCTCTCACTCTCTTGCTCCTGCCATGGGAGATGCTCGCTCCCCCTTTGCCTTCTGCCATGATTGGAAGCTTCCCGAGGTTCTCCTCAGAAACAGAAGCAGCTGTGCTTCCTTTACAGCCTGCAGAACTGTGAGTCAATTAAACTTTTCTTTATAAATTACCCAGTCTCAGGTAGTTCTTTATAGCAATGTGAGAACAGACTAAAAAAAGCAACCGGCTATTGTTTTCAAGGGGTGTTGCCATATTGAGTGCACAGTGTCATTCTGTACTGTAGGCAGTTGGGGCTTGAACAGCAGCTGTGACATTGTTGGAAAAGAGGTGACGCTCTTGGTCCTGTGCATACCATTCATCCTCATGTTAAGTTGGCTCATGAGGCCATTATGTGAGCCCTGAGGTGGTTAAGATGAAAGACTGGCTGATACCCATGGGACATGTCATCATGTCCAACTGGCTGTTGAGAAATTCCTGAGTTCGTTTAGGTGATTAATATGAAACACAAAATTTTGCATGCTGTGTGCCTACTCCAAAATTCTCACTCACATACTTCTTCTAAAGGCTTTCTCATCCTTCATTTTTCAGTATTATTACTCCTGGAACACTAGTAGGCTAGTTGCCTTTTCCCAAAAGTCATTGCACATTCTAACCTCAGACCAAGCTCCCTCCAAATGAAGTGGGTAGTCAACTGTGTTGCTCATACCCCTGACTACAAGAAGGATTTCCCAATGCTACAATCCTCACTAAATGGGGCTGTATTGTAGAAGATGTCAATTCCCAGTAATTGATAAGCATTACTTCAATACATTTTTGAATGATGCCCAAGTCAGCATGCATCAGCTGGCCATAGGGAATCCCCATTCTATGGTGCAATTGGTGTGCTTTAAGCAAGAAGTACCAGTGCATCAGAGGTAGATGCCATAGACTGCCTATTTCTGTAATTTAATTATATCATCAGTATATACTCAAGCCTGATCCTGAATGTATGACTTCTCTTACATAATGTATTTTTGCTGTGCCCACAAATATTATCTGATAAAATGGATCAGATAATGGCTTCTCAGGCCATGTATTCATTTGGCATTCCATATTCAAATACTCAGTCTCAGTTAGATTCAAGTAGCATGCCAAGGTTATTTTTTCAAACCAAAAGTAATCTCGTGATGTGGAGGGCATAATTTTACTCCAGAAACCAAGAGATCTGTACTCTATTATCGTCTATTGGGGTTTGACAAGATAAGGATCCTTACGTGTCACTCTAGCACAGTATTTCTCAACTGGGGGCTATTTTATCTCCCAGGAGGAAGTTGTAGCTATCTGGAGATGTTTTTGGTTGTCATAATTTGAATAGGGATTGCTACTGGCATCCAGTGGGTAGAAACCAGAGAAGCTGCTAAACATCCTACCATACACTGGATACTTCTTTCTCCACAACAACAAAAAATAATCAAGCTCAAAATGTGAATAGTACTGAGGTTGAGAAACTGGTCTAGCACTATTGAATCTAATGCGTTCTATGATTTGAGGTTGGACAGATTATACTGTATCCTAGACATGCTGCAAATATTTCCTTTGTTCTTGACCACACTTGAAACTTGAAGGATTCTTCATTCAATACATGGATTGGAGCAGTTTTCTAAGTATGATGAATGCGGTCTCCAAAATCCCCTGTCCTCCTTCAAAAAGCTCATAACATGCTGTGAGAGATGTGAAGTGTAACAGTTGCATTGACCTCAGAGGGAATATCTCTGTATCTTCTGGACCATATATGACGCTTGAAAACTTTACCACATTCATTCTCTACTGATTGGGTTAAATTCTCATTCTGTGAAGAACTTCAAGATGATTAAGGTTCCCATAGAACTACTTTATGACAAAGAGAAGAAAATTACACTGCCTTGGGCCAAGAGAGTAAAAGGCAGTAGAAGTGTATTGTTGTCTTTATTGTGTAATGGTGAACAATTTTTGAGTCTTCCTGATGATGGTGAACAAGAAAAACCATCATTTACAAAGTCACTATAAATTATGCAACATAAATTGTGTTAATCTATTACAGTAAAGACTAGGCCACATTTTGAACAGCATCTGAAATTGGAACCAACACTTGGTTATGTTTATAGTATTTCACTATCATTTGCTACAACTCATCTGCTTTTTTGCAGAGACTAGAGAGATGAATTGAATATGGGTATAGTAAGTCTCTTGTATTTGTTAAATTTTAGTGATCCTAATCTTCAGTTTTTCCTGAATTGCTCTGTTTCCTTTATTTTCTTGGCACAGGAGAAATAGGGCATGTTGAGGGCTTTCCACTTGACTCTTTTATGATGGCCCTTACTCCACAAATCAGAAAAGCGACATAAGTTCCTGCCAGGTGTTACGTATATCAATCCTAATTTTACATGTAAGAAACCTGAAGATAACTACAAGGTGGGTTCACATGAATTGGACATAATATGAGAGATTGGGTTCAAAATTCCATGCTACATGCAGGGTCAAGAATTAGGTGAGGCAAGCAAAACACTTAGGGAACAAAATCTGAGGAGAAAATTATTCTCAGGGCTGTGCAAGTACAAACCCTGCACTTGCATAACAATGAGAGTGAGTGCTTTCTTAACATTTGTTTCCTATGCATCTCATTCACCTTACCCTGGTCTCAGTCCTAATCACCTGACCTTTCTAAGTCCCACTGTAAACCTAGGAGGTTATATCTCACAGTATCTCATAGTTTAAAACATCTCTAATGCACAATCACCTGGGAAACTGAAGAATTTGAGAAAAGGAATACTTATTGCATATACTTATGGTCCTTTTCAAAAGCAACCATCCTCCACTTTGATCAATGGGTTCTGGCTTCATGAACTGACTTCAATCTAAAATCAAGAAACCCTACATTTTTTGTATTGTCACAGCTGATCTAAGTCTTTTGCTTCCGCTTCCTCTTCCTCTCCCTCTGCCTCTCCCTATACATAGTGATTAGTACCCTCCTTGGCTGCCCCTAGATCTCGGTTCTATAAGCACCATAAATTAGGTATTTTCTGCAGTTTCAGGATATGAGTCTTCTTTAAATCTGACATAGAGACTCTAGCTTTGAAAGCATGCCTTAAATTGCAATTGACTGCTAGAATCTACATTCTCCAGTTTCGTTCTCCTGTTCTATACTGCTGTAAAAATAAGACGTCTTCCTCCTAAATTCTTATAATTGTCATTGCCCTTATACTGACTAAATATCTTAGCTACTTGATCCCCCAATGCCTGCTGTCCCAGACTAATTTAGGATCAAGAAGTAAAATAGTCATCATGGGGATATATATTGACAAGTTTATCTGAATTAAAAATTAAGTAATTAAAAAAGTTAAAAGTAGATACATAATGACATTCTTTCTCACATAAAATATGTCTTATTTGCCTAATTGCTTTTGCTAATTAATTTATATGCAGGCATTTCCCATGAACCAAATGTTCAGCTCCAACATTTTCCAAAATATATTTCAAGCACAAGAAAACATAAAAGCTCTTAATCCAAAATGTAATATTTTAAAAATGCATTAAAATTAACATTATTTTATTTTTTCCCAATAATCTAAGTCTATCAAATTAAGCCAGATGTCTTTAAATTAAAAGTTTCCAGAAAAAACATAATAGACATGTATTAGTCTCGGTATATTTTTTTGATACACATCTCAGATGTGTATTGTTGTTGTATTGTGTTGTGGTTCTTTGTTTCTTATAAAATTCAAGTAGGACCCAACTTCATGACCAGGGTGAGGTAAACGAGACACTTTGAGAGAAAATCTTAAGAAGGCATTCAGTTTCAGAGCCATGCAAGTGCCCACCCTGCTCTTGCATGACCCCAAAAGAGTGCCTCCTTGCTTGTCTCCCCCAGCCCTGACCACAGTATGACACAATTAAAATGTTAACTGATAGATCATTAAAGACACCTTTTGATCTTATATCAGTTTGTAATTTTTGTTGTGTAACTCAGAAGAGGTTCAAAGGAATGACTACCATTGCTCAATTTCTATCTTTAGGAATAGACTTCTTCTGGCATATATGTATATCCATTTTATGCTGACTTTCCATATGTGTGTGTGTGTGTGTGTGTGTGTGTGTGTGTGTGTGTGTACTTCATATAAATTGAGTTATATATTATATATATAATTTATGTATATAAATTGAAAAGTAGGCATAAAATGAATGCTCAATCCTTTCTTATTCTAGTAATAAATCATAATCATCCAAAGAAAAAGACATACTTTTATGTAATTGTTTGTATTAGTTTCTTATAGCTGCTGTAACAAATTACTGCAAGCTTCTTTGCTTAAAACAGCAGAAACTCAACATCTTACAGTTCTGCAGGTTAGGGGTCTATATGAGTCTTACAAGGCTAAAATCCAGGTATCTGCAAGGCTGTGTTCCTTCTGAATGCCCCAGAGGTGAATCCCTTTCCTTGCCTTTTCCAGCTCCCAGAGGTCACCTGCATTCCTTGGCTCATCTCAGTCTTCAAAGTGCATCATTCCAATACCTGCTGTGTCATCACAGCTTCTTTTTCTGCCTCTGACCCTTTCGTCTCCTCTTATAAGGACTCTTGTGATTATGTTGGATCCTCCCAGATAATCCAGGATCATCACTCCATCTCAAGATCTTTAATTTAATTGCATCTGAAAAGTCCTTTTACCATGTAAAGTAACATAATTACAGATTATGGGGATTAGAACATGAACATTTGTGAATGGGTTATTATGCTGTCTACCATAACCCCCTTCCACCTCATTGGAATGAATTTTAAATAAAATTTTAATATTTATATTAAAAATTCTTTATTAATGTTAATATTTTTATGAAATCAATTTTTTACTAATAAATGTTCATGTTTTAATCCAAGGGCATGGATTTAACATGATTTCTATGATTATAGAAAATTCAAAAAATATATTGTGCAGCTATATGTTTTCATTATAAAATGTATGATCAAATGACAATATAACAATATTTTGTATAGAAAAATGTACTACAGAAAGGCAAAATTCATTTAGAAAGTGAAAGAAGTATATGTATTCAAAAGGAAATGAAATGATGCAATTTTCTAAATGTTACAGAAGACCTATTTCATGTGATATATAAACAGATAAAGACATGTGTCAGAGAATCAGGATTTAAATTTCTTTGGCTATATTAAAAACACAAAGAAACTATTATTTAAAAAAGTAAATATTTACAATATGCTAGGAATTATGTAATTTATAGTTATTTGATCTTATGATAGAAATGTTTGGTCATAATATAAAACTGTATGATAGGTTACATAGCTTTCAAAATTATTTTGTAAGATAAATGAGCAAAAATTAGTAACCTCCAGCTGTAGGCTGTAATTGTCATAGTGAAATATTGTTCCAGGTTTGGAGAGTGCCCATCAGTACCAGAAATTGCTGCAAACAGAATTTGATGCATAATCAGTATGTAACCTATTTTCAGTCCCAGTCTATCTGCCTGAGTCTTCATTTATAAATGGTAGTAATAGCACCACCTTTGTTCTCAGGGTTGTTGTCAATAACAAATGAGACACTTTGTCTAATTTTTTTCATAAACATATAGTATAAGCTGCAGTTATTAATGTTGCTTAATTTTATGACAGCAATAACCAGTAACAGGGCTTTTCCTTCACCCTGTGTTTTGGAGACAAATCTGTTATGAACCTGCTTATGAGGAGATCAAAAGATCAAGTAGGAAATCCTGACAAATGCTCTTCTTCTCACTCATTAAATTGCCCCTAAGGGGAGACTTCAAAGGGAATGACTAGTGACTGTTTACTGACTGGCAATAGTTCAGGTCTTTGGAGATTTTTCTTTTACACAAAATCTTTCAAAGGGGACTTTTAAAGGTTACATTGAAATATGTCATTCCTACTCCTCAATCTTCATGCCTCTGACCTCAGAAGGACACTAATAATAGCTTTGTGAAGGGGAATTTGCTACTCACTAGAGATATTGGCAATAATTACTTGGTGGGAAAAGCTAATGATTTTCTCACTTACAGGAAGACTGGTGCTTCCACTAGTTGTTGTTCCTTTGGTAAATTGAAAGGCTTTTCTTATGATAATGTGGAGAATGAATGAACAGCACATTAAGGAGCTTTCTGAATAGGGAAATGTACTGACATTTCAGCATTATCTGAATTATGTGTTAAGAGTAGCTTAGTCAAATTAAAATGAATGGCAGGTCAAAGCAAAAATCACAAGCTCTTTCTTATTACTCAGAATATATATTAAGTGTTCTCTAATTCTAAGAGTCCAAAATATATTAGACAATTTAGTTTACAGGGACAGGTTAGTTTACAGGGACAAGTTATCATTATGGGGTTTGGGTAGGAGACCTGGAGAAATTTGAAGTTCTAACTCTCCATTCTAACCAAGCTTTGACAAGCCAACTCTTACCCTTCACTTTGCTACTTTATAGCCTTCCCATGTTTTGGTTAACTTTTTACATAGTACAGCTTTATAGTGGAAATGGCTTAAACTGGAGTTTCTGAGAATCTAATCCCCTTTCTACCTTTAATTTACTCCTTGACATGTGGTAAATCACCTTATTTCTCTGCTTCTCATTTATAAATTTCTGACGGTTGTGTTAGATCAATTCTTTTTTTAACAAGCTACACAAATAATGATCATGGTGTTACAGAAACCACTCCCTTGGGCTGGGCTTGAGACTCGGAAAAGCCCCAGCTTTCCTGATTTTATAAGAAGGAAACCTCTTTTATGAACAGAACACTAACTTTACTATTTTCACACTAACTTTACTATTTGCTTTTCCACTCCAGAAAGCTATTAATTGGTGACATGGAGATTATTATAAGGCTAACCTTGAATGTGCTTTAATTAATTTAAAAAATATATGTTTTGATTATGAAATGGTAGATGAAGGTGATAGACATCCAATGAGGAGAATAATGACCACAGAGAGAATGTGACCTTCCAAATGACATAGCATCTTTGCAAATCATCTTGTGAAAAAAAAAATCCTCAAAGTCAAAGGAAGCTGGGAAGTTCTTCTAGATGGCTAAGGGTTTGTTGAGCTGACACTGGATGAGTTAGAAGATGAAAGAAGCTAAAACTGAACCTTAGAAAGGAAAGAGTAATGTGAAAACCTCTGGCCCATCTTCAGAAAACTTGCAACATATACAACCTCTTTTGAAAACAGAAAGTCACAGGCCAATAGCTATATAAATTCCACATTAAAAGAAGGCTATGCAGATGAAAGTCTGATTGCCAAATGGAACAGAGAAGGTTATGCGGACCTGTGCTGCCTATGATATATTCAAGGTGCCAACTCTGGAACCCACTTCATTTGCTGGGCTTGAAGCTGCATGAGGGAGTGATCATCAAGGGTCTTCAGTGTGGCTGCAGGGGTAGCTCTGGCTGAGGCTGCTCTGAGCCCAATTCCCATCCTGCCCCAGACCTTGGACTTTAATGATGGCTGCTTTTTCACTTGCACCTGCCACCCCATTTCCTGGTAGGTTCTTCTCTGTATAGCAGGAACCTAAGTCAGAGTTAAAGCATAGTCTCTATAGTTGATGGCTTTGGTTTTCATCAAGTGCAATTATTTGTAATTTTAAAAAATAAATCCCTTAAACCTCAAAAAAAGTAATTTGGATACACTTGTACTTTGCTTGTAATATGTCCTCTAGAGTAAGACATGTTTCCGAACTCATTCTAAGAACTATACTGTTGGCTTCAACTTTTACCAACAGTCTCACCTAAACTTATTTCTTTTCCTATTATGTCTGAGGAAAAGGTTAACATCTACTTGTCAGACAAGTAGCAGTTTACAACAACTCCGGAGGAGGAAAAAAAATGCCTTAAATTGTCAGTTCCAAGAACCTCATTGGACTATACTTTTTCAAAGGATGGAGTCTTAGGAAGAATGTAAATAAGTCTGTATCTTCTTTTGCCCAAGAGCTTTCTAAAGAAAACTCAGCTTTAGGGTTTTGTTTCTCTTGTGTCTCTTTCCTTCTTTGGCAGAAATCCTTGGATAAAGATTCTGACATCCTTTTCTCTTTCTCTTGTGCTCTTCTTTGTTCCCTCTGGATTTTCCCCACAAAGCCTGGAGCCCAGAAGCTTTGGAAGCTGCCCCTTCTATTACAAAGTTGTGTGGCATAAAGCCTATATCATCTCTGCTCTAGGCATTTGTAAACTCTCTTATATTATTTTGCTTGTCTCTTCTCCCTGGCTACAGGTTCTGCTTGGACCACTTTTTCCTTTCATCAGAATTTTATGACAGAGCGGCTTAGAATTCAGGCATGAGTTTATAGAGACAGAAACAAAGGGGGTTCAATCTGTTTGGCTTCAAGGTTTCAGGCTCATCTTTAGCCAAGCAAAAAATATTACATAAGGACAAGTCCAGCCAAACAGGCTGCTGTGCTGAGCTTTTGAATCAAAGCCTCATAGTAATCAAATGACAGCACTTACCTGTGTTTTACCCAAGTCACATCTTTGCCCTTGCTGTGATTCTAGTTGTCAAGTTAGATAATAAATAACTTGAACATGATTTTAGACTATCGTGAACGAACTAGTAGAGGAAGAGAGGATACAAAATCAGAAAATAGAGGGAATGATAATGAAGCCAGGTCCCTTTATTTTTCTTGTCCATTAATTTTCCTTGAGGTGTAATGAAGAGAGTTAGTGTTAAGTGAACAGCCAAGAACATAATTGGGAGATTCAGAATTCAGTGCTCAAGTCTTTCCCTAAGCACATTTTATTCCCAACGCTGCGTGATATCAATTCTACTTTTGCTCCAGGTTTAATTCCATCCCACAAAGAGGAACTCAGTTTCATCAATATTTCCCATATTTTCTGATTCTTCATTCTCTTGTCCTCCACTAACTTCTTCCCTTCATCCTATAAACATGTTCAAATTACTCATTATCTTAAAATGGCAATGACAAGGATAAAGATGTGAGTTCAGTAATACTGGAACATGTATTCGGCTAAAGCGACTCGTGGACATGACAGTTCAGGCTGCATGGCAACTTGGGAAATCAACAGAAAGAAGTGAGGAATAAGTCATGGATATTCAGAAAACTGAATGTGTGAATTAATGGCATGCATTTGAATCTTCTTTGTAAGCAGAGCCAAGTGCATGCTGTTCATAGTGGTTTTGGAATTTTGGTATCCAAAACTACAGAGTCAGGATGGGCCCAAACTCCAGAGAGCTATGGGTGCTCTTGATGATGAGGTTTAGTTATGTGGGGGCTTGGTAGGAGCAGAAACCACAGTTATTCTGCAGTGGGAAGGTGTTGAGGAGCTTATGGAATATGAAGTGATCATTTAGGAGGTGGCAGCACTTGAAGTATTCTACGAATTCTCTGTGTAAACTCTGAAGTAGGAGAGGGAAACCAAAGCTTAGGGGACTTTAAATAGGCTCATCTAAAAGTAGGACCCAGCTAGGAGCCCCAGTCCAAGATCAAAATGTTAGGGCCAGCTCTGAAAGTAGAATATCTCCTAGAATATGGCTATAAATCTTTTTCTGAAGGAGAAATATGGCAAGGTAACTAGATTAGCCTTATTTAACACAACTGTACTAAAACAACTATTTACCTCACAGAATTTTGAATCAGTATACTAAAGGGTGAGACTTGAACATAATATGTGCATTGTTTTAATTTTTTTTTAAATTATATTACTTGACTTCAAATTTTACAAGGCTATAGTAACCTAAACAGCATAGTATTGGCATAAAAATACACACACAAATGAATGGAATAGTATAGAGAACCTGGAAATAAAGCCACATACCTAAAGTCAACTGACCTTCAACAAAGTTGACAAAGACAAAAACATATACTGGGGGAACAGACACCCTATAAATAGTGCTAGGGAAATTGGATAGTCATATGCAGAAGAATAAAACTGGGTCCCTATCACTCACCATATATAAGTACTAACTCATGATGGATTAAAGACTTAAATATAAGACTGGAAACTATTAAAAAATACTAGAATACATGCTTTGAAATGTGATTCATCACATAAACAGAACTAAAGATAAAAAAAATGATTACCTCAATAGATTCAGAAAAGGCTTTTGATAAAATTCAACATCCCTACATGTTAAAAACTCTCAATAAACTAGGTATTGAAAGAACATACCTCAAAATAGTAAGAGCCAACAATGACAAACTTACAGCCAACACCATACTGAATGGACAAAAGCTGGAAGCATTCCCCTTAAAAACTGGCACAAGACAAGTATGCCCTCTCTCACTACTTCTATTCAACATAATATTGGAAGTCCTGGCCAGAGCAATCAAGCAAGAGAAAGAAATAAAAGGCATCCCAATAAGAAGAGAGGAAGTCAAACTATCCCTGTTTGTAGACAACATGCTTCAATATCTAGAAAACCTCATAGTCTTGGACCAAACACTCTTTCAGCTGATAAACAACTTCAGTAAAGATTCAGGACAAAAAATTGATCTACTAAAATTATTAGCATTTTTATACGCCAACAACAGCCAACCTGAGAGCCAAATCAGGAACACAATCCCATTCACAATTGCCATAAAAAGAATAAAATACCTAGAAATAGAGCTAATCAAGGAGGTGAAAAATCACTATAATGAGAATTACGAAACATTGATCAAGGAAATAAGAGATCACAGAAACAAATTACAGAAATAGATTACAGAAACATGAAAAACATTCCATGCTTATGGATAGGTAGATTCAATATCATTAAAATAACCACATTGCCCAAAGCAACTTGCAGATTCAATGCTATGCCTATCAAACTACCAATGACATTCTTCACAGAACTAGAACTACTTTAAAATTCATATAGAACCAAAAAAGAACCCAAATAAGCAAGGCAATCCTAAGCAAAAAGAACAAAGCTGAGGGCATCACATTACCTGACTTCAAACTGTACTGTGGGGCTACAGTAACCAAAACAGCATGGTCCTGGTACAAAAACAGATACATAGACCAATGGAATAGAATAGACAGCCCAGAAATAAGGTCATATACCTACAACCATCTGATCTTTGACAAAGATGACAAAAACAAGCAATGGGAAAAGGACTCCCTATTCAATAAATGGTGCAGGGATAACTGGTTAGCCATATGAAAAAAATTCAAACTGAACCCCTTCCTTACACCAATACAAAAATCAAGTCAATATGGATTAAAGACTTCAATGTAAAACCCCAAACTTTAAAAACCCTGGAAGATGACCCAGGCAATACCATTCTGGATATAAGAACAGGAAAAAACTTCATGATGAAGAGGCTGAAAGCAATCGCAACAAAAGCAAAAACTGACAAGTGGGATCGAATTAAACTAAAGAGCTTCTGTACAGCAAAAGAAACTATCAACAAGAGTATACAGACAACCTACAGAACAGGAGAAAGTATTTGCAAACTATGCATCTGACGAAAGCCTAATATCCAACATCTATAAATAACTTAAGCAAATTTACAAAAAAAAAAAACTCCATTAAAAGTTGGGCATAGGACGTGAACAGACACTTTTCCAGAGAAGGCATTCATGTGGCCAAGAAACATGAAGAAAAGCTCAATATCACTGATCATTAGAGAAATGGAAATCAAAACCACTATGAGATACCATCTTACATCAATCAGGGTAGCTACTATTGAAAAGTCAAGAAATAACCGATGCTGCTGAGGTTGTGGGAAAATGGGAACACTTGCACACTGTTTATGGGAGTATAAATTAGTTCAATCATTGTGGAAAGCAGTGTGGCAATTCCTCAAAGACCTAAAACAAACAAACAAACAAAAGCAATCCCATTACTGGGTATATACCCAAAGAAATATAAATTGTTCTACAATAAAGACACATGCGTGTGAATGTTCATTGCAGCACTATTCACAATAGCAAAGACATGAAATCAAACTATATGCCTATCAATGATAGACTAGATAAAGAAAATGTGGTACATATACATCACGGAATACTATGCAGCCATAAAAAAGAATGAGATCATGTCTTTTGCAGGGACATGGATGGAGCAGGAGGCCATTATCCTTAGCAAACTAACCCAGAAACAGAAAATCAAATACTTCATGTTCTCACTTGTAACTGGGAGCTAAATGATGAGAACTCATGGGCACCAAGAAGGGAAAAACACATATGGGGGCCTACCTGAGGATAGAGGGTGGAAGGAGAGAAAGGATTAGGAAAAATAACTAATAGATACTAGGCTTAGTACCTGGGTGATGAAATCGTCTGTACAACAATTCCCCACAAAATGAATTTGCCTTAACTATGGGGTACTAAGCTTAGTACCTGGGTGATGAAATAATCTGTACAACAAAACCCCACAACATGAGTTTGCCTATATAACAAACCTGCACATGTACCCCTGAACCTAAAGTAACAGTTTAAATTTAAAAAAAAGATTCTCAATTAATAGCCTACGAACCAAAAAAAAGTCCAGGACCAGACAAATTCACAGCCAAATTCTACCAGAGGTACAAAGAGGAGCTGGTACCATTCCTTCTGAAACTATTCCAATCAAAAGAAAAAGAGGGAATTCTCCCTAACTCATTTTATGAGGCCAGCATCATCCTGATAGCAAAGCCTGGCAGAGACACAACAAAAAAAGAGAATTTCAGACCAATATCCCTGATGAACACTGATGCAAAAATCCTCATTAAAATACTGGCAAACCAAATCCAGCAGCACATCAAAAAGCTTATCCACCAAGATCAAGTTGGCTTCATCCCTGGGATGCAAGGCTGGTTCAACATACGCAAATCAATAAATGTAATCCATCACATAAACAGAACCAATGACAAAAACCACATGATTATCTCATAGATGCAGAAAAAGCCTTTGACAAAATTCAACAGCCCTTCATGCTAAAAACTCTCAATAAGTTAGGTATTGATGGAACATATCTCAAAATAACAAGAGCTATTTATGACAAACTCACAGCCAATATCATACTGAATGGGCAAAAACTGGAAGCATTCCCTTTGAAAACTGGCACAAGACAGGGATGCCCTGTCTCACCACTCCTATTCAACATAGTGTTGTAAGTTCTGGCCAGGGCAATCAGGCAAGAGAAAGAAACAAAGGGTATTCAATTAGGAAAAGAGGAAGTCAAATTGTCCCTGTTTGCAGATGACATGATTGTATCCTTTAGAAAACCCCATCGTCTCAGCCTGAAATCTCCTTAAGCTGATAAGCAACTTTAGCAAAGTCTCAGGATACAAAATCAATGTGCAAAAATCACAAGCATTCCTATATACCAATAACAGACAGAGAGCCAAATCATGAGAGAACTCCCATTCACAATTGCTACAAAGAGAATAGAATACCTAGGAATCCAACTTACAAGGGATGTGAAGGACCTCTTCAAGGAGAACTACAAACCACTGCTCAATGGAATAAAAGAGGACACAAACAAATGGAAGAACATTCCATGCTCGTGGATAGGAAGAATCAATATCGTGAAAATGGCCATACTGCCCAAGGTAATTTATAGATTCAATGCCATCCCCATCAAGCTACCAATGACTTTCTTCACAGAATTGGAAAAAACTACTTTAAAGTTCATATGGAACCAAAAAAGAGCCTGCATTGCCAAGACAATCCTAAGCAAAAAGAACAAAGCTGGAGGCATCACGCTACCTGACTTCAAACTATACTACAAGGCTATAGTAACCAAAACATCATGGTAGTGGTACCAAAGCAGATATATAGACCAATGGAACAGAACAGAGGCCTCAGAAATAACACAACACATTTACAACTATCTGATATTTGACAAACCTGACAAAAACAAGAAATGGGGAAAGGAATCCCTATTTAATAAATGGTGCTGGGAAAACTGGCTAGCCATGTATAGAAAGCTGAAACTGAATCCCTTCCTTACACCTTATACAAAAATCAATTCAAGATGGATTAAAGACTTAAACGTTAGACCTAAAACCATAAAAACCCTAGAAGAAAACCTAGGCAATACCATTCAGGACATAGGCATGGGCAAGGACTTCATGACTAAAACACAAAAAGCAATGGCCACAAAAGCCAAAATTGACAAATGGGATCTAATTAAACTAAAGAGTTTCTGCACAGCAAAAGAAACTACCATCAGAGTGAACAGGCAACCTACAGAATGGGAGAAAATTTTTGCAATCTACCCATCTGACAAAGGGCTAATATCCAGAATGTACAAAGAACTTACATTTACAAGAAAAAAATCTAACAACCCCATCAAAATGTGAACAAAGGATATGAACAGACACTTCTCAAAAGAAGACATTTATGCAGCCAACAGACACATGAAAATATGCTCATCATCACTGGTCAGAGAAATGCAAATCAAAACCACAATGAGATACCATCTCACACCAGTTAGAATGGCGATCATTAAAAAGCCAGGAAACAACAGATACTAGAGAGGATGTGGAGAAATAGGAATGCTTTTACACTGTTGGTGTAAATGGTTCAATCATTGTGGAAGACAGCATGGCTATTCCTCAAGGATCTAGAACTAGAAATACCATTTGACCCAGCCATCCCATTACTGGGTATATACCCAAAGGATTATATATCATGCTACTATAAAGACACATGCACACGTATGTTTATTGTGGCACTACTCACAATAGCAAAGACTTGGAACCAACCCAAATGTCCATCAATGATAGACTGGATTAAGAAAATGTGGCACATATACACCATGGAATACTATGCAGCCATAAGAAACGATGAGTTCATGTCCTTTGTAGGGGCATGGATGCACCTGGAAACCATCATTCTGAGCAAACTATCACAAGGACAGAAAACCAAACACCGCATGTTCTCACTCATAGGTGGGAAGTGAACAATGAGAAAACTTGGACACAGGGTGGGGAACATCACACACCGGGGCCTGGCGTGGGGTGGGGGGATGGGGGAGGGATAGCATTAGGAGAAATACCTAATGTAAATGACGAGTTAATGGGTGCAGCAAACCAACATGGCACATGTATACCTACGTAACAAATCTGCACATTGTGCACATGTACCCTAGAACTTAAAGTATAATTAAAAAAAAAAAAAAAAAGAAAGATTCACCTGAAGATCTTCATTTGTGTCTGGCTTGAATTCTGTTTGGCGATTGTGAGCACCCTGCAGTATCTTCAAAGGAAAGAAGGAAGTTTGAGTCCGAAGTTTATAGTTTGCATACCCCCTTGGATGAATGGAATTCAGTCATGTTGCCAGAAAGTACTGAGTTTAATCTAAAATATTTGTCTCACATAGCTATTTAGTAAGGAGGTAAATCGAGACAAATCAAAACAACAACTAGAAGAACAAAGACAATGAAATGGGAGGGACTTCAACGTTTCTGCTTGAACAATGACATGGCAGAGAAGGTGAAATATTTGGTTTTGGATCTTGCTTGAGAAAATACAATAAGAATAATAACCCTGTAAATACTCTGCCTTGCAGACGCTTGGGAGTTCAGTCAGAGAGTTCTCAAAGTTCTTCCAGATACCCACAAACAAAGGTATTGGCCTACTGCAGACACCAAAGCCTTGTCATTTCTACATGTGACAGCAGGATGGCAAGTTTGGTGGGTGGAGGTGCTTTCAAGGCAGTGGGATTTCAGAACCTACTGGTGACTGGTCTTTTGAGAATTAGGGTGCTTTTGGCAGAGTAGTTAAAAACAACAACTCAAAGCCCTGGAAAAGACAGGGTTTATTACATTTGGCATTGGTTTAGCTTTCCAGTGGATGCCCGTCTTCTGTTCTTCTGTGTCTGGGATATTAAATACTATCAGAGAAAAATCCTTCTGCTAGCCTGATTGATGCCTTTACAAATGCATGGATTTTAAAGTTGGTTAGACCCCTTGACAATCTGTTAATTCATCTCTAATTGTCTTTCATTTCTCTTTCTCACAACACTCTATCAGAATAATTTCCCCTATGAAATTCAATGTGTTTTGAAAACACCATTTCATAAAGGACATTTTTATTTTTCTATTCTATCATGCGGTTGTGTTTACATGTATTTAAACATTCTATTATTGTTATGTATGAAGGTTGTTTCCAGCTTTAAGCTGTTATGAATAGTGTTTCCATGGATATTTTTGTACTAAATCTTTAACAAATCTCCTATTATTTCCTTACAATAGATTCCTACGTGTAGAATTACTAAGTAAAAGAGTATAATATTTAAATATGTGAATCTACATATGTATACATATGACATAAATAACAATGTTTATTATAGAAAAACATATTAATATGGACAAGCAAATATCCATAATTCTTAGACTTAAAGATTCATGCAGTTAATATTTTGCCATATAATCTTTTAGAAATGTTTTATGCATACATTGTCATAAAGTCTTTGAAGGGCCCATTATACTTCTTGCCAAATTGCTGCCCAGAGGAACATGTAAATATATACTCCTACTTGCCATATATGATTACCTTGATTATCATAATTTAAAAAATCAATATGTTGGGAAATAATATCTCATTGTTATTTAATTAGAATTTATATAATCTAATAAGGTTGATTAACATTTTTCACATTGACACTTTTGTTTTTTTGTGAATTAATTTACTATTTATTTATCTTCCTTTATTCCTTCCTTGGAGGGTACAGTTGTTTAAAAATATAAAAAAATTCAAAGAAGAAAATGACAGTCACTCAAATACTCATCACACAGAATTAACCACTGCTTTTATTTTGGCAAAATTGCTCTCAGTATTTTAAATGTTTGTAAGTTGGTTCATTTATACAAGTAATATAGGAAAACATTCTATCCTATCCCTTTTAATAAAAAAGAACATTGTACATCAAGCTAGAGTGTCCCAACTTTGATCCTTCCATTTTTATTTATACTTCTTCTGCAAATTAAAAACTAACATGAGTTTGAGAAGGAAACTTCTAAAAATTATACATACATACCCACATATGGATACAAATGCATCTACAAAAAGTATATAGTCTTGTGTCTGCATTGTTCTTCAAATCTTTACTTCTTCAGTCAACATGTTTTTGAAATTCCATATTGATAATATTGAGCCCCTTCATTCCTATCTGGATTCATAGTGTCTGTACATACAGATTTGTTTATCCTTTCTCTTATTGTTGGACACCGAGTATATTGAGTTTGCACAATTATTTTAAAAGGAGTTTCAGTTCTAGTACAAAGGGCTAATACCCAGAATCTACAAAGAACTCAAATAAATTTACAAGAAAAAAACAAACAACCCCATCAAAAAGTGGGTGAAGGATATGAACAGACACTTCTCAAAAGAAGAGACACACGAAAAAATGCTCATCATCACAGCATCTACTTTTTACACCTATGGGAACTTGGAATTGGAGGGCACTGTCAGTGTCCCGAACCTCTGTGGCTGCCCATCTAAGCCACCTCTCCTTTATGTTTGTTCCCTGGTACCTGTAGCATGGTATCTCTGGTGACTCACCAAAAATCTAAGCAGAGATAAAATGTCAGTCTCTTTTTCTTGTTTAGATATCTCTGAACTATTCCTAGGGTATATTAGTCTGTTCTCATGCTGCTAATAAAGACATACCCAAGACTGGGTAATTTATAAAGGGAGGTTTTTTTAATTGACTCACACAGTTCCACATGGCTGGGGAGGCCTCACAATCATAGTGGAAGGTGAATGAGGAGCAAAGTGACGTCTTACATGACGGCAGGCAAGAGAGAAATGCAGAATGAAAGAGGGTGAAACTCCCCTTATAAAACCATCAGATCTCATAAGCACTCACTCACTATCACAAGAAGAACATGGAGGTAACAGCGCCTATGATCCAGTTACCTCCCACTGAGTCCCTTCCATGAAACATGGGGATTACGGGAACTACAGTTCAAGTTGAGATTTGGGTGGGGACACAGCCAAACCATATCACAGGAGTTCTCCTGGCCCTTACTTTCCTGGCTGTGGGAATTGGAAGAACCTCTCCCAGAAACTTTTATCTTCCTCCCAGTTCTGCTCCCTGGGGTAGGAATGGAGGAGGGTGGTGGTCATGTGTTAGTTCTACTGAAATGTTGCCTGTGGGCAGGCTCCAGGGGAAAGGGTTGTCCCCCTATATGGGACAGTTTTCTGTACTTAAAGAATGTGAGGCCCTTAATGCCTTTGTTCCTAGCTGTATATTATAGTTAGTTCTAGAAAAAAGGAAAAAATCTCATTTTGTACCTTGTATCATCTTTTTACAATTGTTTCTAAGTTTTTATTGTTCCACACAATGCTGTTCTGAATATACTATGCCAACCTTCTTGTACACACGAGTATTTATAATGAAGATATCTAGAAGAGGATCTGCTGAGTCATAAGGTGTGCACATTTTCTGTTTTAATAGATACTGCCAAATTGCCTTCCAAAGTGACTCTACCAATTCACACTCTCATAACACGGCAAGAAATTACTTCCCCTAAACCTTATCATTTTTGACATTAAAGGCTTTTTATCTTATGTGTGAAAAATAGTATCTCACTTTTAATTTGCTTTTTCCCGATTTTTATGTAACAATGAGTACTTTTTCATTGGCTCCTTCTTTTTTTCTCCTCTTGCGATGTTTATCTTTTTACATATGTGTATGAGATCTTTTTAGAGAATGTCAATGCTTTGTCATAGTATATTTCACTACCATTTTCCCCACCAATTATTAGTAGTTCTTTAGTCAGAATGACCTTTCTAAAACTTAAATCTAATACAACACACCTCTGCTTACAATTTGATGTTTCCAATTTTCCTGAAGATAAAATTTAAACTCTTTAACAAACTCCTTTAGGATATATCTTCTATATACTTGTTCAGCTCATCAATTATCATTGCCTGCCTTATACTGTATGTGTTCCACGCATACTGAACTATCTATGGTGATATGGTTTGGCTGTGTCCCCACTGAAATCTCAACTTGTATTTTATCTCCCAGAATTCCCATGTGTTGTGGGAGGAACCCAGGGGGAGATAATTGAATCATGAGGGCCAGTCTTTCCCCATGTTATTCTTGTGACAGTGAATAAGTCTCATGAGATCTGATGGGTTTATCAGGGGTTTCTGCTTTTGCTTCTTCCTCATTTTCTCTTGCCGCCACCATGTAAGAAATGCCTGTCACCTCCTGCCATGATTCTGAGGCCTTCCCCAGCCATGTGGAACTGCAAGTCCAATTAAACCTCTCTTCCTTCCCAGTCTCAGGTATGTCTTTATCAGCAGCATGAAAATGGACTAATACAGTAAATTGGTGCTGGGAGTGGGATGTTGCTGAAAAGATACCCAAAAATGTGGAAGTGACTTTGGAACTGGGTAACAGGCAGTGATTGGAACAGTTTGGAGGGCTCAGAAGACAGGAACATGTTGAAAAGTTTGTAACTTCCTAGAGACTTGTTGAATGGCTTTGATGAAAATACTGATAGAGACATGAACAAAGTTCAGGCTGAGGTGGTCTCAGATGGAGATGAAGAACTTGTTGGGAACTTGAACAAAGGTGACTCTTGTTATGTTTTAGCAAAGAGACTGGTGGCATTTTGCCCCTGCCCTGGAGATATGTGCAACTTTGAACTTCAGGGAGATGATTTAGGGTATTTGGCAGAAAAGACTTCTGAACAGCAAAGCATTCAAGAGGCAACTTGGGTGCTGTTAAAAACATTCCGTTTTAAAAGGGAAACAGAGGATAAGAGTTTGGAAAATTTGCAGACTGACAATGTGATAGAAAACAAAAAAAAAAAACATATTTTCTGTGGAGAAACTCTAGCTGGCTGCAGGAATTTGCATAAGTAGCAAGGAGCCTAATGTTAATCCCCAAGACCATATGGAAAATGTCTCTAGACCATGTCAGAGACCTTCATGGCAGCCCCTCCCGTCACAGGTCTGGAGGCCTAGGAGGAAAAAGTGGTTTTGTGGGCCAGGCCCAGGGTCCCCCTGCTGTGTGCAGCCTAGCGACTTGGTGCCCTGTGTCCCAACTCCTCCAGCTGTGGCTGAAAAAGGCCAGTGTACAGCTTGGGCTGTGGCTGCAGAGGGTGGAAGCCCTAAGCCTTGGCAGCTTCCACGTGGTATTGAGCCTGTGGGTGCACAGATGTCAAGAATTGAGGTTTTGGAACCTCTGCCAAGATTTCAGAAGATGTATGGAAATGCCTGGATGGATGCCGAGGCAAAAGTTTGCTGCAGAGGCGGTGCCCTCATGGAGAACCTCTGCTAGGGCAGTGAGGAAAGGAAATGTGGGGTCAGAGCCCCCTCACAGAATCCCTACTGGGGCACTGCCTACTGGAGCTGTGAGATGAGGGCCACAGTCCTCCAGAACCCCGAACGGTGGATCCACTGACAGCTTGCACTGTGCGTCTTGAAAAGCTGTGGACACTCAATGCCAGCCCATGAAAGCAGCCGGGAGTGAGACTGTGCCCTGCAAAGCTACAGGGGTGGAGACGCCCAAGACCATGGGAACCTACCTGTTGCATCAGTGTGACCTGGATGTGAGACCTGGAGTCAAAGGAGATCATTTTGGAGCTTTAAAATTAATTGCCCCACTGGATTTCAGACTTGCATGGTCCCTGTATCCCCTTAGTTTTGGCCAATTTCTCCCATTTGGAACTGTTGTATTTATCCAATACCTGTAACCCCATTGTATCTAGGAAGTAACTAGTTTGCTTTTGATTTTACAGGCTCATAGGTGGAAGGGACTTGCCTTGTCTCAGATGAGCCTTTGGACTATGGAATTTGAGTTAATGCTGAAATGAGTTAAGACTTTGGAGGACTGTTGGCAAGGCACGATTGGTTTTGAAATGTGAGGACATGAGATTTGGAGGGGTCAGGGTTGGAATCATATGGTTTGGCTGTGTCCCCACCAAAATCTCAACTTGACTTGTTTCTCCCAGAATTCCCATGAGTTGTGGGACGGACCTGGGGTGGGGGTAATTGAATCATGGGGGCCAGTTTTTCCCATGCTATTCTCATCATAGTGAATAAATCTCATGAGATCTGATGGGTTTATCAGGGGTTTCTGCTTTTGCTTCTTACTCATTTTCTCTTGCCACCACCATGTAAGAAGTGCCTTTCACCTCCTGCCATGATTCTGAGGCCTTCCCCAGCCATGTGGAACTGCAAGTCCAATTAAACCTCTTTTCCTTCCCAGTCTCGGGAATGTCTTTATCAGCAGTGTGAAAACTGGCTAATCAATATTCTATCCCTTCTCATGCCTCCCTACGTTGACACATATTTCACCTGTTGTCTCTGAAATGGCCCTTTACCCCTTTGACTTCTATTCTTTTTTGAAGACTATACTCATGCACCATCTTCTCTAGGGACTCTTCTCTGTGTGAGCAGAATATCTTCCACATAAGCATTTAATAATTTGTATCTGACAATTGCATGATCTCTTTTTAGGCAGGACTTATAGTTTAATAATTAATAATTCTTGATTTTCTGATATTTAGCATAGTGCCTTGCACATTGTATAATCTAATAGAAAATATTCAAATGAATGAATGAAGCTAAGACATAGAAATCATATTCAGCAAGTCATTAACTATCTGAAGGAAAATACACATTTATTTGAAGTAGTTGAGGAAATAATGTAATTATGCCTTAAAAAGTAAAATTAGTAATTGGGCAATCTGAGGGAACAGATTAAAAATTGAGACATAGGTTATGCAAGGATTAGTGATTCAAGAAAGGAATTGGTTAATGAGATGGTGCTTTACAGTGGAATTTTCTCCTAGTATGTAAGCAAACAGGTATCAAAAACCAAAGGGAACATGATGATTTTTAGTGGAGGATTCAAAAAAAAAGGTAGCTGAAAACTGGTTAGGCAGTTTAAGGCAATTACACTTCTTATCCACATTAAGCAGATATAAATGGGCTAAAGATGAGAATGAAAGCAGAAGTTGTAAAGGGGATTTTGAGGAAGGCCACTGAAGTACATTGAGTTCTCCTACTCATCTCAAGGGAAAAGGGAATTTATGGCTGCTTTTTACCCTGAGCCTATGAGAAGGATTTCACTGGGGCCACTCAGAGTTGATGTACACACTAGTGTCTAATTTCTGCCTGAGAATAGAGTAAGACATAGTCTGAGTAGCTGCAGACAAAAGAGGCCTAGGCATGGCTACACTAGGAGGACTGTGCACCCAACATTCACTAGGGGGAAAGGAAGCATGACCATTTCTCATGGACCAGTGATAGACCAGGTATAAGATAGAGCTGTGTATGAGCCAGAGGGTTGCCTGAAGAGGCAAAGCAATATCTGCAGAGATAAACCAAAGAGCCTGATTTTCAGCACCTGAGAATGGAGCGAGTGACCAAACTCACTAGAACAGAGATCAGAGGAACTGCAGGTGAACACTCCTGAGCATGGCTCCAGGTTCTGTGGGAGCATCAAAGGAAGCATCACTCTAAACATTCGCCAGGTCCAGAAAAAGCCATTATTGATGTAAGGACTTTCCTTAACCTTTTTTTCCTCTTTATTTCTCATGTTTCAACCCAGAGTGGCCAGAAACTAACAAAATGCAGCTAAAAGGTGGAACAATGGTGAGTAAGGAGAAAAGAAGCCACCTATACCTTCTTCCTTCACTACAGGCTTCTTTTAACAATAGTTCAGAGCTGGCAGGGAGGTGTGGGGGAGTGGAGAGGCAGCAGATGCCTTACTTTTGAGGCTGTTTGGAGTACTGAACATATGTAGAATGGGACATATCAATTCTTAAATTGAAAGTAAATTAAGTATACATGTGCCATGCTGGTGTGCTGCACCCATGAACTCGTCATTTAACATTAGGTATACCTCATGTACACATATGTAACTAACCTGCATGTTGTGCACATGTTCCCTAAAATTTAAAGTATAATAATAAAAAAAAAAGAGCTTATTTCGAAGCACTCTTGTGAGATGTAAGTGTAAAGTCACACAGTTCCTGACAAAGTAAATGTTTGCTGTTATTAAGCAGGAGTGAGGGAGCAGACAAATACAATAAATAATTATAATCTAGTAGGATTAACAAAAAAAAGAAAGTAAATTAAGAATTATCATGCATATAAAAGAGTGAGCCTGAATTTTCTATAGGAACAGAAAAAGGCAGAGCCTCACTAAACAAATGGGTAGGGATGGTGACAGATAAAATAAAATGGCTTTCTGATTTTGTTCCATGAATCATGATTGTTCAGTGTGCTGACTACATTTCACTCAGAGCCTGGTGAATACTTGCAGTGAAGTGGCAGCTACTTCAGGGCTCTATGCCAGGGTAAACTATTTTAATAATTTATGTGTTAAATCAGTTCTATTATATTTTACAGACGTGTAGATTCCACTTGAGCGTTTCCCTAGATATCAATGCTTGGATTCCTCATTTTTTGCCTCTGTCTTCTGGACCTCTTTGGCCCAGTTTAGTAAGTGAGGAGGTGCACATATAATGAGGCTCACTCAGATAAGCTGGGATAGATTTAAATACTATTCATTCTGGCCTCCTGGATAGAATCAATACTATTGATCAGAGTGGCTGAGTTGGCCAGACAGCTGCTACCCCAAGAAAAGGATCTCATCAGTCTGCTGCTGAAAACTCTCAGAAGAAATGGAAACTTTTGCAGAGGATTTTAGAGAATTCTCTGTGCAGTCAGGTAAGCAAATTTATAGAAGTGAGGTATGGATGTTTGCTCTGTTTTTAGCATTGACTCTGATATTAGGGATATTGTGTGTTCCATTAATTATAAGAGTAACACTTATTTCCAAAAGAAAGGAACGTTGCTCTTTATTTATAGGCCAGTGTGTTAGTCAGAGTTTGAGTGGAAGCAGAATAATTATGAGAATTATGGTATAAGACATTTATTATTGGAGATAGACCTTATATACTTGAGAGAGGACCTGGATAATTAAAAGTCTGAAAAAAAAAGTTAAGATCAGAATGACACATCAGTAACCAGCCCAGGGGTGGATGAATGAGTTGGAGCTTGCAGGGAAATCTGGATGGTAGGCATGTCTGGAAAGGGAATGCCAATGGAAGACTGGTGGTTCTTCAAGGCTATTAATTCTGTGAGTTTGGAGCAAGGCATCTGGTAATGGGCCTGGGGTGCTATTAGTCAACATGACCAGCAGTTGGGAAGAAAAACTGGATACAGAGTGAGAAAGAGCCTGGGCTAACTAGAATCTTCTGGGACCTTTGTATCTCTCACCATCTCTGACTTCACAGAATGGTGGCTGCTGCTTCTGTCTCATAAAGCTTAATTTTTAGCAAACTCCTATCCAGAATTATATAGAAAAGAAAAGTTTGGGAAATGTAGTTCTCAGCATAACCATGTTGATAAGAGAACAATCTAGTACAGTGGATAGGCATACATACACACCTCATCAAATAGGCATACATACACACTTTTTAACCTATATTTAACTTTCATGTAAAGACAATAACAAAATGAGGATTCTGTCTAACATGATATAGCTATTTTTTGTAAGACTTCAAGCACACTTATATTCTCCCCCAAAGAAGATACATAGAGTCTCAATTTAACCATATTTTGAGTGATATTTATTCCTCTTTTAGCTGAGTTACATTCTCCCTTGGTATCCTGTTATTTAAATAGTGAGTTATAAAGTTGACTTATGGAATGTAAAAAGAAAGGAAAAATGAAAAATGAGGGAAAACAAAAGAATCAGTTAATATCCATATACAAATATACTCACATCACAATGAGAGAAGTACTCTTCATAGCACAGTTCATTTTTCTGAAGCTGTTCACATGATCATAGGTGGCAGTTATAACTTCTTTCTTCCAACACCTGTACCATATTCCCTTTACCTTCAGCAAGCACTTCAGCTAGTCATGTTTTCTTGTCCATGAAGATGACCAAAACCTTTATTTTTACATGGAGTTCTTGTAGTTTTCCATTAAATTTGACCACAGGACATGGGACAATTAACAGATGCACCAGAGGAGCTCCTGCATTCTAGACATGATTTCCCCCCACTTCCATTGTCTAGAAGCAATGTAATTTCTTTTTGATAGTTGGGATCAGTCACCTCAACACTACAGCAGCCCTATCTTTGCTCATTGTTTTGCTGGCTCAGGGAGACCAAAATTACCAGGCAGCCTTAATGACATAATTACTATGCCACCTGCTGGAAGTCTCCTACTTCCATTAGGAATTAAGACTTGAAAACCTGCAGAACCCATGAAGTTATGAATTTGGGGAAACATTTTGCTAGGTGATCATTAGGAGCACTAGGGTTTAGCTACTCTCATTTCCACCTACCGAATCCCTCATCTGTAAATACCGGCTAAGGAAAAATAGGACCATATGGTTGCAAAGGAAAATAGCATCATGGTCACAGATAAAGAGTATTTACAACATCTTGAAGGTGATCAACCCAGCCCTGCAAGGTGTTAACTAGCACACTAAGTCTTCAAAACCCCATTCTAAAATTTGACTGTTTCAGGGCTAGGGAAATTTACACCAGTAAATTTCATAAATACAAGGCACTTTGTTTCCCAAAAATGAGTTTCTTGGTTCACAAGCAATGTTATGTGATATCATCCATAAAATGGACCAGTGTAAGGAAAGGAGAGGCAATGTTCGATGCTGTAGACAAGATTATGCTGTAGGGATTACGAGTTTATATAACCCTGAGCTAGTGCAGTGAACAAGGCTGACCTTGCCAACTGAAAGGAAATTAATTTTAGTGGTCAATGCTATTAAATTTTAAGTATCATTCACCAGAACAATAGCTGGGTACCAGGTACTGGGAATATGTTTACCTACTCGAATAGCTGCAATTGTGTCTATCACCAAGTTAAGTTTACAGTAATTCTCTGTTAATTTTTAAAAATCCATCTGTCTTCTGCACAGGTCAGATAGGCAAGTGGAATTGACATGTTGTCTGGATTACCACTCCATTTTATATCACCTTTACAGTGGCAATGATATTTCTAATTTCTCCAAGAGTATGATTGCATTGGTTTACTATTTTGGTAAACAGAGTCCATTCTAATGGCTTCTGTGTGACTTTTCCTATAATAATAGACTTCACCTTATATGTCTGGAAACCAGTGTGGAGACTGCCAGTTTCTGAGCTACCAACTTTTCACTATGGAATAGAGAAGATAAACATAGGTTGGGGGTGGAGATCCATAGCACTGATTGTGAAATAGACATAGGTCAAAACTTCATAACCATATGACCCCCATATGCCCCTACTCTGACTGATAGAGCACACACAGTGATATTTTTGGTCTTCAGAAATAACTGTCATTTCAGAGCTAATGTCTAATAATTCCTGAAACGTCTGGATATTCCCTCTTCTATTCAAATCATCCTGACAAATGGTTAATCATCATACTAAGGAAGACTAGGAGAAAGATTTGAAGTATAAATTTTGGCAGTGTAGTAGGATTCTTTCTTAAGGGGCCCTGGCTTCCTGTTCATTCAACTAAGTCTGGATCAGCAAACTGGCTCAAGTTTGGGAACCAGTTGGGGCTGCAAATCTATTTTGACAAGGAAAGACACATTTCTCTTTGACCTAGAGCTTTTCTCACTGATAAAAGCTAGATTCTGATTTGCTGCCGTTTTACTTTAGTCCCAAGGATAACATAATCAATTAGCCAAGACCAAAGATCTCAGTGGTTTCAATTATTATGAAAAACACTGCTTTGTCTCTGATCATTATAGAAGGAACTATTCTGCAGAATTCCGCTTCTTAAATAGTTTTGTGTTTGTGTTCTCTAGAAATATTTTGCATGAAATTTGGAAGGCAGACTAGAGGGAGCAGCCATAGTAGTGTATGTTTAGAAGGCCAGTCTTGGGGCACCATGTGCTGTAGCAGCTCATGCACGCTCTTGCTGACCTTTCAATTCATGTTCATGATAGTTCCTCCAGTTCAGGCTTGAGCTCCTCCTTTTCATCTCTGATATGTGGCTTTGCATGTACATCTTCTGGGGCAGCAGCTAAAAGTGATGTTCCTTCCGCTTCTTCTTGATCTTTTCCTTTAGCTTCCCTATCTTGTGGTCTAGGCCCTACAAGAGATGCAGAAGCAACAACTAAACCTAAACTAATTCAGTAGCTTCTCTAAGCACATAAGGTCAAGATCCTATAAGAAATCTCAGATTCTATATTGTACCTAGTGGTTCTATTTTTGTGATGGAACTTTAACCGATATATTCACATTATTTCTAGTACAGAAGTGCTTATACTTTACTTCTGCCATTGTAAAATCACATCATTCCTTCTGAATTTGGAGAGTCCAGATCAATGTCAGCAGCCCCTAGTATCATTCCCGCCCTGCAGAGAATAGTCACCAAAGAGCTGTTCAAGTGTGTGTGGGGGCTCTCTTTCTAATGTGTTTCTCAAAGCCCTGGTGAAGGGAGAGTCCCAAGACTCTCCTGGACAGCAGAGTTAGGAGAGTTAGGGTATAGTTCAGTGAGAGTTACATAATGAATTTATGTGCATAATTCTGATATTTCTAAGACTTGGATACCTTTCTTTACATATAAAAAAGTCAGTCCCAGCATTTCAACAATATTCATTGTAGGCTATGTCTGGATCTAAGTTTTAGTTCACCTTTCAGGCATACTATTACTGCTACTCTAGGCCATTCAAGCAAGCACACTAAATCTGGAGATTTTGCTACATGCACTTATATCAATGCATTTAGCTTGATTCAAACAATTATTCATTCTACCCTGATCCAGCATGCTTAGGATTCATTTCCATAGTATTTGATAGTTTTTAATTCAATATAAACTGGGAGAAACTTGCATTTATTTAGGTGTGTCTGAAACATTCTCATGGGTCATGTTTTGCATTTTACCCCATGCTTCCTGCCAGGACTTTAATCCAGTTATAAATTTGGAAGCAGTGAATGGTGGGAGTGGGTCCTACACGGGATCGGCAGTCCCTTGTAGGTAACTATCTCAGGGGAATCTAATGCATATTCTTTAGCTATCAGGAGACTAATCTACTCAGACAAGGGGGCAAAGTCTGCTTCTACTGGAAAAGAAGGCTCTGCAGAGTGTTCATGGTGTGATGTTTTCAGCTTCATTAGAATGTACCCATTAAAGGTCTTCATCAAAAGTCTCAAGATCTTTTCCTTCCCCAGTCAACGGCTCAATCCCCTATCATAAGAAGCCGTATGAGGTTATAGATTCAATCTGAATTGTACTTTAGCCACACACAGGATTAGACTTCTGGTCTGATTTTCAAAAATCTTGTCCCAGTGGTTACAGGAGATTTCTTTTTAGGATAAGCATACAAGCTTTATGATTTTTTTGTACTGGACCTTTCAATGAGAATTTAAAGCCAAAGATCATCAGTTTCTTTCTCTAAGTTCTCTTATAAACTTACAATTGACCAACTAATGTCAAAATGCCTTTTTTAACTAAAAATTTTTATAGCAGCAACCATTTGGTCACCCAAAAAATTGCCTTATATGGATGCCTGCATACAGATGTCCATGGATGTATAAATAGTTTTGTCACTGAATGCCTTGGACCAGTAATATGCTCTTTAACAGTAGTGACAAGGTCACTAACGTTCTTAAGTCTAATTAGGTCATAAAACCAATTCTAGATTCCCATTCTAAAGATTCTGTTCCCTCTCTATGTCCATATGTTCTCATCATTTAGCTCCCACTTATAAGTGGGAACATGTGGTATATGGTTTTTTATTCCTGTTTTGTTGGCTAAGGATGATGGCCTCCAGCTCCATTCATGTCCCTGAAAAGGACATGATTTCATTCTTTTTTATGGCTAGATAGTATTTCATGATGAATATGTACCATGTTTTCTTTATCCAATCTCTTATTAATGGGTATTTAAGTTGATTCCATGTCTTTGCTGTTGTGAGTAGTGTTGCAGTTAACATATGAATACATGGGTCTTTATAATAGAGTGATTTATATTTCTTTTTTTTATTTTATTATTATTATACTTTAAGTTTTAGGGTACATGTGCACAATGTGCAGGTTAGTTACATATGTATACATGTGCCATATTTCTTTGGGTATATACCCAGTAATGGGATTGCTGGTGAAGGGTGGGAGGAGGGAGGAGAAGAGCAGGAAAAATAACTCATGAGTACTAGGCTCAATACCTGGGTGATAAAATAATCTGTACAACAAACCCCCATGACACAAGTTTACCTATGTAACATACCTGAACATGTACTCTTGAAGTTAAAATAAAAGTTTTAAAAAATGAAAATATAATAAAAGATTCTGTTGTCCTAGTACCACTTCTGGTACCAATAACTGTATCAGTCAAGGTTCATTCATGGAAGCCGGAGCATGATGACTATTATAAAATGAGAAGTTTATTCAAGTAATTAGACATTAAACAATTGTGGAAGGAGCTGGAAAGCTGGAACTTTCGGGGAAATGTTGAAGCTGGCATATCTGATTGTTAGAGTAAGATCTTTAAGACAGACTGGTAAAGAAGTTTGTAAATGTTATTTGTTCTTCCCGGCTACTGCCTCTATGAATTTGCAACAAGGCATCTGATAGTGGGCCTGAGATTTCTTTTAGTGAGCAGATATATTCATTTTCCATTTTGACATTACCATTTACCTTAAATTTAGCAGTTTAAAACAGCACATATTATCTCATAGTTTCCATGGGTCAGGGGTCTGTGCACATGTTAGCCCACTCCTCTCCTTAGGGTAATAAAAGGCTATGATCAAGGTGTCAGCCAGGCCCAGGGGTGTCTTCTGAGGCTTGTGGTCTTTTTTAAGTTCATGTAATTCTTGGCAGAATTGATTTCATTGTCCTTGTAGAACTAATGGAGACTGTGTCTCCAGGGCCAGTAAGAAGTGAACCTCTTGACACTGCCTTTTAAATGCTCCTATGATTATGTCAGACTCACTTCAGAGAAGCTTCCTTTTGATTAATTCAAAGTCAACTGATTAGGAGCCTAAAGGTGGGAGTGATATTCTATCATATTCACAGCTTCCACCCACACTCAAGAGGAGTGCATTTTTCAAGAAGAGTATACCTTGCAGCAAAAACCTTGAATCTGTCTTAGAATTATGCTTACCACTGTAGAAATAGCAGTTGAGACGAGAGCTTGATGTGTAGTAGAGAAGAACCTAGCCAAACTGAAATCTGCCAACACGCTGTGTCTTTCTCTCATTACTTTTAAACAACGATACACTTCAGAGCATAATAATGAGTGTAATAATGACTGTCGCTTTACTTTTTCCTCCCAGAAATCACTCCTCCCAGAAATCATTCAACTCTGTCTGTCCCTAAGCCAGAACCTTACAGGGAAGGGTTCTGGGAAATGCAGTTCGCAGTGTAACCAAGTTGTCAACAGAACAACGAAGCATTGTCAGGGTGGAGAAAATTTATTAAATTGTGCTGAGCAGGAACACTTACTTCCCAAAGAATCTGTTGTATGTAATAAAATATTATTATTGTTTTTATATGAGGAGGTTTCCTTCCTGTACTGTTCATAGAGCCAACCCACATGAACTAGCTCTTAGTGAAATGAAACCAGCCATTCTCTATTTGTTTCAGGTATAAAGAATGATGTTTTCCACTCTCACTTTTATGATACAGCTAGAGAGAAATGAATGTCTTTCTAAAATAGAACTTCAATAAAATCAGTTTTCTATTTTATGCTGTTTAAATGAACATTTGATAGCAAGAGAAGGTGACTTTATTTGTAATGTTAAATATCTGCCTTTGTCTTCATAGTATTTTTTTTTTTTAAATCTCAGGTGACTTTATTTCTGTCGTGCTTATCATGTCTAAGCAAGAGAAAGTTGCATTTATGCCATTATTTTGGAGAAAAGGGGTTTTGAGTAAATGAAGCAAGCTATAAAATCAGCACAAATTAGAAAATGCCACAATATCCAATTACTTCCAAAGAAATTAGTCTGTATTTGGGAACAAAATAAACTAGCACTTAGAGAGAAATGTGAGAAACTGGACAAAGGGTGGAAGAACAGATGCAAGACTCATGATTTTGTCACAAATTTCCTGTGAGACTTCCTTTAAGTCGCTTCACCTCTCTGAACCTTACATTTCTCATCTGCATTGCCAGGGCTGAGGACAGTGCCTGCTACATTGTCTCTGCTCAAGACCTGTTGAATCATTCAATCACCCAATCAGCAGCTTAATAAATCTATAGAAGGCTTAGAGTTATCTTTCTGCCAGCTTTGATACTCTGTGATTCTGTTACTTCCTCACTCTGAGTTTATAGTTAGATTTTTATTGACCATGGTGATTACTTCAGGACTTGAACAAAAGGCAGGACTTCTCGATGGAGCTGTCAGCTCAATGCTACTTCATCCCCTAGAATGCCTTACATCTTGACAGCTCATGTAGACTGTCAATCTGCAGATACCAGATCAATTCTAAGCCTGTGGGGTAAATGACAATTTGAGTAAGCTCCCACTGCTTGCTTTTTCTACTCCTATCTGAGGTAGTTACACAAAGTATAATCATAAAACCACGTCATCTCTGTCTCTTATAGATTGATCTCACCTAGGTCCTCTTAGCTGATTGTCATGCTATTCTCTTGTGAGTCTACTCATCTTCCTTACAGCAGCTCTTCCAGATATTCTACTCCAATGTCTATGCCTATCCACCACTCACATGCTATTAAAATGACCTGCCCTTTTCTCTTGTACACTAAAATAAAATCCTAAGTCCCCCACTGACTTGGCCAAAGGGACCCCAGAAAAATCTTGAAACTGAGTTACTGGCCATGATGGGAAGGGAGATCAGATATGCCTCATTATACCCCCTTCCTTTTGTGGTTTAGACACAACAACTGACCAGTATTAATGTTAAAGTAGAGATCATAAGACTGAAATAACAGAATCTTTGCAGCAATAAAATATAAAATTATGAACACGGGCTGGGCACGGTGGCTGAAACCCGTAATCCCAACACTTTGGGAGGCCAAGGTGGGTGGATCACCTGAGGTCAGGAGTTCGAGACCAGCCTGGCCAACATGGAGAAACCCCGTCTCTACTAAAAATACAAAAATTAGCCGGGTGTGGTGGCAGGCACCTGTAATCCCAGCTACTTGGCAAGCTGAGGCAGGAGAATTGCTTGAACCCGGGAGGCGGAGATTGCAGTGAACAGAGATCGCCCCATTGTACTCCAGCCTGGGTGACTGAGCAAGACTCCGTCTGAAAAAAAAAAAAAATTATGAACAGGCTCTGAGGCCATGCCAGACAAGGGTTAAGTCATGCACCCCTATAGTTAAATAACGTGTTCTGATTTCCATAAGGTTTTTCTTTTTCTCTGGTAGCTAAACAAGCACTGGCCTTGAAATAAGCAGTCTTAAAACAATTACAACTCTAGCTCACAGACGCTAACTGAACCTGTTTTACCAGCCATAACTGTAGCTGTTATTGGACAAGAGACTGATTTCAGTGACTTCCTTCCAGATAAGAAGACTAGAGGCTGGGCGTGGTGGCTCACACCTATAATCCCAGCATTTTGGGAGGCCGAGGTGAGCAGATCACCTGAGGTCAGGAGTTCGAGACCAGCCTGACCAACATAGAGAAACCCTATCTCTACTAAAAATATGAAATTAGCTGTGCATGCTGGCACATGCCTATAATCCCAGCTACTCTGGAGGCTGAGGCAGGAGAATTGCTTGAACCCGGGAGGCGGAGGTTGCGATGAGCTGAGATCACATCATTGCACTCTTGCCTGGGCAACAAGAGCAAAACTCGGTCTGAAAAAAAAAAAAAAAAAAAAAAAAAAAAAGCCAAAGGCCAAGGTCTGATTGTAGTGGTTTATAGAGGTCATGCACTTGTGTGCTTCCTTGTCCTGAAAAGACCTTTGGACATATAAGGCCTAATTGTAATACATTTAAATGTTAAGTCTCCACCCAAAGTAAACATAGGCCATATGTTACATGCATGCTTGTTTTATATGCATGTGTTAGGACCACCTTAATGAATATTTATAGCTCCTCCTATAACCTGTTGAATATGTATGTTTAGCCAACCCACTTAACATAAAGTTCCTACCCCATCCCCTCCTACTTCAAAGTACCTGTCTCTGGTCTTGGCCAGAGACATACTTTCAAGTCTGCAGGATAGTCACCTTGCAGGCAGTAATGCCTTATAAGAAATGAAGTCTTCTTCTCCTTTAAAAATATATAGATTTTTTTAAGTTAGTACACTTCATCTCTTACTTCTTTTCCTCATCATCCTGATTAAATTCACCCTCATATCTCACAAAAAAATGGCTTACTCCCTCCTACTTTTCCTTTCTGCTTATCTCCATTGCTTTCTCAGCTTCAAATATCACATTGATACAATGATCTCCAAATCTGAGTCCCACATACAGACTTACTTCCTAGTTTTGAACCCCACATTCCTAGGTATCTTCTAGATATTTGTCCTGAAGATTCTGCCATGTCCTCAAAATCAATATGCTTTAAACTGAAATAATCAGTTTTTCTCTTGTTCTTCCACTCATGCAAGTGAATGATTATGCTTCCCATTACTCAGGATTGAAAATTTGGTATTCGTCATGATTCCCCCTTTTCCCTGTTCTTTCATTTCAAAATTTTGTCAAGCTCTGTTACTTCTGGTTTAATTCAAGCTGGTTCAGTGGCAAGGCACTCTGGGACCACCATATTGTTGAATATGGAAGAGGAGAGGAAGGTGTAACAGTAGAAACTGTATTGGAGTATCTGCCCAGCTGTAGAGGGCTGGCTTCATTGGAAGGGGTCCTATGGATACTATGGCCCTTTATGAGTTACTACTATTGGATGTGGTGGACTCAGGCATATTGAGACCAATGTTAATATCCAGATTCTCTAACCAGAAGGCAGGAGAACTGAAAAGGCATAAACCATATTTGAAATCAAGTGTGTGGCAGTAGGAGTACAATTCCAGAACTCCATTTTTGAGGGACTGGTGTAGCTACTTAGAGCCCAGGGCTCCACTGACACAGGTTTACCTTGTTAATCCTCCTAAAGCACACTTCCATCATTTCATTTGCCTGGTCAAAAATTATCAGAGGCACCACAGTTTTGACTAAATTGTATGCAAACCATTTTGAAGCTTTCAAAGTTCTCATTATGCCAGTACCAACATCCCCTTTCTGGTTAGCTGTTCGTGCTTTGTAAATCGAAACTTGGGTTATGATCTCAAACCTACTTCAGCAAATAGATGCAATAAGAAAAATAAAGAAAGTTTAGGTGATAGAGAATGAGATGGGTTGGAGTGTGTAGTCAGGGAAGGCAACTCTGATAAGGTATCATTTAACAGGAAACTTGAAAGAAGCAAAGAGCAAGTCACCAAGATATCTAACAGAAATGCTATTAACGGCAGAGGCAATACCAATGCAAATGCTCCCAGGCAGAAGCATGCTTGGGGTGCTCCAGGGTCACTGGGGAGGCCAAACAGGCTGAAGTGCAGTGCATAAGGAAAAGCAGGACAAGGTTACGTAGGGCCTTTCGTGTGTGGTAGCCAAAAGCCCGTTATTTGCAACAGTCCTGGTTTATGTCTATTTTCCAAACAAATTAATAGCACCTTTTTATCCTGGTGTAGTGACACATGCCTGTAATCCCAGCTACTCTGGAGGCTGAGGCCAAAAGACCCCTTGAGCCCGGGAGGTCATTACTGCAGTGAGCAATGATCAAACCTCTGCATTCCAGCTTGGTTGACAGAATAAGACCCTGCCTTATAAGATAATAATAACAATAATAATAGTCTCTTTTTCATGCCCCAATGTATCCTGGTTTGTGTAATAAATTATTTGGCCTATTAGAGGCCACCAGATAATTCACCAGACAGTTTCTCTAGGTCTAATTATTACAGGATGAGAGGGTTTTTAATTACAATCTCAATTGCTTTAATAAATATAAGATTGTTTATATTTTCTATTTCTCAATTTTTCAGTAATACAAAATTTTGTTTCTCTAGTTTATCTAAATTGTTAACTTCATTGGTGTAAAGTGGTGTCCATAAAATCTACATGATACCTTCTTTTCCATTCTTGATTTAATAATTTCTGTTTTATTTTTTTCATTAGTTTTGGCAGGAGATTTTCACATTTATTCATCCATTCATAGCAACAGCTTTTAACTTTGTTGATTTTCTTTATTCAACATTTTTTTCTTACATTATTTCTGTTATTCTTACTTTCCTCTACTTTGTATGGGTTATATTTTCTCAGAGTTTTTTCTTAACTTCTGGATAGTTAAGTCACCAATTTTCATTTTTTCTAAGATATGCATTTAAGTTTTGACATTTTCTTCTATAGGCACTCTAAATTTCATCCTGCAAATGTTGTATGGTGTATTTTCACTATCATTTAGTTTAAAGCACTTTCAAAATTACATTGTGATATTTTCTTTGACCTTGGAGTTATTTAGACATGCATTGCTCAAGTTACTAAAACTTGAATACTTTCTAGTTATTTTTCATTTTAGCTTAATTTTGATGTGATCAGAACATATAGTTTTAATAATTTCAATACTTTAAATTTCTTTGACGTTTACTTTTTGACTTATTATATGTTAATTTTGATAAATACTCCATGTATGCTTGAAGATAATGTATCCTCTTATTGTGGGGTACACTCTTGTACAAACGTCAATTAAGTCAATTTTGTTATTTGTATTTTCTATGTCTTTCAAATATTGTTATTCTTTTATCCAGGTCTCCTATCAGTTACTGACAAAAGCCTGTAAACTCTGTCTTCAGTTAGATTCCCTAGATCCCAAGTCTGAGATGGGGATTCTTGGGAAGGTGATGTGTTGAGAATGAGGGAAGTGGTGTATGGTAAGTGCAAGAAGCCAAGCAAGGGCGTGATATAAGCAGGAGACTGCCTTCTGCCTGATCCCATGAGGAGATCAAGAGCATGAATTGCAACACAAAGTAGGCACTACTTTGAGGCAAAACACCAGCCCACTGGGTGTGGGCTGCTGCAGGGGTTGGGAGTCTAGTTTCCCAGGTAACTAACCATCCTTTGGGCTAACGACACTCTATAGAAGGGGCACATAGAACAGCCAGCATGCATAGTAGCTAGAGAATGCGTTTAACAACCTGGTAAAGAGAGTCTGGGTGGTTCATCAATAAACCCCAATAAATCTAGGGGCCCTCTCTGGTTATGGACTTGCCTGTATCTCCTTTTAGTGAACTCAATGTTTATATTATATTTTTTGAAAGCATGTTATTAGTACATACAAATGTAGAATTGTTCTATTTTCCAAATAATTATTTTATCATTAAGAAATGCCTTTGCTATGCTTTTTTTCTTAAATATATATTGTCTGATATATTAGTAAAGCCATTGAGGATTTATTTCTGTTAGTGACTTGATGGAATCACTTTTCCATTGTTTTACTTCCAGCCATTCTATATTGTGACTTTTAAATTATGTTTATTATAGGCTGCATATACTTGGGTTTTACTATCTAGTCTGAAAATCTTTTTCTCTTAATTGAAATAAGTGTGTACTTAAATATTTTATTGAGTGAGATTCACAACATAAAATTTACCATTTTAAAGTGTACAATTAAATGCATTTAATACATTCACAAAGTTGTACAGCTGTCACTACAATTTAGTCTCCATTTTCGTCACCCTCAGAGAAAACCCCATAAGCATTAAGCACTTGTTCCCCATTTTTCTATCCCCAGAAACACTGGCAACCACGAAATCTTCTTTATATATTTATGAATTTATCAATTCTGGATATTTTATATAAATGAAATAATACATGACCTTTTGTCTCGGACATTTTTGCTTCACATCACATTATCAAGATTCATCTATAATGTGGCATGTGTCAGTACTCCATTCCTTTTTATGTCTTAATAATATTCCACTGTATAGATATACCACAGTATCCACTCATTAGCTGATAGACATTTGTATTGTTTTGGCTGTTGTGAATTGGGTTGCCTTTTGGCCGTTCTGAGTAGTGCTGCTATGAACATTGATGTACAAGTATTTGTTTGAATACCTGTTTTCAATTATTTGGTGTGTATACCTAGGAGTGAACTTGCTGGATGATGGTAATTCTGTTTAACTTTTTGAGGAACTGCCAAACAGTTTTTCTACAACAGCTGCACGGTTTTACATTCTCACCAGTAGTGTATGAGTATTCCAGTTTTTTCACATTCTCACCCCCCACTATTATTTTCCACTTTTTTTTGGTCATTGCCACTTGGTGAGACATTTACTTTCAACATAAGTGCTAATATATTTGGCTTTATGTTTACTCTCTTACTATTTTTTAAAATTTTTCTTACATGTATAATGTTTCATTTTATCTCATCTCCTGGCTTTTCTTGGATGAAATATTTTATTGCTTTATTTCTTCTTGTTATTTATACATCTCACTGCTATTTATACTAAATAATTTACTATTAATTTGTGCTTCTCTGAGATGTTACAGCAATCACTTTTGACTTATTATAATTTAATACAAGTGAATAAATTTTCTAGGACCTTAGAGCACTTTAACTCTTTCTACCTTCCTTTTGCCTTTTTGTTATTGTCGTCATGCATTTTAATTCTACAAATATTTGTAGTGTTATTCTTTAAGATGGTAATATCTGTCTGGATTTACTTAGATATTAACCCTTTCTATCATTCTGTAATCCACGCTTCATGTTCATATTTCCATCTGGGCTTAATTTTCTTACCGCTTTAGTATTTCTTCTTATGCTTGAATATACTCCCCTTAGTATTTCTCTTAGAGTGAGTATAGTGGCTACAAATTATCTCAGTTTCTGTTTTTCTGGAAATGTCTTTATTTCACTATTACTTTTGAAGGACATTTTTACTGATTATAGGATAAACTGACAGTCATATTTTAAATATTTAAAGTCTGTCATTTTGTTCTGTCCTGGCTTACATGTTTCTGTGAGAAATCAGTGGTAAATCTTACTATTGATCCTTTAAAGTATTATATCTTTTATTTTATGTGGTTTGCTTTTATTAATTTGGTCTTTATATCTTAGTATTTTTACTCTGTTATAACTAGGAATTACTTATTTGTATTTATCTTGCTTGTTACTTATAGCTACCCTTGTATTCAATATATTAATGTCTTCTCATCAGTTTTTGAAGACTTTTGGTCATTATATTTAAATATAATGCATTTAAATATAATGCATTTAAATATAATGCATTTGCTATCTCATCCCATTCTGGAACTGCTCTGTTTCATAAACTTATTATACTCTCTTTTTGGTATTTTCTATTCTGTTTGGTCCCTGTTCTTCAGCATGAATATTTCCTTCTGATCTATCTCTTACTTCACTAAATGTCTCTTTCACTATATTCAATCTGTAGTAAAATCCATCCATTCAATTCTTAATTAATTCTAGTTAATTTATTTTTTATTTTGAGAGTTTCAATTTGATTATATTTATAGAGCCCAGTTCTCTGTGTAATACTACTTCTTGTCATCTATTTTATTGTTGATATTAATCACAATTTTAAAATCTCTGATAATTCCATCCATAGGTCTGTTTCTAATGTGTGTTTTTTTCTTTTTTTCCTCTTCTTTGGTATGCTATTCATTTTTGACTGAAAAAAAAAAAAATAAAACCCTATCTATCTATAGTTTGCTCCTGCCTAGGATGTGTCTCTCTAGGACCCTAAAATGATGGCCTCTGGTATTTTTAAGGGCTCTTATTTCTTGGAAGGTCTAATACCTCATTTGTCTCTGCTAAGCTCTTTGAGGTTGCTTAAAATTTTGCTTTACTTTTAAGCAGCTTTCTGCTTAACTTCTTAACTTTTATCCCTAAATAGCTTAAGAAATAGGTAAATAGGTTAAGTGGAAAAGAACTGTTAGCCTTTTTTCCTTAGTCCTTTTTTTTTTTTTTTTTTTCTGTCTAGGGTACTAGCCCATCAGGTCCTGGCTGTCTTTGAAAATCCAGACTCCAATTCCCATCTTCACATCCCTATCTTATAGCTAAAAATTCTGCTGACTTCTCTATTTAAGAAGGACATTGATATGGCCACAAATAGGCAAATATCCCAAGAAGAAAATTAGTATGCAGACTGTTAGCCCACCTCTGTGTGACTTTCCTCCTTCAAAAATCTTAACTTCTCAAGTCCTTATTACCTTGGCATGTCCTTATCACATTCAGCTCTGTGTGTGTGTGTGTGTGTTGATTTGTTTGTAATTTTTATCTCAACTTTCTAGTTTATTTTGATGAGAGCCTCAGTCTGCTACACAATCCTCCATTATAGCAGCAAATTGGTATATCTGAGTATATTTCAAAAATAAAGCTGGTAATATGGGTTGACAGAATAGATGTGGGGTATGGAAGATAGTGTATTATCAAAAATAATTTCTAATTAATTGTCCAGAGCTACTAATCAGAATAATAATGTTTATATTAACTGAAGTGAGAATGATTGTTACTGTTCATTTTTCATAGCCCAAATCAATGTCAGCCTGCTAAATGATCTCAGGATACCTCTGATTATAATAGTATCTCTGCCCACATTTTGTTTTTTTCTTTACAGTACTTGGTAGTGGTTACCTCATGCTGTTTTTGAATGGGAGCTCGTGTATTATAGTTTTTTTTCCCTAGATTCTCATCTACTACATGAATGACTTGAATAACTTATTTATCATCTCTGAAGTTCCCCCACGTGAAAATGGGCAAAATAATATTAACTATTCACAGTGTTGTTGTAAAGTTTGAGTGGGACAATTCATACTGAAGTATCTGATAAAATTCCTGAGAAGCAACAATAAATAAACATGTAATAGCTACAAAGCATAATGATTATCATTATAATCTGCTTTATCTTCCAATTTAGAATATAATATTCTGAGGACTCTTTTTCCATATTAAACAGCCATGTATTTGGGTTGACTCTCTGCTCATAACCAGCCAAACTCACCCAATAGTTGTATTCCTGCTGCGTCATTGAGCATTGAGGCAGTCAGTCGTTCAGTATCCCCCTTTTCCTCCACCAAGTACTTGTTCCCAGTACGTTTTCCCTTTCTCCTCCTCCTCCTCCTCTTCTTTTCTTCTTCCTCTTCTTAGTCTTTCTTTTTTTTTTTTTTTTTTGAGATGGAGTCTCGCTCTGTCACCCAGGTTGGAGTGCAGTGGTGCAATCTCAGTTCACTGCAACCTCCACCTCTCGGGTTCAAGTGATTCCTCTGCCTCAGCCTCCTCAGTAGCTGGGACTACAGGTGTGCGCAACCACACCAGCGAATTTTCTGTATTTTAGTGAGACGGGGTTTCATTATGTTGGCCAGGATGGTCTCGATCTCCTGACCTCATGATTCGCCCACTTCAGCTCTTCTTTCTCTTTCTCTTTCCTCCTTCCCCATCTCCTCCTCCTCCTCCTGCCCATCCTCTTCTTCTTCTTCCTCTTCCTCTTTCATCTTCCATCTTCCTCTTTCGTCTTCCTCTTTCTTTCTTCCTTCTTCTTCTTCCCCATGTTATTCCTGTGTCAGGCCTTCCATCAGATCACATATCAGACCTTGATTCCCATTCTGCATACTTGGGTTTGCCCCCAAAATTTTCTCTCCCCTATATTAGGTTCTCAGTTCTTTCATATGAATTTTCAACACTCACTTCTCCAGAATCTAATTTTCATTCTAAAACTTGTTCATCACTGTCTTTCTTCTTAAGCCTGTGTTTGGATATGTGTGTGAGTGGGAATGTGTGGGAGTGTGTGTGTGTGTGTGTGTGTGTGTGTGTGTGCATGCATACTGGTGTGAGTTTTTGGGGTGAGGGGTGAAGGAGGAGATTTTTCACTATCCTACATGGGTTCTTGCAGATTTAAATTTTTAATAAATATAGGTCAAATGAATAAATAAGAGCTATTAGCAAGAAATGATAGGCTGTGATATATTTGGACCAGAGCATTTTATAGTCATTTTCAGTATATATAGTTCTGTGAGTTTAATGTATCTATACTGGACTTTTCTTGTTAAAATAAAATAAATAAATATAATATGTATATTATATTTATTTATAATTAAATATAAGTACATATTACATTATATATAAATGTGTATACACACACACACACACACACAGCCTGATAGTGGAGAAATCATGTGGCTCACTGTTTCCAATATAAAGCAAGTAATTCTGGGCCTTCTGTTCCTACTTTTTCAGGTCTGTTTCTCTGTGGTCTAGTGTTTTAAAAGTTACTATGTTGATTCCTAGAGCCTTGAAATAAAATGCAATTTTGTGTCCTTTGGAGAAGCAGCATAAAATACTTTGTGACATAAAACACAGGAAAATTTCCCCCAAATACTCTTCAAGTATTTCCGTTCCCACTTGTCTTCTCGAGAGTCACTTATTCCAAATCCTGTTCCCATCTCTCTCATTGCTCCTCATGTCTGCTAGCACTCATCAAACTCTGTCCACTCTTTCTACACTGCCTTTCTTGTGTAAATAAATGCAGCCCTGGCTTCTCCCAATCAATTAGCTTCATTCTTTGTCTTAATTAGTGTCAATAAATGGACGTGGGACCTAGTGATTTCAAAAGGCTCCAGACAGTCTTTAGAAAAGACTATGGAAGAAATGGGGAGGCAAAGTGAGAATATTTTAATATTATTCTAGAATATTTTAATATTTTAGTATCATTAGTATTTGGGAAGCACTTCTAGCACTTTTATAATTGCATAAAGCTGATATGCATGGTTTGGAAAACCCACTGAGTACTATTTTGACCCAAGGGCAAATCACTGAATACTACTGTATATAAAAAAATTACAAAGGCTCACACTTAGATATACATAAAGTCTAAATTAATCTTACATATTTATAAAATTAGACAATATTAATGACACATTTGTATAACGTTCTTTGATGAACATGGGAATAGTAACACCAACCTGATAGAATAAAGTTATAAGATTATATGAGGAAATTAATTCTTCTAACAAACTTTTATAGAGCATTTACTGTGTGCTTACTATCTGAAGATATAAAGATGACTTGGTTATAGCCCTCAAGTAACTTGTAGAATATATGGCAATCAAAAAACAGTACAATGTATTAAGGATTATGATTGCATATAAAAGATATAGAAATAATATAAGGTGATTAACTCTCATGGAGGTTTGGGGATGTTCTAGTGTAGACTTCATGCAAGTGATTACCTGTATCTGGGAGTTTGACATGTAGACAAAGGATGGAGAGGAAATCCAAGCAGAAGACACAGAAAATACAGAATTAAATAGAGAGAAACAGCTTGTTTTATTTGGGGACCAGCAAGTGGGTGATATTTTGAGAACTTCAGGTGATACAAGCTGAGCTGGAGGAAATTAAGGAGAATGAGGCAGAAGCCAGAACATAAAGGTTGTCTTTGCAACTGAAAGGAATTTTGGCTTCATTACCTACTCAATGGAGAGCTACAGGAAAGCGTCCTGGTCATTAGAAGTGATAAGATAAGGTTTATATTTTTATAATTATTCCAAGGCCATTTTAATGGATTGCTTGGGTGAAGTCAATGAAATAAGTTACAAAGTCATTGTAATAATTCAGAAAAGACAAGTGTGAGAGACATACAATGCCTGATATATAGTAGGTGCATGATCAATGATGGCTTCTTTCCTCATTTGACAATTCTCTAGGTTAGTGATGGCAGGTGTCATTGTTGCCATTTTACAACTTGAGTAATTTAGTTGCTAGTTTAAGTGACTTTTTCTTCGGGACTCAAATAGTAAATGGCAGGGCCAGAGCTACTAATTTTACGCTTCTGTTTTCAGGGGGTGTTTCAGTGTCTGAGAACTTTGAGGATACAAATGAAAATATCAAGGTTTTAAGTATATAGAATATACATTTTCTGTAAATGACTTTATTTTATTTTATTTTATTATTATTATACTTTAAGTTTTAGGGTACATGTGCACAATGTGCAGGTTAGTTACATATGCATACATGTGCCATGCTGGTGTGCTGCACCCATTAACTCATCATTTAGCATTAGGTATATCTCCTAATGCTATCCCTCCCCCCTCCCCCCACCCCACAACAGTCCCCAGAGTGTGATGTTCCCCTTCCTGTGTCCATGTGTTCTCATTGTTCAATTCCCACCTATGAGTGAGAATATGTGGTGTTTGGTTTTTTGTTCTTGTGATAGTTTACTGAGAATGATGATTTTGTAAATGACTTTCAAAAGCCTGAGTATGAATGAGATTCTTAAGTCCTGTCTGTTCAGTCATTTAACAAATACTTTTGGAAAGTTATTATAATCAGGGAGCTGGGGACACAGTGAAGAAATGGACAAAGATCTTAGTCTATCTGAGCTTAAATTCTGGTAGGTGAGTGTTTTTAGAGCCCCCAACTAAATTGGGGTTCCAGTACCAGAGCAGCTAGAAAACCTGCTCTAATGGGAAATGATAGGAAGACAGAGGTGGCCGTTTACAGTGTGCCTTTCATGGAATACACCTTCTACCTGGCATTAATGCCTGCTTGTCTCACCTGTGATCAGGGGCCCCTCACATAGAAACTTCTTTATACTGGCAAACATCCTTGTGGCTCTTGTCTGACCCATGCCCAGTTTGTACTTGCCTATCAGTCTGGCACTGGGAGCCTGACCTTGTGTTCTCTCCAGCATTTAAGGGGACACCTGGCTTAAGGCAGCCCCTGGTTCTTCTGATGGAAGGTGCAAAATTAATACCAACACTATATAAAATACATTCAAGGGTTTATTACTTACAGACCTTGGACAGGGAGGGTGCAACGAGTCAAATGGAAAGAGCAGTCCTCCATCCCTGAGTCATGTGAAGCAGAAATAAAGAGGCATAGAGACATAAAGACAGACAGAAAGAGACAGAGAGAGAGAAAGAGAGAGAGAAGGGAGGCGGGCAGGTGGGGTAGGGCAGAAAGAAAGGGAACAAGGCAACTAGCAGTATATATATATAAGGGAATAGTGTGTTAGTGTGTGGGTTGCTTTACGTTCACAGTCAATGCCTGAGTTGTTTGTTCAAAGGAAGCAGCCAAAAAAAAAAAAAACAAAAAACAAAAGAGGGAGCTCAGTGTCTTAGGCAGGAGAGACGCCTCCAAGTTCTTATGTCTTTGTTCATTGGCTTGAGCCTTTTGGGTGTAGTGTCCTCCTTTGAGTGTCTAGGCAGCACCTTTTGCTTTGGCATTTCCAGTTCAGTGAGTGAGATGCTCAAGAAGCAAATGGATACACTAATCATATAATTACCAAAAATTTTAAAAAAGATAAATCTATGCAACAAATTGTAAGATGATTAGGGGAAATAAATGATGAAAACCCTATTTGATAAGGTGTTCAGGAAAGACCTGTCTGAAGAAGTGACATTTCGAATGATCGAAGGAGCACAACTCATGAAGATATAGAAAAAGGTCATCTCAGGAAGGCAAAAGGACCATCAAAGATGAAGGATTATCAAAGATAATGACCCTGGGATGAACTATTTTATATAAGTTAAGGATCAGCAAGATGGTCAATGTGGGTGCTGCTGAATCAATAAGATGATACCTGAGAAAGAAGGAGAACACAATAAAGAGTTTGTACTTTAAGTTATTTTTTCCCTTTCCCCGAGCAAATGGATGAAGAGTGATGCTATCTACTGAAAAAACTTGGGTGAAGCTTCAGGGCAAAATCAACACGTAAGGTTGAGATACCTATTGGAAACCTAAGTAGAGATACTGAACCACTTGAATAGATTAGTGGCAACTCAGGGAAGAGGGCAATGACAGCAATACAAATGCAGAAGGAATCAGCAAACAAAATGTATTTAAAGCTATGAAATCAGGTAAAATTATTTTGTGAATGAGTATATGTAGAAACGAGGGAAAGGACTGGGGTCTGATAAAGTTTACATTTAGGGAAGAGGAGGAGTTCCTAGCAAGTAAAACTGAGAAGCAGCTAATGAGGAAGGAGAGACACCAAAAGAAAGGAATTTCCCAGAAACCGAGTGACTAAAGGGTTTAAGAAAGAAGAAATAACCAACTGTGTCAAATGTTTCCAAGAGGTCAAATAAGATGAGGACTGAACATTGACCAACGGATTTGAGAAGATGAGGGTAATATTAGTTACCTTGACATGTGGCTTTTGCAGAGTGATGGAGATGAAGGCCAAATGGAAGTGGGTTACTAGAAAAAGGGAAGTACAGAAGTGAACAGCATGATGGCACATATCCTGTCCAGGAGTTTACTATACAGGGCATCTGCGAAGTAGAACTGTAGCTAGAGGGGGTCATAGGGTACTAGAGGAGAGATTTAGAAATGAGAGTTATTACAGACTACTCATGTGATAATGAGAACAATGCAGTAGAGAGACAAAATGATGTGCCAAAGAGTGTGGGCAAGGAATGTCCTACAGGATAAACTCATGCTGACCCAAGAAGTGACTTAAGCCTGTGAGCAAACTCAGTGAGGAGAAAACCAGCACCACTAATATTTATTGCAAGCATTCCACTATTTATTGCAAGCATTGAACTATCATGTGCAAGCATTCCATTAAGCTCTTCCCTTTGTAACACTTACAGCACAACTCCATAGTATAGGTATTATTATTTCTTCCAATTTATAGGTGAAGGAAGTGTATCTGGGAGGGTTCCAATAACTTGCCCAAAGTAACAACAATAATAAATGGTAGAACTTAATTTCAAACCTGAGTCTGTCAGCTTGTGCATTTAATTACTCTCCTGTGTAGGAGCCAGAATTTCTGTCCAGCTCAGTGTGGAATACTTCTATGCAATCAGAAATTATATTTCCTACTCCTTGCTGCTGCCTAAAATTTTTATTAAAAAGATCAATGCCTTAGTAATAGTCTCATATCTCACAGTTTCGGTTAACACTAACATCAGAGTTTCAAGATGCCTAGAAACTCAACCTAAAAGTTACTATTTCATATAAATTTTCCTGAGGACAGGTTATTTGAGCATGCACCATGCAGTAGACATTTTATCATTTTGCCTGCACTTCCTCAATTTAATTAAAAAATTCTAATGAGCTATATTGAACTAAACACTGAGCTAGTTGGTGGGCATATGTAAATATAGAAGATGAAGTTTCTGCCCCCAGATGTTTCAAGCAGGAGGCATATTCTGGGTGGATAGTGTCTTCTCTACGGTAATTCTCTCAACAGAATTGAGTTGGGATCTTTTAGGTCCCCACATGATTTATTACCAGCACAAATATAAGCAAAGTCTTAGATTTAGGGAACAGAGAGAAAGGAGATAGACAGCCAATCTGTCAGAAAACTTTTTTTTTCAAAAAGAAAGATGATTGTTTGATTTTCTATCCATCCCAAAAAGAATGTGGGGAAGTTTGTAAAGATACAGAATATGAGTTAACATCATTAAGGACACAAATTAAAGAAAAGAAAAATAAGATAACATCAGGTCAAGGGTAGGGACTGAATACCTCCCATGAGTTGACAAGATTTAGCCAGAGGTGGGGAAAGAATCCACATATAAATACAGTGCAGATGCTCTCTAACTGGATGGAAATGGAATAATTATGTTAATTTGTCCCTTTTTATACTCAGAGATGGCTTTTAATTCTTTTCAAGGATTCAGAATTAGAATATGTCCACATTATTTGGCCCTTGCCTCAATCTCTCCTTTCAGGACAAAACAACCCTCTAGTGTGACCTTCACGCAGTATAGATTACTCTCCTGAAGATCAGGTTAGCAGGTTGTCTTGCTTTTACACCATTCACATGTGCCCACCTGGCTGTTGGGCAGATGTTCTCCTGTAGGGTACAAAAATCTCCCAACATTAAGTTTTAATTGCATCTCCATAATTGTTGTTTAAATGTTGGCATTCATTTTATGAGCTGATTTTTCTATGCTAATCAGTGCTCAATTCAAATCAGAACAAACAAACAATCACAACAACAAGAAAAACAAGACCTCTTCTATATTTATAGCTGGTGACTAAAATAGTACCATAAATCCTGACTGTGACTGACTAATTGCTTGAAATCTAACACAGGACCAACAGAGACTCTCTCTCTCTTTGCACAGCTTTCATTGCTTAAACAAAAGCTACTCTGATTTGTTTGGGAATCAATTTGATTTGAGAAGGCACTGGGGCTCTGTCAGTAAGCAACGAACAAAGTACAATTTCCTTTTAATGGAATTGGGATTATGCTTTGAGGACATTGCTTTTTCCCTTCTTAAGGGAATCGGGAGAATGAAGTTGGGAACTCTTTGCCAGTGGCAAAACATAGGAGCCAGTTGATCAGAACCTCTGGTGCTTTTTTTCAAACTGCTTGGGCAATAGAAATGAGAGAAAGATTCCCAGTTCTCAAGAATGTGATTAATGAAAGCATTAGAGAGATCATTTAATGGCATGGAGTGGGTTTGAAAATTTGGTGTCAAATGGTTTGGTTCTGATATAGATTTAGCACGGATATGGATCTAACCAAAACTGTTATGTGATTTTGTTTAACCCCAGGTGTGTTCCAAATCTTAAATTATTTTTGCAGTAAAAACTTGATATAAGTAATTCATTTTCTATAGGGTCATTTTAGGGATTAAGTGGGAAAATATGTTTTAAAATTTTGTAGATGATTAAGAGCTAAATAACAAGAAAACATTGTATCTTAAAATATTGTTTTTGGTTGATACATTCTAGAATCTTCTGAACTCTCTACTCCAATTTTTGATAGAAATAGGTGGGTATCTGAATTCTATGGTTTAGAACAAATAGAAATTTCTGCTATTTTTGGCTTCAGGTTTATTACTCAATAAATTATGGATTTGCTATGGTCTTAAAGTTAGAAAAATTTAATCAGTGTAAAACACCAATTCCAAAGACAGTTATTTTCAAGCTCTTTTCCCATTTGGTTGACAGGAACCCAATTCTTGAAGAGGTTTTTCATTTCAGCATCAGGTCCTCTAATAATTAAAGTGATGCTTTTGCAGCAGATCTTCCTTCACACCCAAGTACATTACCGGATTTTAGCACCAATCAAATAATGAGTCAAAAGAATATTAGATGTATTTCTGATTGTCCTAGTATGGGTTACAATTTGTTATCTTGATAAGAAGGCCTGGAGACAGAAGAGGAGAATAGAACTTTAGTTACAAATGTCCCTATTGCTAAGATGGCTGCTGTGATTTAAAAAAAAGTCCTGGTCTTAGGCTGCTGAAATGTGCCAATCTTTTTAGGTTCAGCATTTATAGGGCCGTTTCTCCACCCATGATTTCTGGTTCAACATTGACTGCTTCGTGATATCTGTTCTCAGCAGTATGTGGTTTTGTTCCTTTAATGGGAATCTAGACAATTCTTTTTATAGCAATTCAAGTAAGCTCAGATATTACAGACACTTAGTCCTCAGCAATATAAGCTCAGCAATATAAAATCCAGACAGTAAGGGTAGAAGCAGGGAGAACAGATAGGAGGTGATTGAAATTATCAAAAATCTATGGCAGAGCTTCTCAAATTTTAACATGCAAAGGAATTATAGAGAAACTTGTGAAACTGTAGAACGTAGTGGGGTGAGCCTTGAGATTATGCATTTCTATGAGCTCCAAGATGATGCTGACACTGTTGGTTCATGGAACACACTTTGGGTAGCAAGGATCTATGGTGTGCGTATGCTTTTTTTCTGCTCCTGTGCCTTTCTCCTTTGACTTGACACTTTAGAGAAGTGGTTTTCTACTCAAGCTGCCCATTAAATCCAACTGTATTAAAAAATACTGGGCTGGGCACGGTGGCTCATGCCTGTAATCCCAGCACTTTGGGAGGCCGAGGTGGGCGGATCACGAGGTCAGGAGATAGAGGCCATCCTGGTTAACATGGTGAAACCTCGTCTCTACTGAAAATACAAAAAATTAGCCAAGCATGGTGGCACATGCCTGTAGTCTCAGCTACTCAGGAGGCTGGGGCAGGAGAATCACTTGAACCCGGGAGGTAGAGGTTGCAGTGAGCTGAGATCGCACCACTGCACTCCAGCCTGGGCTACAGAGCGAGAATCTGTCTCAAAAAAAAAAAAAAAAGAAAGAAAAGAAAAGAAAAAGAAAAATGCTGATGTCTGACCTCACATCCCCGGAATTCTGGTTTAATTATTCTGGTGGAAGACTGAAACATGAATACTTTTAAAAAGCTCTCCAAATAATTCTAATGCACAGTCAGGACTGAGAGGTCTGGTTTTAGTTTATCTGGCTTCACCATTTGATGCCACTTTCAGGTCTCTGTTGGATCCATGCTTCACAGCATGCAAACAAGTTGTTACCCATCCAAGTAAGCCAGAACTTTGCTGCAGTACTATGCTGCAGACCTGACTTGTCCAGCAAAGAAATTACAGCAGATGGCCACTATCTCTCCACTGGGGGACCTTAACTCATCATGTTCCCACAGAATCTTTTTTCTTCCTTAAATTTTGCCATTTTTTTTCCAATATATCTATGTCTCCCTTATTTTGCAACTCAAGGAAGGGGCTGTGTCATATCCATTTTTATTTTATCAGTATAATGCCTGGCATAAACTAGCAATCTGTACAGATGCACAGAATAAATGAAATGGATTGTTTTAGTGTGCTTGGTGGGCTTTCAGAACTTAAAATTCTTAAGTGAGGCATTAATATATGGAATGTGGATGATATGCATAGCTGCCTCCATTTCCCAAATATAGGCAAGAAAAACCTAGTTAAAAAAAAAAACAGACCAAAATAAACATTAGTTTATGTCACACAGAATTGTCCTACTGAAAATTTCAGAATAATGTTACTCATATCATAATTTCTAACACTTATTTATTGAGCTTACTATCATATTACTGGATACTTTAAAAAAGTATATATATATATATGTATGTATATATGTGCATATATATGTATGTATAGATGTATATATGTGCATATACACATATATGTGTGTGTAATATTTAAGCCTCAAAATGACCATGAACAGTACATGCTATTATAACTCCCCTTTTTCTGGAAAGATAATTCTGGCATGAAGAGGTTACATTTGGTTTGAATCCCATAGTAAGTGGCAGAACTGGGATTTAAACTAAGCAGTTTGTGTCCAGAGACTGTATCCTAACCACTACACTACACTACACTTTCTGCATACCCCACAGGCCACTGATGACCTGTCCAGTTCTAAAGCAAGTGAGGCTATTGAAGCTGGCATTTCCCTGATCCCTTCATGGGACTCATAAAGGGGATGCCCTGTTTACTGAGCCCACAGCTCTCGACTCCTTGCAGGAGGTAGCACGTGAGCAAATGAGGTGAGTACTGGGGCATACAAGTGCTGGAGTGAGCTGGCCATGCTGGCACTGGCAGGAGTGAACTCCTCTCACTTGGACTCATTACGTTCCATCCCTCATGAGAAGGGGGGGCACGCAGGTGAGCAGGTGCAGGAGCTTGGGCGAGTGCTTTTTGGCACCAGCAGGAGCCAATTCTGTGCTGGGCCTGTGACAGCATCTTGCAGGGGGTGTCTCCAACTCCCTGAAGCCCCAGAAGCAGTGTTACAGTGCTCTTGTCATTCTGCCATCTGCAGATGGCTTAGGCATTAACAGCTCAGTGGACCCTCTTCCTTTTCATGTGAGGTGACTGCCTTCTGCCAGTGAGGGCAAAGCGTCATTTACATCCACGCTCATGGCTCTTGAGTTCTTGTTGGGCATCCAGAAGGAATGAGGTCACGTGAACAAATTGAAGGATGGTAAATGTGGGGGATTTTACTGCTGATGGAGGTGGCTGTCAGTGGGAAAGGGAGCTGAAAAGGGGATGGGGCGGGAAGGTAATCTTCCCCTAAAGTCCAACTATCTCTGACTGGATTCTTATCCAAAGTTATGCCATGAAGCTGTCCCGCTGAAGTAAAGCTGCTACTCTCCAGTATCCAACCGTAGTCTTCAATGTTTAGCTGCTTCTCCTCTCTGCCAGATGCGTCTGGGGTTCTTATAGGCACAGGATGGGGTTGGGTGGGGCCATGGGTGGTTTTGGAAAAAGCAACATTCAAGTGGGAAAACAAGGATATAAGTTCTCACTTTGGGCCATGGTCTCAGGCTTGTCAGCTTAAGGATGGAGCCCTTGCCAGGGATCCGCCCTCTTCTGCCCAGAATTTTCCTGCCTCCTGTCCCTACCACTATCACCCTTATATTAAAACACATGCTCCTGTTTTGTTTGTTTTTGATATTTACTGGTTATATCTCATGTTATGCTCATAATCAACTTTCATCTTAATTTTTTAATGCCACAAAATCCCTTCAATTATGTTCTTGTATATTTAATTACTCTCTATAATCTTAATTTTTACATCAGCTTATAAATAACCTTAAAGCTCTAGAATTAAAAAATCAAGCAAATAAAAAATAAAAATCCCTCTCTGAAATTCATATTTATCTTCAATTGCCACCCCATCTCTCTCATTTTCCCTTTATTCTTATTACAGTATATTATTTCCCTTATTCTTATTACAGTATATTATTATAATTATATTTTATACCCATTCTTCAACTGTGATTTTATCCTTAATTCAGTGTAGCCTGATACCTACCCTCATCATTCCGTTAAAAACCATTCTCATTCTACCACCTGTGATTTCCATACTATTAATCTCCTTTAACCCCATTAATTTTCAGGACTTGAATTATTTGATCTTTCAGAAGCTCTGACAGTGTTATTAAAACACTCTTTCCTTTGATTTCCATGATGCTTCATGATTATGATTTTTATTCTGCTTCTCTGGCTGATTATCATTCTTCTTCGCAGACTCATCCTCATCTATGTAGTAATTAATGGAATTCCTCAAGCTTTACTCCTATGCCCTCTTTCCCCTTACTCAATGATCTCTTTGTAGATGATATTCTCCACCTGCATTAGTCTATTCTTGCAATGCTATAAAGAAACACCCGAGGCTGGGTAATTTATAAAGAAAAGAGATTTAGCTGACCCACAGTTCTGCAGGCTGTACAGGAAGAAAGGTGCTGACATCTGCTTCTGCTGAAGCCTCAGGAAGCTTCCAATCATGGCAGAAGGTGAAGGGGGATCAGGTGACTCACATGGAAAAAGCATGAGTAACAGAGAGAGGGAGGAGGTGCTAGGCTGTTTAAAAAACCAGCTTTTTCCTGTGAACTCATGGAAGGAAAACTCACTCATTACCACGAAAATAGCACCAAGCCATTCATGAAAGATCTGTTCCCATGATCCAAACACCTCCCACCAGGTCCCACTTCCAAAAGTGGGGATTATATTTTCAACATGAGATTTGGAGGGAACCAACATCCAAACCGTATTACCACCCTAAGATTTTTTTACCGCAATATTTGGGGTAGACATTTCTTCTGAGCTCCCAATAGCCTATTTGGACAAACTTTTTAATGTTTCAGGAGTCCATCAAGATTAGCGTGCCCCATGCTGAACCAACTGTTTTCTCCATGTATCCCCCTCTTTAAAAAAAAAAAAGTCACAGTGGGTGGTACCTTATTACATCTAGTTATGCAATTCTCACTCCCAGTTGTCTTTCTCATTTTTCCAGCATTTCTTTTTATTTCTACCACTTCTACTTCCTAATTGCTATGTCTACAATAATTCTCACATATTCTTTTTGTTCTCCACACTGGAGATTTTTAAAAAATATATATGTTTTATTTCATGTTATTAATAAAATATTTTATCTTAAAAGTAAACCTGATCATGTCACCAAAACAGAAACCAAAACAAACAAAACTTCCCTATTCCTTCCACTTTCAGTTAAAAACACTTCTTATAAGTCTTAGGACAAGGACCAAGTTCCTCACCATGGCCCAAGAGTCTGTGATGTTTTGCCCTCACCTACTTCTGTAATCTAATTGTGTAATATTTCTCTCCTGCTCATCCCCTACTATATGCCTCCACTTCAGCTGCATTATATTTCAGGTATATTAGTCTTCAACTTCTACAATCCCCCTTATTCCTCCTCCACAGAGCTTTAACCTATGCTGTTTTTCTGAATGGAGCACTGATTGCTCCTCTTCTCCTCTCAAGTTACTATTTGCTCTTCGGGTCTCGATTCATCATTATTTTTTTAAGAAATTAATCCCTAATATTGCTTACTAGGTTACATTTCTCTACAACTTGATCTCACAGTAGTCTGTCTTTTCCATTTTTAGCACTGATCCAAGTTTAATGTAAAATTAAATTTTTGTCAATATCTGTCTTCCTCATTAAACTAGAAGGGTCATGAGGAGAGAGACCATATCTATGTATGCTTATTTTTATTCCCAACACCAAGCAATGGCTGGTACAAGGAGTCACGAAAAAGATATTTTTAGTGGTTGAAAAAGTGTCATTCATACTGACTATTGTTAAGATCATTTAAGACTTGCTGTACTTAGGAAGGTTTTCTGCACTTAGGAAAGTTTTCTGCTATTTTTTTTTCCATTTTGTAGAAGTCAAAAGTTATTCCAGCCTTGATAGTTTTTCTGAGGCCCCATACAATGCTTATTTGAAACTTAACTCTTGATTTTCTCAAGTACTTTTTTATTCTAAGTTACACAAAGCTGTATTAGTCATCTAAATGTTAATATTGACCCTTGAAAATCACTTTGTCTTCCCCACTACAGAATCTAGCACCCTCTCTTCACCCTCTCAGCCTAAACCCTGCGCAAACTTCCCCTCGATTCTCTTCTCCAGCTGACAGGCTGGTTCTGGGGGAGACGAAGAACATGGAGACAAGGACTTTTTTCTCCTTTTTCACACTTTGGTCAGTTGACAAGTATTTGAGTCTGTGTCTTCGCTTTTCTATTTATGAGTGATTCTGGGAGATATTTAATAATTTTTCAACCATTTCCGTCTTTTTTTCTCTTGTTTTTTAATTTTTAATTTTTATTTTAAGTTCCGGGGTACATGTGAAGGATGTGCAGGTTTGTTAACATAGGTAAATGTGTGCCATGGTGGTTTGCTGCACCTACCAACCCATCACCTAGGTTTTAAGCCCAGCATGCATTAGCCATTTTTCCTAAGGGCATTTCAGTCTTTCCAGGTGATTCTCCTCCTCTCTCCCCTGCCTGGCACACACAGACTCACACATGTCTGAGAGGCAGAGATTCATCACAGATTCTTACCTGTGGCAACAGATGCTCACTGCAGAAATCAGCTTCAGATTGATTCACATAAGACAATCATCCTTCCAAAGACAGAGTTCCCACAGTAAGAGAGGAGAACACGTTCAAATTAGAGTTGAATAAATAAAAATGAAGAGTGCAACAGAGAGAGGACCACACATGTAAGAACCACTCATTGAGTGTCAGAGTGTCATTGTGGCAAATAACATAAAGATTACCTAGTTCAGCTGCCTTCTTTTATAGATTAGGAAACGGAGGCCAAAAGAGTTTGGAAAATTTGCCCCTGTAGCAAAAATAGCTATTTCAGGAGCAAGAATCTTCTGTTTTCCAGGCTTATTCAGAGACAAGTCACTGCATGCCTATAGGTGTCTATGACATTGCCAGCCTCTCTGGATAGTGTCTTGTCTATCCCATTGAAAACTTCACTGTCTCTCATCTTTGAACTAAAGTTATTTTAAAAAGTCTGAAAGGCAAACAAATCTAAATGGTAACTTTCCTTTACATATTTCCTAGAAGATCTTAGAAGTTATTTTTGGTCCTATCCTTGGTCCCCACACAAAAAAAGGATCATCGTATGTATTTCTACTGGGTGAATATTTCTACTAATCCTTGAACCAGTTTTCACCTGACATTGGGCATTTAGTTCTAAGAAGTGGGGCAAGGCAGTATAGAACTAGCTATAATTAAAAAGGCGGGAAAAAGATGTTTTAAGTGGCTATAGGAGAGTAAAGAAGACATGTCTCTGGCTACCTGACATTGGTTATTTGTTGTTATAGGTAGGAAATGACCAAAATCTAGAAGACAGGCTGTTGGTCTGTAATGATTGAAGTTCAGTTCCTAACTCTATGAGATTAGATGCTATTTTTCTCACCTTCATCCTGAGATCTATTTTTTCTTTAACATTAAAAATCACTAAGGAAAATTTCTGAGTACATTTCAGGGGATGCTATTTTTCAACAAGTATTCTTAAAGGCATGTAATACATGAGGTGCCTTTATAGATGCCTGATATCTCCCTTCCCTTCTCCCTCTAAAACAGTAACCAAGATAGATAGAGGCTTATTTCACATTTCACTCATATTTGAGCACATGGAAGCAGCTTTCAGCCTCTCTGGCCTGAAGGGATTATCCTGGCTTCTGCATCCTCCATCTAAGATGTACAGTAAGAACTAAATAAATGGCAGAATTATTTTGAATATTACACTGAATTCCCAACTTAATGAATTACTTCCTGAAAACTAGATTCGTACCTGTATAAAATACTGCCATGCATCTCTATCCTCCATTTTTCTTGGTGTATTCGGTTGGTGCAAAATACCCATATCTATGTTCCTGCCTGCTGTGACCTCAGTATCCCCCAATAACCTATCCAGAGCCATCCATGGGCTAAGCTGCCTCTTGTTGCCCATCTCTAGGGTCTCCAAATAGAAAGTTATTTTTCTTAGACGAGATATCCTCCCCTTACCAATAGTAAACTTTTCTCTTTTTCGTTTTTGATACCTGGTCTATTCTATGGACACGTCAAATTAATAATCTCATGTTCTTTCCAGTGTAGAAGGCCTTCCATGGCAAGTCATATCATGAGCTAAGCCACTTGTGGATTGCCTAGGCAAGCAAATCTCTTTTATCCTGATTCATTGGTTTTCACTCTTCATGTTCAATCAAGGGTCTGCCTGCCTTGCTACTGATTCTATCTCCAATCCTGGCTCTTCCCAGGGCAAACTGTGGCCTAGCTCCTGTGACTGCTTAGGATATTAGGGAAAACCTATAACTACAGAGATAAGCTAATTGACAATTTATGATTTTCAAAGTAAACCATATTATTAAATTTTGGCCCAATTCCTTCATTGACACTAAGTGCTTGGTCATTCAAAATATTTTTTCATTTGTTTTAAGGCATCAATAATGATACTAATCAAAGCCTTCCAAACTAATTAGATCAAGTGACATCTATCTGGATAAAACAAATTACAATTATGAGGTTTATGCTGATCAATACTAAAACCAAAAGAAGATATTATTAGTGGAAAGATTGTTTCACTGGCAGTATGTATGAGACATTGAGGAGGTCAGATCACTTGCCTTGGGCAATCAGAATAATTTAGAATCAGAGAGCTGGAATAAACCTTGAGCATATTATAATGAGACATCCTCACATCTAGAGCATCCTTGATGGTGGCCTGAGAATGCAAAGCCAGCAATGACAAATGACAGGTGGCCATTCTCTCTGGTACATGTGTCTCAAAATTGTCAAAACTACAAGAATGACAAGAAGGAAAGGAAGTTTTACAAAGTAATTCTGTTGACTTTTGAGAGCAACTTAAATTCAGATTTTCAGATAAGAAAGCTAATTTCCATAGCAGTTATTATATAGAGTTTGCCAAAAGAATTATTTAGGATAATTATTGCTATACATACCTGCTGTATGCCAGACACTGTATTTTTATAACCCTCACAGAACACTATGAAGTAGGTATTAACGGATCCATTTTATAAATGAAAAATCAGATAGGCCAGTAAGGTGAACTTTGTCTAGAATTATTCAGCTAATAAGTAGAAAAAAAATGGATTTGGACCCAGAAATGCCTGACACCAGTTCTATGGTCTTTTCAAAGCACTTTGCTTTTCTTCATTTCATTCAGAAAGCCATGCTTTTTATAAGTTGCTTCTGATTTCAACTTAGGTGATAACTTTTATCATCCAGGCATTATATGATATATTATACAAAACATTTTGTTTCAAAATAGATGGCTATTTATGTGGTGATCTGGGGAAACATTATTTCACCTGAATTAGGCCACAAGCATATCACTGTCACTAATGTAATGATGAGAATACACAACCGATGCAAATTTGAAGACAAGGAAGCCAGGAAGGGTGTATCAATTTGAAAGATGTGTTATTTTGTATTGGATGTTAGAGAAAAGAAGAAAAGGGACAAATAGGTGGCAAAGACTGCTTATAAGCTGCTATGAGATTTTTGCTGTATTTGAAGGGAGTGCAGGAAGAGCTTTTTGGCTGAACAACTGTCCATGTGGGTAGAGTCAGGAGTGGTTAGTTTTGAAGCATCTTAGTTCTAAGGCACCTACACATAAATCTGTCTCGTTCTTCTTACCAGTGACTGAATTCACTTCTGTTTTATTTCAGCCAAAGAAAATTTTAAATCTATAGTGGATTGAGTAGTGGCTCAATAGAGTTCTGTCCAAATCCTTATCCTCAGTACTGTGAATGTGAGCTTATTTAGAAATGGGGTGATATGGTTTGGCTGTGTTCCCACCCCAAATTTCATCTTGATTTGTAATCCCCATAATCTCCATGATCCCCACGTGTAAAGGGAGAGACGAGGTAGAGGTAACTGAATCATGGGTGCTGTTTCCCCCACGTTGTTCTTGTGATAGTGAGTTCTCATGAGATCTGATGGTTTCATAAGTGTTTGGTACTTCCTCCTGCATTCATTTATCACCCCCTGCTGCCTTGTGAAGAAGGTGTCTTGCTTCGCCTTCACCTTCCACCATGGTTGTAAGTTTCCTGAGGCCTCTTCACCCATGCAGAACTGTGAATCAATTAAACTTCTTTCCTTTCTAAATTACCCAGTCTCGGGCAGTTCGTTATAGCAGTGTAAGAACAGACTAGTACATGGTGTCTTTGCAGATGTAATTATGTTAAAAATCTAGAGATGAGATAATCCTAGAATTAGTGGATGGGCCCTAAATCCAATGAAATGTGTCCTTATAAAAGACAGAAGCAGAAAAGACAGAGGAGAAGAAAGACAAAGGAAGAAGCTTGTAAAGACAGAGGTAGAAATGAATTGTACTGCCAGAGGCCATGGAACAGCTACAGTGACCAGAAGCTGGAAGGGGCAAGTGAGAATTCTCCCCTGGTGCACACAGAGGAGTCCCACCAGCATCTTGACTTCAGACTTCTAACCTCCACAATTGTGAGAAAATACATTTGTGTTGTTTTAAGTCACCCAGTTGGTGGTAATTTGTATAGAAGCCTTAGGGAACGAATACAAAGTCCAAATAAAAATCTGTCTCCCTCAAATCTTTCTATTCTTTGCTCTGGCCAAGAGGGAGTAGATCCTTCACCCTTCTCGTAAACTATATGCAACGTCATTATGCACGAACTGAAATGTATTCACACTTTACCATGTCAGCTTGAAGTTCTCAATCCCTACAATAAATCTGACCATTAAGGGTTTGAACACATAGTTGAGAAAAGCCAGAAAGAGCCCTGGGATCACTTTTCCGAATGCTTTCTTTCTTATCCATCAAAGTCCACTGCAAAATGCTGTGTCTATAAAACCCATGCCAATATTTCTAGGAATGAGAATAGCAAGAGAATGGACTACTCGCTTGGATTTAACAGTTGGGTGGATCTGTAATCATTTGGGAGTAACAATATTCTCAATATGTTCCCCTCTCTCTTTAAGTTTTATTTTAGATAATATAGTCAGAGTTGTTAGTTGATCAGATATGGTACGATTTTGTATATTGTGGCATGAAAGATAAACTGAACTTTTTCTACTGCAATCGCCAATCCCATTTTTTAGTAAGCATTTCAGCTACCCAGGAAAAGTGTTTTCCTGCTGATAAATTTAAGCATGGAACCATAAAACACTGGCTGTTCCTTCCCTCCACATGCCTTCTTCACTTGCATTCCTAAACAAGCTGCACTCCAAATCCCATGTCTGCTTAAGCACCCACAACTCTTAATGGTGACTTTTTAATAACTGGAGGTTTTGGATAAGGGGAGTTTTGGCAGAGTATTCAGAAGTTTGGGTTTAACCTAATCTTGAGAAAATGTCAGGTTCTGGAATGGATACAACTATCCAGAAGCTCAAACACTTAAATGCATAAAATTAGGGAAATTTTTTCCTTTGTTTTTTCTCAATGTCTTATACAATAGTACACTTTAAGCTTTTTCATTGAAGTATTTCTATGCTGCCATTCTCAGATTCAGGTTCAACTAATATCTATTAAATATCTATAACCTCCCAGAGAAGGTTGGATGATTTACATACTTTATCTCATTAAATCCTGGAAAATAACAACGTAAAGGCAGGAATTATTATCCCTTTTTATCTTTACAGCAGATAAAGAAGCTAAGGGACAGAAAAATTTAATTACTCATCCCAAATTTACCCTGAATAAATCTCAGAGCTATGACTCCAACTCTGGTCTTTAGATCTAAATTTATTATTTATTTCCCATTTCTTTTTGTTTAAAAAGTTGAATTGGTCAAGCATTTCTTAATATGCCATGTATATAAATTCAGGTATTCTGAATGGGCATTATTTCACAGTAGCACTTACCATGGCAGTAACTGCAGAAAATGAGTTCTTCAGAGTAAGTTATAGTTGAAGATCATTATGTACAGGGAAATTTAATTTTATAAAAAACCAAATTGGCCTTCAAACTGCAAGCATTTAAATTTTAATGTGCTAATTTTAATTAAGTTTAATTAATGCTGCTGAGCTTGGTAAATTTAAAGAACTTCAAATGATACCCCCAGAAGCTCTGAAACATCTTTCTTATTTGTCAAAACCTGCCTTCTGGCAGAATCCCAACTCATGCCTTCACAGAAATTGCTTACTCTTTGCTCTTTCTGAATCCATTCTATCATTTATCCATTTGTTATGAAATCTGATTTGTAACTGAATCTTTGTCCAATACTTTATCAGAGAGAGCTATGAACTCTGGGATTATTCATGATCTTAAATAGTGCAACTGAGTTCTGCTGCCCTCCATTTATAGCTGGGCTGTGTCTTCTAGGTTTGCTCCAATTCATGGTGCGTCTTGTTACATATATCACAACTGGTTCTTCAGGGATGAAGGTTCTACCCCTATTTCCACCTTGCAAATTAATGTTGAGGGAAAGACCTGAGAGCCTAGCATCTCATCCTCCAGAGTTTCCAGATTCTGTGTCTGGATTCTTGAAAGATACAGCGTAGATGTCCTTTAAAACCCCAAGTGGAGGTAGAGCATGGAGCTGATCATTCAGATTTGAAGGTAGCAGAAACATTCTGGAAGCTGTTAGAGTGAAGAGCTTTAGAGTTTTTTAGATTGAAGACTCTAGAGAACTCTGACATTTAAACTCCTAATGTCAGTTCATGTAACAGTTAGGAAATTTTTCTTAAAACTGCCTCAGGCTCTTCAGCCAAGTTCCTTACTATTTTCAGGTCTCCACATGACTCTGTCACTCTCTGCCATTCTATTTCACCTTTTCTCCAGAGGTCACATAACTCTACCTTCCTGACTGTTATCCAAGATGAGTAATACTTGTCCTTACATAAATTCAGTCTCACCACCTGTGCACCAGCACCTAGCCCACCACATCTCAAAAACTTGACTTTAGGAACTCTTCATTTATCTCACATTATCTCTCTCTGCTACAAAAAGACATTTCTCTTATAAACATGCTGCTGACTCTCCCACCTTAAAACAAATCTCCAAATAAAACTAAAACAAAATTTCTCTTGATTTCATTTCCCTGCCAGCTACCACCTCATTTCTTTGCTCCTATGTATAGAAAAAAATGTTTAAATTGTTGTTCCTATTCACTATCTCTAATTCTTCAGCTCCTATTTTATTTTAAAGGCTCCTAGTGGGCTTTTATTTATAGTACCAGTTTGCAGCGACTTTCCTAAGACATTATTTTCTAACTACTGATTAGCTCTTGTACTTATCTTGCATATCCCAAGAGCAGAAGTTATCATGGTGGACCACTTCTTTTACATCAGCTTCCAGGTGCCATACTCTCCCAGATCTCATCCTACATCAATCATAATTGCTTTGTCTTAGTCTCACTTGCTAGTTTTCCCTCTTTATCCCATGACTTCCAAATTTATATCCAGGGGAGACCTCTCTCTTAAAACTCAAGGCCCATATAGTCTACTGCCTTCTTAAATATAGTATTTAACATGTCAAAACTAAACTCTGGAAAACATGCTCTCTCATATGCAAACCTGTGCCACCTGCAGTCTTTCCCTTCTCAGTTGGTGGCAAGGGCATCTTTCAATTGCCCAGTTCAAAAAACGGTAAGTTGACTCCTCTGTTTATCACATAGGTGATATCCAATCCACTGGGAAATCCTGTTGGTTCTAGCTTCAGAATATATTCAAAAGCTGTACACTTCTTACACCATTCACTACAACACCCCTGTTGCAAGTCACCATCATCTTAAGGCTGTACTATTCCATTAGCTACCTAACTGGTCTCCTCCCATCAGCCCTTGCTGCCCCTCAGCCTGTCCTCAACAGAACAGCCAGTGTATCCTCCTAAAACACACGTCAAATCATGTCATTCTTTTATCCCAAAGCCTTCAATGACAGCCCATTTAATTCTGGGTAAAAGCCAAGGTCTTGGCATTTTATAGTAGATGTAATGGTTATGTCACAGTAACTGCTATTCATGACACAAATTAATCATTTACTTATTATAAAAACTAAAAGAAATTGTGTCCCTTAAGAAATTCTCTAAATTTTTGTAGTGAAAAAGAAAGTTTGGTAGAATGATATGTGAAAGGTAAAAAAAAAAAAATCAGACATTTTTAATATAGTCAACTCAAGAAGCAAATATTGAACATCTGAGATAATTAAAACAGCACATTAGATAAGCTAGAGATTAAAATACATAGACTAGAATTTTAGGGACTCATATGCAGTTGAACCTTCAACAACACGGTATTGGGGCATTGGCCCCCCTCATGGTAAAAAATCTGCATATAACTTTTGACTCCCCCACAACTTAAATACTAATAGTTTACTGTTGACCTTATGAATAACATAAGTAGTCAATTAACATATATTTTGTATATATATTATATACTATATTATAATAAAGTAAGCTAGGGAAAATAAAATACTATTTAAAAAATGAGGTAGAGAAAATATATTTACTATTCATTAAATAGAAGTGGATCATCATGAAGATCTTCAACCTTTTCATCATCAGATTGACAAGGCTGAGGAGGAAGAGAAAGAGGAGAAGTTGGTCTTGCCAATTCAGGGGTGGTAGAGGCAAAGAAGATCTGCATATAAGTAGACATGCACAGTTCAAACCTGTGTTGTTCAAGGGTCAGCTATAGATACATATTCATACAGACTCATGACATATGAGTGATTCTTACAAGTCAAATTGTGATCATGCTTTAGTAAAGGTACAAAGTCTAAGAGATCATAGAGTAGGATCTGAGAATGAATTGATATTTAGAGTTTTGTTCTTTGGATGAGATTTGGAAAGACCTTGTGGTGAAGGATGGGTGTTAATGCTGAAGAAAGACATTGCATAGAGAAGGAAAACATAGGAGGAAATAAAAGGGGAAAATGTTCCAAACATACTATGTAAATAGTCAGGACATTGAGGGTTAAAATGCTTAGTTGGAAGTGAAGGATAGGGAAGTTGTATGTAGCACACAGGCAGAGACAAGTGGCAAAAGATTTGAAAGAGCTGATGACTGTGGATGCAGTATGTTTTTTTTTTTTTTGAGATGGAGTCTTGCTCTATCACCCAGGCTGGAGTGCAGTGGCGCGATCTCGGCTCACTGAAACCTCTGCCTCCCGGGTTCAAGTGATTCTCCTGCCTCAGCCTCCTGAGTAGCTGGGACTACAGATATGCACCTCCACATTCGGCTAATTTTTGTATTTTTAGTAGAGATGGGGTTTCAACATGTTGGCCAGCTGGTCTTGAACTCCTGACTTCAAGTGATCCACTCACCTCAGCCTCGCAAAGTGATGGTATTACAGGTGTGAGCCACCATGCCTGGTCTGATGCAGTATCTTGCATGTCAAGCCAATAAATGTATAAGCTTTTCTTTATTCCAAGAGAAGCCATTAAAAATGTTGAAGAGAGTGCTTTACTTGATTCACAGTTTTAGTTCAATTAACCCAATTATAATTTATTAAATAGCCAATCTGTCCTCATTATTATCCTAGATAGTTTGATATTCATAAAAATCACTCAGGCTATTGGACAAAAATACAAATTTCAGACTTACATCCAAATAAGAGCTGGTAGATCTGGCATGGGTCCCAGATATCCATATTTAGCACAAGCCCGTGAATGACTCCGGGCAATTGGTGTGAAGACTCAATTTGGTAAAATACTAATGTACAACATAAAAAGTGGTAGAAACCTTGTTAGCTGTGCTATCCAACATCCTGTATTTTAACTTGGGAATCAAGATTTCTATTCCAAGTCTGCAAAGATAAAAAAACCTTGAAGGTATGTGATACAGACATAAAATGCTCTCTTGACACATGTGATTTCTAATTCTTATGAAGTCAAATGTATCAATTTATTTTTCTAAGCATATATTTATATATATATTTACTTAGATGTATATTTTCTAAGTAATATATATATTTACTTGTATATATATTTTCTAAGTATATATTTATATATTTATACTTAGAAAAATCTCCATGACATTTATCTTTACAAGAAGTATTGTAATTTATGAATAGTTTCACATTAAAGTTTTCTAGGTTTTGTTTTTCTGAAAAGTGGAAAATAATGCGCTAATTTAATTTTTGAAACCCACTAATTTCCCCAATTATTTGTTAAATATACCACCCTTTCTAAGTTTATTTGTGATTTTTCTTTTTAATCATATGCCATATAGGAAATTAGGTTGAAATAAGGTGAAAACCAAAAATTATATTAATATATAATTTGCTCTTCTTTCAATTTTAAAACCTCAAAAAATTAAAGAATAGTAAAGTGAACATCAATATGGTCCTCTCTTAGGTTCAATAACTCTTTTCTCGGCTTGATCCTAGTCCCCATTTTATCTCAAGGAGAAGAGAAAGACTCTGTATCCCAAGGAGAGAGTAGAATCACAAAACTGTATTTTTCCAGATCTTTTTTCAACAACGAAAGATGCATTACAAACTAGCTGTGTACCTTGAGCAATTCATATGGACTGGTGTCATGAGAATAGCACTGAAATCTGACTTGGAGCCTTATAATGTAGATCAGACTTTGTCCCTTACTCTTACTATGACCAATAATAAAGTCATTGATCATAGACTTCTGTTTTTCATTATGTCAAATGGGGAGCAAATAATAGGTTAAAATGGGAAAATGTATTAGCACAGAGAGAACAACTCAATTAGGTAAACATCTTTTGAATATTATGTATGCTGACTAGATGAGCGAAAGGGATAGAGAAGGATCAGGTGGTGTGGAGATAAATAAGATATACAGTGAGTGCTTAGGAGATATTAAGATAATAGAAAGGATGATTTTATATTTTAAACTCCAAGATGGTGAACAAAAACAAAATGTGGTGAATTTCAGAGTGATCCAAACATGGAAATGGGCCTAGGTATGTGATTAATGACAAAGAACAGGTAGGCAAATTACTAGTTATTAAAAGTCATATTTTACTCATGATCTATGTTGGAATGCAAAGTATTACACGATTTTCAGCAGTAATTTGTTATATTGATAATGCATGCCATGGAAGAAGCTGGGTAGCACTTGGTAATACAAAGTTTTCAAAATACAAAGTGGTAAGTAGTAGATTCAGTTAATTAGTAATGGATAATCCATGTACAATTCCTGCCTTCCAGAAGGCAACAGTTGGAGATAACAATGACAATACTAAAGGTATTAAAAAGAATATAGAGAGATGGCCACACCTAAAAGATGGACAGAGAGAATATCCATGTGGTGATTAAGTCGTGCATGGTGAAGTAGGAATGTATGATGGGGGAGAAAGCCCTGATTGGCTTTCTATAGTCATCGACACTGGCAAAAAAATACCCATTAGCTGAATTTCTGTTATCTGGTCCACTCCTCTCCTGTTATGTGTGACTATTTATGGGACAGCAAATACTCAAAAAAGTTTCATGGTTAATGAGTGGGTTAATGAACCCACAGAAAGCACTTTAATTAATTCCCCTTGTGGCAAGAACCAGGAGACAGGACTGAACCTGAGCACTTGCACTGGAGATGTGCAAAATCCTAGCACTAGTACATAGATGACATCTGAGAAGAAGAACTACAGTCTGCATTCTACCTGAGAATATTCTTAGGATAATTGACAATTAAATATTTTTCAAAATGTGGATTCATATGAGTAAAATTGAATTCTCTTTTTTCCCTCCACAAATTGACATCTCTTTGAAATCAACAGCCTCATCAATTTCCCAATCACCTACACTTGAAGAACTGCATGTCATTTTTTATGTTCATTCTTTCACAAGTCAGTAATTTAAAAAATTTAACAATTACTTATTGAGAACTGAGTGTTGTGCATCACACTATATAATGTACTTAATTACCTAATTTTATTCTGTCAAAACCTTTCTGAGGTAAGTATTATTAGCTGATTATACAGATGAGGAAAGCAAAACTGATAAAGTAATTTGATTACAGTTTTCCTGCTGTATCAACCAAAATTTAACATAAATGAATGCCTATTACACACACACGTGTGCGTGCACACACACACACATGCATGCATGCACATAGTTCAAATGGATCCGCATCCTCAAATAATACATTTTAAGGACAAGAAAAGGAGGAAGAGGAAACCTGTAAATTAAAAGATACTTAGTAGACATATACATATGTATTTTGATAATGGAAGAAAAACTGTAGGGTTTGAAGATGCACATCTGGATGAAAAATTGTAAAATAAATACAAGGAATAAAAAATTGAGGTAGTGATTACCACTTGAGAGAAGGGAGTGGATTGAGAACCAGAGAGTAAAGTATGTTTTCTAGTAAGTTTCTCAAGAAAAGATCATGGGAATAAATTTCCCTGAGTCCTTGCATGTTACTAGCAGTTTATTCCTTCCCACTTGAAAGTCAGTTGAGCTGGATATAAAATCTGTGGTTCATATTTTCTCTCCTTACTATCTCTTAATACTCGTAACAACTGAAACATGCTATTTCATTTTCTTCTGGCATACAATGTTTTGATATAATTTTGTTTCCCTTACAAGTCACTTTTTTGCTTAGTTACCTTGGAGGTTTTATATATCATTCTTTTTCTTCAAAGTTACATTATTTTGCTATATTATATTTTGACGTTGGTCATTCTGGGTTACATAGTATCCAGTTTGATATGTAGTCTCAAGTCTTTTTTAATGTAATAAATATTTTTGAAATATAATTTAATATTCTGTTCTCTTTGATTTTCAGAGACTCTTATCATCTATAAGTTGAATCTTTTCTGCTTATACTTTGTATTTTTGGAAGCTTTTTATCTTTTAATTTTTTGTTGATTTTTCAATTTTTCATCCTTTGCACCTTCTATGTTTTCTATGGCAACATCATTTTGTTTATCCCTTTTAGGTTTCTTGCAATTTAGCCTTTGTATTAGTTCTCTACTGCTGCATAACAAGTTGTCACAAAATTTAATGACTTAAACTAACAATAAAAATTATTTCTCACGATTTTTTTCTGAGTCAAGAATTCTGGCATGGCTTGGCTGAGCAGTTTGACTCAGAGACTCTTATGGGGTTGCAGTTATTTGAAGAACTGATTGAAGGATGAAAGATTTACTTTCAAGGTAGCTAATGCATATGGCTGGCAAGCTGATGAAGACGATTAGCAGGAGGTCTCAGCTCCTCTCTGTGTTGGCCTTTCCACAGTACTAACAAACAGAATGAGCTCAACAGGTAGAAGATAGCTTCTCCCAAAACAAGAGATCAAAGAGGCTAAATGGAAAATGCAACACCTTTTATGGCCTAGCCTCATAAGTCACATGTCGTCTCTTCCACAGTACCCTATTGATCAGTTCTGTGTCAATGTAAAGGAGTACTAAAGAAAAATACAAATATTAGAAGACAAAAGTCATTGAAGTCCATCTTGGAGGGTGCCTATCACAAATTAATATCTGGAATAATTTTTAAAATAATATGTATGTACATATGTTGTGAGTTCTGTCATCTGCTTTATGAGTTTTCTTCTAACTCTGAATTATGTTGTTTATACCTATCTATTTCTTAATGTCTGTTAACATTTGTCAATATAAAAAGTTATTGTTTTGATCTGTCCTTTGAGCAAGTATTTCTGGTGTGTTTTGTTATGTATAAAAATGTTTTTTTTGTTCAGTAGTCTATTTTCTTTTATGACAATTGTTATAACATTTGACATTAATATTTTTCTATTACTTATTTTTATATTGTGAGTTCCTATTACTTATTTTATATAGTGAGTATTTATTGCCTGTTTTGAGATTCCACTCTTCTCTGGTGCATTAGATGTCCTATTGCAGCCCCGTGCTCTCTTAAAAACAGAGATGGTTACTATGCACATAAAATGGCTGTTGGTTGTCTTTACCACTTGTGCTTTGGAGCTCAGGAGGTTGACTTGTCACTTAAATTTTTTTTTTAATAAGTTGTCAGTAGGTTTTTAGTATTTCTATTTAGTTGTCCTCTTTGTTTTTATATTGATAGTTAAAGGTATCCAAAGCTATGCTGCCACCACCTACCATTTCTAAAATCTCTTTAGTGATTTCAATCTTAATGTGAATGCTGCTGCCATTAATAATTTCTCAAATGTGCCTGAATATTTATTTTACTTTTTTAGGGTTGATAATCCTATGTTTGTGCATCTGATTACCTGGCCTGTGGACTATGCTTCTATCAATGGGCAGTGAGATGAAATATATGAAATATATGGCCCTAAGTGTTCATCTATACTCAGGCACACATGTGTACACACATGCATGCATTTTCTTATATTCAAAAATAGACTATTCTGATTCTTATTAATTAGTGTAAAAAAATCAAGTCCAAGATTTTTGGACTTGCACTTTTCTGGGCCTTTGTAATCTTGAATCAATATTGTAAAATCTACAGACTAAAATTTAAAGTTAAGACTACCAATGCATACAATGCACAACAGAAGGTGAAAGGGAAAAGAAAGGAAAGCGAAACTGGTTTTAAAAATACAACTACATATTTTGACATGCAACTGAATATGCATTTTAGCTAAATGCTGGATGGCTTAATGTTAAAATTAATAGTCAGCTGAACCTTGATATTTCCATCTTAAAATTAACTTTTAGAATACAGAAACAAATCTTAAATATTACTGCAAATATAAATATTATTAAACTTTTCATATTGAAATTTTAGTGGTGAAATTTTGTAAGTTTGAAATTATGGTGCAAAAACAATAATTGCTCTGCTGTCAACTACTAGATTACTTCTAAAATCATTGTACTGCCTATTTGTGATTCTAAATAGATGTTGGCTTTCATGCTTTTCTTTAAGGTTACATCACTTTCTTCAATAGTTTTATTTCATACTATTTTTATTCTTTAATATATTTGAATCAAAAATATAAGATTAGGTATTTATATAAGATATAGTTGACTTCCTCTTTTCTTATTTGAATGCCCTTTATTTATTTCTCCTGCCTGATTGCCCTTGATAGAACCGCCAATACTATGTTGAACAGGAGTGGTGAGAGAGGGCATCCTTGTCTCACAGTGGTATTCAAGAGGAATGCTTCCAGTTTGATATTGGCTGTGGGTTTGTCATAGATGGCTCTTATTATTTTGAGGTATCTTCCTTCAATACCCAGTTTATTGAGAGTTTTTAACATGGAGATATGTTGAATTTTATCGAAGGCCTTTTCTGCATCTATTGAGATAATCATGTGATTTTTGTCTTTAGTTCTATTTAGGTGATGAATCACACTTATTCATTTGCATATGTTGAACTAGCCTTGCACCCTGGGGATGAAGCCTACTTGATCACTGTGAATAAGCTTTTTCATGGGCTGCTGGATTTGGTTTGCCAGTATTTTGTCAAGGATTTTTGCATCAGTGTTGATCAAGGATATTGGCCTGAAGTTTTCTTTCTTTCTTTCTTTCTTTCTTTCTTTTGTATCAGGATGATGCTAGCCTCATAGAATGAGTTGGGTTGTCCTTCCTCCTTAGTTTTTTGGAATAGTTTTTATAGGCATGGTAGCAACTCTTCTACCAAATCCCAAACTATAAAAACCCTAGAAGAAAACCTAGGCAATACCATTCAGAACATAGGCATGGGCAAAGATTTCATGATGAAGATGCCAAAAGCAATTGCAACAAAAGCAAAAACTGACATACGGGGTCTAATTAAACTAAAGAGCTTCTGCACAGCAAAAGAAATTATCAACAGAGTAAACAGACAACCCATAGAATGGGAGAAAATTTTTGCAAACTATGCACCTGACAAAGGTCCAATATCCAGCATCTGTAAGGAACTTAAACAAATTTACAAGACAAAAACAAACAACCCTATTAAAAAGTGAGCAAAGGACATAAACATTGACATTTTGCTTTTATTTTATACTCACCAGATGTTACGAATCCCTAATAAGGCTTTTCTTAAAATACTCATGTCTTTAACTTAATTAAGTCATTAAATATATATACATGTATAATTTAATTTTATGAAGGCTAATATATAGAAATTATTTACTGACTGAGATTAAGATATACACAAATTTTCATTACTTTTTCTTATTAATTATACCTTATGAACATCTTCTAGTTCAAAATAATAAAGTTTTTCTAATATTATGTAATAAATTATGTCTTTGTATTAACTGTCAAATTATGTCTCCATTTTTGAGCTATATGAGAGTTTTTTGTAATTATTTTTATTCATAAAATTAAACCCATATATCAACCTAATTAATTATGACAATATTTTGCTACTATGATAATACATATATTTTTCCTTGACCTAACTGATGGACTTTCAACATGTAAAATGTACAAGAACAGTATGTCAAGGTAACATCATGAATATTTATCTATATGTGATAATGAATATTTAAATATTAAAATATATATGAATATTGATTGACCAATTTAAACAAATCTTCCTTTCATCTAAAAAATTAGCAATAAATTAGACAAAATATATTTTTAAAATATAGCTTGAAGACATGAGATAATTAGAAAAGTGGTGACAAATTAATATCGAAGAGAGAAACTTAAAGATGTAATTCCTGAATTTTATGGCTACTTTTTCCCTAGGGTTAACTTTTGGCTCTAGAAGAAATGAGAAGAACGTAAGAAGCTGAACAGTACTTTTGATGGTTTCTCAAGATGTACAAACAAAAATTGGAGCCCTGGATCCACCAAGCTTGGGTTGGAGGCCTAGTGAACCTCCTACATCTTAGATTTGTATTATAAATGGTTAAATTTTAGAGCAAGGGTGAATCACAAGTGTGAAGTAAGCCCTCACAGCAACTGAAGGCAAGTTTTGACTTGTCTTAAACACTGAAATTGGATTATGTTGATCCTTGATTGATTATATCCTTAGTCATTTTTCATAAGCAAATTAAATCTGATCTGGAGGAAATTACTATCATTCTAGGTCTCAAATTATTTTAATAGTCTTTCAAATAAATTTTCTGGTATTCACAATCAAAAGAACAGACACATGAAGAGTTCTGTGAGTAGAATTGTGTTTCCCAAAAGACATGTTGAAGTTCTTGCTCCTGGTAACTGTGAACGTGATCTTATTTGGAAACAAAGCCTTTGCAGATGTAATGAAGTTAAGATTAGATCATTGCTAGTTTGAGTAGACTGTAATCCAATAAGAATGGTGTCTTCATAAAAAGATAAAAGACACAGACTTAAACAGGGGAATGCCACATGACAACAGAGGTAGAGATTGAAATTATGTATCTGTAGTTCAACGAATGCCAAGGAAACAGGAACATAAAACAAATACAGGAGAAATAATACACAATGGAATCAGACCCACAGGACTCATGTTAAAATCATTATTCCTATATGTCTGGTAAAGATGGCATTTGTGAATTTACTGTTGAGTCTTCAGCTCTTCTTCAGCATAAACCGATGATAGTTAAAACATGAAAAGAGAACATTTAAAATTAAGATAAATATCTTCATGGACCAAAAAGTACATGGAAAGAAAGTGGTGACCAGAAGATAAACTATAGTATTGGTCACATCAAAGTCCAAAAATAGCGAAAGGGGGCTGAGGCTGTGAGTATGACTCCTAGAGAAATTACCAGAAAAGAACAACAAAAATACCTGGCACAAAGTGGGGGTCCTGAGTCAGGCCAACTGCTTAAAGCAGGGGATGGAGTGGGGGTCCCTGTCAACCACTGCCTGTGGCTGCAGTTTATATAAAGATCTCTGCCAATAAAGGCAGAGGACAAAGAGCCTCTGAATAGATCCTGAAACAAGCTGCTTTCTACTTATTTTTCCCCACAGAGTCACATACAAGATTTACATGTAAATAGTAGTGACAGAGGGTCTTGTGATTTTGTGGACATTACCACAAAATCACTAGACCTGGAAAGTAAGCTGAGAGAGAGAATGAATGAGAGAACCTCAAAATTCATGAAGAATACGGAGATTGCTCTCAAGCCACCAAAATCACTTTTCTTCTTGCATACAATGTCAGAAAGCACATCCAAGCTTCTTTGGACGTTAGATAAAACACATGACTATATATTTTTGTGTAGAATGTAAACAGCAATGCAATATGCTGCTTCCCATTTTGACCTACTAAATAAATCTTATGAATTATCCTCTATACCTCTATACTTTTTTCCTTGACTAGGATGGCTAATACCCAGGACAACTCTGAAAGCCATATACTGAAAATATGACAGGCATAATTCAATGATTCCCCACATGATTTTCTGCCCCCTTGTGTTGACCCAGTGATTCAATCAAATGTCAGTATAGGTGCTGCTGTGAAGAGCTTTTACCAATGTAATTAGGGCACTACATCAGTTGACCTTAAGACAGAAAGATTATCTTTGGTCAGTCTGACCTAATCAGATGAAACCTTAAAAAGAATTGGGTTCTTAATGGAGATTTGAAGTTTGAGAGGAATTTGACCTGAGAGATATTATCAGTTGCTGGCTTTGAAGAGGGAGGGGGCAAGAAATGAAGGTGGCCTCTGTGAGCTGACAAAGACCTGGCTGACAGCCAGCAAATACTGGAATCTCAGTTCCTCAGCATGGAAGAGAATTCTGCCATCCTCCTGAATGAGCTTGGAAGTAAAATCCCTAGAGCCTCCAGAAAGAAACACAGCCAGGCCAACACCTTGATTCTCTCATTGGAAAACAAAGAGCAGAGAATTTAGTCACGTTGTATCTCCACTTCGGACCTCCAGATCTCTGAGTTAAAAAATGGGTGTTATTTTAAGCCAGTAAGTGTGTGCTAGTTTGTTATGCAGCAATAGAAAACAAATACAGAAGATGGCAGGGCCACTGTCACTCTGTGTGTGAATAATCCCTATGGAGGAGAGCCATCCTAACTGAGATGAACACCCTTTCTTGACTACTATGCAAGTCTGAAATAAACAAATTGTTAAACTACTGAAATACTGAGTCTATTTTTTTACCAGCCTACTTTACCCTAATGAATACACTGAATGATAGAAACGAATTATGCCATTTATTTAACATTTACATATGAGCAAAACAGTAGTATCCATTTTGAACGAACTAATACACATTTGAATACTCACATAAGCATGGGCCAGAAAGAGATACCTTCACCTCTTTTGAACAGGTCTTAGAGAGAGACACCACTTCCGTGGATGGCATCCTGGGGCCAAATCTAGGGGAGTGTATTTAGATATAATCTAATGGGAATGAGAGTTATGTAACAAGTTAGTTTGAAAGGAAGGGTGATATAAGATGGATAAAGTATACAAAAGGGGCTATGGTGTGGTTTTAATTGTTAGTAATACCTGGAGTAAAAATGGCAAAATGTTAAAATTCATTAAAGCATGGAACTTTTTCATATATTTGAAATAGTTTATAATAAAGCGTGATTATAAACTACATGATAATTTATCTCTTATCACACATGCACACATGTATGGGAATTTAATTTATGACAAGGGTGGCACTATTAATATCCATATAACAATGAACACATGGCCGCTATTAGCAGTGGGGTATAATTTGTGCCACTGGCATTATTACTCTGAGTAAAATTTTTGATGTTAGTTTTTACTTTCTCATTACCCATCATACAGTAATGAAGTGGCCCCTAGGAGAGGAAACTTGAATTCTGAAAGTGAGCTTTAGCCAGGCACAATCGCACACACCTGTAGTCTCAGTTATTCGGGAGGCGGAAGCAGGGAGGATCCCTTGAGGCCAGGAGTTTGAGGTTGCAGTGAGCTATGATCAAGCCACTGCACTTCAGCCAGAGTGACAGCAAAAATTGGAGGTAAAACATGTCGAAAAAGGATCTCTTGGCCTTGTTCTGTGCAGGAGACATGCAAGGGAAGAAGAAAAGACACACACACATGACACCTTTAAGGGTAAACTCTGTTCTGTTCTCCCACACAGAACAGGCTTTCAAGGAGTCCTGAAGTTTCTTCAGGGAAATTCAGGGCAGGAAACTCTAAAGCATACCTTTTCCTAAGCTAGCAATACATAAGCCAGAAAGCATATGGTTACACTTATATTCTTTATTTATTTTTGTACTTTTTTTCTTTTTTTTTTTTTTTTGAGATGGAGTCTCGCTCTGTCACCCAGGGTCGAGTGCAGTGGCACCTCCGCCTCCCGGATTCAAGTGATTCTCCTGCCTCAGCCTACCAAGTAGCTGGGGTTAGAGGCACCTGCCACAAGGCTTGGCTAATTTTTTTTTTTTTTTTTTTTTTGTATTTTTAGTAGAGACAGGGTTTCACCATATTGGTCAGGCTGGTCTTGAACTCCTGACCTCATGATCCACCCACTTCATCCTCCCAAAGTGCTGGGATTACAGGTGTGAGCCACCGTGCCCGGCCCTGTCCTTCTAAATCTTTAGTAGGTTTTTAAGTCTTATTTAAAAGTCTTGTCTCTTGGCTGGGCACAGTGGCTCATGCCTGTAATCTCACCACTTTGGAAGGCTAAGGAAGGAGGACTGCTTGAGCCCAGAAGTTCAAGACCAGCCTAGGCCACATAGGCCCTGTCTCTCCATTTTTTTTTTTTTTTTTTAATTAGCTGGGCATGGTGGTTCGTGCATGTAGTCCCAACTATTGGGGAAGCTGAGGCTGGAGGATTGCTTGAGTCGGGGAGGTCAAGACTTCAGTGATCTGTGATTACACCACTGCACTCCAGCCTGGGCTACAGAGTAAGAATCTGTCTCAAAATAAGATAAAATAAAATAAAATAAAAATCTTGTCTCAACTATGCTAAGTGACATTAAAAAGTTGTTTGCATATTCTTGGTGACAGTGGTCATTAATAATATATTTTTAAGCGAAAATGAAACTGGGGACACAGGAAAAAGCTGCAACTATCAGCTGTTTGACCCCACATGGAGAGTCTCATTCTATGGTCAAGCTAAGAGAACATAGTTTTACAGTAGTGTTTCTTAAATGCTGTTAAGCTTATTTTCTAGAGATACAATTCTGATGCTGTCCCCACCCTCTAATGATCAGCATCCAAACTATTATTACATTAATTGATTACAAGGGTGGCACTATTAATATCCATATAACAATGAATACATGGCCACTATTAGCAGTGGGGTATAATTTGTGCCACTGGCATTATTACTCTGAGCAAAATTTTTTTTTATTGATACTTGAATTTCATCACAGTCTCTCACCTTTTTTCCCTATCCACACTCCAACAACTATCTTTGAAGTAGTTTCCATTTTCATCTCATTACTTTTCTTTTTCTTTTAGATTCATGGGGGTACATGTGAAACTCTGTTACAATAATATATTGCACGGTAATGACATATAGGTTTCTACTGACCCTGTCACCCAGATAGTGAACTTAGTACCCTACTACAAAGTTTTTCAGCCCTTGCCTTCCTCCACTTTCCCCACTTTTGGAGTCTCCACTGTCTGTTGTTCCCATCTTTATGTCCCTGTGTACTCAACGTTTAGCTCACCCTTGTAAGTGAGAACACGCAGTGTTTTGTTTTCTGTCTCTGCATTAATATGCTTAGGATAATGGCCTCCAGCCGCACCCATGTTGATGCAAAGGACATGATTTCATTCTTTTAAGTAGCTGTGTAATATTCAATGGAATGTATGTACTATATTTTCTTTATCCATTCTACCACTGATGGGCATCTAGGTTGATTCCATGTCTTTGCTATTGTATTAATAAATAGTGCTGCAATAAACATATCAGTACAAGTGTCTTTGTGGTAGAGAATTATTTAACTTTGAGGATATATCCAGTAATGAGATTGCTGGGTTGAATGGTGATTTCTCATCACATTATTTTCTGTTTTTCAGAGGCACCTTCCTACATACATTACCAGAAAAACAAAGCAAAACAAAACCTACTGCATATAGTTATTCTTCCTTTGTTCTACTTGCTCTCTACATAAGGAGGGTATTTGAAACTTCAGACACCATTTTGCTGCTATGAGGAAGCAAGTATGAAGATGAAAACTTGGCTAAAGCTATGGCTCTCAACTTCTAACATGCATAAGAAAAACAACTAGGAATCTGGGCTCTGATTCAGTAGGTTAGGGTGAATTTACCCATAAATTTACACTTCCGACACACTTCTGATGATACTGATGCTGCTTGCCCATGGACCACATATCGAGTAGTGCTAGGCTAAGATATGGCAGATAGAAAGAGCCTATGACTCTGTCCCAGAAAGATTGGGCTGCTATAACAAATTACCATAGATTGGGTTGCTTAAACCAGAAACATTTATTTCTCATGATTCTAAAGACAGACTTCAGAGATCCGGATGCCAGAATAATTAGTTTCTCGGTGAGGGCCCTCTTCCTAATTATTTCCTCACAGGGCCTTTCCTTGGTGTGTGTACACACACACCTACAGATCTCATGTGTTTCTTCCTCAAACACCTCATACTCCTGGACTGAAGTGATCCTCCTCCTCCACCTCCTCCTTCCCCTTCCTTTTTGAGACAGGGTCTCTCGCTCCCATCGCACAGGCTGGAGTGCAGTGGCATAATCACGGCTCACTGAAGTCCTGACTTCCTGAGCTCAGGTGATTCTCCAGCCTCAGGCTCCCAAGTAGCTGGGACCAAGAGGCGTGCGCTACCACGCCTGGCTAATTTTTGTATTTTTTGTGGAAATGGGTTTTCACCATGTTGCCCAGGCTGGTCTTGAACTCCAGGGCTCAAGAGATCTGCTCACCTTGACCTCCCAAGGTGCTGGGATGGCAGGTGTGAGCCACTGCACCTGGCCTCTTCCTTTTTTGAGGACATCAGTCCCATCATAGGGGCTCCACCCACATGATGTCATCTAAACCGAGTTACCTCCCAAAGGCTCCATTTCCAAATACCATCACTGGGATTAGGAATTGGGATTTCAACATATAAGTTTTGGGGGAACATAAACATTTAGTTCATCGCTGACAACATTGCAGAGCAGTTGAATTAATGGCAGCAATAGCTGTATTCTGGAATTTTTCTTATGTGAGAAAAATAAACCAATAGTTGTTTAACCCACACTTATTGTTTCTTTCAGCCAGTCTTATTCTGACTGTTAAAAATCATCATTATTATCAAAATCTTCAGCATTATTATCATGCTAGTCATTATTACACAGTGTGCTGGGCAGTATATGCATTCTTTAGATATAATTATTTATGCCTAGGTCAATACCCAGAAGAGTTTTTCCTAGGTTTTCTTCTAGAATTTTTATGGTTTAAGGTCTTAGATTTAAGTTTTTAATCCATCTCGAGGTAATTTTTGTATATGGTTAGAGATAGGGATTCAGTTTCATTCTTCTACATGTGGCTATCCTGTTTTCCCAGAGACACTGGGAATGCTTATAAACTGCTGGTGGGAATATAAACTAGTACTACCTCTGTGGAAAATAGCATGGAGATTTCCCAACTAAAAGTATATCTACAATTCGATCCAGCAATACCACTAGTGGATATCTACCCAAAGGATATCTATAAAGAAGTCATTATATCAAAAAGACGCCTGCACACCTATGTTTATCACAGCACAATTCAAAATTGCAAAGACATGAAATCAACCTAAATGCCCATCTACTGATGAGTAGATAAAGAAAATGTGGTGTGTATATATGTATACATATGCATATGTACACAAACACAGACACACACACATACATCATGGAATACTAAGCCATAAAAAAGAATGAAATCATGTCTTTTGCAGCAACTTGGATAGAACTAGAGGCGGTTATCCTAAATGAAGTAACTCAGAGACGGAAAACCAAAAGAGGGGATGTAGGGAGGAGGTGAGGGGTGAAAAAAATCACCTATTGGGTATAATACACACTATTTGGGCAAAAGCCCAGACTTCGCTATGCAATTCATGTAACCAAAAACCTCTTGGACCACTATAACTATTCAAATAAAAAATAATTTAAAAATTATATAATTTTCTGTCCAGGTGTGGTGACTCATGCCTGTAATGCCAGCACTTTGGGAGGCTGAGGCAAAGTGGATTGCATGAGGTCAGGAGTTTTGAGACCAGCCTGGTGAACATGGTGAAACACTATCTGTACTAAAAAGACAAAAATACTAAAAATACAAAAATTAGCTGGGCGTGGTGGTGGGCACCTGTAGTTCCAGCTACTCGGGAGGCTGAGGGAGGAGAATCGCTTGAACCTGAAAGGTGGAGTTTGCAGTGAGCTGAGACAGTGCCACTTTACTCCAGCCTGGGTGACAAAGCAAGATTCTATCTCAAAATAAATAAATAAATAAATAAATAAATATTTTAAAAAATTAAAAAGTTAAAAAATATATAATTTTTTATCAACCCTTCCAGCAATTCTGTGAAATGCATATAGTTTTCTCTATGATAGAAGAAAGTAAGAAACAGTTTAAATGGTTTAGCCCAGGTTATATTTAGAACGCTGCTCTGCAAGCCAAATTCACTCAAATTCCCTTGTTCTTAACCTGTGTTATAAACCACCTCCTACATGGAACATATATTTAACAAAATTTGGTGGATGATTTACATTCTCTTGCATCATTCTAATCAGAGACTTTTTGTCTTACCATCTTACATGACTTACTACTTTCTCTAACATTGTTTATTCATTTCCACATAAACACTTAATGCTATGAGTAAGTTTCCATACTGAACTCTGAGGTAGGCCATCCCAGTCGTTAAGGAGATCACAAGCTAATAATAAGAGACTCAGACAAAAAAAAAAATCCCTTCTTATAATACAACTTGTAACTATTACAGTGGTATTACAAGAAAATAAATTCTACAATTTTGGATAGGTATTTATACACAAGTCATTTTCCCTACTAGGGTTTAGCTTGGTAAGATTAGAGTCTGTGTTTTTCTGATTTTGGCATTTTTAGCAACTGCAGATTATATGAATGAGAAGTTTTCTAAAAATTTGAATTAATTTATCCCCCCATAGCAGCATATTTTGCACACATGCATACTCACATACACACATTCGGCTTTATACATAAAGAGGGTATTTCCATTGTTTTTCGATAAACTTTTTATTGAAAGGCAAAAATACAGAGATTATTTTGCAGCTTAAAAAGAAGAGAAATTAATAAAATATCAATGAAAGCTTAAGTTATCATGTATTGAGCATGTAATATTTGTCACACTACATTCTTTACATGTATATTTAAAATAATTACAACAATCCAGAAATGTAGAATCATGTTATTTTAATGACAAAAATATCTGAAGCTCAGAATAAATAACCCTTGTAAGTCAAGGGTCAGGCTGTTTTGGGAAATAAAATTGTTCTGTTGTCTATGGCTGGTTTCACTCTACAATGGCAGAAATGAGTGCTTGTGACAAAGCCCATATGGTCCATAAAGCCTAAAATATGTATTATCTGGCTCTTTCTAGAAAAAACATTTCTAAGCCCTGAAGTTGCTTCCGTTTATTCAGTAGCAAGTCATAAAGACTAAGTGTAAGCAGTCTGCCTGTCTCTACACACCATTTAGATAGGCTTTGGAAACCTCAGACTCTGATTCTCAGTCTCAATTTGACTAGGTGCTAGCTGTGAAACCATGGGAAACTTCTCAAACCTCTCTTCCACTTTGCGCCTTCATCTGTAAAATGGAGATAATAGTAGCATACGTCTGATGGTGTTGTTATAAAAATTAAATATGCTGATTTACATAAAACCCTAGTCACAAGACTTGTTACCTTGTAATTGCTTAGGATGTGTATGAACTTACTACCTCTGTTGTTGCCACCATTACTTTTACCTTCATGATACTATCATTTTTACTATTACAATGACCACTCTAAAACAAGGCATTCCTATAATCCCATGGTTATTTTTATTGCAAGTTACTGTTAAGGCCCTATTTCTTATTTCCTATTTTTGTGCTTTTTATATTTCTTTCCACCATTTTAGAAATGGTTGTGGCATTACCATGATATTTTTCTTACTCGTAATGAGGTAGCGATGCTCTTGTTATAGATCAAAACCAAGACTTGTATCAAGGTCTTGGCAGAAAATGTGATTTTTGTATATGTGTGCCTATGTATGGCAGGGTATCTAGCATAGAACAGGGGCTGAATGATTACAGAATTAATGTTGAAGAATTAGACAATAGGTCACATATGAAAACTAAGGACAGATACAAAACACTACTTAATTTTCTAGGGCAATAATAGGGAGTAGATATTTTGTCTTTGAGAGAGAAGCGATAAAAACTACTTGAATCTGATATTTCAAGTCTTAGTAACTATTCCTTTATTCTCTGCCTATTTACATATTGTACTTGTTATCTGTTAGCCAGCAGCCCACTTTTTTTTTGGCATACACTTGGCACTCCCTTACATTAAAATAGCTACGGGGATTTTCCATTTAAATTATTTTCCACCCCAGTGTCATTTTGGGGAACTCGAATCTTTCTGTAATGAAGTATTCAACTCCAAGTAAGACAGTTGGCCTGCACTGTGCAAAGCAAGCTCACTTATAAGAATCTTGCCGGGACAAAAAGGAGAGTTAGGAAGTCTCTTGTGTTTTCCCAGTGCTTTTGAAATTAATAGCTGGCACATTTTGAATCACAGCACAAGAGCAACAAAACAGAAGATCTATTTTAATAGACTTGAATCTATACTTAGAAGGACACAGTGAGAGCAAGGAGAAAATGAATTTGACCTTTATTTGCTCTAAAAGGATCTTTATGTAGGTAAAGGAAGCTGTGCAACAAAATAACAAAGTTGTTGCCCATGGTACTGTAAGTACAAACATCTTTCCTTCTCAGGGAAGAGAGATATTTTGCTGGATTTGAAAAACAACAGAAAACAAAGCATTTATTGACAGGCAGTGAGGTCTGATTGAAAAATGTAAATATTAATTCATCTGAACACTTAACTAATTAGGAAACTAGAGAGAAATTCAGTGGAGTTTTGAAAAAGGTAGCAGGTCAATGGTGAAGATAACATGGTATAAAGAGTAAGTGAAAGTAAATTTCCTTCCTCAGAAAACTAACACCCTTGATCCACTTATTTGTGATTTTTTTTTGTTGTTGTTTGTTTGTTTGTTTGGGACGAGTCTTGCTCTGTTGCCCAGGCTGGAGTGCAGTGGCATGATCTCAGCTCACTGCAACCTCCACCTCCCAGGTTCAAGCGATTCTCCTGTCTCAGCCTCCCGAGTAGCTTGGACTACAGGCGCATGCCACCACACCTGGCTAGTTTTTGAATTTTTAGTACAGACAGGGTTTCACCATATTGGACAGGCTGGTCTTGAACTCCTGACCTCATGGTCCGCCCACCTCGGCCTCCCAAAGTCCTGGGATTACAGGTGTGAGCCACTGCACCAGGCCAACACTTATTTGTTAATTTAAACATGCATTATGTGTTAGATGCTGAGGAATCTGATAAATAGTGCTTATTTTAAAGTTGATTTTAGTTTAGTGAGACGTGCAAGTAAACATACAATTACATTTGATAAATGCAGTGGTAGAGTTATACCAGGATACTGTGTGATATGTTTGGCTGTGTCCCCACCCAAATCTCATCATAAACTGTAGTTCCCATGATCCCCACGTGTCATGGGAGGACCCAGTGGTAGGTAATTGAATCATGGGGTCAGTTACTTCCATGCTGTTCTCGTGATAGTGAGTTGTCAGGAGATCTAAAGGTTTTAAAAGGGGCTTTGCCCCCACTTTGTTCTTCACTTCTCCTTGTTGCCAACATGTGAAGAAGGACATGTTTTCTTCCCCTTCTGCCATGATTGTAAGTTTCCTGAGGCCTCCCCAGTTATGCTGAACTGTGAGTCAAACCTCTTTCCTTTATAAATTACCCAGTCTAGGGTATGTCTTTATTAGCAGCCTGATAATGGATGAACACAGTGTTAAGTCACAGTGAAGTGGGATGCAGGATGTGGTTTACAGTGATACATGAGTTGCTGTAAAAGCTTTGCTCATTTTGAAAGCAATATAATCCTAGCTTCATAAAATAAGTTGGGAAGTGTTAATTTTTCACTTTTCTGGAAAAGATTGTGAAGAATCAGCATTATTTCCTACTTAAATATTTAGTAGAATTAACCAGTGAAAGATTTTTAACTGTAGATTTAAATTCTTTAATAGATGTACGGTTATTTAACTAGTGCATTTTTTTTTCCTAGAATTAGTTTGTGTCTTTGAAGGAATATGTTCTTTTTTTCTGTATTCAAATTTCTTGGCATTAAGATGTTTATTTGATGTTTCCTTATCACATTTTAATGTCCATTGTAGTAATATCTTCTTTATTACTGATAATGTTGTATCCCATTTTTTTCTTTGTCATTCTTGCTAGAAGATAATGAATATATTGACTTTTATTCAGAGAAGCAGCTTTTAGCTTCATTGATTTTTTCCATTGCTGTTTGATTCCCCATTTCATTAATTTTTAAATCTTTATTATTCCTTTCTTTCTTCATGTCTTTGGGATAATTTGATCATCTTTCCTTGGATTCTTAGGACAGAATTTGAGGTCTTTTGTTTGAAATCTTACTTATTTTTTCTAATATACATTTAATGCTATATATTTTTCTTTAAACACTGCTTCAGGTAAATTCCACAGATTTTGATATGTTTCATTTTCATTTTCATTGGATTCAAAATATCTTCTAGTTTCCACTGAATTTTCTTATGTTATCCTTAAGTTGTTTAAAAATATTTTGTTTAATTTGCAAGTATTTGGAGGATTATTCTGATATTATTTACTATACTGTTATTGAGTTTCAGTTAGTTTGATGTAGTCAAAGAACATATTTATATGATTTGAATCCTTTTATATTTATTTAAACTTTTTATGACAAAAATGGTTATCTTTGTAAGTGTTCTGTATATGCTTTAAAAGAAGGTACATTCTGCTATAGTTAAATGGAGCGTTCTAAAATATCAAATCGGTCAAATTGGTTGACAGAATTGTTCAGTTATTCTGTATCTTTACTGATTTTCTCTGAACTTTCTTTAAAAATGCTATTTTTTCTACAAAACTCCTTTAATTTTTCAGAGTGTTAAATATCCAACTAAAATTGCAAGTTTTTCTAAATCTACTTTCTATTTTCTTAACAAATGTATTTTGTATAGTTTGTACTCTACCATTGACCGCATACACATTCGGAGTTTTTTTATTTTTATTTTTATTTATTTTTTTTTTTTGAGACGGAGTCAAACTGCAACTCCCAGGCTAGAGTGCAATGGCGCGATCTCGGCTCACTGCAACCTCCGCCTCCCAGGTTCAAGCTATTCTCCTGCCCCAGCCTCCCAAGTATCTGAGACTACAGGTGTGTGCCATCATGACCAGCTACTTTTTGTATTTTTAGTAGAGATGGAGTTTCCCCATATGGCCAGGCTAGCCTTGAACTCCTGACCTCAAGTGATCTGCCCACCTCGGCATCCCAAAGTGCTGGGATTACAGGTGTGAGCCACTGCGCCCAGCGACATTTGGAGTTTTTATATCACCTTGATGAACTGATCCCTTTATTATTAGGAAGTATTCTTCTTTATCCTAGATTATAATTCCTTGTTCTAATATCTGATTGTCTAGAGTTAACGTATGCCCTCAAGCTTTCTTTTAATCAGTGTTTAAAATAGTAGCTGTTTTTCGATCCTTTTACTTTCTACACACAAATACACAGATTGTGTGCATAAAGTGTGTATGCATAAATATATATAATATAGATAATATGTATATTGTATATATTTTTTCTAACGTGAGTTTATATCCTTTCAGGTCTTTATTTTTTTTAATTCAATGTGACAACTCTTGACTTTGAATTCGAGTGCTTAGACTGTTTACATTTAAAGTAATTATTGTTATGGCTGAATGTGAATCTAGCACCATACAGTTTACTTTATATATTTTCTTTCAACACTTTTTTTTCTTTTTTGCTTTTTCCCTGCTTTTGATTTCACTTTTTATCCATCATTGGCTTACTACTAATAACTCTTTGAGTGTTTTGTTTTATTGTGGTTCTACAGTTTACAATAAACATTATACCACTCCATTTACAGTGCAAGAATTAAACCAGTATGTCTTCATTCTTCACTCTTTGATTTCTTTGTGTTACTATCGTCATACATTCCAATGGTAATTTTTACATTTTTAAATATATATTTATTAATTTTCCCATCAGGCTGCTAGCTATTCATTTGTTGTTAATTTATAATTTTTATGTTATGAGAAGGTGCTCTACACTTCTCTTTTTCAGAATTCTAGAATTATGGTTTGTTTTCTACTTTAATTTTAAATTTATTTCTAGGAGATAACAAAGATATTACATGTCTTTAGAAAGGCTTATTTCTCACATTCCTTTGACTGTTTCAGATTTAACACAAATAGCATCTCTAAGAGGTAGTTAGAAAGGTTGGTCGTAGTTTTAAATATGTCTGTATTTATATATCCCAAACAAAGAGCATTTGGGGAGATATTTAAGTATATTTTCTGTTAATCTTTTTTTTTTTTTTTTTTTTTCTGAGACAGAGTCTTCCTCTGTTGCCCAGGCTGGACTGCAGTGGCACAATCTCAGCTCACCGCAACATCTGCCTCCCGGGTTAAAGCAATTCTCCTGCCTTAGCCTTTCAAGTAGCTGGGATTACAGGTGCCTGCCACCTCGCCTGGCTAATTTTTGTATTTTCAGTAGAGACAGGGTTTTGCCAAGTTGGCCAGGCTGGTGTCAGACTTCTGACCTCAAATGATCCACCTGCCTCGGCCTCCTAAAGCGCTGGGATTACAGGTGTGATTCACCATTCCCAGCCTATTTTCTGTTAATCTCTATGTGAATAGTATTAACATGATGAAATGAGATGTATATGTCAAAGTTATACCTAAGCTATTAACACACTCTATAGAGTGATAATTATGCAAATAATGTAAGTTAGTTGTAATAATGTTGGTATAACAGTAGACTGAGAATAATTATAAGGAAGATTGCTAGGTAATATCCTTTTTAAACATTTTTTCTGTGGATGTAACAAACAAAAATTCCACCTTTTGATAATTTGGAATATGTTACTGAAGAGGATTCTGCTTAAATTTATCTTTTGACTCTTAATTAGCTCACGTTTAATTAACTTAATCAACATTTATGTATCTGCTGTTCTATGAAATGTATGTTGAGTGAAGGGGTTGCAATGAGAAGAAATTAGAGCTCCGTGGATCTGAATTGAGAGGATGCATATTGCAGCATCAACATGGTCTTTCAGAGATGCTAAGGGAGTTAAAATTAACATAATACCACAGAAGCATGATCAAAGACTTATTTGAATGAAAAAATACACAATTGTTACAGATATGCTAATGTTGACTTTCCAATATACTAAAATTGATTAACACTGAAAAACCCCTCCTTTTATAGAATGTAACAAAATGTGAATTGAATTGTGTCTTTTTGTTTGTTTGGTTTGGTTTTGACACAGTGACATTATGCCAACATTTTTTGAGGCCAGTATTTTGTTTTCAGTTTCTCCAAAGTGTGCTCTACACATTATGATGTAATGAATGGCAAGGTTACATAAGGGAGATAAATTATCTTACCTCCCTGACTTCCTTTTTCTGAATTACTAAGATGCAGTGAAAATCTTGATTTTTCTTTTTGGATGTTGTTTCAAATGTGAATATATTAGGCTTCATGGGTTTTTATCCAAGATATGTGTTCCATACCCCAATTCACTCAAAATAAAAGTTAGAGTACAACCCGAAATGGAAATATGACTATCGCAGCACTCTTAGGAAATGCTAATGTCAAAAGATTTAGGGAACTTCTAAAAACATCAGAAATGTCCTACTTTCAAAGCTTCCCTTAAGTCTGTCCTCTTTAGAAATTGTGAGGGATAGCATTAGGAGATATACCTAATGCTAAATGATGAGTTAATGGGTGCAACCCACCAACATGGCACATGTATACATATGTAACAAACCTGCACATTGTGTACATGTACCCTAAAACTTAAAGTATAATAATAATAAAATTGAATTAAAAAAAAAAGAAATTGTGAAGTTATTTCCTGTATCCTGAAGGCCTGGGTTGGAATGTTCTAGTCCCTTCCTAGCCCTCCAGATAGCAAGCTCTGTGTCTTTGAGGCAGATGGACACACTCTATTTTTATTCTAGGGCCAGAGGTATAGATCGCAGTAGGTACCTGAATAAATAAAATTTGTAGCATCTATTCCTCTGGAAAATTAAAGTACTGCTCAGAACCAGTTCTTGAAAAATGCATTACTTGATCTATTTCTGTAGGATGCACTTTCTTTCGACAGAAGTTTATCTATTTGACTTGTGAGTTGGCTTCTAGTGAGCTGGCTTCTGACTCTCAATGCTAATACCTGGTTCTTTTGCAATAGGTGTTTTCAGTCATTATTTCTTTTGATATTAAACCAATGGGGCTTTGTGAGATGCCAAATAATTTTTTGTAAGCATCACAGTCCTGGTTTCCAAAGCAGAAGGTATTTAGAATGAATGTCAAATTTGTTCATTTGCTCATTCACTGAATATTTGCTCAACAAATATTTTTTAATTCCAATATCATGCTGATAATTCTTCTTGCTGAAAATCCCTGCCTGAAATTAATTGCCAGATGAATGTAGAGAAACATACATATTTGGAAAAACATAATAAAGAGATCCACAGAGGACTCATAATGAATACCGAGAATAAGGATCAGGGTGGTAGAAATGAGAAGGAGATTTTGCTTGAAGTGAGACATAAACTTCTAATTGGTTTCAAGGTTTATACTTTCAATCACATCATTTAGCAAAAAGGAGTGAGCTCAGCATTTTCTAACCTGTAGACAAGATGAAAATAATTTGTGCCGAATATGTAGTTTTTTCTTTCCTCTTTCCAGGTTTTAAAAAAAGATAGAAATAAAAGAAAGAATAGAAAATTAGGCTAGACATCTTAGTAGAAGCATGAGCCTCTTTTGTAGATTTAGTAAAACCTTATTAATTCTTATTATACTCAAAATGAAATTAAGATAATTTTATAAAGATCTTAGCTGAATTACACATTAACACAGAAAAAAATAATTGCTAAGAAAATTGATATGGAAAATTCTTCAGTATGTAATAACTCTTTTGAAATATACTTAGAATATCTCTTTACATATTATAATTTTGAATAGAATAAAGTAATAAATCCATAGTTTGGAGAAGATTCCTCTGATCATGGTAAATATGGAAAAAGTGATAAGAGATGACAGAAAACAGCAACAGATACCAGTTAAGAGAGAATTATAATGGCTGGGCTTGAGTCAAGGACTATACAAAGATGATGACAGAATGGTGGGGGTGGGGGGCGAAGCATATCTTCAAGCTCTTTTATGAAGAATAAAAAGGTAGACTAGAGTTTGTGTGATTAAGTAGCTTCTAAAACGCTCCCCAGGATTTCAGCCATATAGTATTCACAATCCTGTATATTCCCCTCCTGTCGAGTTTGGGCTGAACCTAGTGACTAGTTTCAAAAGAATAAAATAGGATAGAATTGCTCTAAAGATAGCAAATGGGATGGGATGTCATACTGAGGTTAGGTTATAAAAGACTGACTTTTGCTTTGATCTCTCTGTCTTGTCTCATTTACTCACTCTGATGAAGCAAGCTGCTGTGATACGAGCTGCTGTAAAAACGGAGGCCTCCAGACCAACAGCCAGGGAGTAGGTGGGTTCTGCCAACAACTACATGCGTGAGTGTGGAAACAGATCCATCCCCACTTGAGCCTTGGGAAGACTTCAGTCCTAGCTGGCACCATCATTCAGCCTGTGAGGAACCCCGAGCCAAGAATACAGCTAAGCTATAATTGTATTCCTGACCAACAGGAATTGTAAGATAATATAGCTGCTGTTTTAAGTTATTAAGTTTTGGGGTAATTGGTTACGTAATAATTGATAACTAATACAGTCTAATTCACTTCTCCCTCCGTGTCTCTAATACCCAGAGGCGATCTAATCAGGCTACTTGACTGGGAGAAGTCAAAACAAAGCAACAATAATAAACAGTAAATATCACAAGTATTACTTTATTATTTTGTTACTTTCCTGTAATCTAGTATGTATTTATGCCATTTGATTATTAAAAATTATCTGGGCCATTATTTCCACTTCTGGGAAGGAATCACAGAAGACTAATCCAAGAGAAAATTAAAATTATATGCACAAATTTGCTCATACTATAGTCACCTATAATTTTAGAAAATGGGAAGCTATTGGTTATTCATCTGTGTAAGAATAGTTAAGTATGTTATATGATGCAGCTACTCAAGGGAACATGACCCAAAATTGACTTTGAAGGCTAAATAGAAATAAATTAAATAATTTATGTAGTCTTGAAGTGAAAGGTGCAGAACAGAAAATGATACATCTGCATTAAATTATGTCTGCTCAAAGTACAAAGATCATACCAGAAATGTTAAAATGATTAATTTTTAGTAGAGAAGTATCCTAGAGAGATAATAGGGAAACCATGACAAAATTTTGAAAGACTTGTCTTTGAATATTGCATCAAGAATTAATTAGCTGTGTGATTGTGAGCAAGCATTTAATGCCTTGTCTTGACAAATATGCTAAAGACATAATTATATTACCGATTATTGTTAGAATGAAATGAGGAGTGTGTATAAAGTACCTTATACAATGTTGGCACAATGGCACAATGTTGATGTTTGTTGCCTTTTATTTCTACTGTTGTTAATGTATATAGACATCTAAAAATTATATATTAAATTTCTTGCTTTATACCTGGTATTGCTTGAAAGGAGTGATTTGAACATTTTGTTGCCACCATAAAAACTGATTATACTCCATGCTCTGTTGTGTTGTACTATTTTGTTTGCGACCATTGTGTAACTATTTTGGGATGTCACTAGCAGAATATCTTTTAAAGTACTCTAGTTCCTGCAAATCTTTGTAGTGTAGAGTTTGAAGTTCATATTTCCTCCAAGTTTTGTAAAATATAGTCATATTGGTTAGAGTAAAATTCCATCACTTGACTTTAAGTACAAATGATAAGTTTTTTTATTTGAAGTTGGTTTTTCTAGGGAAAAGAATTTTTCAGAATTTCCTTGGTTTGCTGAACTTTCTATATATATATATATATATATATATATATATATATATATATATATATATATATAAAGGTTATTTTTGTTTTACTCCACTCTCCCCACCCAGAAAGTCTATTGCTTTTGTGTGATACTCTTCTGTTACTTTCTAAAAGTCTGCCTGTGACCATATCATTTGATATTCACTTAAATAATTTATATACTTAAAAACTCTCTGGGTGATCAATGTATTAGACTGATATAGCAAGAACAAGCTGTTTTCCTTGTTATTAAAGCCACATATGTTTGCCCATTTTTTCAAATGTGAAATTGAACATGACAAAAATGCATGAGCATTTTCCTGGGTAATACCGCTCTGGTAATTCAGCAGGTCTATAGGTAGATGGCATAATTTTAACATAGCATTTCTAAAAATTCTTATACACCATCTTTGGTTACATGAAACACTTTATGAAAGTATGTTATCTGTAGAGATTCTGGAAATATTAACTCTTCATCAGATTTTGCTTAAGGTTTCAGTATTCTTAACCCACTTCATTTCTTATTTTTTGTTTGTTACATGGATATAACCAAATGATTTCCCTTTCTAAAATACTTTCTCATTAGAAAGCTAAATGTAGAGTTCTGAATAAGTGTGCTAGAATAAATAAATTAATGATATCAATTGTTAAAAATGGTATAGTTTCTTTCACTCTCAGATAAATTACTCTATATCAATCGCCTCTGTGTTTGTGTGCAGAGGAGAGACTCACATTAGTGGCCACTGGACCAGTGGGAGGAAGAGCTTATGGGAAGAGACTTCTTTGGCTCATCTCATGTTACATCTTGGAGGTAAGTGACTAGTCTCGAAAATATTAGACTAGATTGTCCCTAGCCTGATTTAACACCTTTAAATTATGAATGAAAGAATGGAGGTCTGGTATATTGAATACCTTTTCTAGGTTCCATGGCCATCTAATGGTAGAGACGAGAATGATTGTGCAGGAAGTAACTTCTTTCATACTCAGTTCAGAGTATGTGTTCACATAGAAAATTATGGGATTTGCCTCTGAGATTGAAGAAACAGTATACTGAATGTCATTTGGAGGGTTTTGAAGTGTAGAAAAAGAGAAATATATCTCTTTGGTTTCCTTTCAGTCTGATACACAATAATGTTTTATTTTTGAATGTCATTTTATGATTTACAAAGTGCTTTCATGGGCATTCTATTATTTAATAATAATCCTGTGTGAGCCAGACATTTTTACTTCTATTTCACAGTGAAGAAATTTTGGTTCAGAATAGTTAAGAGACCTTTCAATAGTCACACATTGTGAAGGAAAGAAATTGAGAGAGATTGAAAGAGAAAAAGAGAGAGCTAGAACAAACTCCCAGCATAAACAGAATTAGTCCATCACCCCCAAAATGAAATTATAGGACATTTAATGCTCTGCAAACCATACGTAGCACAGACAATTTCTGTTTACCAAATATTTATGAGCTTCCCTATATTTTCTAGGACTCTTTTAGTTAGATGGAGCTACTTTACTGATAGATAATAGTTCTAGGTAATTTGCTATAAACAGAAGTTCTGTGGGCCGAATCCCTCTATGCTGGCGCGCAACCCTCATTCCTCTCTTTCCCTGCCACAGTGACCTCAAAGGCCCCATCCCAGAAGGCACAGCCACAAAAAACGTGGCCTCCACCAGCATGGATCCCTGAATGTAATGGGATCAGAGCCTCCTGCCCACACCTGGTAAGTATATATCATGAGTAATAAATCAACCTTTTGATATTAAGCCACTAAGATTTCAGACGTAATTTTTATTGCAGCATGAAGTAAAGTATCTTTTAAAAGTAATCTTTTAAATATTACTATTTTAAAGGAGCAAGAAAATTACATTTTTTCCACTATCTTAAGATGTATAAAACGTGTTGCTTTCTGTAGCAGATTTTTTAAAAGACAATTTAGTCAACAAATACTTTTGTCTTTAAATCCTGACATGCACAATAGCACAAGCTCAGTGGCTGGTCACCACTCCAGCACTACTAAATGATGGCAAGAAGACCACTTCCAAAGAAGGAGGGACAGGGACAGCTTCATGGTTACGTGGCTAGTGGGTTTCACACTCAGAAGCTCCTGTGATTAGAGTTTAATGCACTGCACTTACTGTCTTAATAATCTTAATAGATTTATCTTTGAATTTTGTTTTGTAAGCAAAATCTGATGGGACAATGGCACTTGAGCCTGGAGCTTGCCTTGGCTCACATGGTATTGCCTCCATCTCTCTCTCCAGGATGAATTCTCAGCTGCCTGCTCCTCTTATCCTGTGCTCTAGCCTGCCTGGCCCCCCTTTTCCCAATCTGGTCTTGCCACTTTCTGCCACAGGTGGGAACCTGATAGTAGATGGGAGATTAGGGATAGGCACAAGTGCCCTGTGGTATCCAGAGGCAAGAGTAGAGCATAGTGATGACAATCCCTGCCCTGGGCTGACAACTCAGCAGTGAATAGGTGGAGACCAAGGGCATCCAACGCTCAGGTTGCAATATCCTTGGTAATTGCCCATTGCACAGCAGGCTGGGGAAGTGGGCCTGTGGGAAGAGGAGTCACCGTCTGGACTCCTCAGATGCTGTCCTGGCTAATGCATGGTATGTAGTCCAGGCAGCTGTTAAGCAGAGCTTGTGCACACATGGCCTGTGTCATTTGGCAAAACCCTAGGCACATGTGAGGGTCTGGCTCACTCCATGGGTGTCCCCGTGTTAAAGGATGCTTTCCTGGCCTGCTTCATTCCTGGAAGTAACTTCTATTCCTCCTTCCAACTTTCCTTAATCTGGCTTGTGTTTTTCTCTTCTACTAGCTCCAGGGACTCTCTGGGGATAAGCCATGTAATAAGAATTGTGTAATTACGGTGCTTCAGCATACAACTTAATATTCTGATATCTGCGTTTAAAAGTGGACTTGCATAATATAAACATGGATGATAAGATCTAATAATTTAAAATTTTATTTTTTCTTTACTTAGAATTAAATAGCAAATATAGAACATCATGAAGAAACACAAGAGAGAGACAATAAAGGAAAGGAAAAGGCTTTATATTTCAACACACCAAATGACAAGTTTTTATTGATTTTTGAATGAGGGGCTTAGCATTTTTATTTTGCAATGGGTCCTGAAAATTATTTAGCACATCTTGAGGAAGAACCAGCATTGAAAAAAAAAAAAAAAAAAAAAAAAAAAAAAAATGAAAACCCTGTAGAATGTGAATAAATCACCCAAAAGTGAGATATCTTTCAATAAGAATCTCCTGTGGTAAACTCCTGATGCCTTAAGATGCTGTTTAGTTGTCCAGATCGCTTTAAAAATCACAACAACCTGCAGCTGGCCTCACCAAGCTGCCTCTGAAGTCTTTCTGACTTTGAATTGGGTCCAGCTATACACAAAAGGCTTACATTTCTTCCTTAACTATAACGCTAAAATAAAACATACAAGGTCTAAAAAAGAATTGCTGAATGGGTTTATCAGATCCCCACAGCAGTGGGAAGTCACAAAGAAAGACAAAACAGTCTTTTGCTTCATACTTGCTTTTGAAATTGCATTCCCTCCAGTTCCTCTGTGCTTCTTTTGCAAAGGGCAGACTTTATTTCTGCCAAAATCTTTGCAACAGAGCCAACAGAATTTATCTCAAGCTTGGCAGCCAATATACATTATCCACAGGTTTCTGGCTAAACTATTAAAATTAATCAGTTGGCAAGCTTTCATTTTAGCAGCTCTAATAAACAAGAGAAGCAGATTCCCAGGGGGTGGAAATATCAGTAAATATAGCAGCTTTAAAAGGAAGAAATTCTTCAAAATGTCCGAAGATGGACTCAAGCTTTAGTCAAATGGACCTAAACTACAGTTACAGTATGGGCAAAACCATTCATTTTTATTAAGGCATTTTTCAGTGCAAGAGGAATCAAGTCCATTCTACACATAGGATCTCAAACAAACTTTCTTCAGGTTGCATGATACAATGTTCTATTTGAGGGGTGGTAGTGTAAAAGAGTCTCTGCAGATACAGTTTGCCTTGTGGATGCTAAAATTTCAGAAGTAGGGGTTTCAAGTAATAGGCTTGACTCTGGATATTTAGAAGACATATGTGGCAGGAATAGAAATATTCACCAAATATTCCACATGTTCTGTATGTTTTCTAGTACTCATGCAGTTAGGCAGAGTCTCACAATTTATTCTAAGCTTGTGACATGCATTCCATTTAGGCTAAAGCATAGAAGTATGAGTTCCCGGGCTTCTCTTCCCCTCTATGAGTGACACGTTGAATTGCAGATGGTGCAGCTCTGCTCAGTGTAGATTCCTGAGACCCTATGTGGAGTAAGTCCCATGCCAAACTGTGTTGGGCCTGCAGCATATTCATTAGGCCAGCCCATGTTGATTGGAAAATGAACACTTGTTGCATTAAGGCACTGGCATTTAGAGGTTAATTTGTAATGCACTATATCTAGCGTGTCCTAATTAATAATAAGATTAGTACCAATGCTATGATGTGGCCACAGAAAAATTTAAATTTAAAATTTAAAATGATGGAGGTCAATGACACTAATAAAAAAGACAGGCAATAACAAAACATTTTGTAATGTTTGTCATGCAATGGCAAAACATTTGGCAAAATGTCCTCCACAGTAAGTTAGATGGGAAATAACATACCTGATAAACCACAGCTCTGGGGGAAAGGAATGGAAAACAAGATGATAGTAGTGTTTATTTGTGGTCTTTTTTTTTTGCATTTAGTTTGACATTTTACAAAGAAAGAGATAAACTCATGAAGGAATTGACCATTTGCAAGTAAAAATGGAAGAGAATAGAAAAATTCCAAAAATGTATGAACTTGTAATGTTGAAAAATAAATTTGAATGACAATATATTGGCCTTTAGAAAAAATTAGATTAATGGCATGACCTTCAGAACAGTTGATAAAAATCCTTCAGTGGATTAATGTACCACATGACAAACAGCAAATTAAGGATATAATGCACAGAAAAGCATATCGATTACTTAAATATGTCAGGGCAAAAGTAACATTAAAAATTTCTTTCTATGTCTCTATTCTATGTGCCCACCATTAATTGCAGACAAAAGTTTTGGTGTCAAGAAGGCAAATAGCAAACTTGGACCAATTTTTCAAAAGAACTGTATGTTATGGGGGGAGGCTGGCAGTACTAATTACTTTCATTTAAAAATGACAGGCAAATAAATATAAAGTCTACTAAACTTTTGAGACAGTGACAAAGAAATAATAAACTTGGACTAGAACATCTTGGGTCACAATCTTCTATGGATAAGGTGTGGATTACCCCAATGATCACTTTTGTAGGATATGTGGCAAGGAACAATGAACCTTCCAGACCAGTGAACCCAGTGCCAGGGAGAACAATGAATAAGAGGACTCCTCCTACAAAGCAGAATCTAGACCAAATATAAAATTCACCTCTACTCTTAGGCTTGCTGTTCTATATGATGGGTGCCCAGTCGCATTGCAGATTTGGACCTATAACTGATGCATGGCTCCAGCTTTCATCAGACACTGATTATTGTGCACCCTGTATTGGGTGCAAAACTGGAAGAGTGAAATTTTATGCTATATTTTATTAATAGACTTTCATACCAAAAATTTCAACCACCTTTGGTGTAGAGGCTATTGTACATACCAGTGACCCTAGGTTTTGAGGTGACACAGTGACTGGCTAAGACTTTTGTGTCCTCCCAATGGGAGATTGTGAGTGTGTTATAGATGGAGAAGAAAAGAGTAGAGAGATTTTTTTTTTTATTTCCACAAGAATGAAGTATAGCTGAGATTATGATAATCAAAATATTCCAAATGCTGCTCTATATTCCGAGCCTCTATGAAAAAAGAAGGGGTAACGTGGCTAATTATGCAATAAAGAACATGTCAGATCCAAGTGTCTCAAGTCTCTCTTCCTATGCTATAGTGACTAGTGACATTTTCAGTGGTGGAAATTTCCATCAGCTGATGCTGTTGAGGAGTCATGTGAAGCAGTTTTCTACCCCAACTCCCATATATAGCCATATTCCTCATGAAAAAAAAATAAGGCTTGGTTTAATTAAACAATTGAAAATTCTGAGTTAATGTCTTACTGCCACATAATCTGATTTAACCTAATACAAGATGATATATGGAATATAATTTCAAATGAATGGAAAAATGTGAGAATGAAACCAGTGAGTTTCTATGATTACAGAGGAAGTTCATCTCCAGTGAAAGTGATGTGGAAAAGAGTCCAAAATTTGTAATATGGTAGACCTGATTTGAATCTACTCCCTTTTTATATATATATATATTTTTTATTATATTTTAAGTTCTAGGGTACCCTTTCATATTATTAATTCTGTGGGGTTGAACGTGTTATTTAAACTTTTTAGCCTTAATTTCTTCACAGATAAAGTGGAAATAAAACCTACCTTATAGATTATTATAAATATTAATGAGAAAATGTTATATAAGGGGTCTTTTACTATGCAATGGCAATATAAGACCAGCTAGTTCTCCTTTTTTCCCAGCCCTACCATTATTGGATGGACATGGTAAAAATGAAAATAAAAGTCATCAAGTGAAGTATGGGATTGCCACAGAAACTCAACTGCATTTCAGAGAAATGCAACTAACTGAACATACAAAGCTCATCCAACCTCAGAACTCATCAGTAAATGGTTAAAATAAGCATTTATTGCTGAGTTCTGAGGTTGGGTTGAGCTTTGTGTATGTAATGTTTTAGATAGGTAACAGAAATTCTTGCAGCTGCCCAAAACTATCAACTGTGGTGCCAGATTCTAGTGAAATTAAAAGTACATAACTTTGCAGCAATTTTTTTAAAAAGCAAAAATAAAATAAGCAATTAAAAACTCCAAGTAGGTCAAATAGAATGAGTCAGTGGCTAGAAGATTAAGATTAAACCATGAATTTGTCAGTGTATGGACCATGAAGTGAGATCAAGGCTGAGTCTCTTGTGTAAAACTGCCTGTGTTCAAGTCCCAGTTCATCCACTAATTTTAAGCAAGTCTCTATACATCTCTAGTTCTTAGTTTTCTGTATGTGAAATGAGAATGATTGCATCTCCTTCATATGTTGGATGTGAGGAATAACAATACCTGTAAAGCAGGTATCGTACTGCCTGGCAGGTACTCCGTAAATGTTAGTCTTCATTAGTAATATGACCACCATCATCAACATCATCATTATTAATGTTGGATATGGACAATTTAAAGGGCAACTTAAAACTGGGGAGGATTGTAAGGATAAAAAAATGGTAGGATAAAAAAAGAATACGAATCTGGTAGTGTTTAGGAAGGTTTGTAAGCCATCTAAGGTTTAGTTCTCTGATCAAGCATTGCACACTAAACACACAGGTACACTTCCAATCTTCATTCCTATAAGAAGAGTTAATCAAGTTATAGTTGATCATTGAACAACATGGGGTTGGGGTCGCAGACCTTCCATTCAGTTGAAAATTTATGTATAACTTTGACTTCTCCAAAACTTTATTAATAGCCTACTGTTAGCCACAAGCCCTACTGATAACATAAACAGTTGATTAACATATATTTTGTATGGAATATTTATAATATATGGCATTCTTACAATACAGTAAGATGGAGAAGAGAAAATGTTATTATATAAATCATAAGGAAGAGAAAATATATTTACATTTATTAAGTGAAAGTGAATAATCATAAAGGTCTTCATCCTCATTGTCTTTACGTTGAGTTGGGTAAGGAGAAGGAAGAAAGAGAGAAGTTGGTTTTGTTATCTTAGGGATGGCAGAAGTAGAAGAATTGTGGGGGGTGGAAATGGAGTTAGGAGAGGTGGGCACACTTGACTTCAACTTTTGTTGAAAAAAAATCTGTGTATAAGTGGACTGGTGAGTTCAAATCTGTGTTGTACAAAGGTCAACTGTGATAGCACAAAAATTGAAAATTGAATATTGACCTTTCTAAGGTATTGAGAAAACTTTCTACAGTCATTGGGTAAATGTAGTCTTCTGAGACAGCTACTATGATGAGCTAATGATAACCGAATGTTATTTATTAATTAAAGATGGATTTCATTTGTTGATCAAGCACTTCACGTGTTTAATTATTTAATCATTTTATTTTAACCTAGTGAGTGAACACTGTGCCAGGTGCTGGGGATACATCTGAAAAAAGATATGACATTTATCTTGTCCTTCATGGAGCTGAAAACAAAAATTCCAAAAAGAATGAATCACTCTATGATTCTATCATTTCTATTACTGCTCTTCTCACCTTGTTCACTCATGATTTCTTTGATTTCCATGACAGCAACAGCTATCTTTTACCTGAAGGCAGTGACAACATCTTAATCATCCTGATAATAATTGCGCTAAAATATAGCTGGATTAATATCTATATTTTGTTAAGGCTTGCTGAATGAATTAATGAATGAAACAAAATTATTCTCAGAATAACCCTACATATTTACATCCTTAATTTTGTTGGAGGAAAATATATACATACAGAACTTATTTTAATCATTTACTGATGAGTTCTGAGGTTAGGTTGAGCTTCGTGTATATAATGCTTTCAAAATTTAAATAAAATTAATATTTCTTTAGGCTGGGATAGGTCCAATTTTACTTCTCATAGTATGTTTCTTGCCTGTATGCAGGTATAGGATGTCTGGATATCTTTCCGATCTTACAGAGAGTCAAATGATTTCATAACTTTTGGGTTGTATATATTATAACAAGGAGATTGGCAAACCTACACTGAACTCTCACTTTTACTTTTAAATTAAATTCCAAAAATTGGCCTTGCCCATATACATTGAGAGTTTTTCCTTTGAGTATATGATAACTTCAACATATATTCAAGAATGCTGTACAATCATTCCTTCCCCTGAGATACCCTCACCTACTTTGGGCAGGACCAGAGCTGTGCTAAGAGTACAGCTCAGGTTCTAGAGAGATGTATCTGGAGCACAAATTCCTATCCAAGGCAACTGAAGAGAGTAAGTTTGGATACGCAATCCAAAGAAGCCAGAGTAATGGATCCAAGTTAGCTCTCTGAGATCAAGAGCTGAGTACAACAAAATATCACCTCATAATATGGAGACCCACGTTCTAATCTGAGCTCGACTATTTATAATCTATGTTATATGTAACAAATGACTTAGCCACATTGAGAATCAGTGTTGTACCTTGTTGAATTTGTTAGGACAGAGGCTCCCTGTATTAGTCAACCTACTGTACCCTTCCCTGGTGAATATACCTACTTACTATAGTTCTTCTCTTAAAACTACATAGATATTTCCATTATAGCTGTGTTTTCATGTTGTATTTCTAAATCAAACATTGAAACCAACATTGATATGTACAACCAGTAAGTACATGAAATTGTATGTCCTTTCTAGAAAATAATTTGAAAATAGCTATAAAAAACCCTTTAAAGTATGTGTACCTTTGACCCAATCATCTTAATTTTAGGAATCTTTCCTCACAGTTGCTATCAAGAGCTTTTTTATACCAGTATTTTTACTATAGTAGTATTTATAATTTGAAAAAGCAGGTACAATTTAAATTTTCAATAGAGGAAAGATGTGGATACATGACAGGAAAGTATACAGCCATCAAAATTCATGTTTTCACATAATATTTGAAAATATGTGGAAATATTGACATATAATATTACAGGAAAATAGTTTGGTATTACAGATATTTTAATCCAAGTTTTGCTTATGTGTCTATACATTTTAAATATACATTTATGCAAATATTAAATAAGGTATATATCGAAATATTAAGGTATGTACCTGTTACAGGCAGCATTGTGTCCCCCTCAGATGCATATGTGCAAGTTCCAACCCCTAGTACCTCAGAATGGTACTATTTTGAGATAAGGTCTTTAAAGAGGTAATTGATTTTAAATGAAGTCATGTGGGTGGGCCCTAATCTAATTAGACTGGAGAAGAGGAGATCAGGACACAAACACCTAAGGAAAAGGCCATGTGAAGACATGAGGAGAAGATGGCCATCTACAAGTCAAGGGGAGAGGTCTCAGAAGAAACTAATTCTGCTGACACCTTGATCTCAGGCTTCTAGCCTCCAGAATTGTCAAAAATAAACTTCTGTTGTGAAGCCACGCTGTGATATTTTGTATTTTTTTTTTTATGGAAGCCCTAACAAACTGATATGGTACCACTGGGAAGGACTTATGAATGGCTTTTATTTCCTTTTTTATACATTTCTATGTAGCTACCAGTATTTTTATGTTGAGCTTAAACAATAGGTCCAGGCACTGTTTCCTCAGAGCCATGAGGCTTTCTTTTTCTTTTTCTTCTTGTAGAATAATTGGGTCCAGATCACACTTTTGTAAGCCGTTATCTATGTATGTATCTTCCCTACATAACTGTGAGTTTTGTTCAAATAAACTGTGTAACTCCTTTACCTAGTATTCAAATTAGCACACATTAGAGAGCCCCAGACGTTTTTGGAATGAAATGTAGACTGCACTCATTTTAAATGTGTGGAGCCTGCTCTCTCACATTTTAGGAGCAGTTTGCTCTGTAGCTGTGATGAGGATTTCTGAGTGTTCCCATCACCTCTGAAAAGCATCATTTCTCAGTGCTAAGCTGAGACTTCCCTTTATAGGGAAAAATACACTGTGTTCTTTGGGGTTCATAACAGTGTTGACTGGTTTTTGCTCCAACTTTCCATTAGGAAGTCCTCTGCTCCCACCTCTTTATAGTCTATTTTCTCTCCATCCTCCTTCCTTTCACACACAGTCTTTGTCCACACATGGGTCAAAGAATGGGTCAAAAATACTTTTGAGCTCAATAAGAAACTGCTACATATAAAAGACTATTGATCTAAACTTCAGAGTAAAGGAGAGTAGAAGGCGAAAGAATGGGTTTCCTTGTTTATTTAGTGAGGGGAAAAAGAAAGGGAGCTGGAAAAGAAGGAGGAAGTAAGAGGACAGGTAGCAATAAATTCTCGCCTCCCTCATTTTAGCCACTTTCCAGAAGTGAAATTGGTCTATTTTTCTGGAAGGGGCAGGAAAGCCTTGGTGGTTTGAAGTCAATGCTAGCCCTTATTAACTGAATTTGTTCTTAAGAATGTCATTATTGTAAGACATCAACACTTTTTTAGTTACTTTTGAGTATTTACTAAGTCCAAGGGACATTACATATGCTACTCCTAATCCAGAAATCATCCCAGAAAAGTAGCAATATTACCCTTAAAGAACCTGCTTTCCAAAGGTTAATTTTCTTACCTGGGATCACAGGAAAATGTCTCTGAGAGAGGCAATTGTCTTACTGAAAGTTCCTCAGATCTTCCCAAGAATGGGTTCCAACAAAAAGACATCACATTTATTGGAGGTCTAATATGACAGAAATTTCGTATACACAATATTGTTCAATTTGTTCAATGTCACTAGCAGGTAAGAGTTAGCATCATGATCTTACATGGCAGAAAGTGGAGGCTCACGAAGGTGGAGTAAACTGACAAATGAACATGATATTACAAAATGAAGCTGAGATTTAAATCTATTTCCATCTTATTCTGAAGGAAGAAGTCTAAATAAAGAATCTGAGGTTTTTATTAAATAGTAAAAGAGTACCCTCAAACAGAAAGAGAAAAAAAAAAAAAGAGTGTGGTAGGCCCTATGCTATCACTGTCTCCACTTCAAAAAATTCCTCCTGACTCAGATTAAGGGCAATCCCATATTGTTAGCATGGGAGTGAAGCTAACACACATTTTACTTTCAAGAAGTTGTGCTGCTCTGCTTTTAAATGACAGGAGAAAAGTAGAGACAAACCCAAGTCATATATTAGTAGCATCATTTTCTCAATTGCGGAGCAAATAAGAATCGGACATTCACTGTTTTCTAGGTGATACTTTGTCTATAACTAACCAGTCCAACATGGTAGCCACTGACACCATATTGTTATCTCATAGCATGAAAATTAAAATTAATTATAATTAAATAAAGTTAAAAATATCAGTTTCTTAAATGCACCAGCCATATTTCATACATTGAATAATCACATGTGCACAATGGCTACCATATTGGATGGTGCAGGTAGGAAACATTTTTATCACTGCTGAAAGTTCTATTGGACAGAAGTCATCTACATTAATAGCTTAGAAAGAATTACAGCTTCCTCTTTGCCACAGGGTATATACTACAAACAGCTATTGTGTTAAACAAAAGTTGTCTTTAGGTTCTTGCTTATTAATTAATCTCTATTTGCAAAGGATAATTTTTCAAGCTTGACAATGAGTCCTATTGTTAGATAAATGAATTGCACGAAGTAACCCAAGCAAAAATCATGGGTCAAGACACTCATATTCATCTTTATTTGATGAAAATCACAATCAATGAAAGAATTAAAAAACGAACAGGTAAATTATGGATATTTTACATGGCTTTCATTTATTTGTTTTTGTTTATTCTTGCAAGTAACACACATTCAGTTTCTGCTATTGATGACAGGTACTGCAGAGTGTACAAAAGAATGCTTTCAAAGTTTTCAGAATCTGGGAACAGAAATAGAGATAGACAACTTTATCTGAAACTCAGTGAGCTAAACGCCAGAATAGCAGTATGCAGGCAATTTGTTCATAGCACGAGTTTTTTTCTGGTAGCCTGATCCCTGGCTTATCTACATAACAGAAGAGAGGGAGAGAGAGAGGGAGAGAGAGGGAGTTAGACAGAAAGAGAGAGACAGAGAGCAGGTGCTGAACTGAGTACTGTTGGAGCAAAAGGGTGACTCTCCTGCTGATTCTGTTTTCCAACCCAGATCTATATACCACCCTTCCTTGTCTTACTCTTTGCAAGGAGGGAGGCTGACCGCAATGGACTGTATCACCTGAACACTCTGGGCTTGACCATTAGAAATTACCTACAGGAAATCAAAGGTCAGGAGAGGAGAGAGGTTAGGTTTTTCTGCTCTATCTCCAGCAGGAGCTGGAACTATTACAGTTCCCAGATCTAACTCTCAGGTGGAGCTCCACAGCCAGTCTCTTACCCTGGTGCTTTCAGCTGTCAGGCTTCCCACTATCTATTAGGTCTGAGCGTTTCATCATTTCTTTTCATTCCCTGAACTCTACCCACCCCTCTGTAAATAGTCCCTTCATGAAAGCCTCTTTATTTGAAACATCTGGAATAAATTCTGTGTCCATCTGGGACCCTGACTTAGTACAGCTAAGGAAGAGAACTTTGAAAGAAAGAATTGTTTTAAAAGGATTTCAAAGAGCTGGTCTTACATCATGTCCTGATGCCTTTGGGGTTATAGGATTAAATGAAGAACTTCAATGAGGTTACAAGATTTGTATTCTATTTTCCATTTCCCTACCCTCCATTCCTGTTCCCCAGAGATAACCTTAGTGAAGGGTTTCTGTATAGCCTTCTAAATATTCTACATTGCAGGCTTTTTGAAACACACTGAGGAAAAGGAAGTCTGTCTCCTTCTTGTTAGAGAGGAGAACAGTAGTTACCATCATAAGATTTCCTCATCTGATGGCACTAGTGGTTCCCAAAAGGTGATCCCATGATGAGCAACACCAGTATCACCTGGGAACTGGTTAAATCTGCAAATGTATAGGCCTTGTACCAGACCAACTGAATCAGAACTCTGGGGGTGAGGTCCAGAACTGTGAATTTTTATTAAGCCTGCAGGTGACTGTATTGCACACTCAAGGTTGAGAACCAATGGGCTACACATTGCTTTTATATAGCTCTTCTGCTCACTCATCTGAGGGTCATTGCGGCCCCATACAGAGTTGGATTACCTCAGGACACCTCATCAACTGCTTGGAGCAGCCATTGTGTGACAGTGATAGGTGAACAAATTTAAGTCACTGGGATGTAAATATTCACTTCTCTGTTTACACAGGAGATTGAGAACATATCTATACTTGTATCATCATTTGTGCTCTTTTTGTGAATTACATTTTTATATCTGTTATCTAAGTTGTCATTGTTAATATTAGGAGTCTTTTCTGTTTATCTAGAGATACATAATTTTCCTACTACGTGTTTTTCAAAAAACATTCTCCCAATCTGTTACTTGTCCTTTAACTTTTAAAATGGTTTAGTTTTAAAATAAAAACCTAAAAATTAAGTTTTTATTTTGTCAAGGCTGACAATCTAAAATTTATAGGTTCTTGGTTTCTTGACTGGCATAGAATTGTTTCCCCTTCAAAATAATAAACATGCTCTCTAATACTTTCTCCTTTATATGTAATTATTAGTTTAGTTTTATCTTGTTTAGATCTTTATTCCATATATGAATTTACCATTGTATGATATTATTTATGGATATAAAGCCTTTATTTTGCCAAATGTTCAATGACTTATTTTATATCTTTAGATATTTCAAATTTTCTTTACTGATTTGAAATTTCACTATTATGATATACTAATTCTTTATACATAGAATGAGTTTTCCTGAGATCTCATCTTTTTGTTATTTTATCTGATAGATAAAAATTCTTTATTATTTGTCTGTCTTGACAAATATTATTTTGACTTATGTTTAAATATGATTTTTTAAATTGCCATATGCTGGTCTTTTGTTTATTATAATAATTATTTTCTTGGTAATTTAAGTTTTTCCATAGGCATATATTACAGGAAGTAGCAAATGTTCAATTCGCAATAATTCTCTTTTGTTCTTTATTGCTATTTTTTATTGCAGTTCATTTTTGTGTGCTGAATAAAATAAACACTTTATACTTTTGTGCATAGCATGTGATTATACAATTTTATTCTTTTTTTCTTTATATGTTTCCTCTATGGTCAGGGATTACTATTTTTTAATACCTTGAATTTTATTTGAATGCCTGGGAATGCTTGATTCCTTGTATTTATGAACAAAGGCCAAGTTGGATTAGCTGAGAAGTTTTTGCCAAACGTGTCTCATTAGGCTTAGTTCCTCAATTTGTAGGTTGACTTTGGGTTCTGGGTAGTTTTTTTTTTTTTTTTTAATACTTTAAGTTCTAGGGTACATGTGCACAACGTGCAGGTTTGTTACATAGGTATACATGTGCCATGCTGGTGTGCTGCACCCATTAACTCATCATTTATATTAGGTATATTTCCTAATGCTATCCCTGCCCCCTTCCCCCACCCCAAAACAGTCCCCAGTATGTGATGTTCCCCTTCCTGTGTCCAAGTGTTCTCATTGTTCAATTCCCACCTACGAGTGAGAACATGTGGTGTTTGGTTTTTTGTGCTTGTGATAGTTTGCTGAGAATGATGGTTTCCAGCTTCATCCACGTCCCTACAAAGGACATGAACTCATCATTTTTTATGGCTGCATAGTATTCCATGGTGTATATGTGCCACATTTTCTTAATCCAGTCTATCATTGATGGACATTTGGGTTGGTTCCAAGTCTTTGCTCTTGTGAATAGTGCCCCAGTAAACATACGTGTGCATGTGTCTTTATAGCAGCATGATTTATAATCCTTTGGGTATAAACCCAGTAATGGGATTGCTGGGTCAAATGGTATTTCTAGTTCTAGATCCTTGAGGAATCACCACACTGTCTTCCACAATGGTTGAACTAGTTTACAGTCCCACCAACAGTGTAAAAGTGTTCCTATTTCTCCACATCCTCTCCAGCACCTGTTGTTTCCTGACTTTTTAATGATCGCCATTCTAACTGGTGTGAGATGATATCTCATTGTGGTTTTGATTTGCATTTCTCTGATGGCCAGTGATGATGAGCATTTTTTCATGTGTCTGTTGGCTGCATAAATGTCTTCTTTTGAGAAGTGTCTGTTCATATCCTTCGCCCACTTGTTGATGGGGTTGTTTGTTGTTTTCTTGTAAATTTGTTTGAGTTCTTTGTAGATTCTGGATATTAGCCCTTTGTCAGATGAGTAGATTGCAAAAATTTTCTCCCATTTTGTAGGTTGCCTGTTCACTCTGATGGTAGTTTCTTTTGCTGTGCAGAAGCTCTTTAGTTTAATTAGATCCCATTTGTCAATTTTGGCTTTTGTTGCCCTTGCTTTTGGTGTTTAGACATGAAGTCCTTGCCCATGCCTATGTCCTGAGTGGTGTTGCCTAAGTTTTCTTCTAGGGTTTTTATGGTTTTAGGTCTAACATTTAAGTCTTTAATCCATCTTGAATTAATTTTTGTAGAAGGTGTAAGGAAGGGATCCAGTTTCAGTTTTCTACATATGGCTAGCCAGTTTTCCCAGCACCATTTATTAAATAGGGAATCCTTTCCCCATTTCTTGTTTTTGTCAGGTTTGTCAAAGATCAGATGGTTGTAGACGTGTGGTATTATTTCTGAGGGCTCTCTTCTGTTCCATTGGTCTATTATCTCTGTTTTGGTACCAGTACCATGCTGTTTTGGTTACTGTAGCCTTGTAGTATAGTTTGAAGTCAGGTAGGCATGCAGAAAAGAACTCCCTTTAGGGTATAAAGTCAAGAAGGAGTCTGGAAAATGTCTTAGATGCTGATATGGTTTGGCAGTATCCCCACCCAAATCTCATCCAGAATTGTAATCCCCATAATCCCCATGTGTTGTGGGAGGGACCCAGTGGGAGGTAATTGAATCATGGGGGCTGGTTTCCCCATGCTGTTCTCATGATATCCAGTGAGTTCCCAAGGGATATGATGGTTTAGTAAGCATCTGGCATTTCCCCTGCTGGCACCCGTTCTCTTTCCTGCTGCCCTGTAAATTGGCACCTTCTGCCATGATTGTAAGTTTTCTGAGGCCTTTCCAGCCATGTAGATCTGTGAGTCAATTAAAAACTATTTTCTTTATAAATTACCAAGTCTCGGGTATTTCTCTACAGCAAAGTGAGAATGGACTAATAAAGATGCCAAACTCAAAAATCTTTAATTTGCAGTGAGGGCAGGGGTTGAGCACTTTCGCACATTTAAATCTGGAGAGAGGTACCTTGTTAGAATCCTCCCTTTCCACTCATTATTTTTATTTATGAAGTTTTGAAGTCATGGTACCTTGCTTTCCTCTTTAAAACTGAAAGCCTATGTAATGTTTCCTTCCCACCTTGCCTTCGTCAACCGCACTTGGTTTAAGAGCTTCCCTGGAAGACCTATCCTATTTGTCACAGACACACTCCTGAGGATAGAAAGTGTTTTCAACATTACAAGCTTTTCAAAGGCAGTTAATTGTGCAGACAGAATTCTAAATGTTCTATAATACATTCGTTTCCATAAAGCAATCTATTAGGGTTATTAATTGGGATTACTTCAAAGCTATATGTTGATTGGGGAAGCAATTATCTTCTCTAGAACCTGTACTTGCCCCTGAGCTTGGAGTGTTCATTTTCTGTGTGTTTTTCTCCTGTATTTATTTTGTCTAGTGCTTTTTTCCTTTACTCTGATTTTTATAATTAATCAAATCTCCTGGTTTTCTGATTTTTCTCAAAGTTTTTGTCTGATTATCTCCCACACTATCAAGAACTACACATCGCTCATATCTGTTAGATTTTCTGTGAGATTGTGGGATAAGAAGTAAAGGAATATGCTTAGTCTTCAATCTTGAAATAGACATCATTTGTGTCTTTACCTTTCTGAAGTTCAACCTTAGCTCCTAGATCCCATGGTTCTCCATCTGTGCCCCTTTAGAAAAGGAGTAGAGTAACCAAGTTCAGGAACACTATTCTTAGAATATGAATCCAGCCCCTATTTGGATATCAAGGTGAACGGGGCTGACTCGTTCTGGCTCTTGTGACATGGTTGTCTTTGGCAGAATGATGAAGGAAAAGTAGAAGTCAAACACATTAACTGATAATATTTATTTAATATTTTACTCATATCATGCTATTAGATTCTTACAATAAACCTTCTAGATAAGTATCAATTGCAGTCTCATTTTACTTACGAGGAATTTTGATAAAACTGTCCAAGGTCATTCATCTAGGTTAGGGGAACTAGGAGTCATGCACATGCATTTCTAGAATCCGCATCCTGAGCTCTTTAACCTCTAGAAATGCTGCCTGGTATCAGAGAGCTTAGATTTTCTTTGCTGCCGATCTATTTTCACATTTTTTGTGCATTTTCACTCTCCTCCATTTCACCAAAACTATATTATCAGAGTTGTTGGCTCATTAATTCAGTACTTTTGATGTGGAGTTCTACAGTTCCATTCATTCCCCCGTGATACGAATGCTGGAAGTCCACGGACCACACTCTCTGGCAAGGCTTTAAGTGATTACCCAGGCTACTTTCATCATGCCTTATACAATTGAGCTTTAATAATCCCCAGAAGCTTTAGAACCCCTGGTTACCACATCTTAACCCAAAATCACTATTATCTTACTCAAGATTTCAGTCGTCTTAAAGCATTCCTAAAAATGTTGGCCTAAATTCAACAACTTTTTCTGTGTTCCCAACTACCTCTCAGAATGACCCTAACAGGTATGTAGATGTCTTCCCCATTTTCCTTTAGTGGAAGCTAATTTTTGTTTCATATCATACATACCGCATGGCCTCTAGGTTCTTTTCACCGCTGTTTCAAGGCTACGTATTTTCCTACCCCCATCAAAACTTACAGATTCTTAGAGCTCCATGTCATTACAAGTTAACATTTGGTAGCCTCCCTTCTTGCTTCTGTCTACTAACCTTTATTGATTTATGAGTTCATGATGCATTGTTTTCTCTGTCACTAATTATATTCCAATCTTGATAACTTCAAGATCCAAACAAATGATTTGCCAAACCTTAGGAGCTAGACTTCCTCTTTTAGTATTCTTTTCTGCCACCCCACTATAACCAACAACCTCTGTTGATCTAGTCATGCAGAGTAATTGCACCTCCTCCAAAATCATGATGATAAGCATGCTCATGTCTAGATACAACCTCTGATCCTTCTGGAGGGTAATTATGGTAGTTAGTCTAGTCTGCAAGTTCTATGCAATGAAGGCTAAAGCACAATGTGATTCTTGCCAGAGTCAGAACACATCAAATTTAAAGAAGTGTGCAGAGTTGAAATTAGGGTGATGCAGAAAGCCAGAAAAGGAAATCCACATGGGTCATCAAAATAAATCAGTGCTCCAGAATTAGACTTCAGTGTTGGAGACTAGAAAATCTTCAATAGAGGATAATGCAAACAAAGAGCAATAGATCTGATAGGCAAACAGACAGATGCATAAATAGTGGCAAATAATCATCCAGAGGATGTTATCTCAGCTGGTTTCCATAGATGATTTGATTGATTTCAGGGGTCATGGGTTGAGCAAATACCTATCAGGGTTACCCAAGGATCAAATGCAAGTATGGCATGGATGTAGAGGAGCTTTCCAATGCAAATGCCAGTTGTTCCTGTACTCTTGATTGAAATGACCCATCTTGATCTTATACAAAGTACTAATACTGTGGGATTTCTACTTTCTCTTGAAATCAAGGCAAATTTTTTTCCTTGCTTCTTCAGTGGTTAAGAGAATTATGCAGAAACTAGCTGGGGTTGGTTAATTATTCAAACGTGATTATTATACATAAGCAGCATATTTGTTCTGTTTCTATTTGTGCATACATATTTATTTTTTATGATCCTACTTCCCATCAGTGAAGAAAAGAGAATACAATTAGCACATCTGTCCCATTCGTTGTGACAAAATATGAACTTAAGATCTGTATGGTGATTTAGGGAAGCATATTCCTGGGAGTCCATGGTGAGCCTCATGGAATAAAATTTCAGTAATAAATACAGTTGTGGGAATCTGCATTAAAAAACAGCACTAAAAATAAGACATGAAAGAGTGCTATGGAAGCTTTTTAAAGATAATTTGAACAGAAATAGAGCCAACCCTGGAGAGGTGGAAGATTGGGACAAATCATGTGTGGGAAGGGGGTGGAGAGAGACAGAACAAGAATGAGGCTTTTCCCTGACATATTCCAAAATATTTGAATGCTAGTACCTTGAAGGAATCATCAAAAGGCTGTTTAAGGTAGCAGGAAGGGAGGAGAAAGCAACAAAGTGTAAGCATTTTTTATAGGCAAAATATACACAAAGTCACAAAGGTTTGTATAGCTTTGGAGAAAGTAAGGAAAGGGGACATACTTAAATGTGTTGGAGCTAATTGTATTTGCTAATTTTGCTTTCAGAGCAGCCAGGAGGAGTGCCCAGAGTTAGTGCTGGGCTCTTTGCCGCCTCATAATAAAACATATATTCCTGGGAATGCAAGAATACATGCCAGACACCCCAAGTTCTTTTTGTTATCAGATATAATTAGGAATGGGACATCTTTTGAGGTTTCTTTCAACATATATGTATTGATTGCTTTCCCTGGTGTGACTGTGACATACACTAGTAACATGCAACAAGAATTTAGGAAGGATACAAATAAACAATATTAAACCAAATAGATGTATCTTTAGATTTTACTTTCCTCTAATGCAACTGGTACTGGTCTTCCATTTGCAGTACAAATATAAATATGGTTATGAAAACAAATGTATTTACATAAAGAATGGTTTATTATTTCTAAAAATAATTACCTATGTAATGTTAGGTTAGCCTACATCTAGGCAAAATTTGTGAAGGAGGTGCTCAAGTGACTGACATTTGGAAATCACTGAAGTATAACATGATAAGGCAGAAAGAAAAGCTGAAAATAAAAAAAAATGTGAATGCTCAGATTTGCTAATAATTGCCTGTACATTTGGGCAAGTGATTTAACCAGTATAATTAACCTCAATTTTCTTTCTTTTATTTCCTTGAATATGAATAACTAATCACAATTTAGCTAATTAACAGTATTTTGTGAGAATTCAATGAAAAAAATATATATACATATATAATTGTTATCTAGTGTTATAATGTGGAGGTACTGTGGATATATCCTAAAAGGGTCCTAATTGAGTCATGCTTTTGGATAATACCCCTTATGTTGAGTGTGGCCACCATGACTTGCTTCTAAACAATCAAATATGACAAAGTGCTCCCCATATTAGGTTTGGTTCCATAAGTTCTAGCAGAGACAGAGAGAAAGAAAGAGAGAGAAAGAGATTCTCCTATTGTTCTGGAAAAAGCAAAAAGCCAAAAAGCCATGCTGTGAACTGCCTATGGAGAGGAACTTCTAGGATCTGAGGGTCATCCCCAACCAACAGCCAATAAGAAGCTAGGGCCCTAGGGAATATAGTCACATGGAAATAAACCCTGCCCACCAACTTAATGAGCTTAGAAGCAGATTCTTTCCTAGTTGAGCACTGATATCATTTGGCTGTGTCCCTACCCAAATATCATCTTGAATTTTAGTTCTCATAATCCCACATGTTGTGGGAGGTACCAGGTAGGAGGTAATTGAATCATGGCTGTGGTTACCTCCATGCTGTTCTCATAATAGTGAGTTATCACAAGATCTGATGGTTTTATAAGGGGTTTCTCCCTTCACTCAGCTCTTGTTCTTCTCCCTCCTGCCATCATGTGTAGAAGAACATGTTCGCTTCCCCTTCCACCATGATTGTAAGTTTGCTGAGGCCTCCCCAGCCATGTGGAACTGTGAGTCAATTAAATTTCTTTCCTCTATAAGTTACCCATTCTCAGGTATATTTTTATTAACAGTCTGAGAACAAACATACAGTAAATTGGTACCACAGAGAGTGGGGTGCCTCTATAAGGATACATGAAAATGTGGAAGCAACTTTGGAACTGGGTCATAGACAGATGTTGGAACAGTTTATAGGGCTCACAAGAAAACCAGAAAATGTGGGAACTTCCGAGAGATTTGGAGGGCTCAGAAGACAGGCAGATGTGGGAAAACTTGGAACTTCCTATAGACTTGTTGAATGGCTTTGACCAAAATTCTGATAGTGATATGGACAATGAAGTCCAGGCTGAGGTGGTCTCAGATGGAGATAAGGATCTTTTTGGGAACTGGAGAAAAGGTGATTCTTGCTATGTTTTAGCAAAGAGGCTGGCAGCATTTTGCCCCTGCCCTAGACATCTGTGGAACTTTGAACTTGAGAGAGATAATTTAGGGTATCTGGTGAAAAAAATTTCTAAGCAGCAAAGCTTTCAAGAGGTGACTAGGGTGCTGTTAAAATCATTCAGTTTTATTTATTCACAAAGACACAGTTTGGAATTGGAACTTATGTTTAAAAGGGAAGCAGAGCATAAAAGTTCAGAAAATTTGCAGCCTGACAATGTGATAGAAAAGAAAAACCCATTTTCTGAGAAGAAATTCAAGCCTGCTGAAGAAGTTTGCATAAGTAATGAGGAGCCAAATGTTAATACAAGACAATGGGAAAAATGTCTCCAGGGCATATCAGAGATCCTCATAGCAGCCCCACCCATCACAGGCCCTGAAGCCTAGGAGGGAAAAAATGGGGCAGACCCTGGGTTCCCCTTCTTTGTGCAGGCTGGAGACATGGTGCCCTTCATCCCAGCTGCTTCAGCTCCAGCTGTGGCTTAAAAGGGGCCAAGGTAGAGCTTGGACCATTGCTTCAGAAGATGCAAGCCCAAAGCCTTTGCAGCTACCACATGGTGTTGGTCCTCTAGGTGTGCAGGAGTTAAGAATTGAGGTCTGGAAGCTTCCATCTAGATTTCAGAGGAAGTATGAAAATGCCTGGATGTCTAGGCAAAAGTTTGCTGCAGGGGCAGAGACCTCATAGAGAACCTCTGCTAGGGCAGTGCAGAAGGGAAATGTGGGGTGGGAGCCCCCATACAAAGTCCCCACTGGGGCACTGCTTAGTGGAGCTATGAGAAGAGGGTTACCATCCTCCAGACCCTCTAGAATGGTAGATCCACCAACAGCTTATATCATACACCTGGAAAAGCTGCAGACACTCAACACCAGCCTGTGAAAGCAGCCAGGAGAGGGGCTGTACCCTGCAAAGCCACAAAGGCAGAGTTGCCCAACGTTGTGGGAGCCCACCTTGTATCAGCATGCCCTGGATTTGAGACATGAAGTCAAATGAGATCATTTTGGAACTTTAAGTTTTAATAACTGCCCTATTGGATTTTGGACTTGCAAGAAGCCTGTAGCCCTTTGTTTTGGCCAATTTCTCTCATATGGAATGGCTGTATTTACCTAATGCCTGTAACCCCATTGTATCTAGGAAGTAACTAACTTGCTTTTGATTTTACAGGCTAACATGGGGAGGGCACTTACCTTGTCTCAGATGAGACTTTGGACTGGGAATTTTGGTTAATGTTGGAATATATTAAGAATTTGGGGGACTATTGGGAAGGCATGATTGTGTTTTGAAATGTGAGGACATAAGTTTTGGGAGGGTCCAGGTGTGGAATGATATGGTTTGCTGTGTCCCCACCCATCTCATCTTGAGTTGTAGTTCCCATAATCCCCACATGTCATGGGAGGGACCAGGTGGGAAGTAAATGAATTGTGGGGGCGGTTACCTCCAGGCTGTTTTTGTGATAGTGAGTGAGTTCTCACAAGATCTGATTATTTTATAAGGAGCTTTTCCCTTTGCTCAAGTCTCATTCTTCTCTTTCCTGCCATCATGTGAAGAAGGACATGTTTGCTTCTCCTAGCACCATGATTATAAGTTTCCTGAGGCTTCTCTAGTCATGCAGAACTGTGAGTCAACTAAACCTCTTTGCTTTATGAATTACCTATCAGCATGAGAATGGACTAATACAAGCAACCAGATGAAAACAGGGATTGAATGACTCTGATTCTCCTTATGAGTCCCTAAGCAGAGGAAACATCTAAGCCATGCCTAGACTCTTGAATCACACAAATTGTGAGATAAATGTATGCTATTTTAAACCATTACATTTGCAATAGTTTATAAGGCAACCACTGAAAACTAATATGAGTCAAGGGAAACTGCTTTGGCTGTCTAGGTATGTAGATAATACTTATTGTATTATTGTATTTTCTATACACACTTAGAATTACTATTACTTTTGTTTTGGTTAGGTGAACCCTACAAATCTGAGAAAGTCATGAGTATTTTGAGAAGCTATCCTAAAGACCTAGGATTGATTTGTAAATATGGACAACTAACAATTATTGTGATTTTTCCCAGTGTTCTAAGCAGAATATCTGGGTCTTCACATTTATGATTTTGGTTCATTCCCATAATGTCCTAGAGAGGGATATGATTATATTCCTTTTTCATATGAGGGAACTTGCCTAATTTCATAAGTATTCTGCAGTATTAGTCTTTTCTTACTGGCCTATATTGATTAGTCCTGCATCTTTTAGCAATGGAGCCTGTAATTAGGCCCAACCAAAGGACTGCATTCTGCTCAGAATGATGATTAGTTCAGGTTCAGTCATATGGCCTATAGTGAGACATTCTTAGGAATAGCATAGAAGCTACCAGAATTAGAATCTGTATTTTCTACTAGACATGTATTTATAAGGCTTTCAGAACCAGGCCCTTCCATAGACAGTCTAAGAATAGATCTCAAAACAATGGAAGGTAGATTCCAGGAGGGGCAAGATACCAGGTCTTGATGAGAATATTTGAGCCCCCAAATCCAGGTGTGTCCAAAATCAGAACTAGGCTTTATAATTTCTAGGCTGTATAATTACATGAACCAATAAATGCCCTTTCTTGCATTTAGATTTTTGTCTTGGACAAAGAGGAACTAATTTATATAGTTAATACAAAAAAGAGCTGAGTAGGGAAGCTAGGTGTGCCTAATCACAAATTCAGAGAAGATGAGAGAGCTGTATACACTTATTTGCCAGAACCTCTCTACCCTTGCCCCTTTTTGTCATATGTACAGTGATGAAACAGAAAGAACAACAGAATGAGATATAAAATACCCGGGTTCTTACTTAAGGAACACACCTGGTATGGGATTGAGTCAGGACTGTAATTTAGATCTTCTAACTCCCAGCCCAGTGTAATTTCTGCTACATTACAAAGCAACATGGAAAGTTACCAGAAGGAAAAATCACACTCCCATTCTCACTTTTCCAGAGGAGAAGACTAAAGACCAGATGATTAAAAAGAGCATTATTTTACAGTCTTTGTTAGAAAGTTTGGTGAGGCTGTGGGAATGACGACAACACAAAGCCCTTAGAGATTTTGTATTTCTTCCAATTTGGACTTAACTTTTTCCTTTCATTTCCTCTTCATTAATGCTACTATTTGAGACAAGATGTGGAGACTATCAGTCAGTGGGATAATTTAGGCACAAGCACCTAGAATATTTACTGTTTTAAAAAAATCAACATGTTTGCCTATCATCTGTGGGCCTGGTGGGAGGCACATTGGTCATAAGTTACAGATAGCTACATTCATTAACAACAAAATGATGATTACTTTGGAAAACCAATGAGCCACATTTCAATTAGCTTAATAATTTAACTTCTAAATGTTTTTAGCCTTTAAAAAAAACCGCAAAATTCTTTGCTTGTGTCAATCAAAACTAGTATGGTTATAAATTTTGTTAAAAATACAAATATGTCTCTTTTTTCTTTCTAAAATTATTGGAAAAAAACAACTCCCATTTTGATCCATGTTTTGAGTTTAATGATCAGCCTAGTTAGGTTTTGTTTCCAAGAAATAATATCATTTAGAGTGGTCCCCAGTGGGGTTTACAAACTATATACCCACCTCTAGCACACAGTATAAACTTTGGAACTGATAGTTATGTCCCAAATCTCTGGAATTAAAATTATCTGATCTGTGTTGTAGAAGGCCCCATTACTTTTCAAAATAAGTCCCAGTTAGGCAAGAGACTGACTTTAATCAGCAGAGCAATGATGTTCTTTGGCACTTTCCTGAGATACTGGTCACTTGTCAATGGAATAGAGTATAACCAGACTAAACATTTAATATTCTCCCTTGTACATCAATGGACTCAATTTCAAAGCATCTTTTTAGTCTTCCTAAGTGGAGACAAATGTGTGTGTGTGTGTGTGTGTGTGTGTGTGTGTGTGTGTGTTGAGAGAGAGACTATAAAGAAAATCAAATGCAAGTAATTGAGCAGCAGGGTTTATTACAAAATTGAAATAGCATGAACAATCTAAGATGCCTTATAACTTGCTATCACGGTGGGGATGATTTACCACTCTTCTCTGCCTTAGTGAGAGCTTCAGGTGGTATGAGAAGAACTAGGTCTATACTGGTGCAGCCAGGAGGTTGGCCAAAGAAGCACTGGCCCAAAGCTGAGTCATTTGGGAGAACTACAGCTTCAGCCATCAACTCCCTGTGGTCAAAGATTGGCTGAGAGGAAGAATTTTAGTGATTATGAGGTATAGCAGATTTTATACCTCGTAATGCTGCTGGTACCTTCTTCAGACCACATTGATACCTCCTTCAGACAACATTGCATCCAGTGGTACCTCCTTCCACTGGTACCACTGGATGTATCCTTCAGACCACATTGCATCCAGTTTCTCAATCTTGTGTGCCCATCCTCCAGCTTCTGCATTTTTTGTGGCTAATTGCTTCAATCTGAAGATTTCCCTTGGACACTTAAACCACTTGCCAATGATACAGCTGGAAGTGACATGGTGCCTTATGTTGGGCGGGGCAATAGCCAATGACTGGCTAGTATGGGAACACAAAATCCAGCTTCTTTGCTTGAGGTAAGATAATAAACTGTAAGGTGGAATATATGCTCTAGAGCTGATCAGTCCAGTACTTGTGGCTACTAAAATTTAAATCAATTAAAATTAAATAAAATTAAATATTGTGATGGTCAATTGCATTAGCCACATTTCAAGTGTTCATTAGCCACATATGGCTTGTGGTTAGCATATTGAACAGTACAGATATAGAACATTTCCATCATCACTCAAAGTTCTATTGGACAAAGCTTCCCTGAAGGAACAGACTAAGTTTGAGACTTCCTCTGTAATTGAAAACTTGTTTAGCAACTTTCCCTTTATGTGGCCTGCCTGCTTTACCCCCATATTGTTTTCTTGTAGGTATGTTTTCTTTACAGATCTTTTGCACCGAAATCCTTGATTCAAGATCAGTTTTGGGGAAACTGATGTCTGACTCAAGATAAGTCAACTGGAAGAAATTTCAGTTTTTTTATTTCTATTCCTGAGTGTTAAA